>NC_000011.10:93430109-94057323 GCF_000001405.40 Homo sapiens | reverse complement strand
GCCAAAAATTTCCCAAATTTGATGAAAAACATTAACCTACACATCAAAGAAGCCTAATGAGCCAAAATTTGATAAATACAAAGAGGTCCACAAATAGATACATCATTGCTAAACTGTGGAAAGAGGAAAGGAAGACAAAAAGATAATATTGAAATCAGATAGACAAAAATGACCTATCACGTACAAGGGAGCATCAATATGATTAATGGTTGACTTCTTATCTGAACATTCGAACCCAGAAGACAATGAGATGATATACCTAAAGTGCCAGGGAGGAAATATTAGCCAAGAATGCTATATCCAGCAAAACGATCCCTCAAAACTAAAGGCAAGATGTTCTAGATAAATAAAGACTGAGTGAGTTTGTTACTAGCAGAACTGCCTTACAAGGAATACTAAAGGACAATCAAACTTCATAATAAATGGAAATGACACCAAAGAGTAACTTGAATTCACAGGAAGAAATGAAAAGCACCAGAAATGGGAAATATATGACTTAATATAAAAGGTTCTATAAATATATTTTCCTTTATTTTATTTTTTAAAAGTCATAAAGTAATATAAAGCACCAAGTATATAACAACGTATTGCTGGGTTTATTTAGAGAAGGGCATTATAGATAGATAGATAGATAGATAGATAGATAGATAGATAGATAGATAGATAATCAATAATAGCACAAAGGAGGGGGAGAGAATGGAGCTTTATGGAGCAAAGCTTCTACATTTTACCAGAATTTAGTTGGTAAATGTAATAAACTAGGGTGCATATTACAATCCCGAGGCAAACCAATAAGAAAATAACTCAATGATATATAGGCTAAAAAATAAACAGAAATTAAAACATTATTCTAAGAAATATTTGTTTAACACAAAAGAAGGCAGTAAAAGAGGACCAGAGGAACAAAAAATACAGAAGACATATAGAAAATAATTAGCAAAATGACAAATATAAATCAAACTAATAAATAATTACATTAACTGTGAATGGTCTAACACCACAATCAAAATGTAGAGATTGTCAAACTGGGGGAAAAAAAGCAAAATTCTATTATATGCTGTTTGTATTGTGTCTTACATTGAAAGACACAAATAAGTTGAAAGTAAAATAATTCAAATAGCAAAAGTAAGAGGCTATATCAATAACAGACAAAATAGATTTTAAGACAAGAAATGCTATTAGAGACAAAGATATTTTGTCGCGATAAAAGGGTCAATATATCAGGAAAATATAACATTATAAATGTATTCATATCTAACAAAAATGCATCAAAATACAGGAAGGAAAAACTGACTTAATTTAAAGAACAGAGAATGGAAGCTGGCTGCGAAAGGGTCCAGCAGAAGGAAACATGGCTGCCAAAGTGTTAGAGTCCACTGGCAAGTTTGGCCTGGCCTTAGCTGTTACAGGAGGCACGGTAGGCTCTGCCTTATATTATGTGGATGCTGAGCACAGAGCTAAATCTTTGGCAGATTCCATGGAGTACAGGACATTGCAGTATGGAAAGGAACTCATTTTCTCATCCTATGGGTACAGAAACCAATTATCGTTGACTGCTACTCTTGATCACATAACACACCAGTCATCACTGGTAGTGAAGATTTACAGAATGTCAAGATCACAGAGTGCATTGTCTTCCAGCCTGTCACTAGCCAGCTTCCTCACATCTTCACCAGCATTGGAAAGGACTATGATGAGCGTGTGCTGCTGTACATCACTAAGAGATCCTCATGTTACCGATTGCTTACTTTGATACTGGAGAACTGATCACCCAGAGAGAGCTGGTCTCCAAGCCGGTTAACAACGACCTTACGGAGCAAGCAGCCACCTTTGAGCTCATCCTGGATGATGTGAAAAGATCCTCATGTTACTGATGGCTTACTTTGATGATGGAGAACTGATCACCCAGAGAGAGCTGGTCTCCAGGCAGGTTAGCAACGACCTTGCAGACTAAGTAGCCACCTTTGAGCTCATCTTGGATGATGTGTCCTTGACACATCTGACCTTTGGGAAGGAGTTCACAGAAGTGGTGGGAGTGAAACAGGTGGCTCAACAGGAATCAGAGAGGGCCAGATTCATGGTGGAAAATCTGAGCAGCAGAAAAAGGTGGCCATCATCTCTGCCAAGGGAGTCTCCAAGGCAGCTGAGCTGAGTGCCAATTCACTGGCCACCACAGGTGATGGCCAGATTGAGCTACACAAGCTGGAAGCTGCAGATGATATTACATACCAGTTCTTATGCTCTCATATCATCACCTACCTTCCGGCAGAGCAGTCTGTGCCCCTCCAGCTGCCCCAGTAAGGACCCACCCTGCCTGTACTTCCTCAAGCCAACTGGGCCACAGCCCCAATGAGTAACAGTGTCTTCCTTCTGCTCCTACCTGAGAAATCACTGTGAAATTTCATGATTGGCTTAAAGTGAAGAAAATAAAAGTAAAATCACTTCAGATGTCTAATTATCAAATGAAGCTCTTTCTTTCTTCGCATATTCAAAGACTTTTTTATCTACTCCCCTACGAAAAATTCCCAAGTGCCTATGCAGACTGGCTTTAGGTCCCAATTTGAGGTCTACTGTAGCTCCAGCCTAGGTACTGCAATTGGCAGAACTAAGGTAGGGCAATGTGTGTGATGGACTGGGAAGAACAGTTGTCAGCCTGAGTACACATGTAGCCTCCATCCTATCGTTGATTGAAGATTTGAGGGTAAAAGCACATGCAGCTGAATTGAAAAGGTAGGCCTCAATTTTCCCAGCAGTTCCTGCACAGATGAAGCTGAAGAGAGGTGCTGGAGAGGGTCAGAGAGAAAGTGGTCTGTCTCTTACTATAAGGCTGATTCTCTTTAACTGTGTGACCAGTGGAAACAAGTGTGAACTAACTGAGTGTAGATTGAAGAATCTGCTTCTGTTGAAATGGGTAGGCCTGATTGTTGCCCCCCAGGGTCCTAATACCCGGATGGACTTAGATAGTGCAAGAGGAGCCCTAGACTGAGATCTGAGTCCTGTTGAAGACTTCTTTCTACCCTCAATTTTGGTCCCTCTCAAATATCCAATGGAATTCCAACTTGAAGTATTGAATCCTTCTGGGGCTAAACATGCCTGCCAAAGATGTGTACATCCTGTGTTCCTGGCTTCCTTGTTCAGAGACTGCTCTTCTCCAGGGCTCTGTGCCTGTGCTTTGAAAATAGATCTGTATAAACTGTTGTTAATAAATGACACTCAGACCTTCCCCAAAAAAAGAACAAATAGACAACTCAACAATAATTGTTGAAGATTTCAATACTCAACTCTCAATAACTGATAGAACACCTAAACAGAAAATCAGCAAGGATATAGGAGACTTGAACAATACTATGAACCAATTATACCTAAATGATGTCTCTGGAACATTGCACCCAATAACTGTAGAATATACCCTCTTTACAGAGCACATGGATGATTCTCCAGAATGGAGCACATACTAGGCATAAAATAAGTTTCAATACATTGAAAAGGATTACTATCATACAAAGCATATTTTTCAATCACAATGGAATTAAATTAAATATCTACAGAAAGAAATCTTTGAAATCATCTAAATATTTGGAAATAAAATGATACACTTCTAAGTAACCCACAGGTCAAAGAAGAAATCACAAGGGAAATTGTAAAATATTTTGAACTGAATTAAAATGAAGACAAAAATATCAAAATTTATGAGATACAGGTAAAGCCATGCTTAAAAAGGAAATTTAGATTTTAAGTCATCTATCTCAGAAGTTAAAAAAAACTCTCAAATCAATAACCTAAGCTTTCATCTTAAGAAACTAGAAAAGGAAGAGAAAAACAAACCCAAAGCAAGTAGAAAGAAGAAATAAAGATTGGAACAGAAATCAGTGAAAGAGAAAACAGAAAAAAAATACAAAATAGATGAAACCAAAAGTTGGTACTTAGAAAAGATCAACAAAATTGAGACAACTTCATTTAGACTGGCCAAGAGAGAAAGAGAACACTAATTGCCAAAGTCAGGAATGAAAGAGGCAACATCACTGACCATACAGAAATTAAAAGGATTATAAGGAAATATTATAGGCAACTTTCTGCCAAAATAATAGACAACTGAGATGAAACACACGAATTTCTAGGAAGACACAAGTTACCAAAACTGACTAAAATATAAAAATAAAAAATTGGAATATACCTATAACAAGAAATTGAATTAGTAACTAAAGATCCTCCCTGAAAGTAAATTCAGGTCCAGTGGTTTTATATAAAAATTCTAACAAATACTAAAAAAAAAATCCATGCCAATCCTTTACAAAATCTTTCAGAAAACAGAAGAGTGGAGACTTTCCAATTCCTTCTATGAGGCAAGTATTACCTTGACAACAAAATCAGATACAAACATCACAAGAAAACTACAGACCAATATCCTTCATGACTTAGACACAAAAATTCTTAACAAAATATTAGCAAATTGCATCCATCAGCATATAAAAAGGATTCTATGCCATGGCCAAATGGGATTTATCCCATGATTGCCAGGTTGGCTTAACATCCAAAAATTAGTTAATGCAATATATATCAATATATCTCAATAGATATAGAAAAGCCACATGACCATCTCAATGGATACAGAAAAGTATTGAAAAAAATCCAGTACTTACTTAGTGAAAAACTCTCAACAAACTAGGAATACAAAGGAATTTCCTCCAGTCCCAGCTAAAACAATCAGACAAGAGGAAGAAATAAGGACATCCAAACTGGAAAGGAAAAAGTCAGATTATCCTTATTTGCAGATGATATAATCTTACATTTGGAAAAACCTAACGGCTCCACCAAAAACTATTATAACTTACAAATTTAGTAAAGTTGCAGGATACAAAATCAACATACAAAATCAGTAGCATTTCGATATGCCAACAGTGAATAATCTGAAAAAGAAATCAAGAAAGTAATCCCATTTACAGTAGCTACAAATAAAATTAAATACCTAGAAGTTAACGTAACTAAGGAAATGAAGGATCTTTATAATGAAAACTATAAAACACTGATGAAAGAAATTGAAGAGGACAAAAAAATGGAAAAACATTTCATGTTCATGGATTGGAAGAATCAATATTGTTAAAATGTTCATACTGCCCAAAGCAATCCCTATCAAAATACCAATGACAGTCTTCACAGAGATTGAAAAAACATTCCTAAAATTATATGGAACCACAAAAAAACCAGAATAGCCAAAGCCATCCTAAGTAAAAAGGACAAAACTGGAGGAATCACATTACCTGACTTCAAATTATACTACAGAGCTATAGTAACCCAAATGGCATGGTACTGGCATAAAAACAGACACACAGACAAATGGAACAGAATAGAGAACCTGGAAATAAATCCATACATCTACAGTGAACTAACTTTTGACAAAGGTGCCAAGAACACACACTGGGGAAAAGACAGTCTCTTCAATAAATGGTACTGGGAAAACTGGATACCCATATGCAGAAGAATAAAACTAGACTCCTATCTCTCACCATAGACAAAAATCAAATCAAATCAAAATGGATTAAAAACTTTAAGACCTTAAACTATAAAACTGCTACAAGAAAATACTGGGCAAACTCTCCAGGACATTAGTCTGGGCAAAGATTTCTTGAGTAATACCCCACAAGCCAGGCAACCAAGGCACAAGTGGACAAATGGGATCACATTAAGTTAAAACACTTCTACACAGCAAAGGAAACAATCAACAAAGTGAAGAGACAATCCATAGAATGGGAGAAAATATTTGCAAACTACCTATCTGGGATTAATAACCAGAATATATAAGGAACACTATAGGAAAAAATCTAATTACCAGATTAAAAAATGGGCAAAAGACCTGAATAGCTATTTCTCAAAAGAAGACATACAAATGGTAAACAGGTGTATGAAAAGGTGCTTAACATTATTGGTCATCAGAGAAATATAAATCAAAACTACAACATGATATTCTCCCAACCCAGTTAAAATGACTTTTATTCAACAGACAGGCAATAAAAAATGCTAGTGAGGATGTGGAGAAAATGGAACCCTTGTACATTGTTGGTGGGAATGTAAATTAGTACAACCACTAGGGAGAGCAGTTTGAAATTTCCACAGAAAACTAAAAACAGAGCTATCATGTGATCCAGAAATCCCACTGGTATGGGTACATACCCCATTTTAATGTACCCCCCAAAAAGGAAATCAGATATCTGTACTCCCATGTTTATTGCAGCACTATTCACAGTAGCCAAGGTTTGGAAGCAAACTGTGTCAATAAGCAGCCAAATGGATAAAGATGTGGTACATATACACAATGGAGTACTATTCAGCCACAAGAAAGAATTTGCAACAATGTGGATTGAACCGGAGGTCATTATGTTAAGTGAAATAAGCCAGGCACAGAAAGACAAACTTCACATGTTCTCACTTGTTTGTGGGAACTAAAAATTAAAACAATTGAACTCATACAGAATAGAAGGATGGATACCAGAAGCCAGGAAGGGTAGTGGAAAGGTGGGAGGAAGTGGGGATGATTAATGGATACAAAAAAATAGTTAGAAAGAATTAATAAGACCTATTATTTGCTAGCACAACAGGGTGACAATAGTCAAAAATAATTTAATTGTGCATTTTAGAATAACGAAAAGAGTATAATTGGATTGTCTGAAACACAAAGGATAAATGCTTGAGGTGATGGATACTCCATGTACTATGATGTTATTATTATGCATTGCATGCTTGTATCAAAATATCTCATGCAACCCATAAACATATACATCTACTATGTTCCCACAAAAATTCAAAATTAAAAAAAAGAAAGAAACTTTCTCAATCTGATAAAAAGCCATCTAGAAAAAAATGTACAGCTAGCCTCATGCCTAACGGAGGAAGACAAAATGCTTTCTTCCTAAGATTGGGAAAAAGGTAAGAATATCTGGTCTCACTACTAATATTACATATTTTCCTAAAGGTTATAGCTGTGTAATAAGTCAAAAGAAAAAACGTAAAGGTATACAGACTGGTAAGGAAGAATTAAAACTCTCTTCATTCACAATGGCTTAAGTCCGTATGTAGAAAATTCCAAGAAATCCACTAAACATCTACTAACAAACAAGTTTAGCAAGGAAGTAGAATATAACTTCAACATACAAAAATTAATTCTTTCTATGCACTAGCACCAAACAATCCAAAAATGAAATTAAGAAAACTATTCCATTCATAACATCAACAGAAAAAATAAAATACTTTGGAATAAATTTAACAAAAGAAATGCAAATCTTGTATACTAAAAACTAAAACATTACTGAGAGAAATTAAAGACCTAAATTCCATGTTCATGGATTGAAAGACTCAATGTTGGTAAGATGGCCATTTGTTTTTAAATGCACATGGAATTTTCCTACAATTTATCAACCAAATTAACGCAAAGCGACTGCTATCAAAATCCTAGCTGATGTTTTTTGGTAAAAATTAATAAGCTGATCAAATATATATATGGAGGGAAAGAACCTAAATAGCCAAAAAGCCTTGAAAAGAATAACAAAGTTGAAGGATTTATGTGACTCCATTTCAAAACTTACTAGAATTTCACAGTAATCAAGACACTGTGGCATTGGTCCAAGGATAAGTATATAGATCAATGGAGCAGAATTAAGAGCACTGAAATTAACTCCTTATACTTATGGTCATTGATTTTTTTTTTTTTTTTACTACATCCTATGATTCATTCATCTTTTATTCTCAGGACCCAGAGTCAATGTCTGGCACCTGGGAGTCAGTGTCTGGCACCTGGTGGGTGCTCAATGAAAGGTTTATTCCTTTGGATAAATGCCCAGTAGTGGGACTGCTGGGTCATATGGGAGTTCTAGTTTTCATTTTTTGAAGAATCTCCATACTGTTTTCCGTAGTGGCTGTACTAATTTACATTGCCACCAAGAGTGTATAAGTATTCTCTTTTCTTTGTGTCTTTGCCAGTATCTGGTTGTTTTTGTTTTTTGGGTTTGGAGGGGGTACTTTTTGTCTTTTTGATAATAGCCATTTTAGCTGGGGTAAGATGAGATCTCATTGTAGTTCTGATTTGCATTTCCCCAATGATTAGTGATGTTGAGCATTTTTTTAATATACCTGTTGGCCATTTGTATGTCTACTATACCAGTATTAAGTGTGGTTTGTTTTTGTTTTTGTTTTGTTTTTTTTTGTTTCTTTTGAGATGGAGTCTTGCTCTGTTGCCCAGGCTGGAGTGCAATGGCATGATCTCGGCTCACTGCAGCCTCCACCTCCCAGGTTCAAGCGACTATCCTGCCTCAGCCTCCCAAGTAGCTGGGGTTATAGGCATGTGCCACAACTCCTGGCTAATTTTTTGTATTTTTAGTAGAGATGGGGTTTCGCCTGTTGGCCAGGCTGGTCTCAAATGCCCGACCTCAGGTGATCCACCCACCTCGGCCTCCCAAAGTGCTGGGATTATAGGCATGAGCCACCATGTCCAGCCAGTATTAAGTGTTATGAGATAAACCAACACACTTCTGAAATGGGACAGTCCTGCAGACAGGATAGAGAGAAGGTTTCCTGGGTAAACAACATTTGAAATGTTCTTAATTTAAGGACCTATGAATGTTTTCAGGGACTCTGAGAACCTCTTAAAAGTGGGTTCAAAATTTTGTCCACAGGCTGGGCACAGTGGCTCATTACTGTTATCCCTGCACTTTGAGAGGCCAAGGAAGGAGGACTGCTTGAGGCCAGGAGTTTGAGGCCAGCCAGGACAACACAGCAAGATCCTATCTCTATGAAAAAATTTTAAAAATTAGCCAGGTGTAGTGGCAGATGCCTGTGGTCCCAGCTACTTGGGAGGGTGAGGCAGGAGGATCACTTGAGCACAGGAGTTCAAGGCTGCAATGAACCATGACTGTACTACTGCACTCCAGCCTGAGTGACAGAGCGAGACCCCATCTCAAAAAAAAATTATGCACATACATATTTTTCTGGTGCAAGGGCTCATGGCTCTCACAGATGCTCAGAAAGATCTGTGGTGCACCAATGTTTATAGCAGTATTATTCACAATAGCCAAGATGTGGAAACAACCAAAGCATTCATCAACAGATGAACGGATAAACAAAGTGTGGTATATACATGCAATTGAATAGTATTCAGCCTTAAAAGGAATTACATTATGATGCATACTAAAATATACATAAGCATTGAAAATATTATGCTAAGTGAAATAAGCCAGACACAAAAGGCACATTCATAGACATAGAAAATAGAATAGAAGTTACCAGTGGGGCAGCAAAAGGGAGGAATGGAGAGGTATTGATTAATGGCTATATAGTTTCGGTTTGGGATGATGAAAAGGTTGTGGAAATAGATAATGGTGATGATTGTACAACCTTGTGGATGTAATTAATGCCACCGAATTGAACACTTGAAAATGGTTAAAATGGTAAATTTTATGTTCATATGTTTTACCACAATTTTTTTGAAAAAAGAATTTGTAGCCCTATAAAGCTTTAGAATCACTGGCCTAAATGATTTTTCAGGACACCATTAACTCTATTAAGGTATGCTTTCCAGAAACAGATGGAGGATTGAAGACAAAAATTACACTTAAAAATGCCCCTATTTTCTCCATATTTGAAAAGGCAGGCACAACTATCTTGGTACATCTTTACTTGCTACGTGCAGCATAAATAAGACACATGGAGTCAACCTGAACTCCCATCAGTGATAAACTGGATAAAGAAAATGACATGCATATACACCTTGGAATACTATGCAGCCATAAGAAGAATGAGATGATGTCCTTTGCAGGGACATGGATAAAGCTGGAGGCCATTATCCTTAGCAAACTAACACAGGAAGAGAAAACCAAATATCGCATATTCTCACTTATAAGTGGGAGCTAAATTATGAGAACACATGGAAACATAGAGGGGAACAACACACACTGGGGCCTAGCAGAGGGTGGAGGGTTGGAGGAGGGAGAGGATCAGGAAAAATAACTAATGGGGACTAGGCTTAATTCCTGGGTGATGAAATAATCTTTACAACAAATCCCCATGACACAAGTTTACCTATGTAACGAACCTGCACTTATATCCCTGAACTTAAAATAAAAGTTAAAAAAACTATATTAAAGAAAATGCATTCATAGTTACACCTTAAAGTTTACCTGGCACAATTTTTGTGCTCATCCTCAACAACTAAGAACTACCAAATCTTGGCTGCACTCCAGGTGGAGGAAAAGAGCCCAGAACAAAGGGCAATCCCAGTTGTGTGTTCACCATCAGAGTTCTCTCCTCTCGCTGCTTATAGAGACATGGCTGGAGCAGCTGCCTCACAAGTTAGGCTGCCTTGGGATATTTGTTAATGCCCAGAAACTCCTCCTTGATGATAATGTGAGTTGCATCAGAGTTAATGGCACTGTGCTGGCACATTTCCTAGAAGCAGTCACCTAGCAGGTACAGCACCTTTCAACCTATTCCACCAGGTCATGAGCAAGAATGAAATACAGGATTCAAAAAAAATATTTTTGATGTTGGAGAAATACTTCTGTCTCAAAAGTCTAAGAAAGTTGTTTAATATTTTTCAATTAGGGAGGAATCCAGAAACTGCCCTAATGAAACTCCTAACATACACACAAGAAGGAAGACAGGGCTGCTTCACAAAGGCAGCACCAAAAACAGCCGCCTGAAGCAAGGAGTGGGGATCAGCTTCTGTTGATAAAAATGTACCCACAGCCAAGGCTGCTACCGGAGATAGGAGCATGTTGCCCTTTATCTAGTGTGCAAATCAGGCACAACTAAGTGACAAGGAAGAAAGCTAGTGTGTTCCTGGTGCGTGGTGGAGCAGGTACTGAGGAGTTCTGTGTCAACATAAAGAAGAGCAAGAAAGAGGAGAGGTAGGAAATAAGGGAAAGAAAAAGCATGAAGGGGAGCCGGGCATGGTGGCTCACGCCTGTAATCCCAGCACTTTGAGAGGCTGAGGCGGGCGGATCATTTGAGGTCAGGAGGTTGAGACCAGCTTGGCCAACGTGGTGAAACCATATTTTCTCTACTAAAAATACAAAAAATTAGCTGGGCGTGATGGTGCACATCTGTAATCCCAGCACTAGAGAGGCTGAGGCAGGAGAATATCCTGAACCAGGGAGACGGAGGTTGCAGTGAGCTGATATCATGCCACTGCATTCCAGCCTGGGCAACAGAGTGAGACTACCTCTCAAAAAAAAAAAAAAAAAAAAAGCAAGAAAGGGAAGAGAGAGACAGAATAGATAGATGGAGATGGATGGAGAAGCAGACAGAGAGAAGATAAATATATCCATGTAATCAATGTGCTCCTAAAATCTCTTTAACTCTGACAGTTACCTTACTTATGAAATAGAGACAAGACCCCAGTAATAAAGGATTGATATTTACCTTCTGAATCTTTGTTGTAGAAAACGCCATGTGGATGCAGAGAGTAAGGTCGAGAAGCAAAGTTCTTTAAATGAATGACAATCACATCACCCACTTCGGCCCTCAAGATGGGGCCCAGGAATCCAAGCCAGGGAGGTTTGGGGATCTCTATGGAGTAGGTTCCATCCGTGAAGCGTCTGTAAACAGCCTTTTTGTAAATACTGCCTATCCTGTTGGGCCCTCTTTCGAGAAATAAGGTTGCAAGTCTAAAAGTAAGAAGAAAAACATTTTTAATTGAAATGAAAAGAGAAGACCTAATAGCTTACCACTAGGAGTTTATAAAGTATTGCATGTATGACCTCTCATTTGGTGTTCACTATAAGCTGCAACCTCTGTAGGGCTCGGAAGATTATCCTCAATTTACTAATGTGGAAATGAGATTCAGCAATGAAGTGGCAAGCCAAAGGGCACAAGCAGTATTCACAATCAAACTAAAACAAATCCAAAGAACTCTAAAGCCACACTACAAATTTGCCCCTTTCCACTCAACATGTTCCCCTTTGCTTTTTCATTTAACTAACACTCATTGCACATTTACTGCATTCTCAGCCTGTGACTAGATGGTGTACAAAAGTTTGTAATCAAATAATGGGCTTAGATAATTAAGTGTCAAGTGAATGATTGATACAACAGATACAGGCTCAACATTTCTAGGAACGTAATAGTTCAGGGAGGCCAGGCATAGTGGTCCACACCTGTAATCCCAGCAATGGGAGGCCAAGGCAGGCAGATCTCTTGAGCCTAGGAGTTTGAGACCAGCCTGGGCAACATAGTGAGACCCTGTTTCTGCAAACAAACAAACAAAAAAGCCGAGCATGGTGGTGGGCCGCCTGTAGTCCTAGCTACCTGATATGCTGAGGCAGGAGGATCACTCAAGCCTGGGAAATCAAGGCTGCAGTGAGCCATGATCATGCCAGCCTGGGTGACAGATCAAGATTCCGTCTTAAAAAAAATAGCCAGGCATAGTGGCTCATGCCTGTAATCCCACTTTGGGAGGCTAAGGTGGGAGGATCACTTGAGCCTGGGAAGTTAAGGCTCTGGTGAGCCAAGATCGCACCACTGCACTCTAGCCTGGATGACAGAGCAAGATCCTGTCTCAAAAAAAAAAAAAAAAAGGTTTGGAGAATGAAAAGATTGCTGTGGTTACAAGAGGTCAGACAATTGCAAGAATTAAGGAGAAGTAGGATTGGATAACAAAAGGGAAAAGTGAGGACACTAAGTGGGACAACTGATGTACAGTGAGGAGGAAGCAGTGCAGATGGAATGGGAAGTGCAGGTTATAGGCTGGTGCACAGGTCTAGGAAGTGAGGAGTGAGAGATAAGGATGCAGGTAAGTTCCGGAGATAGACTGACAAGTTTAATTCCGGGTTGGAGAATTTAAAATTTATCTTGGAAGCACTGAGACTCACTGAGGTTTTTCACAAAATGGGTGACATAATAATCATGTGTTCAAGGACCCTTCTATGGCAGTGGTGTGCAAGTTTTAAAGGAGTTGAGGAAAAGGCAGAGCAAAGTTGAGGGGCAGAGACACTGTTATGAGACCAGAAGTGGGTGGTGCAATAGAAGAAAAGGGGTGGACATGAGAAAAACAGAATTCTAAGACTTGAGATGACCAGATGCCTTCCTGGGGACCTAGACGTAGGGCAGACTCAGTCCCTGGTGTCTGGAAGCCTGAAACAATAGCACCACTTGGGAGGTGCCTGACAATCTTCTCCTGGAGAGGTGAAGCCCCCTTCCCCATTCTCGGTCTATTTGCTTGGCTTGGAGCTCCCATCCTAGCTCCAGCTCCATAAATACTGGCTTCTGCTTGAGCAAAAGCTCCACCACTCCTGGGTGCAGCCATCCCAATGTAGCTGTGTCCCTTTTGGGGGTAAGAGGCCACATCTTACTCTGAGACACACTCCTGCAAGTGTCCGTGCATTTATTCTCTCTCAGTTATCCAACAAATATTAATTATACCAAGCCCTGCCATCAGTACCAGGGATATGGAGGAAAAAAGACAAAGCCCCTGCCTTGAAGGAGCCCCTATTCTGGAAGGGAGAGTTATGAGAACACACATTATGTTCTGGGGCATCTAATCTGGAGTCAAAGATAAGTCAGGGGAAGTTTCCTTAAGGAAGTAATGCTTCAGTATACTCTCGAACAATGAAGAGTTACTCAAGAAAAAAAAAATAGAAAAAGTTGATGTAGAAGACATTTTTAAGTTTTGGCAACTCGGCACACACACTCCACTCTTTGAGGAGTGAGGAGTGTGCCCAGAGTGGGAGAGCACACCTGTCCCACTCTCATTCTCTGTGCTTCGGATGGGGTTCCATCCCCCAGCCCCACTAATGGAGCAAGTGCCTCAGCCTAGCCTATAAGCACGCCAAATTTCTCTAATAAGCTGTTGTTAGGGCAGGACTTGTGATCCAGACCTGGCCAATTGATATCATTCATCCCCCAGCCAGCCTACCCTGGGCCACCATGATTAGTTCAGGGACAGCCACAGAGTGTCTCGTTGGTTAAATCTGAGAAAATCCAGGGACTTGTGAAGGATCTCTTTCTTGTGTACTTGGGACTGGTACATGAGTCTGGAGCTTCAGGTAACCACAGGAGGAAGTCTGTCTGAGAGTTGTTTGTTCCTCTAATCTCTTAAATTTGGCTATTGACTTTTTCCCCTCTAATCAACTCCTACTTGTTTTCATCATCGTAAGACTATTTCTTTTCATTTTTTCTGTTTTTATTTTATTGTACTTTCTATTCTTTTACTCAGTTCCAAGAATTCAATCATTCATATAATTTATTTAAAAAATGTGTTAAGCACGTGTCAGGTATCATGGAGCACTTCTCTGTTCTACTTTTCTGTGGCCCTAATAATTTTTTCTGTTTTTCTTTTCTTTCCCAATCCTTTCCAAAGGAAACCTATCCCAGCCTTTCCCAAAGGAATTAATGTCTAACAGAGTATTCAATCCACCCACTCTGGGCCAGAATGAGCAATTCATGCAGTTTTTTTTTTTTTTTTTTATTATACTTTAAGTTTTAGGGTACATGTGCACAATGTGCAGGTTAGTTACATATGTATACATGTGCCATGCTGGTGCGCTGCACCCACTAACTCGTCATCTAGCATTAGGTATATCTCCCAATGCTATCCCTACCCCCTCCCCCCACCCCACCACAGTCCCCAAAGTGTGATATTCCCCTTCCTGTGTCCATGTGATCTCATTGTTCAATTCCCACCTATGAGTGAGAATATGCGGTGTTTGATTTTTTGTTCTCGCGATAGTTTACTGAGAATGATGGTTTCCAATTTCATCCATGTCCCTACAAAGGACATGAACTCATCATTTTGTATGGCTGCATAGTATTCCATGGTGTATATGTGCCACATTTTCTTAATCCAGTCTATCATTGTTGGACATTTGGGTTGGTTCCAAGTCTTTGCTATTGTGAATAATGCCGCAATAAACATATGTGTGCATGTGTCTTTATAGCAGCATGATTTATAGTCCTTTGGGTATATACCCAGTAATGGGATGGCTGGGTCAAATGGTATTTCTAGTTCTAGATCACTGAGGAATCGCCACACTGACTTCCACAATGGTTGAACTAGTTTACAGTCCCACCAACAGTGTAAAAGTGTTCCTATTTCTCCACATCCTCTCCAGCACCTGTTGTTTCCTGACTTTTTAATGATTGCCATTCTAACTGGTGTGAGATGATATCTCATAGTGGTTTTGATTTGCATTTCTCTGATGGCCAGTGATGATGAGCATTTTTTCATGTGTTTTTTGGCTGCATAAATGTCTTCTTTTGAGAAGTGTCTGTTCATGTCCTTCGCCCACTTTTTGATGGGGTTGTTTGTTTTTTTCTTGTAAATTTGTTTGAGTTCATTGTAGATTCTGGATATTAGCCCTTTGTCAGATGAGTAGGTTGCGAAAATTTTCTCCCATGTTGTAGGTTGCCTATTCACTCTGATGGTAGTTTCTTTTGCTGTGCAGAAGCTCTTTAGTTTAATTAGATCCCATTTGTCAATTTTGGCTTTTGTTGCCATTGCTTTTGGTGTTTTGGACATGAAGTCCTTGCCCACGCCTATGTCCTGAATGGTAATGCCTAGGTTTTCTTCTAGGGTTTTTATGGTTTTAGGTCTAACGTTTAAATCTTTAATCCATCTTGAATTGATTTTTGTATAAGGTGTAAGGAAGGGATCCAGTTTCAGCTTTCTACATATGGCTATCCAGTTTTCCCAGCACCATTTATTAAATAGGGAATCCTTTCCCCATTGCTTGTTTTTCTCAGGTTTGTCAAAGATCAGATAGTTGTAGGTATGTGGCGTTATTTCTGAGGGCTCTGTTCTGTTCCATTGATCTATATCTCTGTTTTGGTACCAGTACCATGCTGTTTTGGTTACTGTAGCCTTGTAGTATAGTTTGAAGGCAGGTAGTGTGATGCCTCCAGCTTTGTTCTTTTGGCTTAGGATTGACTTGGCGATGCGGGCTCTTTTTTGGTTCCATATGAACTTTAAAGTAGTTTTTTCCAATTCTGTGAAGAAAGTCATTGGTAGCTTGATGGGGACGGCATTGAATCTGTAAATTACCTTGGGCAGTATGGCCATTTTCACGATATTGATTCTTCCTACCCATGAGCATGGAATGTTCTTCCATTTGTTTGTATCCTCTTTTATTTCCTTGAGCAGTGGCTTGTAGTTCTCCTTGAAGAGGTCCTTCACATCCCTTGTAAGTTGGATTCCTAGGTATTTTATTCTCTTTGAAGCAATTGTGAATGGGAGTTCACTCATGATTTGGCTCTCTGTTTGTCTGTTGTTGGTCTATAAGAATGCTTGTGATTTTTGTACATTGATTTTGTATCCTGAGAGTTTGCTGAAGTTGCTTATCAGCTTAAGGAGATTTTGGGCTGAGACGATGGGGTTTTCTAGATAAACAATCATGTTGTCTGCAAACAGGGACAATTTGACTTCCTCTTTTCCTAATTGAATACCCTTTATTTCCTTCTCCTGCCTGATTGCCCTGGCCAGAACTTCCAACACTATGTTGAATAGGAGCGGTGAGAGAGGGCATCCCTGTCTTGTGCCAGTTTTCAAAGGGAATGCTTCCAGTTTTTGCCCATTCAGTATGATATTGGCTGTGGGTCTGTCATAGATAGCTCTTATTATTTTGAAATACGTCCCATCAATACCTAATTTATTGAGAGTTTTTAGCATGAAGGGTTGTTGAATTTTGTCAAAGGCTTTTTCTGCATCTATTGAGATAATCATGTGGTTTTTGTCTTTGGCTCTGTTTATATGCTGGATTACATTTATTGATTTGCATATATTGAACCAGCCTTGCATCCCAGGGATGAAGCCCACTTGATCATGGTGGATAAGCTTTTTGATGTGCTGCTGGATTCGGTTTGCCAGTATTTTATTGAGGATTTTTGCATCAATGTTCATCAAGGATATTGGTCTAAAATTCTCTTTTTTGGTTGTGTCCCTGCCCGGCTTTGGTATCAGAATGATGCTGGCCTCATAAAATGAGTTAGGGAGGATTCCCTCTTTTTCTATTGATTGGAATAGTTTCAGAAGGAATGGTACCAGTTCCTCCTTGTACCTCTGGTAGAATTCGGCTGTGAATCCATCTGGTCCTGGACTCTTTTTGGTTGGTAAACTATTGATTATTGCCACAATTTCAGCTCCTGTTATTGGTCTATTCAGAGATTCAACTTCTTCCTGGTTTAATCTTGGGAGAGTGTATGTGTCGAGGAATGTATCCATTTCTTCTAGATTTTCTAGTTTATTTGCGTAGAGGTGTTTGTAGTATTCTCTGATGGTAGTTTGTATTTCTGTGGGATCGGTGGTGATATCCCCTTTATCATTTTTTATTGTGTCTATTTGATTCTTCTCTCTTTTTTTCTTTATTAGTCTTGCTAGTGGTCTATCAATTTTGTTGATCCTTTCAAAAAACCAGCTCCTGGATTCATTAATTCTTTGAAGGGTTTTTTGTGTCTCTATTTCCTTCAGTTCTGCTCTGATTTTAGTTATTTCTTGCCTTCTGCTAGCTTTTGAATGTGTTTGCTCTTGCTTTTCTAGTTCTTTTAATTGTGATGTTAGGGTGTCAATTTTGGATCTTTCCTGCTTTCTCTTGTGGGCATTTAGTGCTCTAAATTTCCCTCTACACACTGCTTTGAATGTGTCCCAGAGATTCTGGTATGTTGTGTCTTTGTTCTCGTTGGTTTCAAAGAACATCTTTATTTCTGCCTTCATTTCGTTATGTACCCAGTTGTCATTCAGGAGCAGGTTGTTCAGTTTCCATGTAGTTGAGCGGCTTTGAGTGAGATTCTTAATCCTGAGTTGTAGTTTGATTGCACTGTGGTCTGAGAGATAGTTTGTTATAATTTCTGTTCTTTTACATTTGCTGAGGAGAGCTTTACTTCCAACTATGTGGTCAATTTTGGAATAGGTGTGGTGTGGTGCTGAAAAAAATGTATATTCTGTTGATTTGGGGTGGAGAGTTCTGTAGATGTCAATTAGATCTGCTTGGTGCAGAGCTGAGTTCAATTCCTGGGTATCCTTGTTGACTTTCTGTCTCGTTGATCTGTCTAATGTTGACAGTGAGGTGTTAAAGTCTCCCATTATTAATGTGTGGGAGTCTAAGTCTCTTTGTAGGTCACTCAGGACTTGCTTTATGAATCTGGGTGCTCCTGTATTGGGTGCATATATATTTAGGATAGTTAGCTCCTCTTGTTGAATTGATCCCTTTACCATTATGTAATGGCCTTCTTTGTCTCTTTTGATCTTTGTTGGTTTAAAGTCTGTTTTATCAGAGACTAGGATTGCAACCCCTGCCTTTTTTTGTTTTCCATTTGCTTGGTAGATCTTCCTCCATCCTTTTATTTTGAGCCTATGTATGTCTCTGCACGTGAGATGGGTTTCCTGAATACAGCACACTGATGGGTCTTGACTCTTTATCCAACTTGCCAGTCTGTGTCTTTTAATTGGAGAATTTAGTCCATTTACATTTAAAGTTAATATTGTTATGTGTGAATTTGATCCTGTCATTATGATGTTAGCTGGTTATTTTGCTCGTTAGTTGATGCAGTTTCTTCCTAGTCTCGATTGTCTTTACATTTTGGCATGATTTTGCAGCGGCTGGTACCGGTTGTTCCTTTCCATGTTTAGCGCTTCCTTCAGGAGCTCTTTTAGGGCAGGCCTGGTGGTGACAAAATCTCTCAGCATTTGCTTGTCTGTAAAGGATTTTATTTCTCCTTCACTTATGAAGCTTAGTTTGGCTGGATATGAAATTCTGGGTTGAAAATTCTTTTCTTTAAGAATGTTGAATATTGGCCCCCACTCTCTTCTGGCTTGTAGGGTTTCTGCCGAGAGATCTGCTGTTAGTCTGATGGGCTTCCCTTTGAGGGTAACCCGACCTTTCTCTCTGGCTGCCCTTAACATTTTTTCCTTCATTTCAACTTTGGTGAATCTGACAATTATGTGTCTTGGAGTTGCTCTTCTCGAGGAGTATCTTTGTGGCGTTCTCTGTATTTCCTGAATCTGAACGTTGGCCTGCCTTGCTAGGTTGGGGAAGTTCTCCTGGATAATATCCTGCAGAGTGTTTTCCAACTTGGTTCCATTCTCCCCATCACTTTCAGGTACACCAATCGGACGTAAATTTGGTCTTTTCACATAGTCCCATATTTCTTGGAGGCTTTGCTCATTTCTTTTTATTCTTTTTTCTCTAAACTTCCCTTCTCACTTCATTTCATTCATTTCATCTTCCATTGCTGATACCCTTTCTTCCAGTCGATCGCATCGGCTCCTGAGGCTTCTGCATTCTTCACATAGTTCTCGAGCCTTGGTTTTCAGCTCCATCAGCTCCTTTAAGCACTTCTCTGTATTGGTTATTCTAGTTATACATTCTTCTAAATTTTTTTCAAAGTTTTCAACTTCTTTGCCTTTGGTTTGAATGTCCTCCCGTAGCTCAGAGTAATTTGATCGTCTGAAGCCTTCTTCTGTCAGCTCGGCAAAATCATTCTCCATCCAGCTTTGTTCCGTTGCTGGTGAGGAACTGCGTTCCTTTGGAGGAGGAGAGGCGCTCTGCGTTTTAGAGTTTCCAGTTTTTCTGTTCTGTTTTTTCCCCATCTTTGTGGTTTTATCTACTTTTCGTCTTTGATGATGGTGATGTACAGATGGGTATTCGGTGTGGATGTCCTTTCTGTTTGTTATTTTTCCTTCTAACAGACAGGACCCTCAGCTGCAGGTCTGTTGGAATACCCTGCTGTGTGAGGTGTCAGTATGCCCCTGTTGGGGGGGTGCCTCCCAGTTAGGCTGCTTGGGGGTCAGGGGTCAGGGACCCACTTGAGGAGGCAGTCTGCCCGTTCTCAGATCTCCAGCTGCATGCTGGGAGAACCACTGCTCTCTTCAAAGCTGTCAGACAGGGACATTTAAGTCTGCAGAGGTTACTGCTGTCTTTTTGTTTGTCTGTGCCCTGCCCCCAGAGGTGGAGCCTACAGAGGCAGGCAGGCCTCCTTGAGCTGTGGTGGGCTCCACCCAGTTCAAGCTTTCTGGCTGCTTTGTTTACCTAAGCAAGCCTGGGCAATGGCGGGCGCCCCTCCCCCAGCCTCGCTGCCGCCTTGCAGTTTGATCTCAGACTGCTGTGCTAGCAATCAGCGAGACTCCGTGGGCGTAGGACCCTCTGAGCCAGGTGCGGGATATAATCTCGTGGTGCGCCGTTTTTTAAGCCGGTCTGAAAAGCGCAATATTCGGGTGGGAGTGACCCGATTTTCCAGGTGCGTCCGTCACCCCTTTCTTTGACTCGGAAAGGGAACTCCCTGACCCCTTGCGCTTCCCAGGTGAGGCAATGCCTTGCCCTGCTTCGGCTCGTGCACGGTGCGCGCACCCACTGGCCTGCGCCCACTGTCTGGCACTCCCTAGTGAGATGAACCCTGTACCTCAGATGGAAATGCAGAAATCACCCGTCTTCTGTGTCGCTCACGCTGGGAGCTGTAGACCAGAGCTGTTCCTATTCGGCCATCTTGGCTCCTCCCTTTTTTTTTTTTTTTTTTTGAGACGGAGTCTTGCTCTGTTGCCCAGGCTGGAGTGCAATGGCACGATCTAGGCTCACTGCAACCTCCGCCTTCCGGGTTCACACCGTTCTCCTGCCTCAGCCTCCAGACTAGCTGGGACTACAGGCGCCTGCCACCACGCCGGGCTAATTTTTTGTATTTTGTTTAGTAGAGATGGGGTTTCACCATGTTAGCCAGGATGGTCTCAATCTCCTGACCTCCAATTCATGCAGTTTTGTTCATTCCAGATCCACAGTGAGTGTCAGGGTAATTCTAAGATGGGTAGACCAGTTGGATCTAGAAGACTCTAGAAGCTCTGTTCTATGGCATTGGAGCCTGAAAAGTTGTGAGATGACTCAAGTCTCAAAAATTCCTCTAGAGTGTCCTGCACCAACTCTTCCCATCCCTCACCCCTCTCAGCATAGGGCACAGCGATCCTCTTTGATTCTTCTCTCCCTTCTCCAAGTCAGAATCCTAGGCAGATACCTTGGTCAGGCACCCTTGTCTAGTCCCAAGCCCCAGCCTCAGACATCAGCAGGTGGAGCTATAAACTCATAGACCCTTGGGGTTCAGCCTTTAACTGTACCTCATTTGAATTCCTATTCTGTCCAGAGACAGACCCAGGGACAGTGCTCCTTCTGAGGTGGACATATTTCCTGGACCAGAATATATAAAGTTTCTACTCATGTATGACTGTGTCACCCTAATGAAATACGCCCTTAAGGGCTTCCATGAACTTCAGGCATTTCAGTGGTGGTATAAAAGGAAAGTAATAAATAAAATTAAATTTAAAAGAGACTTTCAGGCTGGGCGCGTTGGCTCACGCCTGTAATCCCAGCACTTTGGGAGGCCGAGGCGGGCGGATCACGAGGTCAGGAGATCGAGACCATCCTGGCTAACACGGTGAAACCCCGTCTCTACTAAAAATACAAAAAATTAGCCGGGCGTGGTAACGGGCGCCTGTAGTCCCAGCTACTCAGGAGGCTGAGTCAGGAGAATGGCGTGAACCCAGGAGGCGGAGCTTGCAGTGAGCCGAGATCGCGCCACTGCACTCCAGCCTGGGTGACAGAGTGAGACTCCGTCTCAAAAAATAAAATAAAATAAAAGAGACTTTCATGACCACTCTGGAGGGGGACCAACAGGAAGCCTCTGCCTGCCTTTGTCATAGGCTCTGGCTGCCCCTATCACCCCGCATGACCCCTTTAAGAACTCTCCCAGGATATACCTAATGTAAATGACGAGTTAATGGGTGCAGCACACCAACATGGCACATGTATACATGTGTAACAAACCTGCACGTTGTGCACATGAACCCTAGAACTTAAAGTATAATAAAAGATTTTTTAAAAAAAGGAACTCTCCCAGAAGATCCCACAGGCATCGCCTCTGTTTCAGTCTTGGGTAAGCTTGAAAGCCATTCTGCTGACTTCCAACAAGTACAGATTAAGGATTTATAGCATGCAAAGTACTGGGCTAGATGTTGTTTTGAGTACAATAATAAAAAAGGTACAATCTCTAAATAAGTACGTTTGTAGTCAAGAGGAAGGAACAAAGCCATTGTTACCTGCACAAAGGAAACTGCTAAGAATTGTAGGAAAAGAACGTGTTATGGGAATTTAGGACAGAGGGAGAGACACCTCAATACCTTACTCAAATAGAAGGAAGAGCTTGAGAAAGGTATCCAGGTGAGAGAATTAGAGGTCAGTTCAGGAAATCACAGGCAGCTTTATAGGACCAGAAAATTTGATAAGAGTGAAACTGTGGAGAAATTTGAGTGCTTGGCTAAGGCATTTAGATGTAATTGTATCTTCAACTAAGAGCCACTGAAGATTCTTAAACAGATGTATTTGACCAGATCTGTGTCTAGGGAAGACAATTTTGGAAGGATCCTATATCTGATTCCTTTTCATCATACCTGCCCACATGATTTTTCTCATCTGCTTCTGCTCACTGGATCAAGCCCCTTCCTTACCTTCCACCTCTGAATACTGAGTCATTACAACTGTATGCTCACCAGGGCTCTGTTTAACTTCATGCCTGATTTGGGGGATGTTATTCCTTGGTATCGGATTCAGCTGGCCCTCCTACTCCCAGTGGCCCAGGGTGGCATCTGCTTGCCTGTCTAGTCTGGGACTTTCTTTGTGAAGTTTTATTATCTTTCTTTACTTAAATGTCATCTTTTCTGCATTGCTCTCCCTTCTTTCTGACAAGGGGCAGACCTGCTGACAAATAGGGTTTACAGCCACATTCCTTTGTTGATGGAGTCACACCAGGTCTGATAGCCTTTGTATTAAATAATGAATCTTTGTTAGCTTCATTAAGGTTGGGAAAAACACTATAGATCAAAAAGATAAAGAGATATTTTCAGGGCTTCATCTTCATTTCCTCAAAGAGATGATCACATTAGTATACAGTGACTCAGGCACTCCTACTTCAAAGCAGCTCCTACTTCAAAGCTCCTAAGCAGTCTTAATAATAAATGGTGGCTTTGCCCACCCTGCAGACTTTTCAGGATGATGGAGCTAGAGATCAACATATTGAGCAGCCTGGAATCCATCCCGCATGGAGCAGAAGATGGGAACCACCTTAGAAGGTAGAAGAATCACTTAGGCAGATGGAGGAAAGGACATCTGAGTCAAGCTGGGAAGAAGGATCCACAGGTTCAAATCAAAGCAGAAAAAGTCCTCTTTGAAGCAACAGCTTTTCTCTCCAACCTCATTTCCTCCCTCTTTGCCCCAACTCCCAGGTCCCCATGCTTCTGCCAGATCAGACACTCTCTTCTTGGTACACACCATGTCCTTTCAGCATTTTAAGACTTCAGCACATTCTTTTTCCTGGGCCTCAGTGGTCTTCCTCATTCTCTACCTGCCAAGCACCCTTTGAGGTAGACTCACACTCTTCCTCTTTTCCTCCTCTCTACATACACAGTGCTCTGTTCATGTGCTAATAATGGTACTCACCAAAGCGTGTTACAGTGAGATATGCACATCTCTGGTTTGTGAGCTCATTGAAGACAATACCCCTTTAAACATCCTTTTTATTCCTAAGCCCCAGCAACTCGCCTGGAAGAGTTGGTGTTTAATGGCTTTGGCACTTAAAAACAAACAAACAAGTGTGAGTTTGTCCCCATATTGGCAAGCTAAAGCTGGGATGGTGTTGCAAACTCTATTTGCTGAAAAGCATAGGTTACCATATTTGAATACCCTCTAGGTCCAGGACAGCCAATAGATTTTATCTTGTGCACCAAATCTAATTGGTGGTAATTGCTTAGAAAAGAAGTCAAGGTTGAGTTCAATGAGAGAAGAACACCATGATCCACACTAGATGTCCGCTGTGGATATGAGGGTGGGGGCACTCCAAGCACATAGTTGCTCTTCTTACCCTACACAAATGGCCAGGCCACACAGTGCTCCAGAGTCTTCGGGTCCTCTCTACACCTGGATGACATCATATCTTACTACTGGGAGAAAACACACTTGAGTTGTTTAGATCTGAGACCCAGCTGCTCTCAGAAATTCAACATATGACCTTGTTACCAGCAGCAAATTCATATGGGCCTGCAGCAACCTCAATCCCTGCCTCCTCAGAAGAAAGAATTCAATTCAACTAAGGGGCATAAGGCAAAAGGAGAGACTGAGGCAAGTTTTAGAGCAGGAATGAAAGTTTATTAAAAAGCTTTAGAGTAGGAACAAAAGGAAGGAAAGCACCCTTGGAAGAGGGCCAAGCGGGCGACTTGAAAAACAAGTGCGCAGTTTGACCTTTTGACTTGGGGTTTTATACATTGGCATACTTCTGGGCTCTTGTGTCACTTCTCCCCTGATTCTTCCCTTGGCATGGGTTGTCCATATGTGCAGTGGCCTCCTAGCACTTGGGAGATGAGCAGGTGCGGTGTGTTTACTGGAGCTGTACGCATGCTCACGTGAGGCATTCTTCCCTTACCAGTGGAATGTCCCTGGAAGGTCATATACCAGTTAAACTCCGCCGTTTTGCCCCTCAATGCACTTGCTTGAGCCCATTTGCCCAACTCCTGAGATCTTATCAGGAAGCTGCTGATCACCAGTTTCAGGTTTTTTCTATCTATAGGGAGACTGCCTTTCCCTGGCACTGACTGTGACCAATTATTACTTTAGAGAGACAGTTAACAACCGCCTGACCATCACCTGGTGGTTACCTGACATTCCTGGTCAGGCGGACCCCTCTCCTGCCCTGCTCATGCCTGACTAGCTACCTACTATAACAACCTTATAGGCTTCAGTTTGCTGGGTATGCCTCCCAAAGACTGTTGGGACCTGCTAACAAATGGGGTTTACAGCCACCTTGACATTTTCTAATTTGTAAACTGAAGCTTACAGCATAGCAAAATTAAAAAGAAAATAATTTAAAGAGAGCGCAGCAAGGTTTAAAAGTCAAGCTAAAAAGTGATTATCACTCCCGCTGTCTAGCCAGCTGAGGTATCCAGCCTGCCCCAGACCACGTAATAAAATCATAAGCCAGGTCAAACCCACCAGCAACAAAGCCTCTTTTAAATGAAGCAGGCCTTGGCCTCGGAGGCTGGAGAATCCCCCACGGTTTTCAGCTGAGCCAGATTAAGGGGTAGAGCAGCTGGGTCTCAGATCTAAAGGCCACTGGAACATCACTGGGGAGCTGGAAGCATTTCAGGGTGGATAAAATTCACTGGAAATGACATTGAAGTTGGAGAAAATTGCAACCTGTGGAACTTCTGTGGGGTAAGCACTGTATGTCATTGGAAAGGAGGCTTTGATTAGCTGTTTGAGATGGGGTTTGGGAGGTGAGTGAAGAGACCCCAAAGGTTATGCTCGAATACTAACAGGTGGCCACAAAAATCTATTCCAAGGAGAATTGGTGCAGTGAACTGTAGAGTAGACTGCTTTTGGCTTGCAGCCAAAGGGAGGTAAGAATGGCCATCACCAGACCACTTTCTCCTCTCCTCAGTACTCAGCCTCTCCTATAGATGAAGGAGATCCGTGCTATTTATCTGCCCAGAGCATCTGATTATTAACCTTCCCAGGGTTAACCCTATCCCACCCTTGAGGTGGAGTCCGTGGTAGGGAGGAGGTCCTGGGACAAGAAGGAACCCATGGGTTTAGACCCCCGATGGAGAAGCCAGAGATGGGCCTGACTAGAGAAGAACCCCAGGAATCACAGGACAAGACCTCCCAGAGGCAGCAATGTTCTCTGTCCCCCAATTACTAGGTTCAGCTTCCAATCCAAACAATGTGATCAAGAGAGGAATCCTGTTTAAAAAATTAGAGAATGATTTTGATAGCAAAAGCCTGGAAAGACCAAAATGTTCTTCAACTGGCAGCTGGGTAAATAAATGATGGCATTCATGCCACATACCCATAAGAAAAGAATAAGGTGGTCTACAGGTGCTGATATGGCGTGATCACCAAGATACTAATAAAAAAAAAGCAAATTGCAGAGCCGTATGTAAAGTATTATCCCATTTGTGTGTGTGTGTGTGTGTGTGTGTGTGTGTGTGTGTGTAACAATGCACATTTACCCATATGCAAAGAATACATCTGGAAAGTGACCAGGGAAACAAAGTGTAGCCTCCAGACTATGAGACTGAAGCCACAGGTGGGAGGGAGGACGGAGGAGAAGTTTACTTTCACTCATCCTCTTTTATACTGTTGTAGGGGGAGGGGCGGTTACTCTGTACCTACAAATTCAATACTAAAAACAAGCTCACGTTTTATTGAAAAAAAAAGAAGACCCATGCTGTTTGGCCTCCAAGGGGCCAAAATTCTCTTGCATGCCTTCTATTTCTAAAAACAAAGCTGCCACAACAAAGGGTGTTGTTGGATTGAGTTCTGCTCTGCAAGGGGATTGGCCTCTGGAGCAGAGAGCATGGCATCTGCTCACTATCCCTGCTCAACCTCTGGCTTGCCAACTCTCCTCTCAGGCATTGAGGCTGAAGTCTTGGGACTGTGTATGAACATTCTGGGTCTCTTGTATCCAAGCATCCACTAAGCCTGCATGTGTCTACCCAGGAGCAAGAGTTAGCCCTCTCCCACTCTATAAGGCAAAGACTTACATTTCCCTGTGCAAGAGAATGGGATATAAAAGTTGGGATGCCTGACCCCTGGACCTTTATAATAGAGGCTGTTACATTTCTCAGACTTGCTTGCAACTTGGAATAGTCATGTGACATAATTCTAGCCAATCAGATGTAAGCAGAAGTCACTCAATGATACTTCTCCAGGTGTAGCTGGAAGACACCATTTTTCTCCTCTTCTCTTCCCTTTATTCATGCCTGAAATGTAGACATGATGACTGGAGCTCCAGCAGCCATCTTGAGATAACGAGGAAGAGGGTCACACCCTAGGAATGGTCAAGTGAGAGCCAAAAGGAACCTGGGACCCAGATGATTGCCAACCTCTGGCTCTCTTTTATGTAAGCAATAATAATAAATCTTTAATCGATTTAAACCACTTCTGTTTTTCAGGATTCTGTTAAAGAGTAGCTGAATACAACTCCTGATTGAACAGGCTGTGCAAAAGGAGAAGGAAGAGGAAGAGGCAGAGGAAGAACTGAGTCATCCCCAAGCTTGCTAATAAGCCTCAGAGTTGCCCAGTTTTATAGCTGACAATGGGTCACCCAGTAAGGTGGCACAGCAAGGATTAGATTCAGAATCCCTGGTATGCTCTCTGGGTTCAGCCTGATGGGTAAAAACTATAATACAAAACTATTATTCATAGGACCTTATCATTCCAACAGGCCCTATAGGGAAGGATGGACATTGGACTCTACTTCTCTACCCTGTTCTCCCACTGCACACATGAAGACACAAAAGTATACACACATGCAGATGCATGTGGAGCACACATGCTCACATCTTCACATATGTACTCCTGCTTTTAATCTGCTAAGAGGTCCTGACCCCACCTCTGCCCAAGACCTTTCTCCATCACCTCCACAAGACCAGGTCTTACCATGAGTTGTCTGGCAAAGGCACTAAATAAGAGGCAAAATAAGTATCAGGAGGGGCAGTGAAGTGTTTGCTGAGTCCCTGTAGGGACTGGAGCACTTATGGTATGCTTCATATTTTGGCACTGAGTTATACATTGACTGTTTTTCATATTCCTGGACACATATCAGTCTTATCACCTATACAGCCAATAGTCACCCCAAGGGGGGATTGGGTTTTCTAAAGCAGTGGTTCCCAAATGTCCACCCATGTACCACTTGCATCAGAATCATTTGGAACATTTGCCAAATTTTTATTCTCAGGCCCCACTTCAGGGCAATGGAATCAGACTTTCTACTGGCAAGACCATGGTATCTGTATTTTTTCCTAAGATCACCAAATGATTCCTGTAGTAGAGCTTTTTAGGGCTTGCGTATTCTAATTTTTCTTTCCTCCTAACCAAAGAAGACCACAGTGATTCTGCTTTTGCAAGTTAGATGGGCCATAGTGTTCTGGCAAATTGGCTGTGAGTGGAAATGCCACGTGTCACTTCTGGGTGGGGGCATTTAATTATTATTGCAAGACCCTCTCTTCCTCTGCTGCAGGAGGAGCCTCCTGCTCAGACAGTGAAGAGAACCCATAGCTTCCTCCTTGTCCCAGGACTTCTTCCCCTGCACTGACTCCACATCAAGAGTAGGACAGGGTTGACCCATGAAGGTGCCCTAGGAAGATACTTCACACAAAACAAAAACTATAGTAACTATTTGATAAAAATTTGTTGAGGCTGGGTGTGGTGGCTCATGCCTAATCCCAGCATTTTGGGAGGCCAAGGTGGGAGGATCACTTGAGGCTAGGAGTTTAAGACTAGCCTGGGCAATACAGTGAGATCCTATACTTTTTTAACTAATAGGAAAAAAAGCTTGAAAGTAAAAAAAGAAGTGGGAAGGGATAGAAATAAGAGAAAGTAGTTTGTTTTAGTGTCTACACAGCAAACCACCCATTGAGAACATATTATGCATTTGTAATAGTAGAACAGAAACTCCAGCTCCTTTGAGTTCTATAAAATGCAAATTTGCCCAAGAAACAAAGTAAGGAAGTAACTTCAAGGGAGCCATCCCCATGAAGCAACCTCCAATTTAAATGGAGTATATTTGTTAGAATGTTGCATTGGTGAGCCATCTGTTGTTTATCACGTAGCCATGGCGAGGGGCTGAGCAATCACTATTCCTCAAGAACATTTTCAATCTGCATTCTAACATCTTGACTCAAGCTAAGGAGGTGTCTACTTCCTGCTGCAAAAGAATCCAGTGGGGCCAGGAAGGTTAACATTAACAACTGCCTTAAAGACAAGATGGGGACTTGGAACATTACATTGCCAGTGCCTGGGGCCAATCCTGTGGATGGAGATATCTTCCAAAAGCAGAGGAGATTAATCATTATCAGAACAAACCTGCCCTTGGGAATCCCCTACACAGTACAGAGTTGGACTTCCAGGTTAGATTCTCAGGAGTTCGTAGCTTGCAGGGATATAAACCACCCAGCAATCCCATGACCTCTGCATCTTTTAGAGGGATGTTTTCTGATAGCTTCCTTGGAGCAATTGCTGATCATCTACTATGTCTGGGACATAAAACTAGAAACTGGGGCCAAGATGTATTAATCTCAGTCCCTGCATGCAAGAGTTTTACCATCTAGTTGGGAAGCAAAACATGCATTTGACAGTAAACACAGTTTTACAATGTTAACTGCCAACTCTACTGTCCAGAGCCCACATGTCTGTGTAGAGGGCAGGGAAATATAAGATGAAGATAAACTGCAAAATAATGTTAGCAGAGAGTGTGGTCAGATCCAACATGTGAGATCATAAGAGTCACAATAAGGACAAGAAATATTGTTTGAGCTTGAGAAGGAACGTTCTTCACCAAGGAGAAAAAAAGATGAGATTGAGACAAATGTCACTTGGAAAAAGGAAGGGTGGAGACGGAGATTGCACATTCAGTTTGGTGAAGCTGCACCCTCCCTATTAGATTAATAATTTTTAATACCATCTGGATGTGCTTCTATATACATTCTTTCACTCTGGGTCCCTGGCACCACCTATGTCTTGGGTCCTTCCTTTTCACTCTTCATTTCCACAGAAGCCCTTCATATACAAGGTGTGTTCAAAACAAATGGCATGATGAGGGGGAATGAAAATGAGCTTGAATCCCAACTCTCTCACTTGCTGGTTGTGAAATGGGGAAGAGACTTAACCTCTCTGAACCAGTTTCCTCTGCTGTAAAGCAGTGACCATGGTAGAGCTATCATAAGGATTCAATGAGAAGAGGTGTAGAGCCACACACACAGCAACTGGGAGAGTGGTGCTGAATCAATGACAGTTATGATTATTTCTGGTAAAGCGTAAAGCTTTGTTAGAAAAGAGGAAAATGTGACCAGCCAAGGTCTTTCCCCCAGGGCTCCTGCTCTCCAAAGAACCCCGTGAGACGGCAGAGCTACCACGAGAGCTGATCAAGTGCTCTCAAGTGGCAGGCACTGTGTCTGAGTATGTGCAGATCCTAAGTCCCAAAGATAACTCCGCAGTCCTCATCCACAGAAACTTATTGGAAAAATGGGTCTTTGCAGATGTGATTAAGTTAAGGATCTTGAGATGGGGAGATCATCCTGGATTAGCTGGGTGGGCCCTAAACACCATCAAAAGCATCCTTATAAGTAAGAGGCAAAGATAGGCTAGACACACAGAGAGAAGACGACGATATGAAAATGGAGGCAGAGATCAGAGTGATGCAGCCACAGCCAAGGAATGCTGGCAGATACCAGAACCTGGAAGAGTCAAGGAATGGCCCCTCCCTTAGAACCTCCAGAGGCATTGTGGCCCTGACAACACATGCAGTTCAGACATCTGGCCTCCAAAACTGGGGGAGAATAAATTGCTGTTGTTTGAAGCCACCTAGTTTGTAACTTGTTACAGCAGCCACAGAAAACTGATACACCCTCAAAGCAAGTACTGTCACTATCCCTATTTTACTGATGAGAAAACTGAGGCAAAGAGAGATTGAATTACTTGCCCATAAAGTGGGGCAAGAATTCTAAATGTGACAGTTGATGCCAGAGCCCCATACTTTACCAGCAAACTGGACTGCCTTGGCATCTCCCTAAGACCAAGGCTGGGCTACACTTGGCTGGAGAAATCCTCCCGATGCCACCTGATCTCCCTCCCAGAGACAGAAGATTGGTCACCCCACTTCATGGTGTGCTAACCTTTTAAAGCAATGCCTGGAGCATAGTAAATACTCAGTGACACTTAGCTAACTTATTATACTGTCAATGAGTTATCTTTCAGATCCTGCTAACCAGGCCTTGGGGGTCCATCATATGGAGGTGGGAAAAGCAAGATGGGGACTAAGAGGATGCCTGTGAATCATGGAAAACAGGAGAGAACTGAGGTAGGGGAGGGGAGCAGGGACTGCCAGCTGCCTTGCAATATTCATGCTCCCCTTCTTTCTTAGTGTCAGAGGTAAATTCTATCTTTATTCAGGCAGAAAAGTACACAGCTGAAACGTTATATTTTTTCAAGTCCTCTTTGTGGCTATGAGTATCCAATGAGATTTAAGTAAAATTGGTTGGGTAGGGTTTCAATGAGAACCCTTTGAAAGGCTGATGCAGCAAAAATTGTTCTGCTTCTACCTTTTGCCTTTCTCTCTTTCTTCCTGGAATGTAGACACGATGGCTGGAGATCCAACAGCAATCTTGTGACCATGAATGTGCTTGAGGAGGGAAACCACAAAGGGTTTAAAGCACATAGGCTAAGGATGGTGGATCAGAAATACAGAAAGCCCCTGATATCTTGTTATACCATCTATCCCACCAGCCTTGGACTGCCCACTTCTGGATTCTTCTACAAATGAATACAAAATCCTAATTTGTTAAAGACATTATACTCCAGTCTCTAGTGGCAGCCAGAAACAATCACTTACTGATATAGGGTAGAACAGCAGTTCCCAGAGATTCATATGGCATCAGTCCAAACAAAATATTTTTGGTGCTGATAAGACAGAAGTTGAGATTTGAAAGTTACCATTTGTTTAGACCATGCACTTACCAGATGATATTCTTTTCTTTATTTCAAAGCTCACAAAAACCTCTGTCTCCTCCCTGCTTCCCCTCAGTTGGTCCTTCTTTCAGATAGATGTGTGAGTTCTCTCTCACACCTATCCTAGGGCCTGCTTCTTAGAATACTCAAAGCCCCTTGCCATACACTGGGCTGATGCAGTGATGTGGCTGGGTCAACTAACAGACTCTACAAAAATGGGGTTTGAGCAGTGGCTAGCCTCACTTATGTTCAAGCGCAGTTCCACCCATGAGTTAGCGTCCATGAAAACCCTGCATTTCACTGGGAAGAAAAAGGCTGAATGTGTGTTGATGGCCTAATGAGGTCTATGGTGAGAACTGTGGCTTTAAATAAGATGACCCCACCCTACTTCCATTAAGGATCAGGCTTTACCACCAAACACACACCTTAATTAAGGACTTTATGAGCCTGAGCAGGACTGGTATAAATAGATCAAAATACTGACACCATCCCCAGGCAACTCAAAGGAGCCCAGTGTCCCCATTTACTCCAAGGAGGAGGAGAAGTATATTTATCTGGAGAAAGTATTTCTAAATAGAATCTAACTCCTAAATCCTATACTTTCTAGGAAACATTAGTGATTATAGACTCAATTATATTTTTGAACCCTATAATCAAGCATAGGTACCAAGCATAAAAGTTAATTTGCACCATCTGAGGGCTATAGAGTCTCAGCAAAATGATTTCAATTCATTTTCGATCTCGTCCTTGTGCATAAGGATGTGCCTAACTTTGGTTTCCAAATGTTTTCACATTACTGAAACTTTGGCACCCACCATCTTGTTCCCCAGATTTTTGCCCATTCCCCTTATTCAAAGATAAAACAACCAGAACAACTCAGTTGATAAGGTGATTAGCTTTTACTTCAATGATTTTGAATGCCTGCCCTGTACTGGATCCTCCATAGGATATTGTCAATGACAAAGTTCCGTGCAGGGAAGGGGGATTATTGAATATACGCCAAAACTTCTTATCTATCATCAGGGTGTTTTACTGCAGTTGCAGACATGACTAATGTACATCAAGCAATTAGAGGGCAATGCAGAGGGAAGAAAATGCAGTGTCCAAGTTCATGATAAAGACCCCAAGCTCCATGAGTGGTTAGGAAGGAAACAGATCAGTACAAGCCAGGGTCATGGGGGAAAGCTTCATGTATGAAGTGAGGAATTGGAGATAATTCTTAAAGGACAGGGGAAAAAATGGAGAAAGAAAAATAAAGACTACTTCAAAAGTTGTCACATATGCCCACGATCAGTCCCAGGTCTTCTCCAACTCTAATTTCTAGGACTGAACATTTGCAAATCATCTCTCTCCTTTCTTTCACCATTGCAAAAATCTTTCTAGAACTGGCAAGTCAGGAAAGATATTTTTCATTCAGTTTCAAAATTATTTCTAATGCTTTGGCATTACACTTCTCAAGTGACTCTAGGGATTACATTTCAACTCCCTTCTTACACAAATTAAGGAAAGTGATATTCAGAGAGATTATATGACATGTTCAAGATTACACAGCAAGTTGGGCAGAGCAAGCATTAGAAGTTAGGTCTCTGGATTTCTATTTCAGGTTCTTTCCATTCATGGTGGAATTCTGAGCACCTGGCTCTCCTGGTCCTTTAAATATCAGACATTTGCCCAAGTGTGAATATCCAAAACAACAGACTGTCCTCAGAAAGGCAGCCTATTCACCCTCCAGGAGGCTGAGAGAGGGGCATGATTACATCATCCACGATGGCTCCTTCCTGCTCCTGGGGAAATGGCACAACACAGAGTACACACACTGAACTCCACTTATGTCCCAGTCACAGCATCTTCACATACACCCAGGATGGATATCTTGTGGTCCACAAGCAATGTCAGCCACCTACGACAGCCCTACCTTTTTAGGAACTTGTCTGAGCCACCTACCACAACTACTAGCACTGATGGGATCACTGATAAAAACCAGTATTCTGATGGGATCACTGATAAAAGCCAACGTCCACTGCATACTCACCTGGATTTCCCTTCCAAGAGGTAGCAGTCTGTCTGACACAAACTCTGTCCCTTCGCATACCAGAAAGAAATGTTTGGGGACCTTGGCGTTCTAGGTATGACACCTTAGCATGCCAGCTGCTTCTAAGAACAAACGCACTATCATATGGGACCATGCATTTTGAAACCATCTCACTCAAATCTGATGCCAAACCAACTGTTTTCATCATGCCTATTTTCTTTTTCACCATAGCAATTTTTATATGTTTTATTGTACTTTCATCAAAGCACCATCTTCTGGTTGAAATGATCAACAGAGACCCCAACTTCTTCCAGCACCCCACTTTGTGAAAACAGCATTGTAGTACTTGAGTATTTATGATTCTTTGAGGTTTTGAATTAACCCAGATAACTTGTTTGGTCACTGACCACCAGTGATCCCTTTCAATATGCTTCTAGGAAGAGTGACAAAAGAGACTAAACATGCCTTTGGCAAAAATTAGGACTTTCTAGAAAGTTCTTATTACTGTGATCCTTGGCTTCCCTCAAAGTTGTTTTAATTCACTGGAGAAGGATCACCTTTACCAAGAAACAGATTGTGTGGTGAAAAGAAATATGGGCTGTGGAACCAAAGCAATGAGTTTGGTGCTACCACTTACTTATAAACTCCGGCAAGTATTTAACCTCAGAGCCTTGGTTCCTGGTTCATAAAATGAGAATAATAATATCTGCAAGCAGTAATGAATTGAAAAATCCCTCATAGAATTTTTGGGTCAGAATAAATGCCCATACACAGCTATAGTGACGTGGGCATTTTAGGAAGAAGAATTTCTGTGGGTGTTAATCTTATGGAAAGGCAATCCAGTATCACATTTAGCTTAAACGCTATATTCATTACACTCAGTGTACACACTTTCAACATTCTTATCCCCAGTAGCTGCTCACATTGACTGTTTCCTACTGAGCCCTCTCTGAGAATAGCAGAGCTCTATTTGTAGAGAAGGCTCCTGGCATTTTTGGTACCCTTTCAATCCCATAGCTATTCATCACAGTAAAGACACTACCACCAATGGTCAGCAGATGTGGGATTGAAAGCAATCAAGAGTTTCCTTTGGAAATAGCCCTGCAGACATTACATTTCCAGGTACAAAGCTTAAGGAAAAGTCTGCCTTGGCAGCTTGTCTGGCACAGGCTTCATCTTTGGTAAACAAAACATGACTATACCACCTTTGTTTTGTTAGAAAACTTGGAAGCTGTATTTCCAAGCCAACTGGATCTTTGGTCTTTCCTCAAAGACAAGGGGCCCTGGCTCTTAAAGACTTGCTGGTAGGCCCTGTGCTGTTCCTGAATTTTATCAACTAAACTCATCTTTAGGAAATGGAACATGGATGCAGAATGCAACTGGTTCTGCCTGTCAGAAAAGAAGCAAGCATTCAAATATCCAACAGAGGTTGCCAAAACATCTGAAAAGATGTTCTAATAACCACAAAGTTGAAAATAGCATGACATCTTCTGGAGTCAGGAGGTGACTTCAGAGGGAGATCCATGAAACAAATTAGATGGTTAAGATACTAGGCCCTGGAGGGGGCAGGGAGAAAGGGTTATTTTCTGCCCCAAATTAAAAATCAGGAACATAGAACACCGTGGCGCCATCTCACCTAGCTATGCTATAGGTTCTGGGATAAGATATTGCCCTCAGCAAGAATGACTTGGAGCTGGAATAAACTTTTTACCAGTGAAAGCGCTAATTCTAAGTAGACTCAAGGAAACCCTGAAAATAGCAGGCAAATCTCCTGTGACTTCCCCCTCTTTTAAACGTTGAAAAACATGACTTAGCATACTTATCTCCCATTATGATGTTTCATTCCAGAAATACAAACTAAGAAAACACTGTGTTTTAACCATAAGGAATTCTTGAAATTTCTCAAATCTTCATCCCAAGTGTTGTCATTTAAAAACAAACAAACAAACAGAATCCCCCAGAAGTTACTAGTAGTACCTGGTGGAAATTGTCAAACACCTGGTTGTGTATATGTCCCTTCACAGGCAAGGCTATTAATAGGTGGCTCAACAAATACATGGAGCTATGAATATCTCTTCCAGATTACACACCCATCCATACTAGGGCTCTTCAAGCAAAAAACAAAACACCTTCTCTTGGTCTAGATCAACTCACCCCCATTGTAAGTACCCAAGAAATACAACCTTCCCCACACAAAGTCAAAAAGAGGCCAAACCTGGGAGTCAATGAGGACCCTAAGTTCACTCACTTGTCTTCTGTGAAACTTTTCCCAGTAATAACATTCTTCCCTTGGGGTACATAGTTCCAGTATTCTTCCACAATCCCAATGTAGTACGTTCTGGTAACTGTGCCAACCAGCCCAGACAGACCCAGGAATGTGAGGAGAAAGATGCAGCCAGCTGGCTGCTTCCGAGGCATTTGTGGATGTAACTCAAGCAGGCAGGCAGCCTGCACAGGGGACAAATCTGTTGGTCCCTCCCCCTCACTCAGCTCCTCCTCCTCAGGTAGCTTGGGTTTGGGGAAGAGGCAAAGGCTGAGGCCTTGCGTAAGCAAAGCAAGCTCGATGGGGGCGTTGCTTTGACAACAAAACTTTTGCCAGCCATCCGAGAAATGTGTGACTGGCTCATTTATGTATTGCCCAAGCCAACAGGCCTGTTTCTATACGTTTCGGTACCATGCTCTGACATCAGTCATTTGTCAGCCAGGATGACAGTGTGACTACTTGAGCCGATGGCTTTCCCCCACCCCTTCTTCTTCTTTTCTTCTCCACACCTCTTACATTAAAATCTGAAAAGTGAGCTGGCCTGAGTGGAGCATCAGGAAACACTCCAGGCACTAAAGAAGGCCTCCTCTCTGTCGGGAGGGCAGAGGAAGTGACATAATCACCATCCAGCTTGTTTTATGAGGCTATGTGAAACCACAAACTAACATCATAAAGTTCATCACAACAACATAAAACCCCACTAATCCTCCACTGGCTCGTGTACCATCTCCCCCATATTCTCTCAAATCCTTCCAGCAAAAATGAGAAGGTTGACTGCTCAGTTCAGCCAAAATGTTCGCGGCCACCACCTCCACACAGGGAGCCGCCTTTCTTAGGATGAATGAAAATGATGATGGGGAAGTACCCTTCAGACACATGGAGACAAAATTCAGTAACAGGTCTTTGGGTGGAAAAGGCTGGGCCATTCTTCTGTGTCTTCTAATCTGTGTCCCAGAATCTCGGTATTGAAAGAGACCTTGATCAACCTTGGAAAAGAGTTACTCTTATCCCCATGCACAGTTACTCTTGAGGGAGCAGCCATGGAATGAAGGAAACAGCCTCCTGGCCTTTGAAGTTGGTCAGACCTGGGTTTGAATGTGAGTTCCCACCACTTTCCAATTTAGTGGCATGGAGGAATCACTTAACATCATTGAGCTGGAGACTATAGAAGAAGGATTGAGGGATTCTTAAGGAACTTTTTAAAAGATGATGTCTGCAAAGTGCTTACCCCAGCCCCTAGCATAGGGTAGGTACTAAGTAAGTGTTAAAGTCCTTCCTGCCCATTCATGCCCTCTAAGAGAGACTGTATCAACCTGTGTATCCACAGACTTGTGTTTCCCCGCAGTCTTCAACTTTCTTTCCACTATTCTTTGCCAAAGTCCTATCTGCCATGCCTTCCACCAGTCTCAAGTAAGAGAATTCTTTTTCTTTAAATGGTAGCTACCCTATAAATGTCCCATAGCACAGTTTGTATTAGCATTCATCTTAATTAATAAAAGGCCAGGCACGGTGGCTCAGGTCTGTAATCCCAGCAATTTGGGAGGCCAAGGCAGTCAGATCACCTGTGGTCACGAGTTTGAGACCAGCCTGGCCAACATGGTGAAACCCTGTCTGTACTAAAAATACAAAAATTAGCCGGGCGTAGTGGCAGGCGCCTGTAATCCCAGTTACTTGGGAGGCTTAGGCAGAAGAATCGCTTGAACCTGGGAGGTGGAGGTTGCAGTGAGCCAAGATTGTGCCACTGCACTCCAGCCTGGGCAACAAGAGCAAGATTCCTTCTCAAAATAAGTAAATAAATAAATAAATAAATAATAAAATACATACTGAGTATCCTGTTTCATAGCCAGGCTCTTTACAACTTTGATTTACTGATTTGTTTGTTGTATCAAGGACACTGGTAGAATAATTGCCACAGCACATTTCCATTTAGCTAAAATCTCCTCTTCAACATGAGTTTGGGAGCTTCGTATGAGTCTGGCACTTCAACGGACACTATAGAGGAGGACTTACGTGGTAGGCCTGAGGTTGGCCTCAGAAGAAGTAGGGAGTTCAAAGTATGGGGAATCTGGCCAGGCGCAGTGGCTAATGCCTATAATCTCAGCACTTTGGGAGGCCGAGGTGGGTGGATCACCTGAGGTCAGGAGTTCGAGACCAGCCTGCCGAATATGGTGAAACCCTGTCTCTACTAAAAATACAAAAATAACCCGGGCATGTTGGTGCATGCCTGTAGTCCCAGCTACTAGGGAGGCTGGGGCAGGAGAATCTCTTGAACCCTGGAGGCAAAGGTTGCAGTGAGCCAAGATCTCACAACTGCACTCTAGCCTGGATGATAGAGCGAGACTCTGTCTCACAAAAAAAAAAAAAAAAAAAAAAAAAAAAAAAAAAAAGGTTGTGGAATTTGGAAATGTCCCAAACCAAATATCTTGTTGCTTACATCCCAGAGAAGCTGGCTATTTTGGGCGTATCAAAGACGTTATTAGGACATATTCCCCCCTTTTTGGACAGGAGAAAAAAAAAGGTATAAGTGATACAGCTCAAAAAGACAAAAGAGTTAACTTTCTTACCCAAGATACTGAACGCATATAATTAAAACCCAGGAGAAGGCATTACCTAACTTCTGATTCAAAAACTAGATCTGCAGAATAGATCAGGTCAAGAAATCTGAGTCACTATAGCAGATGAAGTCAACGCATTTAATCTATTTGTAGCAGAGAACTTGCTTACAGAGGGCCAAAAGTGGGAAAGAATTTATTAAAAACAATGAAATAGGGTTCTGGAAAGCTCTCTTAAATTCTTCCTTATCCTAGGACAATAAAGGTGTTACTCAAAGAGCATTGGAATGCCATAGGAGCTAAAGAAAATAAACTGGTATGAGACAATGCAGTGTTCCTGTGACACTCATTTCAGAAAAGCGACAGTTCCACGCCCAATGTGTTTGACAGTGTCTAAATTTTATTAGGAAACCTGTGAATTATCATATCAACACTCATTTTTAAAAACCCACAGTTACATACAAGATATGTTTGACAATGTTTAAAATTTGATTAAGTAACCTGTGTAAGTAATAATGTTAGCAAATACTTCCAACTCCATTGAACACTAGTCAGACATTTTTTTAAAGTCAAGAAACCCATTTATCAAGCATTTATTATGTGAGATGGCCAGTTCTAAATATTCACTCCATTCCTCAAAACATTCACCAGGTTTCAGATAAGGTAAATTTGACATCATGCATCAATAGCAGAGAAAGATAATGCTGGGTTAAATCACATTTTATTGAAATTATGGTACAGGCACACCTTGAAGATATTGCAGGTGTGGTTCCAGACCACCATGATAAAGTGAATATCAAAATAAAGCGAATCACATGGATTTTTTGGTTTTCCAGTGCGTATAAAACTTATGCTTAGGCCATGTACAGTGGCTCACACCTGTAATCCCAGCACTTTGGGAGGCCAAGGTGAGAGGATCACTTGAGGCCAGAAGTTTGAGACCAGCCTGGGCAACATGGCAAAACTTGTCACCATAAAAAATACAAAAAAATTAGCCAAGCATGGTGGGGTGCACCTATAGTCCCCGCTACTCAGGAGGCTGAGGTGGGGGGATCATTTGAGCCCAAGAGGTCGAGGCTGTAGTATGTTAAGATCATGCCACTGCACTCCAGCCTCACTGACAGAAGGAGACCCTATCTAAAAAAAAAAAAAAGTTATGTTTACACAATATTACAGTCTATAAGTGTGTGTGCAATTGCATTATGTCTAAAAAATGTACACACCTTAATTTAAAAATACCTTATTGTTTAAAAATGCTAACAATCACCTGAGTCTTCAGTGAGTCAGTCTTTTTGCTGTGGAGGGTCTTGCCTCAATGTGGATGGCTGCTGACTAATCAGGATGGTGGTCACTGAAGGTTGAGGTGGCTGTGGCAACTTCTTAAAATAAGAACAATAGTTTGACACATCATTTGGTTTCCTTTCATGAAAGATTACTCTATAACCCATGATGCTGTTTAATAGTATTTTACCAATAAAAGAACTTCTTTCAAAATTGGAATAAATTTTCCCAACCCTGCTCCTGCTTTATCAACTAAGTTTATGTAATATGCTGAATCCTTTGTTGTCATTTCTACAATATTCACAGCATCTTCACCAGTAAATTCCATTTCAAGAAACCACTTGCTTTGTTCATCCATAAGAAGCAACACCTTATTCATGTAAATTTTATTATGAGATTGCAACAATTCAGTCACATCTTCAGGCTCCACTTCTAATTGTAGTTCACTTGCTGCTTCCACCACATCTGCAGTTACTTCCTCCATTGAAGTCTTGAACCTCTCAAAGTCATCCATGAGGGTTTGAATCAGCTTCTTCCAAACTCCTGTCAATGTTGATATTTTGACCTTCTCTCATGAATCACAAATATTCTTAACAGCATTTAGAATGGTGAATTATTTCCAGAAGGTTTTCAATTTACTTTGCCCAGATTCATCAGAGGAATCACTATCTATGGCACCTATAGCCTCAAGAAAGGTATTTCTCAAGTAATAAGATTGAAATTCAGTTACTCCTTGATCTATGACATACGGAATGGATGTTGTGTTAGCAGACATGAAAACAACATTCATTTCATTATACATTTCCGTCAGAGCTCTTGGGTCACTAGGTGCGTTGTTAATGAGCAGTAATATTTTGAAAGAATTTTTTTTTCTTAGCAGTAAGTCTCAGCCCTGGACTTAAAATATTCAGTAAACCATGCTGCAAACAGATGTACTGTTGTCCAGACATTATTATTCCATCTAGGGAGTATAGACAGAGTAGACTGTGCATAATTCTTAAGGGTCCTGGGACATTTGGAATGGTAAATGAGCACTGGCTTCAACTTAAAGTCACCAGCTGCATTAGCATCTGCTAGGATAGTTAGCCTATCCTTGGGCCAGGCACAATGGCTCATGCCTGTAATCCCAGCACCTTGGGAGGCTGAGGTGGGAGGATCACTTGAGTGCAGGAGTTTGAGACCAGCCTGGGCAAGACGGCAAGACCCCATCTTGTAAAAACAAACAAAAACAAGAGTGAGCCTATCCTTTGAAGCTTTAAAGCCAGGCATCGACTTGTCCTCTTCTACTATAAGGATGTTTGGTCTACATTGAAAATTTATTGGCCTAGTGTGGTGGCTCATGCCTATAATCTCAGCACTTTCGGAAGCCAAGGTAGGCAGATCACTTGAAGTCAGGAGTTTGAGACCAGCCTGGCCAACACAGTGAAACCCATCTCTACCAAAAAATACAAAAATTCGCCAAGCGTGGTGGCACATGCCTATAATCTCAGCTACTCCAGAGGCTGAGCTGGGAGAATCACTTGAACCCAGGAGGCTGAGATTGCAGTAAGCTGAGATCCTGCCACTGCACCCAGCCTGGGAGGCAGAGTGAGACCCTGTCTCAAAGAAAGAAAAAAAAAAAAGAAAAGAAAAGAAAGAAAAAAAAATGTATTGTTTAGTGTAGTCACCTTCATCAGTTATCTTAGCTAGACCTTTCAGAAAACTTACTGCCGCTTCTCCATCAGCACTCACTGCCTCATCTTCACTTCTGTGTTATGGAGATGGCTTCTTTCCTTAACCCTCATGAATCAACCTCTGCTAGCTTCAGACTTTTCTTCTACTACTTCTTCATCTCTCTCAGTCTTCAAAGAATTGAAAAGAGTTAGGGCCTCACTCTGAATTGGGCTTTGGCTTAAAGGAATGTTGTGGCTGATTTGGTCTTCTACCCAGATAGCTAAAACTTTCTCCATATCATCAATAAGGCTATTTCACTTTCTTAGCATCCGTGTGTTCACTGAAGTAGCACTTTTAATTTCCTTCAAGAACATTTCTTGCATTTGCAACTTTGCTAACTGTTGGGCACAAGAGGCCTAGCTTTCAGCCTGTCTCAACTTTCACCATGACTTTCTCACGATGTTTAATCATTTCTAGCTTTTGATTTAAAATAAGAGATGTGTGACTCTTTCTCTTGAACAGGTAGAGGGCTTTGTAGAGTTATTAAATTGGCCTAATTTCGACATTGTTGTGTCTCTGGGAATAGAGACGCCCAAGGAGAGAAAGTGATGGGAGAATGGCAGTCAGTGGAGTGCCAAGACCAGCTCGGTCGTGGAGATGCTAACTCAGTGGTGCTAGAGGAATTAAAGGCACACACACAGAAATATAGAGTGTGGAGTGGGAAATCAGGGGTCTCATAACTTTCAGAGCTGAGAGCCTTGAACAGAGATTTACCCACATATTTATTGATAGCAAGCCAGTGATAAGCATTGTTTCTATAGATTATAGGTTAACTAAAAGTATTCCTTATGGGAAATAGAGGGATGGGCCAAAGTAAAGGGATGGGTCTGGCTAGTTATCTGCAGCAGGAGCATGTCCTTAAGGCACAGATCACTCATGCTATTATTTGTGGTTTAAGAATGCCTTTAAGCAGCTTTCTGCCCTGGGTGGGCCAGGTGTTCCTTGCCCTCATTCTGGTAAACCCACAACCTTCCAGCATGGGCATCATGGCCATCACGAACATGTCACAGTGCTGCAAAGATTTTATTTATGGGCAGTTTTGGGGCCAGTTTATGGCCAGATTTGGGGGCCTGTTCCCAATAGTGGAGCAGTCATCACACACGCATTTATCAATTAAGTTTGCTGTTGTATATGAGCATGGCTTGTGGTGCCCCCAAACAATTACAGTGGTAACATCGAAGATTACTGATCACAGATCACCATAACAGATATAATAGTAATGAAAAGTTTAAAATATTATGAGAATTACCAAAATGTGACACAGAGATATGAAGTAAGCACATGCTGTTGGAAATATGGCACAAATAGACTGAGAAATACATTTTGAGAGATCCCCAACTCTGACTGCAAACTTCTGTCAGCTCATGCTTGATGCAGGGTTGCCTCAAACCTTCAATTTCCAAAAGGCCCAGTATCTGTGAAGTGCAATGACATGAAGTTCACTTGCTATTTCCACCACATCTGCAGTTACTTCCACCATTGAAGTCTTGAACCTCTCAAAGTCATCCATGAGGGTTTGAATCAACTTCTTCCAAACTCCTGTTAATGTTGATAGGACAAGGTGGGCCTGTATGGGCTATATTTTTTAATTAACTTCTATTTTTATTTCAACAGTTTTGGGGGTACAGGTGTTTTTTGGTTACAAGGATATGTTTTTAGTGGTGATTTCTGAGATTTTACTGCACCCATCACCCAAGCAGTGCACACTGTACTGAATATGTAGTCTTTTATTTCTCACCTTCCTCCCAACCTTCTGGCCCCAATTCCCTAAGTCCATTATATCATTCTTATGTTTTTGCATCTCATAGGCTAGCTCCCACTTATAAGTGAGAACACACTGTATTTGGTTTTCCATTCCTGAGTTACTTCACTGAGAATAATGGCCTCCAGCGCTACCCAAGTTGCTGCAAAAGACATTACTTCATTCCTTTTTATGGCTGAGTAGTATTCCATGGTGTATATACACCACACTTTCTTTAACCACTCAGTTGATGCACACTTAGGTTGGTTCCATATCTTTGCAATTGTGAATTGCACTGCTCTAAATATGCATACACCTGTGTCTTTTTCACATAATGATTTCTTTTCCTCTGGGTAGATACCCAGTAGTGAGATTGCTGGATCAAATGGTGGCTCTGCTTTTAGTTCTTTAAGGAATTTCCTTTCTGTTTTCCGTAGAGGTTGTACTAATTTACATTCCTATCAGCAGTGTATAAATGTTCTTTTACCACATTCACACCAGCATCTTTTTTTTTTAACTTTTTAATTATGGCCATTCTTGCAGGAGTAAGGTGGTATCTCACTGTGGTTTTAATTTGCATTTCCCTGGTAATTAGTGAGGTAGAGCACTTTTTCATATGTTTGTTGGCTGTCTGTATCTCTTCTTTTCAGAATTATCTATTCATGTTCTTTGCCCTCTTTTTGATAGGATTATTTGGTTTTACCTTGCTGATTTGTTTGACTTCCTTGTAGATTCTAGACATTAGTCCTTTGACAGATGCATAGATTAAAAATATTTTCTCCCATTCTGTGGGTTGTCTGTTTATTCTGCTGATTATTTACTTTTTTGTGCAGAAGTTTTTTAGTTTCATTAGGTCCCATTTGTTTACTTTTGTTTTCGTTGCTCTTGCTTTTGGGGTCTTATTCATGAATTCTTTGCCTAAGCCAATGTCTAGAAGAGTTTTTCCAATGTTATCTTCTAGAATTTTTATGGTTTCAGGTCTTAGATTTAAGTCTTTGATCCATCTTGAGTTGATTTTTATATAAGGTGAGAGATGAAGATCCAGTTTCATTCTTCTACATGTGGCTTTCCAGTTTTCCCAGCACCATTGAATGGATAGGGTGTCATTTCCCCAATTTATTTATATACAGGCTATTTAAATAAAAAATTATCTTAGCTAGATCTGGGAGAAGTCAATTCAGATGAATAATATTCTACCTAGCCTTAGCTGAAGTGTCATTTTTAAAAATAAGTAAAATGGGAGGGACAAAATTGATTCTCCCATTCTTTAATGTTTTCCTTTTTTGAGAAATACATTGAATTCTCCTTAAAAGACTTCTGATATCCCAAACCGTGACTGCAAGCTTCCATCAGCCCAGCACTCTCCCTGCCCTGCTACAGTAAATCATGGCTCTCAAACCTCACTAGGGTCCCTAGTCCCTTGATAGTAACTTGTTATTCCCCACCTGGAGCCCTGTGGCTTCTCTACTGCTCTGACTGGTGCTAGAATGACCTTACCGATTGCAGACAGGACCAGGTCTCTCCACTGCTTGAGAGTTTTCAATAGTTTTCTATGGCCTTTAGGGTAAGGACTAATGGTCTTGACTTGACTTTTAGAGCTGGTCCTGATTTGTCTTCTGGGAACTGGGGTCACTCCTCAACATTTAGTCATCATCATGGTTGTGCCCTTCCTCTGAGCTCCCACCAGTGCTGTGCATGCCTCTGCCATAGCCTGTCACACAGTACAGTGACCACCTCTTCATCTGCTCTCCCCTACACACTCAATACAGGCTTCTCATAGATGGGGGCTGGGTCTTGTTCACCCCTGCGTCCCCAAGGTCTGACACATCATAGGCACTGGAGAAATGGCGAACTAAGGCATGTGCAAATGAATGAATGAATGAACAAATGAATAAGAGATGCTTGCAAATGTACATTGGCTCTATGTTATGTAGCAGTCTCTGCACTAGATCTTTTATATGAATTATTTAATTTCCTTATTACAACAGCCCTTTCAGGGTGTGCACAAGTTTTACCCCTGTCTTACAAATCAGGAAGCTGAGATTTAGAAAATTCAGATTATTTTCTCAGTACCCCACAACTGGCAAATAGTGGAGGTCTGGAAGACTCCAAAACCAGCATCCCTACAGAGCCCATCCAGACGAGGAGAATGGGGAGTGGTGGGGGGCCCAGAGACCATGGTCGCCTGCTTCATGCTGCAGAGTGGGACCCATGCTCTGCAAAGAAATATGGGCCAGGGCTGTTGAAGGACTGGGCCACTGGAGGAGTATTCCAAAATGCCCCTCCAGCTTAGCCCATCCACCCAGACAGTCCAGATAAAACCCTAATCATTACAGAACCTTAAAGACACCCAAACATACCATTCTGTTTCATTTCTTCATTTTATGTCCCAACCCTCCACCCCCACCTCACCTTCCCCCAGTCTCCACCCCCACTAAATTCCATCTCATCCTCCCAAATCATCCTGGGCTTTTCTTCTCTGAAGTTTTCCTTGGTTCCTCCACACCTACCACACCCTCCACCCAGCCCCTGGCAATTAGTCATTCTCTTCTCTGTGCTTCCTCTGTACTCTGCCCATACGCCTATCCCTGTTTATGTTATTGTTTGCTTACATGTTAGTCTCCTTTAAAAGATCCCGAACTCCTTGAGAATAGCATCTGACCAGGTCTCCACACCGCCCTCCCACTATATCTGTCTCAAGAATTTATTAAAGGAATCTGCAGCTCAGGGGCTGCTCCAGCCTCCCCTGCCTGTAGCCTGGATCCCCAGTTTTTAGACTCTTGCTCTTACCAAGAGACTCTGCTCCAAGATTTGAGGTCTGAAGGCCAGGTTTCCTCACCCTCACACCCAGGTCTGGTGCTTAAGCCATTTCTTATCTAGATCAGGGGATTATCTTGTTCTTCTTTGTGTAGTGGTTATTATAGAACCAGGTGCTCAGCAGGACCTGAGGAAATAATATTAACAATTGTAGCATTTACAGTATGTCAGCCAGTATGCTGTTTTACACATAGTATCACTTTTACTCTGTGCAACCAGAATACCCTATGAAGTAGATGTTATTGTCCTTGTTTTACAGATGAGGAAACTAAGGTTTGGGAAGGTTAATAACTTGCCTGAAGTCATGGCTAGCAAATGGCCAGGCCAGGATTCAAACCCAGGTCTTTCTGACTCCAAAGCCTACACACCAAAGCTCCACAGTCAGTGGGTATTAGTGGAACTGGGCTAACCGGAAAGCCAATGCCAGCTCAGGAGACCCTTTCAGGGAAGGAAACATTAGCATCATACGAGAGGTTTCCTCCAACATAACCAGGACCTAAGAATTTTAAAGGCATAGCATAGAGACTGCACATGGGCAAACACCCCAACAAATAAAAGTGCTGTGATGAAATAATTTATTTAATTGTTTGAGAATATTTACCAAGCATCTGCCTTGTGCCAAACACTGTTCTAGTCAACTGGGAATGAGGCAGACAGTCCCTGTCCTTGAAGAGTTCATAATCTAGTGAAGAAAATAAATTGTAAACCACAAATAGGTTTTCTAGATTAATTAAATATTGTGATGAGTGCAGCAAAGTTCAAAGGTGAATGGTGTGGAGAGAACCTCAAGACTGCACTCAGGAGGTGTCTGGGGAGGTGGCCCAGCAGCCTGTTCTGAAGCATGCTTATAGTTTACAGGGTGAAATAGAGCGTATAGAAGTCCCATCCCTAGAAACCTCACCCATCATCATCAACAGCAACAACAAAAAACAGGACAACTCAGGGTGGTCCTGAAACACACTTTGGTTGAGTTCCCTGAGGAAAGTTAAGAAGCCACGTCCCTGCCCAGTGGGTACATCCACTCTCAGGCATTCATTTTTTTCCTCCACTTGGAAAGTACCTGATGATGTCTCACCTCCCACAAGCCTGAGGCAAACTCTGGTGTCAGAGACTCAGAAAAGCCAGCCTTCAATCATGGACACAGTGAAAAGAAGAACAGAGGAAATTGGCTTCCCTCCACTCTCTCCTCAAGCTCCTCTGTCTACCCCTCCCTTCCCAGCCCAGGAGTTGATTCAAGCCCCCAGTGCTCTTTGATCTGTGGATCTTGATCTGTGGATCTTGATCTTGGGGCCACCTCTAGGAGTGGGAGGTGAATATAAACAACATGAGCACAGTTCTGGTAGCCCAATCTTACAAAAGAAATATCATGCCTGCCAGTAGGAATATTCCGCCAACAAGGCCACCATCCTGAAACTGGAGCTGCCAAAGGGCCCTTGAACAACCCCATAACTCAAGTACTAGAACTCCTAGGACATCTGGATGACCACCTCCCCATGCACAAGCTAGAGGGTTACAAAGCACCCCAAAGGGGGAAAATGGGACTGGAGATCTTCAAAGGCCTAGGAAAGTTGCTGTCTTGTCTCAGAGTAACCTGCCCAGAGGAGCCCAGACAGTCCCAGAGCCCAGAGGGAAACCATCTTTCAGGGCAGCACTTTAAACAAAAGACCGTCTGAGGGCTGTGGCTTGGCACAGGGGCCCCATTGCCCAGATGTAAGGACAATACTGGGTACAGGCATCTAGCTCTCCTCTTGGCTCCAGTGTTTGGGGGTTTTGTTGGGGGAGAAATGGGAGACGTGGGCACAATCTGGCCACTGTGGTTGAGACATAGGATTTTCCCATAGCATTTCATGGGTGACACTTCTGGACGCTTTAGGATGGCACTCTGTGTTTCTCATTCAAAAAGAGAAACAAGAGCAAAGGGCAGGAAAGATCTCAGAGACTCACACCTGCCTCTTTCCATAACTAAAGGGTTAGGCATTCATTCACTCCTCCACAGGACAGGGATCCCCTTCACAATCCCCCTCATACCCTAAATATGCCCTGCTACCCTCCGTGCTCAAACCTCACAACCAGCTGTGTTGTTGCTTGGGTACATGACATATGGTCATAACTTCTCCTAAATCCAGTCACCAAAAGTTTTCGAGATGACCAGGAGTGGTGGCTCATGCCTGTCATCCCAGCACTTTGGGATGCTGAGACAGGAAGATCACTTGAGGCCAGGACTTGGAGAACCCTATCTAAAAAAAAAAAAAAAAAAACTGCTCCCAAGACTTCCTATCAGAAACAAAGAAGGCAATGGCAATGGGCTGACAACTATGTGGGTGATCAGTACAAGTCAAATTCCATTGCGTTAGAACTCTCAGAATTCTTTTGTTGAACCTAGAATTTTTTGTGTGTATCCAATACTCTATTAAAATAAGTGGGTCTTCCCTGATCCTTGAAGCTTGTTTTGTATTGACCTTGGTTGTAATCACAGTCATTTATACTAGTAGAGACATCTCCATTTCCACTTATCATTAGTGACCAGAGAAAAAGTCTTAAAGACAAAGTGACTTCTCTTGTTTGAGGCCTGCAGGTTTCAGCGTGATGTCTGTGTGGAGGCATTTGGCAAATCAGGGCACTCTCTAGAACTGGTTGGTTGAAGGTCAATCCAAACTCTAGATCATCCCTTCTTTGAAGATGAAAGAGCCCCCCTTCTTTCTCCCACTCTTCTATGGTTCTTTTACTAATTTGGCTCAATAGGGCTGTCTTTAGTATACCTCTGTGACCTAGGCTGACAGAATGCAGATGAGCTGGACAGGGAACCCAGGAAGGAGTTTACAGACTCCCAACCTGTTTTCTGGGAAGGTACCAGGTTGCTCACCAGCACTTTTTAAAATATCCCACCCTGAGGAGCAGAGCTCTTTGGGAAATCTTGTTATATGGCATCAATGATGCTGATTAACTGTAGCAAATTTCTGGGTGTGGGTAGCTGCAGGAGGTGAATTCCTGTTAGAAATGAGGTCTCTGGCTCCAGGTGGGAGCTGCTCAGGTGAGACTTCCCTGGGACATAGATTCCCAGAAGCAATGCTTCTGACGATAAAAGCACACAGCCATGCTACAGAGAAGAGCTTTATAGGTAGGGCTTCAGCTCCCAGGTTTAGGCACGTACACATGTAGTATGGATTTTGGAGCATGGCCAAGGCTCCTTGCTCTGACCTGATCCCTGATGCCTGAATTCTGCTGTCAGAGCTTCCTAATTTTGGCTTAAGACTAACCCTGTAAAAATGCAAGTATCTCATGGCATCGGTCTCATCGGTTGCAGCTGCCTTCAATGGATGAGTTTATTAGGTGCTTTCCCATGAATAGGTGAAGACTGGAAGGAGGAACAGAGGGAGCATGAGACACCTGGTCTTCCAGGAAGAGGTACCAGTAAGACTCTGCTACACGTCAGAGGGAATCCAAGCAACTACCTAGTTCAGAAGTTCCAATTTACACCCCACAGGCCAATTCTAGCCTGTTTTGTTGGTCTAAAGTAGTATCTAATTTAAAAAATCTGAATTTGATTTCCTTAATAAGACTATGATCCCTCCAGTTCATCGCAGACCCTATCAGTCCACAGTCTCACATCAGTCTGCTTCATTTGTTCAGGGCACCTGGCCTGCAGGTATGTGAGTTGTTGACATCTGCATTCTAGTCCAGTTTTCCATTACATGCAAAAGCCCTTTCAACAACATTATGTATTCTTTATTTATTCATACATTCATTAAAAAAATATGTGCTGAACAGGTACTACAAGTAGGCTCATAAATGCACAGAATTTTAGAGCAGGAAGAGAGCTTGGAGTTGTTCTAGTCTGACCTGCTCCTGAATGACTGACTACTGAGTAAATAACAAAATGAAGGCAGAAACAAAGATGTTCTTTGAAACCAATGAGAATGAAGACACAACATACTAGAATCTCTGGGACACATTTAAAGCAGTGTGTAGAGGGAAATTTATAGCACTAAATGCCCACAAGAGAAAGCAGGAAAGATCTAAAATTGGCACCCTAACATTAAAAGAACTAGAGAAGCAACAGTAAACAAATTCAAAATCTAGCAGAAGACAAGAAATTACTAAGATCAGAGAGGAACTGAAGGAGATAGAGACACGAGAAGCCCTTCAAAAAATCAATGAATCCAGGAGCTGGTTTTTTGAAAAGATCAAAAAAATAGATAGACGGCTAGCCAGACTAATAAAGAAGAAAAGAAAGAAGAATCAAATAGACATAATAAAAAATGATATGGGGGTATCACCACTGATCCCACAGAAATACAAACTACCATCAGAGAATACAATAAACACCTCTACATAAATAAACTAGAAAATCTAGAAGAAATGGATAAATTCCTGTACACATACACCCTCTCAAGTCTAAACCAGGAAGAAGTTGAATCCCTGAATAAACAAAAAGTTCTGAAATTGAGGCAGTAATTAATAGCCTACCAATGAAAAAAAGTCCAGGACCAGACAAATTCACAGCCGAATTCTACTGGAGGTACAAAGAGGAGCTGGTACCATTCCTTCTGAAACTATTCCAAACAATAGAAAAAGAGGGACTCCTCCCTAACTAATTTTATGAGGCCAGCATCATGCTGATACCAAAGCCTGGCAGAGACACAACAAAAAAAAGAAAATTTCAGACCAATATCCCTGATGAACATTGATGCGAAAATTCTTAATAAAATACTGGCAAACTGAATCCAGCAGCACATCAAAAAGCTTACCTACCACGATCAAGTCGGCTTTATACCTGGGATACAAGGCTGGTTCAACATACGCAAATCAATAAACGTAATCCATCACATAAATAGAACGAACAAAAACCATATGATCATGTCAATAGATGCAGAAAAGGCCTTTAACAAAATTCAACATCCCTTCATGCTATAAACTCTCAATAAACTAGGTATCGATGGAAAGTATCTCAAAATAATAAAGGCTATTTATAACAAACCCACAGCCAATATCATACTGAATGGGCAAAAGCTGGAAGCATTCCCTTTGAAAACTGCCACAAGACAAGGATGCCCTCTGTCACCACTCCTATTCAACATAGTATAGGCAGTTCTGGCCAGGGCAATCAGGCAAGAGAAAGAAATAAAGAGTATTCAAATAGGAAGAGAGGAAGTCAAATTGTATATATATATTGTGTGTGTATATGTATATATACTATATATACAATCTAAATATACAATCATGTCTTCTTCAAACAGGGAATACAGCTTAAAAGGGATGTGAAGGATCTCTTCAAAGAGAACTACAAACCAGTGCTCAAGGAAATAAGAGAGGACACAAACAAATGGAAAAACATTCCATGCTCATGGATAGGAAGAATCAATATCGTAAAATTGCCATACTGCCCAAAGTAATTTATAGATTCAATGCTATCCCCATCAAGCTACCACTGACTTTCTTCACAGTATTGGGAAAAACCACTTTAAACTTCATATGGAACCAAAAAAGAGCCCACATATCCAAGACAATCCTGGGCAAGAAGAACAAAGCTGGAGGCATCACGCTACCTGACTTCAATTTATACTACAAGGCTACAGTAACCAAAACAGCATGGTACTGGTACCAAAACAGAGATATAGATCAATGGAACAGAACAGAACAGAGGCCTCAGAAATAACACCACACATGTACAACCATCTGATCTCTGACAAACCTGACACAAACAAGCAATGGGGAAATGATTCCCTATTTAATAAATGGTGTTGGGAAAACTGGCTAGCCATATGCAGAAAACTGACACTGGACCCCTTCCTAACACCTTACACAAAAGTTAACTCAAGATGGATCAAAGACTTAAACATAAGACCTAGGACCATAAAAATCCTAGAAGAAAACCTGGGCAATACCATTCAGGACATAGGCATGGGCAAAGACTTCATGTCTAAAACACCAAAAGCAATGGCAACAAAAGCCAAAATTGACAAATGGGATGTAATTAAACTAAAGAGCTTCTGCACAACAAAAGAAACTAGCATCAGAGTGAACAGGCAACCTACAGAATGGGAGAAAATTTTTGCAATCTATCCATCTGCCAAAGGGCTAATATCCACAATCTATAAAGAACTTAAACAAATTTACAAGAAAATAAAAAAACAACCCCATCAACAAGTGGGCAAAAGATATGAACAGACACTTCTCAAAAGAAGACATTTATGCAGCCAACAGACACAGAAAAAATGCTCATCACTGGTCATTAGAGAAATGCAAATCAAAACTACAATGAGATACCATCTCACACCAGTTAGAATGGTGATCATTAAAAAGTCAGGAAAGAGATGCTGGAGAGGATGTGGACAAATAGGAATGCTTTTACCCTGTTGGTGGGAGTGTAAATTAGTTCAACCATTGTGGAATACAGTGTGGTGATTTCTCAAGGATCTAGAACCAGAAATACCATTTGACCCAGCAATCCCATTACTGGGTATATACCCAAAGGATTATAAGTCATTCTACTGTAAAGACACATGCACACATATGTTTACTGAAGCACTGTTCAGAATAGCAAAGACTTGGAAGCAACCCAAATGCCCATCAATGATAGACTGGATAAAGAAAATGTGGCACATATACACCATGGAATACTACACAGCCATAAAAAACGATGAGTTCATGTCCTTTGCAGGAACATGGATGAAGCTGAAAACCATCATTCTCAGCAAACTATCACAGGAACAGAAAACCAAACACTGTATGTTCTTACTCATAAGTAGGAGTTGAACAACGAGAACACATGGACACAGGGAGGGAAACATCACACACTGGGGCCTGTTGGGGGGTGGGGGGCTAGGGGAGGGATAATATTAGGAGAAGTATCTAATGTAGGTGATCGGTTGATGGATACAGCAAACCACCATGGCACTTGTATACATATGTAACACAACTGCACGTTCTGCACATGTACCCCAGAACTTAAAGTATAATAAAAAAAAAGGAAAAAATAAAAATAAAATTAAAAATGTTAGTTATGTTAACATTTAATGGGTTTTATGTTAACATTATTCTTCTTTTAAAATGAATTAATAAGTATTTTTTAAACTTCTCAATTTTAACTTCTAATGTGGTAAATATCAATAGCTGTATATAAACTAAAGTTCTTTGGGGTCTCCAGTAATTTTTAAGTGTATAAAGAGGTCCTGAGTTCAAAAGTTTGAGAATTTCTAATTTAATAAACCAAGCAAGGGTAAATTATATTACTTGAATTTTTCCAACAAGCATATAGTCATGTATAAGTTGTGTAATTAAAAAAGAAAAAAGTGAATGGGCACCATTTATTCATTAGAAAAAATTGTAAAGTGGGGCCTTGAGATGTGACTACTTCATATCGCATCAAGGATTGGTCTGACTTGAATTGTTCCACCACCAAAGACTGGCATGAGTAACACTAGCACTGGGGTTATCAAAGAGTGACATTGAGGCTCATGTTACCTAAATTAGTATCTCAGTTCCCAAACCTGCTCCTTCTGTGTCCATCTTAGTGATGGGTACCACCGCCAGGAGCCTAGGCTGGAAACCTGGCTTCCTCTTACATGCCCTCCCCTTAATTTCTGCCAGATTTACTGTTGCTAGCTCCTTTGACAGCTCTGGCTCCATTCCTCTTTACTGCAACAGCCGCTGATCAGGACAGCCATTATCTCATGTGTGGAGATGGCCCCCATGTCTTCACTGGTCTCATGGCCCCTCCAGTCCCCTCCATCATGGCTCCGTGCTGCTCCTGAGTAATCTTTCTCTTACACAAATCTGGTGATGATCCACCTCCTTCAGCCTTCTTTGTGCCATAAATGACCCTTCCTAATACAGCCCCTGAGGACCTAACCAGCCTCACACCTCTCCAACTTTATCCTCCACCATGAAGCGCTCTTTGTATGTTTCCAAACCCACCATGTACAGTGGGGCTTAGGGGCTTTTCCACATGGGGGTTGAAGATCCCTCAGCCTGGAATGCATTTCCTTCCACTTGTCTATCTGATAAACTCCATACTTTGTCTCAAAACAAAAACTTTCTTCTTCTGAAGGAAACCTCAACTCCTAGAAAGGCCAGGTACAGAGTTAAGCACAGAATAAATATTTTTTAAGTAAATAAATGAATCCCTTATTTGAACAAAGAAAAATCATTTGTGGTGTCTGTTAAATGTCCTCACATAATGAACTTAACCAATAATCACCGTCCTAAAGGACGAATGGTTTCACTCTAGGACCAGGCCTTATAGTATGCTCTGTAGGGTAGAGATGAGGACTAGGATGAATGTTCATTGAGCTCAGTTCTTGACCTAGAAGTTATTTCTCTCCTACTATATCTCTAATATCAACTGTTTTCTTGTCTTTTTCTTATTTTTCTTAAAAATGGAATTATAGGACAAGATTGAGATAATTTGTGGTTCTAATAAATTGGTATCTGGTTCATCGGTTCTGTCATTTTAAGATTAACAATACAATATTTATAAAGCTTTTATCTGGTATAAATAATGCATGAATATTATTCTCATCACTTTCTCATTAAAAATAGTACTTCTTTATAACATTAATTCTGGCAGCATCTTCTTTGTAGTGTCAATATAAAATAGGATGGGTTGTCCATAGAGTCTTTGCCTGATTAAAATAGACTGTGATCCTTATTTTTTATTAATAGAGGAAACTTTACAGAAAGAAGAAAATATATTGAAATAAACCATGTCAAGCACCTAAATCAGGATGTGTCTCATGGTAGTGAACAATAAATGCTGTCCTTCTTCCTTCTACCATTAAAGCTAAATTCAGCAAGACTAAGCCTAGAGCTTTCAGCATGGCAAGTAAGTCCCTACAGATTTGATCCCTGCCCACATCTGAAATCTGCAACTCTCTCTGTGAAACTTTACATTGCAGCAATATAATCTGCCAGTAGTTCTTGGATAAATGGTTTTATGCTGTTTCTCATTTATTTGTCTTTACTCATCTGATTCCCCTGCTGGGAATGCTCTTGGCTCATCTAACTCCTTCCCGTCCTGCCTGACTCAGAGCGGGTGTCACCTTCTCTGGAAACACCTCCAATCCTTCTCAGCTTGGATCAGCTGTTCCACCTTGGAACTCCCACAGGACCTTTGGCTTATCTCTATCATGGCCATTTGACCCTGCACAGAACCTGACCTTGCATATCTTAGTTTCCTCATCTGTAAAATGGAATAATAATAGTCTCAACTACACAAGGCTATCAGGATAATTACTCAAGATAAATGCAAAGTGCTTAGGATAGTGCTTGTGTTATATTAATCACACCCTACATTTCTAGCTCTTGTATTTATTTTGGTAGCACTTACCGCATTGAAAATGCCTGTGCTCTTATCACAGTATATGACTATGTCATTTCTCTGTTTCTAAGAAACTACCAGACCTCCTGGTTACTAGCAAGAGCTCTGTAAACTGAACAAATGCTTTATATCATTCAGAAATCTATTGTCTATTAATGTACATGCATAGATTTATATCATAGTAGTCATCAGAGAACAGTATTCCACATTTTGATTTTACTTTACATCAACAACACTTGTTATTTTTAGCAGCTCTATTTATATTTATTTATTTTTTCTTTATATTTTTACAATTGGTTGTATTATAAACATATTTGGCATTAATAAATAAATGTTTCCTTTGGGAGGCTGAGGCGGGTGGATCACTTGAGGTCAGGACTTCAAGACGTGCCTGGCCAACATGGTGAAACCCCGTCTCTACTAAAAATACAAAAAATTAGCCAGGCATGGTGTCATGTGCCTGTAGTCCTAGCTACTCAGGAGGCTGAGGCAGGAGAATTGCTTGAACCTGGGAGATGGAGGTTGCAGTGAGCTGAGATTGCACCACTGCACTCCAGCCTGGGCTACAGAGCAAGACTTCATCTCAAATACATGCATACATACATACATAAAATGTTTCCTTATGGCAGCAAGAATGGTTTGGTCAAAATATATAAACACCTTGAAAGAGATCAATACATTGACCTCCAAAGAGACTAGGCTGATACACGATTTCTCATGAACCTATTTCTTCACAGACTTGTCATCATTGGATGTTATCACTATTTGGTTACTTTAATGGAGATATAATGGTACTTCTGAGTTATTTGCCTTTTTAAATTAGTAGCAAGGGTGGACATTTTATCATGTGATGAGGTACTTTGTTTTTTCCCATCAGCAACAAGACACCTATTCATTTTTTACTACATTCAAAGTGGAAAACAAATAGTAACGTTATATATTTCCATCAAGCCTTTACACTTCTTTGATATAAAATTTCCCCAATCTTTCCCCTTTCTCTTTACTGTGTATCTTACAGCATTTTCTACTCCCATTGATTTCTGTTCATGAATAGTAGTACCCTTGGAGTCATGCAACACAGAAACCCAGACTTTCAAGCTGCCATATGACGGTCCTCAGTAGTATTTGATTATGCTAATTTGTGTATTTCAAGCTTATTTTTGACAGATTGTTTTTAAACAGTTCATTCCTTGACTCATCATGAATCTATTCTAGTGTACAGCTCAAAGTTCATTCTTTTCCCTAGTGATATCCAATTTCCTCAAAATGCTGATTGAATAGTCATTCTTTTCCCTATTGTGATGCTGTTTCTGGAACGTTATAAAGTTCTTACACAATTTGGAATTTCCATCATTTCTGTTCTAGTGCACTGATGAATCTTTTAAATTTCAAGCCATATGATTTTTGACCACAGTTACTTTTTATCATGCTTTGCAGTCTGTTTACAGTGAAAAGGGCATTATTACTAATCTAAAATGGTTTTAGTTTCAATGTTTATTTCCCCCATTTCATCCTTCGAGGGTGAAGAAGTGAGAACCGAGAGCTGGAGAAGTTAGGGAACCTTAACGTTCCTTCCCATCCTAAGAATTAGGAAGCCTGTGATGGTACGGAGCAGACATCAGAAGCTGGCTGCCTGATCTGGCTTACAGTCTTGTTCTGTTTGTCCTACACAGCTGCTATTATTTTGGTTTGCTTTGACTGTGAATGTCTTTGGGTAAAACATGCCTGTTGCAGCTTTCTACAATCCCCACCAATTTCTGTGATCTTACACTTGGGCTGCTTATCTCAGTTTGGTTACCTGCCTGATACCTGGATTTATTTGAGCTTGCAACCCCTGGCATAGTGTGTCTTAATGCTTCCTTAGTTGTAAAATTGGAATAATACCATATCTCATCAGGTTGTTGAAAGGATTACATGAGCTAACCTATAACCATTGCCCACTGGGAGAAATGTTTTACTCCAACAAATTTCCTGTCTTTCTCTACTCGCCCCTGCAGAACAATGATAACTTTGGGTTCTCTGAAGGCAGTGGACGGATCTTGGTGATATTTTCACTCTCACCCATTGCACAGTGCCTGGTACACAGCAGGGGCTCACTAAATATTGGCTAAAATCTGTTGGAATAACTATTACCAGTAGCATCATCTCTGCTTTCAAAATGATTTTTTGTAAAAAAAAAAAAAAAATAGAATGTTAAGAATATGGATATATGCATGTCAAGTGCCCAGGGACCAAACTGTACATATAAGGACCTCGAGTCCCACTTTAAAAGGGCCCACACTCAAGGTCGCCATACCCCAAATACCTGCCCAGATTCTTATGGCCAGTCCCTTGTCATTGGTCAAGGATCTGTTAGAGTATATTGAATTGCTAGCCATGACAGTGCTCATGATAAACTGGTTTCTGCTTTAACTTGGCCTTAATTAACAAATACACTCATTAAATAATGCCTGCTCACCCTATATTCACCTGTATTTAGTCCACCTGGCTCCAGTAGCTATGTCTCCTGTTCAGATAGAAGAACTCATTGTCAAATGAGGATCTAAGTTGTAAAAATGCTCTGCTTTCTAAATTATAAGTAGAGTCAGATCACTAGAATCATCAACAGATATTAAGCTCTATCCATCTATATCTATTTTAAATGATGCCCAAGAAGCCAGGATTTACCTCATATCCTGAGGCAATGCTGCTAAAATGTTTTCGGTCGATTAAATAATACAAATATAGAGAAGTCTTTATTTTACTTAATGAAGAAAGCATTTTAAGATTTATAATATACTGAATTGAACTAACCCATTATTAGCAGTCCTATTACATGAAGCATTATAAAAACGGTCAATAGATATTAGACAAAAATAACAAATAAAGTCCATTATTGTTACCCACAGCCCCAGCATCATGATTAGTGATGATGAACCAGGTTATAACCTAGATTTATATCATATACCTCATCATTACACTGAGGATTTGCAAAAGGTTTTATTCCTCATGGACTGATTGTGAACAGGACCAAACGACTTGCCTGAGATGTGATGAAGGAGATAGGAGCCTCTCACATTGTAGCCTTCTGTTTGTTCAAGGGGGGTTGTACTTTTTTTGCTGACCTGCTAGATAACATCAAAGCACCTGAATAGAAATAGTCATAGAGCCATTCCTATGATAGAGCCAATACAGAGCAAGGAGCTACTGTAATGACCAGTCAACAGGGGATATAAAGGTAATTGGTGGCGATGATCCTTCAACTTTAACTAGAAAGAATGTCTTGATTTTTGAAGATGTAATTGACACTGGCAAAACAATGCCAACCTTGCCTTCTGGGTCAAGTACTATAATCTAAAAATGGTCAAGGTTTGCAAGCTCGCTAGTGAGAAAGCACCCTTCAGAGTGTTAGAAATAGGCCAGACTTTGTTGGATTTGAAATTCCAGACAAACTTGTTGCAGGATATGCCCTTTTCTATTGTCAACCAAAATTAAGGCTGTCGAGGCAAAAATAATTTGATTAAGGTTTAATGGAAGCCAAACGTGAGGATCAACCCGGGAAGATACAGCGAAAAAGTTGGGCATATTCCAAAGTTTGTTTACAAGTTAGAACGCTTCTATAAGAAAGTTTAGGAGAAGGGAAGGGGACTCCTCACATTAGAATTGTCTTTTTTCACTGGAGGATACAATACAGAGGTTTCAATCATTGGCTACATGTTACAACATAAAGGCAAAAATGTTCTATGTGTAAGTCAATCAATATAACTTCATGATTTGGAACAAATCAGTGTCCTCTTATTATCAGTAGTCCTGTACATATTAATCAGTTCATCAACAGTTTGAGGAACTCATGATAAGATTTGAGTGACTCACAATAAGACTTTTATACTTAGGGACACGATGTAAGCAATGAAACATTAGAACTTCCCCAGGCCATTAATTTGTGATCTATAGGTTATCATTTCCCCCTTTTGATACATGAAAACATGGAAGATTAGTCTCTGTTTAGAGTGATAGACATTCTTTATCCCCCAGTGCTGAAAAGGCTCATTTCCAGGAAGTCATGTCTCTCAGTGAAGGAAGAGAACTTGTTATTACAGGTGGATCACATTGTTAGCAGCATTTGGTAGGTCATAATATGAGAAAAATATGTTGTTTTTGTGGATAATGAATCATCTCCAGTCACTGGGTGATATGATTAGGTTTCTGTCCCCACCCAAATCTCATCTTGAATTGTAATCCTTAGGTGTCAAGGGAGAGGGCAGACGGAAGGTGATTAAATCATGGAGGTTGTTTCCCCCATGCTGCTCTTTTGATAGTGAGTGAGCTCCCACAAGATCTGATGGTTTTATAAGGGGCTCTTCCCGCTTTGCTTCGGTCACATGCTCACTCTCACCTGCTGCCATGTAAGATGTGCCTGCTTTCCCTTCTGCCATGATTGTAAGTTTCCTGAGGCCTCCCCAGCCAACCAGAACTGTGAGTCAATTCAACCTCCTTTATTTATAAATTACCCAGTCTTGGGTGGTATATTTATAGCAGTGGGAGAATGGACTAACACACTGGGTGACCATTATTTTGGCCTCAGCCATTGAAGAAAAGTTTTTAAATTCTGGAACAGTTAGTTAGCTTAAGAGAAAGGTAAATGTTATTTTTGTTTACAAATGTATACTTCACTCAATTGTTCTAAGATATAAATAGTATAAGGGAGAAGAATTTTTTTTTACTTTGGAAAACAGAATATAAAAATAATTAGCATTGTTTTCAACAAAAGTAATAAAAATGATTTTAGTTCTCCATTCATTCAGTCCCATGTAATTTTTGCTCTGTTTAATGCTGTGTTGGAATTTTTTAATTTTTTTTGGCAAAGTCTCACTCTGTTGCCCAGGCTGGAGTACAGTGGCAGGATCTCGGCTCTCTGCAACCTCTGTCTCCCGGGTTCAAGTGATTCTCATGCCTTAGCCTCCTGAGTAGCTGGGATTACAGGCATGTGCCACCACACCCAGCTAATTTTTGTATTTTTAGTAGAAACAGGGTTTCGCCATGGTGGCCAGGATGGTCTCAAACTCCTGACCTCAAGTGATCTACCCACCTTGGCCTCCCAAAGTGCTGGGATTACAAATGTAAGCCACTGTGCCTGGCCTGTGTTGGTAATCTTTATGTATCAGTTTTTATTAGAGTTATGGAAGTATTTATTTAGTCCACTTATCTTAAATTATTAGAAATCTGTGTTTAAGAGTATTTATTAGTTTTTCCATGGAAAGCAGTTTCAGATTATAATTAATTATAAATTTTTAGAGAAGAATTTATAACAATAACTGTAAATGACAAAAACTTAAAAGAGTCATGATAAAATGTGATAAAAGTTTCCAACTCACAAGAAAATTTAGTTATTTTTATTACATGTAGCATTTTAAGATAATAACCAGAATTATGACTGACAGTGTCACATCAGAATCACCAGACTTTTACAAATTTTATATTATCTTTAGAATATTCACATTAATAACAGATCCATATAAATATAACTTTAGAAAAGTTAACATAACAATTGAAATTATGACTAATGACACATTATATTTTTATGAACTTATATAATTTTTGGAATAGTTACATCAATAACATACCCATAAATGTAACTGAAAGAAGATCTGGTATCATTTAGCATTTGACAATGTCTCCCATACAATTTAACCAAATCTAATCATTTAATATTTTTACAAGATGAGAAATTTTTTGAGGCTTTCCAGGGCCCAACTAGAAAATCTCAAAGTTAATTTTAGGCCAAGAAGACTTAATTTAAGATTTGGATCCTGGGGAAAACCATCAAAGATGTTCAAATGTTTAAACCATTTGTGTAAAACAGAATCACAGGTCATTGTAAAATAATTGTTATTGATTTGATGAGAGTAACAGTCATAGGGACCTTAAAAGCAATATAGAAGGTAACCTGTATGCAAAAACTTTCACTCTTTTAAGACTCAGTTTTCTTAAGGATTCAAAAATCTTTTAAAAATACAACACAGGAATTATCTTGAGAAAACACCAAATCTTTGTTTTTTAGGCCAGTTACCAAAAGGTAAAGAAAAACTTCCTGTACTGTGATTGTTTTTCCTTCTGGGAAGTGCATTTAGATAATCTGGAAGTCAAATATGATGAAAAGGGTACTTGAATTTAATCAGACACAGAAAAATTGTGTCCAGGGTTATGAGTGAACACTGTATTATAGAGGAATGAAAATAACAAAAAAAATCAAATGAACTTTGATATTAAAAATACACTAATACAAAACTGAAAATCTTAGTCTCCTATGTTAGAACAACAAGATTTTCTCAAAGTTTTGATTTACTCTTAATAAAATTACAAAGAGTTTTGATTTTTTTTTTTTAAGACAGGTTCTCACTCTGTTACCCAGCCTGGAGTGCAGTGGTGCACTCCTGGTACCTTGAGCAGGAAAACGCATGGCTCTTAGTAACAACATAGGAGATTTCCTTATTACATTGAACTATTTAGACATATCAAGAAAAGCCAAAGGTACAGAATCAAGTTATGCTAAAGGAAAACATTGTTTTTTAGAGCTTTAAAATAAAACATTTAGTGTCGGGCCATGATAGTAAAGTTAGAACCAGAGAAAACATTACAGGAGTTTATAAAAAGTTTGAAGAAGAGAGTTAACATTTCACCCAATAAAAAGATAAACCTTTTTACAGGAAAAAGAAACAGAAGGCAATGATATATGTAGAATTAAAAAGTGAATGGCCAGGCATGGTGGCTCATACCTGTAATCCCAGCAATTTGGGAGGCTGAGGCAGGCAGACCACTTGAACCAGGAGTTTGAGACCAGCCGTGGTGACATGGTAAAACCCCATCTCTACAAAAAATTTAAAAATTAGCCAGGTGTGGTGAGTCAGAACTGTGGTCTCAGCTACTCAGGAGTTGGGAGGATAGCTTGAGCCCAGGAGGTGGAGGTTGCGGTGGGCTGAGATTGCACCACTGCACTCCAGGCTGGGTAACAGAGTGAGACCCTGTCTTAAAAAAAAAAAAAATCAAAACTCTTTGTAATTTTATTAAGAGTAAATCAAAACTTTGAGAAAATCTTGTTGTTCTAACATAGGAGACTAAGATTTTCAGTTTTGTATTAGTGTATTTTTAATATCAAAGTTCATTTGATATTTAGAAAGACTGTTAAGTAATTTCTTTTATATAGTCAACTTGATCATGTACAAAATTTCTTTCATAAATTCCTGTTTTATGAGCCATATCGTTGTGGCTTACACAGACTATTTACCACATTTTTGGACTTTTTGTTTTGTCCTATACTTTTTAAAATAAACAGTGGTTTTATTTTAGAACAAAAACTTACCATATAATATTTTTCATACAATATTATTCTCTTTTTTAAACTATTTTTATTAAAAAATATATCTTTATATCCATAACTTTTCTACATCTCTCTCTCTCTCTTGCTTACTGGTTTAGTTCTATCTTGTTTTATAAATAACCTTTACATAACCCCTGAAGTAGATAAAATTACTTTTAATAAAAAACACATTGCTATGTATTTTGTATGCTTTTTATTTTAAAACATATCCTATTTTTGGTATACTTTATATAAAAAATTATATATATATCAGTGAGAATTTAAATTTTTAGTGAAAACCTGGGAAGCAAGAAATCTTGACTTCTCTATCACATACTGGTATTTATAGATGAGAACCATTTTATAATTTTTAGAAACATATTTCCTTATAACATAATTTTTAATTGGAAATGACCCAGACATTTAATGAGTATCTTATTTAACATAACTCTAAGATTTAAAATTACATTAAAATTTATAAACATTTGCTCCATTTATATTTACCTAATTTATTTAATTATTTAATTTATTTAATTTATTTAATAACTAGATTACTTATAAGAACTGAGGTATTAGACAAAGTTAGTCATTATTTTATTTTTCTGTTAACCAATTTTATAGCCTGTAAATATCAGGTGTTTACTTAAGTACGAACTTTAAATATGCAGGCATGTTGTCAATGACTTAGAAAATACAGCTGTTTTTATTAAACCAACAATACTAAATAAGTCTTACCTACCAAAAAATTACACAAAGATTATTTTGTTATTTTCTGGGTTTATGATTTTGTAACTTTTATGTTAAACCCTGACACCTTAAAATATCTATCAGAGACAAACATAAAACTGTCTGACTAATAAATCCAGGCAAAAATATAGGTCAACAATTTTAAAGTTATTTTTATTTTACCAAAAGTTTTATAATTAGTTTAGTAAAGATTTAAGTCATGTGAACCTGGAAAATATTTGGGCTTACTAGTTTCTGAGCATTTATTTATTCATTCATTCATTCATTTAATTAGTATTATTGTTTTTAGAGGCAGGGTCTTGCTTTGTCACCTAGGCTGGAATGCAGTGGTGTGATCATAGCTCAATGCAGGTTTGAGCTCCTGGGCTCAAGAGATCTACCTACCTTAGCCTCCTAAGTAGCTGACACTACAGTTGCACACTACAACCCCCAGCTAATTTTTAAATATTTTGTAGATACAGGGTCTCACCATCTTGCCTAGGCTAGGGTCAAACTCTTGGGCTGAAGTGATTCTCCCATTTGGCCTCCCAAAGTGCTGGGATTATAACATGAACCTAGTCAACTTGCTACCATATAGACATGACATATAACATAATGCATATTGTATTAGTCCATTCTTGCATTGCTATAAAGAACTACTTGAGATTGGGTAATTTATAAAGAAAAGAGGTTTAATTGACTCACAGTTTCACAAGCTTTACAGGAAGCTTGGCTGGGAAGGCCTCAGGAAACTTAAAATCATGGCGAACAGGGAAAAGGAGGGAGGCACATTTTACATAGCAGGAGGAAGAAAAAGAAGGAAGAGGTACTACACACTTTTAAACAACCAGATATTATGAGAACTCACTCACTATCATGAGAACAGCAAGGAGAAAGTCCACCCCCCATGATCCAATCATCTCCCACCAGGCCATTTTTCCAACACTGGCGGTTACAATTTGACAAGAGATTTTTGTTCTCTTTGTTCATTTTGTTTTAAATTTAAATGTGCTTTGCCATTTTCAGAGAAGAAAATGTGTGCATTGTGAAATTTCAAAGTTTCTGCCTAAGAGGTGTATAGGAGCCAAGGGAATAAGCAGAAAGGAATGAGTTTAGATAATAGGTAGAAGGAGTGGGAACAGTTGGAACTTTAGAGGCTTTTGGGTGCTATTGGAAATAAGTCTCGCATTTAATTTGTGTTGTTCTAAAACCAATTTTTTTTCAATTTTGTATGTAAAGATGTTGTTTTAGCCACGTCTAAAACATCCCCACTCTGGCTATTATTGCTTATAACCATCCCAGTTTAGGTTAGTCCACTTATTTAAGTAGAAGGACTGTATATATTTTATGTAAACCCAGCTGGTGCATCCTCAGCCTTAGATGACCCATTTTCTGTTTTGGTTGTTTTGAGTGAGACAAGCTATGTAGTGGAGCAAAAGTGTCCTCATGTGACCATTAAGGAAAAGGTATCTTGCCCCAAGCCTCCTGGAAAACAATTTACAGACTATTTTAACCTGTCTTAGAATTCAACAAAAACCCTTAGGTTGAATTCGTAGCAGTAACTCTCATTCCAGGAGAGTCATTGTACTTCATAGCCAAACAGGAGACTAGCTTCAATAAACCAGGGCTTTGGCTAAGACAGGACATTCATTAATTTTGGGAAGAACTCATCTGTAGCATCCAGCAAGGGAATCCAAGTTTGGAAATGCAATGAATTCATTTCTGTTACCTGCACAAAGGTTGGAAATTGGCTGGGTTGTCCGGGGAGGTCATTCCAAAATCCTGCCCATGACACCATTTTGTTGACCAAAATTAAGGCTTTTAAGGCATAAATAATATGATTAAGGTTTATTGGAAGCCAAATGTGTAGATCAACTCAGGAAGTCACACCAACAAAGTTAAGGATGCTTTGAAGTCTATTACAACTTGGCTTTTTTTTTTTTTTTTTTTGAAACAGGGTCTTGCTCTGTTACCCAGGCTGGAGTACAGTGGTGTGATCTTGGCTCACTGCAACCTCCACCTCCAGGGTTCAAGCAATTCTCGTGCCTCAGCCTCCTGAGTAGCTGAGATTACAGGTACACACCACCACACCTGGCTAATGCCCAGCTAACTTTTATATTTAGTGGTGATGGGGTTTCACCATGTTGGCCAGGCTCATCTTGAACTCCTGACCTCAAGCTATCTGCCCGCCTCAGCCTTCCAAAATGCTGGGATTACAGGCATGAGCCACAGCACCCAGCCCAACAACTTGAAATGTTTTAATAAGAAAGTTTAGGAGAAGCGGGTCTCCTCATATCAGAGTTGTCCTTTTTCATTGGAAGGTATAATTCAGAGGTTACGTTCATTGGTTACAGATGACAACACATAGGCTAAAATGTTCTATGTGGAATGGAGGACATTCACATAGAATCGTGAAGTTTACACTCAGTAAAACTTCATAATTTAGAAAGAAGTAAGTGTCCTTTTCCATGTCAGTAGGTTATGTATTAATCAGTACACCAACAGTTTGAGAAAATTATAAGATATTTTACCTGGGGACAGGATGTAAGCCATGAATCATAAGACCTTCCCCAGCAGTAAATCTGGAACTGTTTTAAGTGTGATCTGTAGGTTATCACTATAATGAGTATTTCAGGGATTTGGATCATGTTTGTGTCATTAATGAAATGGAAAAAGCAGAATACGAAGCCTAAAATGAGAGTTCAAATTCAGTTTGAAAACATCTAGAGTCCCATTGATATCACCAGTAAAATTATCAAACATTCTAGTTCTGTGTCTATCTGCTTAGTAAAGCTTTTGTTGTACCTCCTAAGAATTTTATATTTTTTTGTATTTTAGAAATGTCCATTGCTGCATTCCCAGACACTTTACTTGCACCACGAGTCTATCACTTATCATTTCCTTTGGGTGGATTGTCATTTAACTTGTGAATGAAAAAAATCTCTTAAACTATACTATTATTGAATGAAAATATTAAAGTTGTATCTGTAAGAAACATTTAAGGAGAAGATATATTAGTTTTTAATGGTATCTTATATATTTATATATATGAAAGAACAGAAGTGATTAAATATCATTAATTATACCACCATGTGTTTAGAAAAGTAAGAAGCAGTTAAGTGTTCACATCAATGACAGCATCTAAGAGGTTTTGCTTTGTGGAGTAAATGTATGTCCTGGAATCATTTTGGTAGTGTTTCAGTAGTGTCAACTGTATTTTCCTACCTGTTCAGATTATTACCGTGAACCTTTTCCTGCAGTTCATTTTATTTATTTATTTTTCTGAAAGTCGCCTATAAAATACACTAAAACTTATTCTGACTCCCTCAGCAGTTCTTTTTAAACACAAATTAATAAATTCCAAAAAAATTACCACCTAAAAAAAGAAAGAAAATATATACAACATGAGAGACACAGTCACTTTCTACAAAAACAAGTATTGCTGCCATTACCTTAATAAGTACTAACTGCAGTTTTAAACCCTAAGAGAAAAGACAGAAGAGCAGACAATGGCAAGCCTCCATTTCTTGTAACAGGAAAGCAGTCAGGATCTACCTATGTTCCCCAAAAGTCATATGTAAGAATGCTCATGGCAGTACCAGAAACAACCCAAATGCTCTTTATACAATGGGTAAAAACATGGAGGTAGAGTTGTACAATGAAATGTGACACAGCAATAGAACATACACAATAACAAGCGTATTGTTGAGTACAAAAAAGCCAGAAACAATGTTCAGTTTCCATTACACATGAATAAAAAAACAGGCTAAACAAATATATAGTGTCGGAAGTCAGAGTGGTGCTTATCCTGGTGGAAGTGGGTGAGAAGTGACCTGAGAAGTGACCAGTAATGAACATGAGGGACTCTTCTGGGCTGTGGGTAATTTTCTGTTTCTTCATCTTAGAGCTGATTACACAGGTGTGTTTGTGAAAATTCAAGTTGCACACTCATGGTTTGTGCTGTTCTCTGCATGCATGTTATACGTCAGTAAAAAGTTTATTAAAACAAACCAATAGAATCACTAGGAAATGTCTGAGGTCTGAGCTCTAACTTCTTAGAATCCTGCTCATAGCTTCTCCGTGGAATCTAGAGAAGGCAGGATCTAGAGCTTCTCTGTCCAGTATGGTAGCCACTGGCCACATGTGGTTTAGAGCACTGGAAATGTACCTAGTCTGAACTGAGATGTGCTGTAAGTATAAAATGTAAAGGCTCAGTATGAAAAAAGAATATAAAATATCTACTTTGCAACCGTGATGTGCTGAAAAATTTTTTAAATAATAAAAATGATTTTTTAAAAAATCTTGATAATTTTACATTGGTTACATATTGAAATGATAATATTTTAGCTATATTATGTTAAAGAACACATACTAGTAAAATTAAAATTAACTTTGTTTCTTTTTACTTTTTTAATGTGACTACTAAACTTTTATATATGTGGCTGACATTTGTGGTTCTAGAGCCTCCACTCCTTCTGAGACTTGAAATTGTGACTTTATCATATGCTTACAGACAGGAATGAAGTTAACCCACAAAATAACGCTAAATCTATGGTTATAACTTTTGTCACACTCTAATATGGTTCACAAAATATTCCTGGCCCCATTTTAAGCTTGAAAGCTAAGGATAAATTATTTGCCTTGGAATGTGGAGTCCTTAAAACGTAAGAGTTAGACTCCTAGAAGCTGAGGCTGTTATTCTCTGCTTGCCCACACCAAATTCATTCTCCACTCTTCATACTCAGTCCCAGCTCTTCCTGGGCTCCAGTAATTATTTTTTTCTACCATCTCTTTGGCTCTGACAGAGGTCATTGCTTCTCATGTTGCTAGTCTTTGGTGCCTCAACTTCTCTAGTTTGTTCCTTGTTTTGCCATGCCGCTGTAAGTAGTCCTTTCATTAAAGTCTCTGCATGCAAACCCTCTGCCAGGATCCAACCAGGCTGATAGGACCTTTTCGTCATTTCACCCTGTGCAGTAAACCTACTCCAGTATCTCTGATAGATGGCCGTTTGGCCTCTGCTTAAACATTTGACAAACCCAGCACAACAGCAGTCCCTTTTCCTTATTCTCCCATCCACAAAATGGGGTGGGAGTGATGGGAGGAGTTCTCTTTTGTCTTTTTTCCCACTTTATACAATTTTTATGTTACTGTCTACGGTTCTACCTACATGCTTCTCATCTAGCCATAGTCTACTTAGAGGAGGAATATATTCTTTTTAAAATCCTCTTGGTCATTTTTAAAAATTGTGATAATAACACAACATGAGATCTACTCTCTTAAGTTTGTAAGCACAAAATGCAGTACTATTAACCATAGGCATAATGTTGTAGAGCAGATCTCCAGAACTTATTCAATAATCTTATCTGTTTGAAACCTTATGCCTGCTGTACAGCAACTTCCCGTTTTCCCTTGCCCCCAGCCCCTGGCAACCATCATTCTGCTCTGTGTCTATGAGTCTGACTATTTTGATACCTCATGTAAGTGGGCTTATGTAGTATTTGTCCTTCTGTGAGTGGCTTATTTTATTTCATATAATGTCATTTTACATATAATTCATTTTACAGTTTTCTTACAGTGGCCATGCATAGATTTTTATATTCCCAGGCCAATATTCTCATATAATGAAAGTTATTTCCTGTGATGAAAGTTATTTGCTGGCAAATTTCTATAATTTGGTGTTTGTGAAAATAAAATCCATGGAAAATAATATTAAAATGTTATTAAAGTTCCCTTGAGAAGAGATTTCTTTTTGCCAAATTAAGTGACATCAAAGATTCCTGTTAAGAATACCTTATTGGTATCAGAATAGACATATACATAGAGACAGAAAATATAATAGCTGTTACTAGAGGATACAGATAGGGGAGAGTGAGGAATTATTTTTAAAGAACACAGGGTTTCTATTTGGGATGATAAAAAAAATGTTCTGGAAAAGGATAGTGGTGATTGTTGTACAACATTGTGAATATATTTAATGCCACTGAATTCTGAATTGTACACTTAAAGATGGTTAAAATGGTCAATTTTTATTTTATGAATATTTTATCACAATGAAAAAATTTAATACAAAACTATTCAATTACATTTGAAATTCAAATAAGCAACAAATAATTTTTAGCATAAGAATGTCCCATACAATATTTGGGACATATACTAAAAAATTATTTTTCTGAAATTAACATGTAACTAGGCATCTTGTATTTTATTTGACAACCCTGACAAGAGATGACCAGAGTCTCAACATAGGAAGGGACAAAAAAAAAAAATGAGGATTCCACACACGTATTAGGATTAGAATAGATAGGACTTGGTGACTAGAATGAGCACATGCAGAAGAGGGAAGAAGTAAGAATAGCATTGAGACTTCTGTTTCACAAGGGGTGCCATTGATGGAGATAGAGAGCAACCACAACCATTCAGTCCATTCATTTATTCAACTAATCTGTATACTTTGCCTGGTCTTGATGTAGGGACTGACAAGAACTCAGTGAGTAAGTAAGGAACTTACAGTGCAGTGAGGATGATGAGCAAGTGAGGAGACAGTTGCAATCAGTACAATAAGCTCCATGATGGGGGGAGTACCTACTGCCAGGGGCATATAGGGGAGGCACGGAGAAGGGATCAGATGGTGGCTCACTGGAATCTGGAATGGGGGCGGAACATCATCAGAGGAGCTCTTGGATGAGAACCAAGAACAGTCTTGGCCTCCTTGACAGTCACCAGGGGCGGCCCTGCAGACCATGGGGAATCCTGCTTTATCATTTTCTTCCAAAGACCAATGCCCTTCTACAGAAGGGCTTCACCACTCCTAACCACAGAAGCACCTGTTGTCAGCAAATTCAGATACAATTTGGCAAGCTGGAATGATTACTACGACCTTCCTGGAACAATGATTTTAAAGATTTTTTAAAAAGGAAATAAAATGTATCATTAGGGCTCTTCCCAACCAACCATAGGTTTCCCAGTGCCCAGCATGCTGCAGTTAGCCGAGCCAGGCCTGGGAAACGTGCAGCTTCTAAATCAGGTCAATGTCTGGCTTGGCTTTGGTGCTTGCCAAACTGGCCCCTGCTGTTGCCTCATATACTTTGTACATCCACAAATTATCACTTCATTAGACATATTGTAGCACCACTAAAATTGTGTACACAAAACGCTCCATTAAAGAACTTAGGTTTGTTCAGGAGGAATGAGTCATGAAGATTAAACAAAGGCCATTTCTAAAATCCTGAATTCCCTGGGGCAGCTCAGCAGGAAATTAAATTGCCCTGTTAGTGAGTTGAATTCTTTGTAACTTTCTGAACCTAGAGACATAGCTTCTCATCTCCTTCTGGGTCTTTCTACTGGAGAGGCAGGGTAGATTTCCTGTCAAGTTTGGTGAAGATTTAGTGGTGTCTGGGTAATAAGTCAGCCAAGGTCCTGTGGTGGGGCAAGGTAACCTAAATATATGCTAGACTTTGATTTCAATCCAAGTGAGTGTAACCTTCCTTTATTATTGCATGGGCAGGGGAGGCAAGGAGACAGAGCAAGACAACAAAGGGGCTGCAGACCGATTTTTAGGGCAGCGAGAAGTTCTATATGCTACTATAATGGTGGATACATTATATATTTGTCAAAATCCTCAGAATGTACAACACAAAGAATGCAAATGTAAACTATGGACTTTAGGTAATAATAATGCAGCAATATTGACTCATCATTTGCAACAAATGTGCCACCACTAATGCAAGATGTTAATAATAGGAGAAGCTGAGTAGAGAGTGAAGGAGAATATGGGAACTCTCTATTCTTTCTGCTCAATTTTTCTGTGAACCTAAAACTTCTCCAAAAAATAAAGTCTATTAATGTAAGGGAAAAAGGGGGCTGCAGAGCCCTCACAGGGTAGGAGTGGCATGGAGGCAGGACAGGCAAGAATTGGACAAATTCATAAATGAGTAAGGCTGAAGCAAGCAGGACTGTGAGGTCCATAAGCAGGTTAGGAACTGTTTTATTAATCTCTATGTGTACAGGACATCATAATACATTTGCTGTGTAAATGAATGTTTTAATGAATGAATGAAAGAAACTGATTTTATTATATTTTAAGGCAGTTATCAGCAGGCAAATGAATTAGAAACACAAAGGAATCTTTCTTGAAATATAATGCACACGTGCATACACACACACACACACACACACACACACACACACACAGCTGCCTTACCCCCAACCCCATCCCCTGAATTGACAGCTACAATTTTTAGAGCTCTTCCTTATCTTTCATGTACACAGCCATAGGATAAATGTATTATTGCCCCATGCCACCTGCAGGAGACCCAGGCTAGGAAAGAATCCTATCTTTGCCAAATTAATCTTGCATATAACAAAGTACTGCACACAGGCAGAGAATATGGCTGCCTAGCAGCACAAGAATGGAATTATTTGCTTCGTTGCCCACTGCTTCTTTCTACTCGTACAGAAGCCTTCCTTGAAGTACTTACTGGACTTCATTAAGCGTTCAAAAAGCCTCTAATAAAACACCTGTGTTCTTATTCAAACCCTCTTTTATGCTGTCTACATAGCACCTAAGAGTGATGTATTCATCTGGTGAATTCTGGCTGGTACCTTTCTCCCTGCAAAGAAGGGAGAGAATGAGAGGCCAGCCTGGATTATAAGAAGGAGCAGAGGAGACTAGCAGTGCAAGACTGATCAGAAGTTCATGCCCTAGAAAGTCAGCTTAGAAGGGTGCTGAAGGCCTGGGGTGAGCTTTGGATTCAGGGCCTCACAAGAGAGTTGGCTTTTAGGTTGAGTTTAAAGATAAATAGAACTTTGCATGCAGGGATAGAAGGCAGGAAGAAATTAAAATCAGAATTTTTGACAGTTTCAGAGATGGGCAAGAATTGGCACATTGCCCACAGCCCAAATCTGGCAGCAAGAGATACGCAGTTTGAAGTTACTTAAGCATAGAGCCCAGAGCTTCACTAGCTTTATGCAAAGGGTTGGCCTCAGAGCAGGGCAACTGCCCAGTGAGTTCCATCTCTGAACAGTTTGGGAATTTCTGGCCCAGGTCTCACTCTGGCTAGATGAACTCGGCCAGCCTGCCTGCTTCCTTCTCTTCTTTATTTCTTTTTCTTTTGTCTCTGTCTCTTCTTTTCTTTTTCTTTCTTGCATCTTTCTGTTATTACAAATACCAAAAGCATGTTCCAGTTGTCCAATTTCTTAGCTTGTTAAAGAGATAAAGCAGGCAGGCATAGTGGCTTATGCCTGTAGCCCCAGCACTTTGGGGAGGCTGAGGCATGAAAATCGCTTGAGACCAGCAGTTTGAGACCATCCTGAGAAAATGGTGAGACTATTCTCTACAAAAAAATTAAAAATTAGTCATCCCAACTGCTGCTTGGGAGGCTGAGGTGGGAGGATCACTTGAGCCTGGGAGGTCAAGGCTGCAGTGAGCCATGATCGTGCCACTGTACTCCAGCCTGAATGACAGAGCAAGATCCTGTCTCAGAGAGAGAGAGACAGAGAGAGAAAGAAAGAGAGAGAGAGAGCAGGATGAGCTTATACCATGGGAACTCAAACAAAATTTTCCTAAACCAGGAAATAGCACAGTGTGTCTCATGTAAAGCTTGTGACACTAGCTGAGTAAAGCCTTAACTTTGTGAATTACACTAATGCTTTTCGAACTTTAACATGCATGCAAATCACACAGGGATCTTGTTAAATTGCAGGTTCTGATTCAGGGAAGCTGGACTGGAGCCTGAAATTCTGCCTTTCTAGCAAGCTCCCAGATGTTGCTGATTAATGGAATTCACTCTGAGTAGCAAAGCATACACCATACCAATGTATGGAGGAGTATTTCTTACACTCCTTGGTGGAGTATATGAAATTAATTCTAGACATTATTAATCAAGTACCAATTTCTTAGACCTTGGGAGACATGTTTTGGTCTGACTTATTGGTTTAGGATATACCCATATACACTTATCCCCACCCCCAGAGAGTAGGCATCACTCTGTACTAGATTTCAATAAGTGTATTTCAACTGTGCTACGTATGAACAAAGCAAGATGAGAAAGGCAAAAACGAGGGATAAGGAGTAGAGAGCAATCTACACATCCACAGGCCAACTCGACCAGATACTCAGACAGTCTTCTCAGCATCCCAATGCAGTAAATACAAACTCACTGTCCCTGACACCTAACCTGTCTCCTTCTCCTCCTGGACCCACAGCAAGATTACATGTATCAGCCTCCCTCAAAGTTCTGGCCAACAGAATCTGAACAGAATCATTATCACCATTTCCAGGACTGGCCTATAAAACCCTCCCTAGTGAGATTGTTACACTCTCTCCTCTGTTATCAGAGCAAAAGAGAGAGTTCCAAGGCCCTAAAGGAAAGCAGAGTCACAATGACAAGGATCATGGGCCCTGAACCATGTAGAAGGCTGCCCAATGAACACAAAAAACAAACCTGTATTGTACTAAGCCCTTGAAACTTGGGTACTTAATTTATATTAGTCAGGTCAATCTAACCAGGAAAGAGAAGCAACTCTAAGTGAAGTCTTTCAACAGAGGGATTTAATACAAGGAATTGGTTATACGAAAGATGAAAGAGCTTGGAAACCAACCATGAGATGGTTGAGGCAGCCCGGTGATTAGCAACAGAATACTGTTCCCTCCCTACACCCTGATAGACAACAGGAGAAGGTGGTGTTGTCAGAACTAAAACACAAGCATGGTCTGGCTGGAGCTACAACCATAGTGGGAGCTGCCAGTCAGAGTTGGGATCACAAAGTGAGAGGTAATCTTGCAGAAGTTGGGGCCCAGAGGAGACATCCACTGCCAGAAGTGCCACCCAAAGCTAATCAGGAGAGGCAGAAATATCTTGGCCAATGCATCCTACTGGGCTTGACACCCAGAAGCCAGTCGACAAGATATTTGGGGAAATGTAGTTCTCTACAATATGTAAAAGGGCAAGGGGAAGGTAAAGTATGGTAAAGTGAACAAAGAATTTGTCTCTCCAGCCTGTTACCACAGCAGTGTTACTATTCTTATTATAATAATATATGCGGCATGCTTACAATTGGCCCCCTGGATTGACCCCTGGCTCAATAGTGCCACAAAGATTGTTCAACTTTTGCTTGGCTATTTCCTCAGTGTACCTTTGTCTGTGCTTGTCCAGTTACCCTCCTGTGCCAATGGAAGCAAACCTGTGGAATGCCCATACACCCTAAAATCTCCAGCATACAGGCAAAAATAACAACTAGCCACAAGAAGGTGCAAAGAATGCTTTAGCCTAAGCTTTAATACTTGACAAATATGTTAGCCTCAGCAAGTTATTTAAATAGCAGTCGACCCACCAGTAGAATGGGGCTTAACAAATACTCCCATATTACTGTGAGAAGAAATTGAGATAAATTATGTAAAGAACCTAATGCATACTCTATACACAATATATGATTATTATTATCATTATTCACTCATTCACACACATGCATGTGCTTCATTATTTATTAATAGAAATAATAAACTACTATGTCTGGCTCTCTGCTGATTTGCCTAGATTTTTTTTTAAAAGCCTTCAACCAGGTGCAGTAGCTTACACCTGTAATCCCAGCATTTTGGGAGGCTGGGGTGGGAGGATTTCTTTAGCCTAGGAGTCAGAGGCAGCCTAGGCAACACAATGAGACCCTGTCTCTATTAAAAAAAAAAAAACTTTCTATGTTCATTTCAGAAACTAATCCTAAAATATGTGCCTAACTCTAGTCCAGGGTAGGTATTGTGAGTAAAGTCATGAACAAAAGACAAAATCTCATCCTCCTGAAGCTTATATTTTAGTGAATGTTAATGCATCTTTTGGTCACATGAAAAAAAACGAGTTGAAGTTTTCTAGCAGGCACTTTTCAGCCCTGAAATACATAATTTTTACTTCAGTTTCACTCAAAATACAGCAGAATAACCAACATTTACAAATGTTCAACACTAGACATAAATTAATCCATGAGTTTCATATCACTGGTCACAGACCACATTAACGTAAATGGCACTTGCCAAGGCAATTGTAGCAAGAATTTTTTCATCAGATAAGAAAATTGCAACAGACAGCCTCAAAAATTCCTCCTAAATAATTTACAAGACATATAAGCTAGGCTTGAAAGCTCTTTAAGATCTGTCTTGCCTCACCATCGTATTCCCAACACCCAGCATAGTGCCTGGCATTCAACAGGTACCTACTAAATATTAATACTTGTTAAATAAATGACAGATGGCTCTATGATTTTGGATTTATGATTCCATTACCTGGTACATGAGCCTTATTATAGCACCTACCACATTGTGTTACAGCTGTTATTTATTCTGCCTGTTATCCACACTCATTTCTGACCTCCCCAAGGTCTGGGGCTGCTTTTTGCCTCTCTGCTACCCAGCTCTGCACACAGCAAAAAGCCAATACTAAAAAACTGTCAAAGGGAGGGAGGGACAATATATGAACAAATTAATGAATTATTTGAGCCAAAATATTATGATTTATGAACATATAAACTACACACCTCTTGTTAGAGACTCATTAAAAAAAATCAAGACATAAGGGATAAAGACCCATCAGCAAAGTGGCAGAAGAGATTCTAGGACTACAGGAGAAAACTGGTTATGGAAATAACTGCTAACATTTCCGAGGGGACACTGTATCTTAAATCAATCAGAATAGAGTAGAAACTTACTATGTCCAAATCCCCTTGGTAAGTGCTGAGAGGTGACAACTAGAACTTTCCAGAACTTACAGTCTAGATCATTAGCTCTGTCCCTCAAGAGAACCCTGACAAATACACTGAGAAAGGAGTTAGAGGGCCCTTCTGCAGGGTCAGGAGCTTACTGTCGTCCTCTCATAGAGCAGTGGTCAAGGCTCTCTGCAGAAATAATAGGATAAGATCAGAAGTTCTCCAATTTCTATAAAGCTGTGAGACAATTTTATGCATTTATTGCAGAAATTAATCATAATGCAAAGGAGGAAGAAACAGGGTAGTAATGTAAGAAGGACTAGAAGAGGCAAAAAGGAGAGAACATACAACTCAAGCTCCGTTTGGCCTGCTTTTCTGAAACTGCACAACGTTCTCTAATTTAGGGCCCTTCAGAGTCAGGCAGAAACTCTGAAATCAAATATACTTTCATACCTGCTCTGCAATCAGATGCTGACAATGACTAGAAGATAAACATGGATTTGTAAATTCAGACACATATGAACAAACTAGTGTGTTCTGAGAAGGCTGAAAAGAATTCAAGAGTTAAGTTGAAATGGTTTCCTTAGGTTAGTTAGTATCTTACAAGCATTTCAAGTGCTGTGCTCGGTAAAGATTAAAACACTGTGAGCAGAACTGTGTCTGTGTCTTCAGGAAACTTATAACCTTTTAAGACACAAAAGACTGTCTTTATTCTCTCTCTGACTGAATTTACTCCCTCTGCTCTTGAGTGCATCAAGATAGGCATAATTCTGATTGGAAACTTCCTCCATTTAAGCACTTATTCCTGGCTAACACCCCAAAACAAGCTTCTAAATCTGAGTGTTCAGTATGGTGACCACTGGCCACATGAGGCTAGATGAGCTCTTAAAATATGGCTAGTATAATGGAGAAACTGAATTTTTGTCTCTAATTAATTTAAATTTAATAACTGATACTCAATTCAATTATTGGGAAATGTTCCGGTATGTTTGATACAACCTAAGTATGTGAATCTGCTTTTTCAACTGTAAATTTTATAAATTTTATCTAAACACATATCAAGCATTTCCATCAAAAATTTAAAATCCAAGTTGAGATGTGTTGTAAGTATAAATACACACTGGAATTCAAAGACTTCCTATGAAATCATGTTAAATATTTTATTAATAATTTGTATATTGATTACATGTTTAACTTTTATTTTTAATCATTGGGATAAAACTGGGATATGATAACAAATATGTTATTTAAATGAACTTCATTTTTTCTCTTTGACTATTTCAACTTTTATTATAAGAAAATCTATAATTATACATGTGGCCTGCATTATATTTCTATTGGACAGCACTGCTCTAAAATGATCACAACTTCCAAATTGGTCTCCAAACTCCAGTATTCCCAAGTTTTGCTCTTTTTTCTTTCTGTGCCAGGAAGATCCTTCTTAACCTCTATTTTTCACGTGGCAGTTTTCCACTTAGTGCCTCCCAGTTACCTGTTGTAACCCATCTAAGCTTCTCAGTTTGTAATCAAGACTCTCCAACTATGCAGGCCACACCTCTGCACAGCCCACACCTCTGTAATCTCATATATATTTCCTACCATGCTGCCTATGTTCTAGCCAAACAGATGTTTTGTCAGTTCCATATTAGTGTTCTATACTTCTGTTCCTTTCCCCAACAGAGTTTCCTCAAATTCCATCATTTTTCTTCTCTGCACCTTCCACCTTTTTCAAGGAATGTATCTAAATCCAGCTCTTCTACAAATATTTCCCATAATATCAGCTCTGCCTCCCTTTTTTCCAGATCCCAAATTACTTGGCCCTCAATTTTTTCCACAGAATGTTGCTCTTGTCAATGTGTCAACTCCTGTGCAATCGTTTGTGTGTGAGCTGCCCTGTGCCCAAGACTTGTGTCCCCAACTCTCCAGCAAGCTCCTGCAGAACAGGTGTCATGCCTGCTTAATGTTTTATATCCCCCAGCAACACCTCTGCAGTGCTTAATAAATGTCTGTGAATAAACTGTCAATACCACAATAAACCCTAATGAAAGAGGCATATAGACAGAGAACAGAGTTTTCACATGTGGATACTTCTTCCTACACATTTTTCATGTGGTCTGAGATCTCATCTGGCATGTCATCTTTCACATCATTTGTGGAAGGGTCACACCTTCATCAAAGTGTTCATTTGCCCAAAGCATTTTATAATAAAGTCCTCTTGGTTTTAAAGAAGCCATTTGTACAGGCAGAGCTGTTAGCATTCTGTCTAAAAGATTACTTAGCATTTCTCCATGTCAAAAGCAACCCTTTACTACATAGCATTAGCAATTTCTCAAAATTATTAGTTTTTACTATTGGAATTATTCTTTGTAATTTGTTTTTTAATGGAAGTACTGGGTTAATATGGTGTTAGAAGAAAAAATTCTTATAAATTGCAGTTCAAAGGCATTCTTCCTTATTCATTTATTTAAGAAAGAGGTATTGAGTCTCATCAATGTGTCAGGTTCTGTTCTAGGGACAGAGGATACAGCAAGGAGGAAAACTGATGTGACCTCTCTTCTCACAGAGCTCCCAGTCTAGTGGAGAATAAAGAAATTGAGCAGGAACCAGCTCTTATCACAACTCAGCTTGATTAGAACAATGTTAATGGAAATAAGGGATACTAAGTGGTAAGGAGGCCTCATGAACAAAGACACAGGACCTCAAGCATGGTGTTACTGGATTATTTCCTGGTATCAGGCAGCTTAGTGCAAGAAAATTTTCCTCACACCCCAGGACACATCCTGATACTCATCCTGAAGACCCACTACAAAACAAACCCTAGGATCCAGAAGTTGAATGAAGGTAGAACCCCTCTGAATTCTATTCAAAGGGTTTTTATCCCATGAATGACAAAAACTTTGTTTTACAAACTGCCCTGTCCTGGGCATGAGAAGAGCAAGACTACACCAGACTTAGCATAGAGAAGTTTTACCAGTCTAAGGATGAAACAGAGAGAGGAAAAGGATAGCAGTTGGAGTATGTAGGATGCTCAGTGTTCTGGTGATACCAGTGATGACCTTGATAATCTTTTGTCACCACCTAGGGCATCCATCAGAAAAACCCCTACATGCAAGAACCATCCCAGAAAGCAAAAGTCATTCAACATTTTGGTCTCAGGATCTCTTCACACTCAAAAAGTATCGATGACTCCAAGGGGCTCTTCTTTATGTGGTTTTAATCTATTTAATAATTTTTAATATTGACCTATTAAAAATTAAAACTGATACTTTTAAAGATATTATTAATTCATTTAAAAATAAGTAAATCCATACATGTCATTATAGATAGCACATGTTTAAGAAAATAACCATGATTTCCAAACAAAACAATTAGTGAAAAGGTTAGCATTTTGTATTTTTATAAATCTCTTTAATGTCTGGCTTAAATATATGATATGTGGATTCTTATATCTGCTTCTACATTCAATTTGTTGTGTGTGGAACAATAGTAAATAAATATTTGGCTAGGCATGGTGGTTCACGCCTGTAATCCCAGCACTTTGGAGACTGAAGTGGGCAGATCACTTGTGGTCAGGAGTTCGAGACCAGGCTGGCCAACATGGTGAAACCCCAATTCTACTAAAAATACAAAAATCATCCAGGTACGGTGGCACACACCTGTAATCTCACCTACTCAGGAGGCTGAGGCAGGAGAATCACTTGAACCTGGGAGGAAAAGGTTGCAATGAGCCAAGATTGTGCCACTGCATTCCAGCCGGGGCAACAGAACAAGATTCAGTCTCAGTAAAACAAAAAAAATAGTAAATAAATATTTGGTCTTTGTCCCCCCAGTTCCTGGCACACAGCTCCTAAAACTCTTGGAATCTCTGAAGTGATAAGTGCCTTTTACATGTTAATGAGAAGACTTGTAGCTGGGGGACCCTGGAGAGTTTTAGGATGGGGACTCATCACCAGAAAGATCAAGGATAATTAGAGGGTTGGAACTTTCAGTACCACACTCCAACCCCTGGAAAGGGGACAGGGGCTGGAGATTGAGTTAATCACCAATGGCCAATGATTTATTGAATCATATCTATGTGAGGAAATCTTCATAAAAACCCCTAAATGAAGGGGTTTGGAGAGCTTCAGGGGTGGTGAACACATCAAACTGCTAGGAGGGTAGTGTGCCTGGAGAGGGCATAGACGCTCTGTGTGACCTTTCCTCCACCGTGTCCCATGCATCTCTTCCCTTCAGCTATTCCTAAGTTGTGTATCCTTCATAATAAACTGGTAACAACATGTCAAGTTCTTTCTTGGGTTTTATGAGTCATTCTAGCAAATTATCAAACCCGAGGTGGGGGTTGTGGGAATCCAAATCTCTAGCCAAGTCAGACAAAAGTGTAAGTAACCCAGGCACCAATCCTCATGACTAGCATCTGAAGTGAGGGCAGTCTTGTGGGACTGAGCCCTCAAACCTATGGAGTCTGACACTCACCACCCAAGTCTGACATGAATGCTGGGTAGTTAGTGTCACAATTGAATGCAGGACACTCAGTTGGTGTCTGGAGAGTTGGAGAGCTGGCCACATAAATGTCTTCTTTTAAGAAGTGTCTGTTCATATCCTTCACCCACTTTTTGATGGGGTTGTTTTTTTCTTGTAAATTTGTTTAAGTTCTATGTAGATTCTGGATATTAGCCCTTTCTCAGATGGATAGATTGCAAAAATTTTCTCCCATTCTGTAAGTTGCCTGTTCACTCTAATGATAGTTTCTTTTGCTGTGCAGAAGCTCTTTAGTGTAATTAGACCCTATATGTCAATTTTGGCTTTTGTTGCCATTGCTTTTGGTGTTTTAATCACGAAGTCTTTGCCTATGCCTATGTCTTGAATGGTATTGCTTAGGTTTTCTTCTAGGGCTTTTATGGTTTTAGGTCTTACAGTTAGGTCTTTAATCCATCTTGAGTTAATTTATATATAAGGTGTAAGGAGGGGATCCAGTTTCAGTTTTCTGCATATGGCTAGCCAGTTATCCCAGCACCATTTATTGAATAGAGAGTGCTTTCTCCATTGCTTTTGTCACTTTTGTCAAAGATCAGATGGTTGTAGGTGTCAGGCATATTTATGAGCTCTCTAATCTGTTCCACTGGGCTATGTGTCTGTTTTGGTACCAGTACCATGCTGTTTTGGTTTCTGTAGCCTTGTAGTATAGTTTTAAGTCAGGTAGTGTGATGCCTCCAGCTTTGCTCTTTTTTATTGCCTTGGCTATTCAGGTTCTTTTTGGTCCCATATGAATTTTAAAATAGTTTCTTAAAGGTTAATTTCAATGTGGAATCTGAAACCATATTAGTGAACTTTTCATACTCTCTTATATTAAAATTCATTAATCTACCTTCAAATTTAGATGGAACTTTTGCCTATGCATGATTTTCTAATATCACATTAGTCATTTGGAAAATACCAGTTCACTCAGTTTTGAAGATATTCCAAATATTCACATATTTCATAATACAATATCAAAAATACATTTGCTAATACCATGATTCATCTCACCAGAAAAGTCTTTAATTATTGAAAAGCTGTCAAGTTTATGATGGTGAATACCAATTTTCCAAAATTCTAATTTTCACTTGACAGCTTAAGTTTATCATTGGCAAAAATAATACTGTTATTTTCCTTGAAGTGCTCACTTTGTTCATTTTTAAGAAAAATGCCTGCTAAGTATGCAAGTCGGCATAATTATATTTTGCCAATAATTCTTTTAAATAAAAAAGTATTTCATAAACCAAAGTAGCTCATTTGACTTGAAGCTTAAATAATCACACAAGTGTTTTTCTTTGAGCCAACCAAGTGCTTTTCTTTGTGTCCGTGTGTGTGTATGTGTGTGTGTGCCCCTGGTTGTGTGGGTGTGTGTGTGTGTTCCTGGTCATGTGTGTGTGTGTGTGTGTGTGTGCCCCTGGTGCCTCTCTTTGTGGGTCCAAATTTCCTCTTATAAAGATACCAATCAAATTGGATTAGGTCTTACTCTAATGGCCTCATTTTAACTTAATCACCTCTTTTAAGGCTCTGTCTCCAAATACAGTCACATACTGAGGTTAGGGCTTCAACAGATGAATTTGGGGTTGCAGAGAGGACACATTCATCCAATAATAACCAGTAAGAATTAGAAGGTTAGCTCAGAAAAACAAACAGAAGAAAATAATAAAAGAAGCTATATGAAAGCATTCACCAGGGACAAAAGATATACATTTCTAAATCTAAAGGTCCCACCAAGTCTGTAGCACAATAAAATAGAACCTCATGTGGATATGTCATTATGAAGTTTCAAAATAATAAGAAAAAGAAGAAAACCCTGAATAATTTAAAGTGGAAAAAACCATGTTACCCACAAGAAATAATAATCAGACTAACATCAGACTTCTCACCAGCAACACTGGAAGCTAGAAGACAGTGGAATAATGCCTTCAAAGTTCTAGAAACAGAAAAAAAGATATTTTGAACTATAAATTCTCTACTTAGACAAATTTCTACTTAAATTGAGGGTGGTTTAAAAATATTTCTGGACATTCAAAACACAGAATTTATTTATCTATTTATTAATTTATATTTGAGACAGGGTCTCACTCTGTTGCCCAGGCAAGAGTGCAGTGGTGTGATCACAACTCACTGCAGCCTTGACCTCCCCAGGCTCAAGTGATCCTCCCACCTCAGCCTCCTGAGTAGCTGGGACCACAGGCATGTGCCACCATGCCCAGGTAATTTTTGTATTTTTTCCAGAAACAGGGTTTCTCCACATTTCCCAGCCTGGTCTTAAACTCCTCAGCTCAAGCAATCTGCCTTCCTTGGCCTCCAAAAGTGCTAGGATCACAGGCATGAGCCACCACATCTGGCCCAGAATTTATTTTTAATAAACATTTTTGGTGGGAAAGCAATTGAAAATGTGCCTAGCAAATCAAAGGAGTAAAACAATAACAAGGAAGATGCAGTTCCCAAAATTGAAAGCAGTGAGGAAGGCCCAGAATGATTACTGTGCAGCCTGTGGACAGCAGTTGTTCAGAGGATGCACAGCTCCGGGAGAGAGGGATCTGAGGGAAATGGAGGGAGGGTATTTAATAGAATGCCTATTTCAACCAAGTATTTGAAAAAAAGTTAAGGATGTAATAAAAGCAAACACCACCAGAATAAAAAAGGAATTTGAGACCAAAAGAAAAACTTAAAAGCTTTACAAGGAGAAAATATAATCATAGTATAAAATCAGGCTCTGCACAAAACAGTTAATGCCGGCTCTGACCCACAGATGAAACAGGAATTAAAAGAAATTAAAGAATGTGTAAGCAAAAACTCAGTTGTAAGTAAGAAAACCCAATTCCACCTGAGGAGGAAAAAGAGGTGGCGTCCTTTAAAAATTAACTGCCTGTTTTTCTGTCTGTGGCTAGTGAGCCTTATCTCTCCCTTTCCCAGGCATTGTGAAGACGCTGTTTCTCTAACTGTGCAGCTGCAAGGTCACTAGGCAGATAAACTCAAGTGGTAAAACATGTTTTTCCTTGAAAAGTAAGAAATGATGTAATGCATGTCTCAGTTGAATAACTGTCTTTGTTTCTCATTTCTGTAATATGCTTCCCCCTGCACAGATCTCCCTCCACCCCATGAAATGCTTAAAAGGTAACCTGACTCTTTGTTCAGGGCTCAGTCTTTTTGGATGTTAATCTGACTGGGCTGGTGCACCTAAATAACAATAATAATAATAAATCCTCCTCAACCCCTCAGTCTCTCTGATTCCTAAATTATCCCACTGCACAGACCCTGGCCAAACGATGGATGAAAAAATGTATGCTGACACAGGTATTTTGCCTGACAGCGTGACTAGGGGACTTCACTGCTCAGCACCGCAGGTGAGTCCAGCAGCCGAGACTGAAGCCCCAATAAGCCAGTGATGTTTGTATTTATTTAGTACAGAGGCTTTGAGTCAATACTACTTATGGGTAATTAACATGGTGGCGCCCTTCAGCCAAATTATCTTTCAAAGCTTTTGCAAAACCTCCTGGCCTTCCAAGAAGGTTTGCTTCTTTCTACAATTTTTATAATTTTTCCCACCACCCTGACCAAACTCCTACAAGTTAAAATAATTTTCAGCTCTTAGACTAACCCCATAGAACAGCAGTTCCCAACCTTTTTGGCACCAGGGACCAGTTTCATGGAAGACAATTTTTCCATAACTAGGGTGGGAAGATGGGGGCAGCATTAGTTTAAGTCTCATAAGGAGGATGCAACCTAGATCTCTCACATGAGCAGTTAACAATAGGGTTTGTGCTCCTATGAGAATCTAATGCTGCCACTGATCTGACAGGAGGTGGAGCTCAGGTGGTAATGCTCGCAGCCACTCACCTCCTGCTGTGCAGCCGGGTTCCTAACAGGCCATGGACTCATACTGGTCCACAGCCCAGGGACTGGGGACCCCTGCCATAGACAAAGCACAGAAGAGAGTTATGGTTTCAGAACAGAATGTAAATATTATCAATCTTAACAATATAAAAGTTCAAATGATAGAAATTGGGAAGTGGAAGGCAGGAAGGAGAGCTAAAAGGAAGGATAGAAGTGCAAATGTTCCCATCTTTCAAGGCGGAGAGTGAAAAAATACTATTATTGAACAAGAAATAAAGTGATTAGTTTATGACTTAAAGTTTCAAATGATACTGATTTTTAAAATGAAAGCATGATATAACTACATGAAAAGGTTGAGGGAAGGGGGATGTAGGATGGTAAAACCTTAGATCAATGGCAGAAATTCAATAACTAATATCTAAAATTGATCAATCAAAAAACAGAAATGGAAACATCTTATTCAGAGATATGGAAATTAACACCAAAATAAATAGTAAAAAGATTAAAAGTGGCTATCCTAGGGAAAAGGACAGGAGTTAGGAAAGAGTGAGGCAAGAAACTGTGGCTTTGTATCACAAAAGTTCTACAGTATTTTGACTTGTTAACCAGGATAAGTTATTTTATAAATTTTTTTTTAAATTTTAGTGGATTTTTAAGCTGTCTCTGGGATCACTGACACATTTCTTTTGGCCCTTGTTTCACGTACAGATCCCAGTTCTCATGGGCAACTTCCAGATCCCAACACCAAGAAGTCCTTGGGCACAAGGACTTCTTTTTATCTACCACCTTTTTATCTACCTTGTTGTGAACCCCATAAGCAGTGATGTTTCCATGATCTTCCGTGGGTCAAGGGCCTTTAATAACATGTGGTATTTATATGGTACCTTTCATCCGAAGACTACAGTGCAAGGCATGACATTCTCTCACTATGTTCCTATGGGGAAGGCAGAAGACAGGGGCGATTAACCCTATGATACATACAGGAAAACTGAGACAAAGAGCTCTTATAACCAATCTAGTAGGTTGGTTCTATTACTCAGAATTAAGGGGATAACTGCTGAGCCTTAAGGATTATGGAAGACTTAACCTGCAAATGATTCTTTCTGAAGACATGTGTCAGTTGGCTAATTATGGGCTTCATCTTCTCCCTTTTTTAGTTGAATGATCCAGGGGCCAGGGTGAAGCTCTGGGAAAAGGGAAGTAAGTCCCAGAGAGTGAGTAACGATGGGAGAAGTGAGAAAGAAAGGCCTAGTTAATTGTGGGCTGTGTCTTACTCACTCACTAAATTGATCAGAAATTATTTACGAAGCCCTCTCTTAGGCTTTCAGTTCCATGCCTGGTGCCAGGAAGAATACAAGGAAGGAGCATAGAATGAGTGCCATTTTGTCAGTAGCTTACAATTTCCTTGGATCCACAAGAAATACGTACATTGAACAAGACGAAAACTAATGCTGGGAGGTAGAAACAGAACAGTCAGTGTAATAAGATCCTAGGGGAAAGTAAGGTGAGCAAGGGCTTCGACGGACACTTTTTCTACCTGTGTTTCTTCATTGAGCACCCATAGTCGCTGGGTGTGGTGTTAGAGGCTGCAGATTTGACACTCAGTCCCTGTTCCTATGGGCTCATAGGCCAACGTAGCTGAGAGAAATAGTGCAGCGGGACGGGGTGGTCTGGAAAACCTCCCAGAGCAAGTAACCTCGATAAATGGAGCCTAACTACAGAATGGATGCTGTGCCTGTGAAGTCAAAGGAGAGCTCTGCACAGAGGGAGGGGGCTGCAGATATAGGGGAGGGTAGCAGAGAAAAGAACTCCAAGAAGGAAGGAAGGCTTGGGCTCAATTTAAAAATACTTTTCTGAGGTCCCCCAGATGCTTCTCCTAGGCCAGGACTCTTCCCTTCACTAATACTGTTTTTGCCTAATTGAAGTTAAGGAAAGCACTCCTCCTCCATTTCCTCCATATTTTCTTTCCACTTTCCTTTTCTATCTTTCTCTTCCTGACTTTTGACAGTAGCATCAAGAGAATGTCTATTACCTAAAAAATCTGCCAGTCTTTCCATTTTTTGGTCATTTGTTTAAAAACAGTATTCCTTATTAAGAATATTTTCATTTGTGTGTGACTTCATTGCCCACAAACTGCTTCTATCACCACAAAATTACATCTTAGATATGACAAGAGACACAATGTCAGGTCAAGGGCTTACTTGCAAATCAACAGAGGGACTCCAGGTGAAACTCCAGTTAAATCAGGCAATGGAGCTGTCCAACTACCCAGATGACCCAGGAGAGCAAAAGTCCACGTGGCCTTGGGTTTCAGCAAGGAAGGAGTGTGCAGCATTCCCAGACCCCTTGGTGCCCATGACAGAGGCCAGGAGTCAGAGGGTTGGGACAGCAACTCAGCTTGATTGCTAAGCAGGAATACTCTTCACCTGCCTATGGCCAGGACTCCGGGCCAGAGAAAAGGAAATCACACAGAGTAATGCCTGTCATCAACTGCAATCACATTCTCCACATAGCAAAAGAAATGGGTCCCCAGTCTCTCTTTTCCCAGAACAAGAACAGGTGGCACCTGGCAGCATAACTCGGTGGTTTCTACATGATGGCCTGGTCCTAAAAACCTTTGACATCCCCAGCTTCTCAATGCCCTCCCTCTACTCCCTTATTCTGCCCGTTCCTTGCCCATTCATTCATGCTAAAGATCCAAACTCAGGTATGCTCTCCTCATTACTCAAGACAGGGCTGACCACGTAAACAGAAGCAGATCCCCAGTCTGTGCAGAGCTCGTGCCGAATGCTGGAGCCCAGCCACACACCACCGCAGACCTGACGCCAGCCCCCAGCGGGGCAGCTGTGCTGAGGTTGGCTCCTCAGGGCCACCTCTTGTCTTTACTGCAAGATATATTCTGATTCTTCTAGTGTGCCCAGTGGTAGCTTGTTACATGACTCTGCTCTCCTAGAGAGTTACATGAGTCTCTGCTCTCCTAGAAATAGATGACTGATGTTACTACTCACAGTAAATAAGTTATTATCAATAAATATTTTATCAGTTGTAACTGATATTATCAAAATCATAAATACTTATATTGTAGTCATTACTAATGGTAGTAAATTTAATTGTTTCATAACAATCCTTGTAGAGTTAATGCATATGTCCCTGAGCCCTCAGGATATCAAAATGTTGTTTCTCAGGCATAATATTGTCTTAAGTAATAAAATTAGAAACCATAAATCTATGTCTTGCTGCTCTTTTCATCCAGTTCTCCTTACTTTGCCAGGGTTTTAAGTTCTCACAAGGTTTAGGCTCCCTTTAATGGTCATATTTGGTTACAAAGAAGTTCCTCAGGTTCACCCAGAAATCGGATCTGATCTGCCCCTTGTGGGGCATTTAGTAGCCATGAACAGGGTGTGGTCTATCAGAGGCGGTGCCTCCTATTAGAGGGAACTAGAACCTGAAAAGGTAAAACTCAACCCAAATTCCTCTCGAATCTTTGGAAAAGGAGTGAACATTTAAAAATTTTTAAAACGTGAAAGTTGTTTCAGTAACTTATTAGAGAGGTCGAGGTGATGAGATTTTCATGCTTGATCCAGAAGAGCAATGAAATCATAACTTAACATGAGACAGATCACTAGAGCCTTGGGATAGCAGGGGTGGGAGAGGACCCACGGTCCATCTAATTCATCCGCCCACTTCATCTTCTTTTCCGTCCACCACATCCACCAGGGGAGAACGCCGCCTCCCCAGTCAAAGAAGACAGCAAACAAGCCAACTGTGCTTGGGGCAAAACTGGAGAAGAAGGTCCTATCTATCTATTCTTTCTCTGTTTAAAGTATTATATATATTCTTAATTTTCTATTTAATTATCTAATTTATTAAAGGCAAGCGAATTACACATATGCAGCAAAACTGTAACTAATAAAAGCAAAATCACTATTTCTGAAGTTATTTTCCAGACTGCATCTTCAGTGTCAATCCTGAAAATGATCCAACAGGACTGCCGTTTAAAACATAAGAGACTGTCCACGTGTTTGTCTCTGCTTGTTCCTGGATACTTCCTCCAAAAACAGAGTAAATTAATTTAAAAAGGCAAAAGGAGGGAAAATGAGATCCCAGAGTAGGAAGATGTCAATGTATTTGGGGAAGATGAAAAGTAAATGAAAGTGTGGTACCTAACTTAGAAGGGGAAAGGTGAGTTCTGAACACCTGCAGAGGACACCAATGTGACTCCATGGAGTCCAGACACACAGTCTGGAAAAGCTTAGGAACTAGAAATAATTTGTAAGGTCAGAGTGAAGGACAGAGCTGAAAACATCTTGTGACTCCAGCATCGACTAGGACATCTGCATCCAGTCAGCAGACAAAAAAAAAGAGGGTGTAGAATCGCACATGAGAAATTTCTATGGGCCAAGAAGTAGCACACATCACATCAGCCTATATTCTACTGGCCAGAATTTAATCACATGGCCACACTTACCTCCAAGGGAAGCTGGGAAAGGTGATCTAGCTCTGTGTCCAGAACAAAAAGGAAACAGGTTTTGGTAATCATGTACCAGTTTCTGCCACAGGCTAATTCTAATTGCTAGAGCAAATCATAAAGTTCAAACAAGGAACATACCACTTTCATATCACTTATATCTTCTCCGTGCTCTATTACGGGGTGCTCACTGAATACTGAGTCATAAACCAAAATACCTCTGAGAGGTTGCTTTGTGTGCTTAACAATAATATTGTATAGTGTTTACTCTGTGCCAGGCATGGTTTTAAGTACGCTACATACACAAACTCATTTAATCCTCCCAACAACCCTGTGAAGGAGATATTATCCTCCTCATCCCCATTTTACAGATGAGAAAACTGAGGCCCATTGAGGCTGCATAACTGGCCCTGATCACTTAGCAATTCAGCAGCGGAGCTGAGATGAGAAATCAGCCAATCCAGTTCGAGTCCACGCTTTTAACCTAAATTCTTCTACTCCAAACTGACTCTATACAAGATCAATAGGAATTCCCCAAGTTGAAAGCAGGTGTTTAACGTGCCTCTCAGGATCAGGAGTTGTCCTGATATTCGTGGCTCCTTACAGTGCAGGACCATTTTCAGCTTGGGCCTTAGCCAGGAGGTTCTTCTCCCACCATAGAGCAGCAGTGAATGCGACCATGACACCAATCACTCAGACTAAAGAGCTACGTTTGTGGGGCCCGTATTCAGGCTCTGGCATGGCTCAGGGCACACTGAAGGAAAGCCAGCCACGTGGCAATGCCCTGGGCAGAGGCAATCATAACCATTTGCTCCGAGAGCAACATTAAGGACTCAGGAGTCAGCTCTTTTTAGCGTGATATGAGCGGGTAGCATTTATTGAGCATTTAACCCACCTGAGGCCCTTTCACGCTAGTTTGTGACCAGCATCTTTCTGTTGATAAACATGACTTGCATGTACCAGGAACCTTTAATCCTCACCACAATCTTATGGGCTATGAAATAATCCTGCTATTATGATGATCCCTACTTTAGAGATAAGGACACTGGGGACCGAGAAGTTACGTAACTCACCCAAAGACATACAGCTAGTAAGTAGCAGTGGCAGAGCAAGGCCACTCATGTCCAAAGACTTTTTTTTTTTTTTTTTTTTTGAGACAGAGTTTCACTCTTGTTGCCCAGGCTGGAGTGCAAATGGTACAATCTCAGCTCACTGCAACCTCCGCCTCCTGGGTTCAAGCAATTCTCCTGCCTCAGCCTCCCAAGTAGCTGGGATTACAGGCGCCCGCCACCATGCCCAGCTAAATTTTGTATTTTTAGTAGAGACAGGGCTTCATCATGTTGGCCAGGCTGGTCTCGAACTCCTGACTTCAGGTGATCCACCCTCCTTGGCCTCCCAAGTGCTGGGATTACAGACATGAGCCACTGTGCCCGGCCTGTCCAAAGACTTCTTGCTGTTCAGCAGCAAAAAAACATGAGCTGTGTGGAAAGTGTAGAAAAGGATCAAGGGGGCCTGGGAGAAGGGGAACTCAGACTGGACCCCAGGGAAATGTCCCTAGCTATGAATTTATGTTTTTTTAATTGTTGTTTTGTTTTGTTTTGAGACAGGGTCTGGCTCTATCACCCAGGCTGGAATGCAGTGGCATAATGTCAGCTCACTGCAACCTCTGCCTCCCCGGCTCAAGTGATCCTCCCATCTCAGTCTCCTGAGTTGCTGGGACTACAGGCACACACCACCACGCCAGGCTAATTTTTGTATTTTTTGAAGAGATAGGGTTTCACCACATTGTCCCCGGGCTCAAGCAATCCACCCGCCTTGGCTTCCTAAAAGGGGATTACAGGTGTGAGCCACCACACCTGGCCTGTGCTACTTCTTGAGTGAGATGGAACTGGAAATGTAGAAGTCTATATGGAACTCAGGTCTGGTTATGCACATATTTTGTGTTTATGCAAATAATTATACCACCTAAATCTCTCTGTTATGTCTATAAAATGCCTCCTTGTATTGGATCAATGTCTGGAGAGGGAGGACCTGGACCATTGAAGTCAGAGAGAAGCAGACCTGATAAGCCCATCACCCCCAGTGATGTTTTAACAAGTCGGATGTTTATGGGTGTTCTTTGTGTTTCATATGCCAACGTGTATAATCATGAGTACACATGAATGTGTAATTATGTGTGCAACACTTGCATGTGAGTGAAACAAACATATCCACAACTGGGTTAAAGTGCCACATCTTTCATCTATTAATTATAAGATCTAGTGCAAATTATTTATTCCATCTGAAGCTCAGGTTTCCCCTCTATAAAAGAATAACTTACCAGATTGCTGTATTAAATGTAACTAAAATCTCTATAAATCAAAAAACTTGATTCAAGCATGTACGTTATTATAGGTATATGGATCCGTGTATAAAATGCATCCTTTTTTTGAGACAGGGTCTTGCTGTGTCACCAGGCTGGAGTGCAGTGGTGCAATCACTGCAACTTCAACCTCCTGGGCTCAAGCAAGCCTCCGCCTCAGCCTCCCCAAGTGCTGGAATTGTGTGAACCACCACACCTGGCTAAAATGCCTACTTTAATGGCCTGCTTGAAATTTTATCTTGTTACTTCTGTCCATGGTTTTACAAACACCAGTGAGACTTCTCTGTCTCTCCTTGTGATATGGTTTGGGTGTTTGTCCCTTTCAAATCTCATGTTGAAATGTAATCCCCCATTATCCTTAGCAAACTAATGCAGGAAAAGAAAATGAAATGCCACATGTTCTCACTTATAAGTGGGAACTAAATGACGAGAACACATGGACTCAAAGAGGGGAACAACAGACACTGGGACCCACTCGAGGGTGGAGGATGAGAGGAGAGAGGAACAGAAAAAATAACTATTGGGTAGTAGGCTTAGTATCTAGTGATGAAATCATCTGTACAACAAACCCGCATGACGCAAGTTTACCTATATAACAAATCTGCATGCATATACCTTTGAACCTGAAATAAAAGTTTTTAAAAAAATAAATGAAATCCTCAGTGTTAGAGGTGGGGCCTGGTGGGAGGTGATTTGATCATGGGGGTTGATCCCTCATGAATGGTTTAGCACGATCCCCTTGGTGATAAGTGAGTTCTTGCTCAGTTAGTTCACAAGAACTTTGGTTGTTTAAAAGTCTGGGACCTCCCCTTTCTCCGAGTCTCTTGCTCCCACTCCCTCCATGTGACATGCTGGCTCCCCGTCACCTTCCGCCATGATTGCATGCTTCCCGAGACCTTCACCAGAAGCAGATGATGGCACCACACTTCCTGTAAAACCTGCAGACCGTTGAGCCAAAATAAAACCTCTTTTCTTTATAAATATCAACCTCAGGTATTTATTTAAAGCAATGCAAAAATGGCCTAATATGCCTTTTCTGCTCCTAGAAGCACAATCATTGGAGAATGATGTTAATGCTACTATTTGAAGAAGGTTTGCACTATTTTTGATCCTGAGGAACTGTGCACTCTTGAGGAGAACCATCAAACAGTATAAAGAGATATTTGGTACATCAGGCACCACAGAACAAATCACAGAGTCTCAGCTGGGGGACTTGTGTTTAAATAAACTCATTCAAAGGGCCAGCAACCAAAGATGTGCAGGCAGTGGGTCTAATTATCTGCTGGGTTCACAGTCTACTGTTCCACGATGGGGGAAAAGGCCTCGAAATTACAGCTGGTTCTGTAGCTGCACTCAAAATCACTCGCAGGGAAAGAGAGGCTGCAGGGCCAGAACCTTAGCACAGGTGGGGAGCACAGACCAGCTCAGGGGTGCATGCCTCCCAACCGAGGACCCACTTAGACACGTTGAGGGCTTGACGGAGCAAATAACCAGTGTCCTCTAAAATATGTGTTCACTATTAGATAAAGTGTTATTTCTACTTTATAGACAAAGAAACTGCAACCAGAAGAAGTTCAAGAATTTACCCTCAATCACACAGATAAAGCACCTAGCACAGGGCCTCTACATTGGCAGGTGTGCCAATTATTTCTTCGGCAAATAATCACAGCTCAACAAATGACACTGTGAGAGAAAGGGTCTTTGGCAAGATTGAGAAGAGAGTCTGAGATTCTGTTGGCAAAATCATGCCCAGATACACCATGCAGAGGTGCCCAATATTAGTGATCTCAACTACAGAGACCAAAAGACTTAAGAGTTCTCATCATCAGCATCACTGCCCACTCTGTCCACTTGGTTGCTGCCACTGGTCCAAGGCTTCATCAATGAACAAAATGAATGGAACCATTGACTGAGAGGCAGGGCCCTGGGAGGAGGTTGGGGAAGGATGGTCACAAATAAAAGAATCTTGGGCCAGGCGCGGTGGTTCATGCCTGTAATCCCAGAACTTTGGGAGGCCGAGGCGGGCAGATCACAAGGTCAGGAGATTAAGACCATCCTGGCTAACACAGTGAAACCCCATCTCTACTAAAAATACAAAAAAATTAGCTGGGCGTGGTGGCGGGCACCTGTAGTCCCAGCTACTCAGGAGGCTGAGGCAGGAGAATGGCGTGAACCCGGGACACGGAGCTTGCAGTGAACCGAGATCGTGCCACTGCACTCCAGTCTGGGCCACAGAGCAAGACTCCATCTCAAAAAATAATTAAAAAATAAAGGAATCTGAAGGAAAAGGAATGAAGAAGAAAATATATGCTCACCCTGGGTGAGCTGCGTTGACCAATAGGCATCAAAATGGAAAAAGAAGTGATTTACACCATTAACCTCTTGCAGAGGAAAGCAACTTCAGTAAAAAAGGAAGTTTAAAATTATGATACAAGGCCAGGTGCGGTGGCTCACGCCTGTAATCCCAGTACTTTGGGAGGCTGAGGTGGGCGGGTTACCTGAGGTCAGGAGTTCAAGACCAGCCTGACCAACATGAAGAAATCCCATCTCTACCAAAACCACAAAAATTAGCCAGGCATGGTGATGCACGCCTGTAATCCCAGCTACTCAGGAGGCTGAGGCAGGAGAATTGCTTGAATCCGGGAGGCGAAGGTTGCAACGAGCTGAGATCGCGTCATCGTACCTCAGCCTGGACAAGAAGAGCGAAACTCCATCTCAAAAAAAATCTATATATGTATGATACAGCCAGGCCTCTGGAGCTACATATCTGATTATAGAATCACATGGTTCCATTTTCTCAAAGGTTTTAGCAATATACTCATTGTCAGTGCACAGAAAACATTCAACTTGGTAGATTAAAGGAAAATATGTTCTCTGGGGTAGGAAAGGATTGCTGCAAGACCAAAGACAAAGGAGGCATTGTCCCACAGCCACCAAGATAGAGGAGGAAGCAGAGTCACGGAGGATCACCCCCCTGGGTGATTGGGTGGCCAGACTCCTGGCAAAGTGCTCACTGTGGCTGCTCTCTATCCATCACTCAACACTAGTATCACAGCTTCAGGGGGCAGGGGGACAGGTGATATGGGAGAGAGGGTTCCGTGGACAATCTACTTTTCTTCCTTGGCTGGTTGAGAGACCAAATGCAACAAGAAAACCAAAGCCCAGCCAGGACGCCCCACTGCCCACAGCGTTGTGAAGTGTAGTCATCAACCGTTCCAGACCCTGAGCAGGGGAACTGCAAGATGACAAGATGAAAGATGACAAGGTGATGCTCCAGCCCTCTCAAGCCAATCGTGTGGGTGGTTTACACAGACATTTGCACAGGGCTGGGGACCCACCCAGCCGCCAACATCTGGAGCAGACACAGTGGAAACTCATCCACTGGGAGAACTCCTCTGAGGTTATCAGGAGTGACCCAGAGACCCAGTGACCCAGAGTAAACACAGCACCTCTGCAGCTGAGTTGGCTGGACCCCCTGCCCTGGGACACCTAGCAGAGGAGGCAGTGTTGGCTCTTGCTGAAGGAATCTGAGCCACTTTTTCCACACTGGGAAGAACAGGAGGGAGGTCAGAGCCAGACAGGAAGAGGGAGCCCCGTGCTTCAGAACCCAGGCAAATCTTTGCACTGAGGGGCCACAGAGGAACCTGAAAAGACCTCGGGTTTCAGCCTCTAAAGAGACAAGGGGCCTCCTCCGCAAGGGGGCTTTGGGGAAGACTAAATAGCTGTGGTTAGTTGCTTAAACTGTCCTGTAAGGTGGGTGCCTGGGACTTACTGCTGTTGAACTTACTGTTGTTAGTCTTTCAAGTGGTCACCTCTTGCCTTCTGAAAGGTAGAAGGAACCAGAGCCTGCCCAGAACCCCCAAGATAGCTGATGCATTCTCTGGGACTACACCCCAGCCTGCAGGGCCCCCTCCACTGCCTCTGGGCCATCTGCCGGGGACACTTTGCCCAGGAGAGGCTGCCCAGTGTGCCTGTGCCTGCAGGCCCTGGGTACTGGATACTGGTACTTTCCCAGCTGGTCTAAAACCTTAGTGTAGTGACCATGCTGTCCAAACTCAAACTGAGAGTATAATAATCTAACGGATATGAAGATGATTATATGGGGAGCACTGAGCAGACTATATGAAAGGGAGTCTATAATTAAAGAACTGAGGGGCTTGTGATTATCCTGCCTGTGGAGCATGTTGAGGCCAAAAGATGTGGGATCTGGACAGACTCCAAAGAAAACTGCCCCATTGAAAGTTATGTGACCTCAGGCAAGTTCCCTAGCCTCTCTGGGCCTCAGAATGTTCCTCAGCAGATGCATAAAATAGGTGTAATAACGATGTCTCTGTCACTAGACTATTGAGGAACCAAATGAGATAATACCTGCGAGCACGACTGTTACTATTTTTGCTGTTATTTCTAACTATCTAGCCAGAGAACCTTGAACAAATAATTTCAACTCTTTGGGGCTATGTTTCCTAGAAAATGAAGGAATTAGATTTCCCAGATTCCTTCACAGCTCTTAACATTCTTGGCCATCATCCATGAGAGTAATTGCCTTCCCATAGTTTTATTAAGTGCCAACCTTCAGGGCTGCATGGTCCTCCTTTCCAAATGTGGCCCCAGTCTCTACCCATCCCCTCTTTCCTCTTGAAAAGATCTACAGTTTTCCTGTAGTGAAGTGAGCACGCTGTATTCATTGCAGCAGTAGTCAGAACATCTAGGAAGCAACAGGAGGCTGCTGGCTTTGCAAGTGCCCTCCAGGCACAACCCTGAGAATGGGGGGAAAAGCCCCTTTCACAGACTGAAAGGTTCCACAGCCCTGGATTCTCAGTGCTTCCAGTTTCTAATCACAAGCCCTAACTGGGCATAATTGGAGGTGGAAATGAGCAGACCTACATTTGAGTGTCAGTTCTGTCATTAATCAGCTGGGAGACCCTGGGATCTTATTTAATTTCTATAAACTTGTTTGCTCATAAAGCTATGGAGCTATCACCTCATTGAGTTGCTCTGAGGATTAAATGAAATAATGTCTATAATGTGCCTGGAGCAAGTAGCAATAATTTTATGTGTTTTTGCACATCATAAAGTGTTATTCCCCATTAAGTGTTGTTGTTTTGTTTTTGTTTTGTTTTGTTTGAGAAGGAGTCACACTCTGTCCCCCAGGCTAGAGTGCAGTGGTGTAATCTCGTCTCACTGCAACCTCTGCCTTCCAGATTCAAGTGATTCTCCTGCCTCAGCCTCCCAAGTAGCTTGAATTACAGGTGCACACTGCCACACCCAGCTAATTTTTTGTATTTTTAGTAGAGATGGGGTTTCACCATGTTGGCCAGGTTGGTCTTGAACTCCTGACCTCAAGTGATCCACCTGCCTCAGCCTCCCAAAGTGTTGGGATTACAAGCATGAGTCACTGCACCTGGCCCCCATTAAGTGTTAAATTTTCATTATCACTACTGTTGGTGATCATAATGGGGAATGATGTCACTAGTTTCAACCTCCTTCATCCACAGAAGCCAGAGGCAGGCAGCACCCCACTCAGGCATCAGCTTTCTACAGCCCTGAATTTGGATATTAGATAGAAATAAGACCCCAGGCATTATCAACCTGCTTAAACCATTGTTCATGAATAACTTTAAATCTTCTGTGAGCATAAAAAGCTGATGCTGGACATTTTTCCATTTTATTCCCAAAGAGAGAGAGGTTCCTGGCTCTTCAAATGACTGCAGGTTTCCCCTGTGGGAAGGGCCATTCATTGCACCAGGCCTCCATGTCTAGGGACCTGAGTGGTGAATGGGCAGCCTTGCAGGGAGCACCAGCACCTCATGCTCCCATGGCAGCCTCCACTCAGAAAATGCAATACTGACTTTACTCCAATCTGACTTAAGTTCAGAAAGAGCAAGCACAGAGAAGAAAGCAAGATAGGAAATCTTCCCTTCTCTCCAAGTGCCTCCGTTCTGGCTTCTCTGAAATCTCCAGGCTCAGTACACTCAATCGATGAAGAGAGTGAGAAAGGAAATTTTCCACATGAATAAAATGAGAGGACAAGATGATTCAGATTCCCTTGGCTTTTTATTTCTCCAGCTGTCAAGCATCGAGAGACTTTTTAATGCATTCTCTTATTTTCCCCCTCTAAACAATCCCACAGGTGGGTGCCATGGTAAACTCCATTTTGCAGATGAGGAAATTAAAGTGAAAGAAGTTAAATAACTTGCCCAAGCTCACACATGGAGGCAGGGTTTGGACCCAGGTTTGGGTGGTCCAGGGCCAAGTTCATAATCACTATGGGAATTGCTCTGGGAAAGAACCAGAATAGGCCAGGTGCAGTGGCTCATTCTTGTAATCCCAGCGCTTTTGGAAGCCAAGGCCGGCAGATCATTTGAGGTCAGGAGTTTGAAACCAGCCTGGCCAACATGGTGAAACCCCATCTCTACTGAAAATACAAAAATTAGCCAGTTGTGATGGCGTCGCCTGTAGTCCCAGCTACTCGGGAGGCTGAGGCATGAGAATCACTTGAACCTGGGAGGCAGAGTTTGCAGTGAGCCGAAATCATGCCACTGCACTTCACAGAGCAAAACTCCAGCTCAGAAAAAAAAAAAAGAACCAGAATAACAGTGATTTCCTAAACATTACCTCAGTTCCCCCTGTAGTAGATGTTCAGTAGACTCTCTTTAAAAGATTCCCCATAATCTTTAAAAGAGATAGCTACTATAAGCCAGGTGCTTCCATATTTATTAGACTTCTTTAGTCTATGCACCACTATCCATGAGGTCAGTATTTTCTCTGCATGACAGAAGAAACTGAGGCTCAGAGAGGAAAGTGGCTTCCCAGGTCATCTTGCCTACCAGTGGCACAGCTGGGCTTGATGCATTGCTCGTGCAGGTGTGAGGTTGGAGCACTCTCTCCTGATTCTGCAATGGCTGGAGTGGGGCAGCTTCCTGGTATCAGCTGTTTTCTCTTTCTCTTCCAGGGAAGTTTCACATGTGCTCTGACAATGGCTCCAGGTGCGTGGGCATACTGAGCTTGGCCTTGGCTACCGCAGTCATCATTGCCAACCTCCTGCTATACTTTCCCAGTGGGCAGGTGCTGGAGCCTGCCAAGATCACAGACTTGGTCTGGGTTTTCCATGGCTTTATAGGAGCTAGACTCTTGGTAACAATGAGATTTATCTATTTCTCCTCCCTCAGATGAAGTGTGTCCCTAAGGACTTGTCCAGTCACAAAGCAATAATTTCATCTGGGGGCCACCTTACCTATGCCCCCAGAGCATGGCCGGCTGCTCTTCCTCTGTATCCCACAACATGCTATAAATAAACACACTCCACATTGGCACCTGGCACACTGTATTGCAAGCATCTATTTATTTGTGTGCTCCCCCATTAGGCTGTGAGATCCATAAGAACAGAGCCCAAGTATCATTCACCTTTGCCCTCTAAGTGCCTGCCTAGCAAAGTGCCTGGCTTAGATTAGAGCTCAATAAATAAATTGTTGTTAATTGCATGAAAGATACACTTTAATCAAAAGCACAATAATAGGATATTTGTCAGGTTCATCAAAGATGACCATCTTTAAAAAGTTATGTAGCTATCATCAAGGCTTTCCTAGGTACAAGTAAGGTGTTAGCAAATCTTTTCTGTAAAAGATAAGACAGTAAATACATCCATCTTGGTGGACTATGGGGTCTCTTTTTTTTAACTGCTCAACTTTGCCATAGCCGGGCAAAAGCAGCCATAGAAAATATATAAGCAGATGAGCATGACTATGTTCCAACAAAGCTTTAGCTATAAAAACAGGTAACCTGCCAGAGCTGGTCCACAGCCCATAGTTTGCTGCCCACTGAGATAGGCATGGGGTGTTTTCCTTCCTTTCTACCTTTTGTTTTCATTTGGCTCCTCCTCTTCAAGGTATCCAGTGGTCACTTACGAAAAGACAATTTATTTGTGTGAAATCCCAGTGCCAAGCACTGAGTGCTCAGCAAATGGGTGAATAAATGGATAGGGCATAAGGAATTCTCTCAAAAACAAGGTGACCACCTCCCCTCTGGGTTTTTCTTCACCCTAGTAGGCACAGTGATGTTGCGAATTGCATCCAGTGACCACCAGCCCCTCCCCTACATGGCAGAGGCTGGGGCTTCCTGTGCAAGAGTCTATCTAAATCAGCAAAACTTTGGGAAAAACTGTCTGTGTCTCAGCTCAGCGCCCTTCCTCACAGGCAGCACAGACCTAGGAGTCCAACAGACGCTGCTCAAATCATGAGTCTGTGTCTGGCCTGCTCTGCAATTTCCCTGTGCTTCAGTAAAAAGAATCAAACTATCTTACAACTAGGCGGAGGACACTGAATTAAATAACATACATAAAGTGACTGGCACACACACAGCGGCCAGTAAACATGCATCGGTCCCCTTTCCTGGCCCAGATGACCAGCTCTACCACCTCTGGGGATCCAGCCAAGCACCTGTCTCCTGCTTCTTATCCACCCTATTTTTGAAGGACAGATTTGCATTTCTCAGCTCCACTGCCAAGCAAATTACACAAATCCTTCTAAGCCTCATTCTCATCATCTGGAGAATTTACAAGAACATCACCACCCAACTTCTTTCAATATGTAAATGAACAAATACAGTGCAAACAGCTTGTGGTCACGTAGGTTTCCTAATAGCAGAATCCCAGAGTGTTTACTAAAAAAGAGTGACCCATAGAAAAATATTCTGTGGTCCAGAGGGATGCAGAGTACAGCCTGGCTCACTCATGGACCAGACACTCTGTCTCCATAGCATCCCTTAATACCAACTGGCTTGTCCAGCTCTCACTCCAGCTTTCCAGCAAAACCTCCCCCAGCTGTCCCAGAGAGTGACATGGGAATAATGCAAATAGGACCAAACCAGGCCATGAAGCTCAATAACATAAAATCCAACAAACCAAGCCAGTCTCTCTTTCTCTTTTCCTCCTTCTCTCTCTTTTCTCTTCCTTCCTTTCTTAGTTCATTCAGTCATTAGTATACACTCTATACCCTGACAGGCACCCAGCTAAAGCAAACTAAGGCAGCGGCCATGGAAGTGGAGAGGGGAGGGCATATTTGAGCAATGTTAAAAGATCAGATTGGCAGGACCTGAAGACGTATGGGGTGTGGGGAAGGGGAGCAGTCCAGGTTGGCTCTGGCATTCTGGCCTGGGTGCTAGGGGAAATGATGGTAGCTTTCTCCGAGGCAGGGACCTCAGGGGTGAGCTTGGAGGGAGGGCAGAGGACCCTATTTTGCTCTAGTTTACATCTACACCAAGGGATCAGAGGATGGTTGGGCTGGGACTGAAGACCAGGAAACAAGACGAGATTAAGAGGCACTGCAGAGAGGTGATATGGGAGCCTCCATAGTAGAAGGTGTGTCTGGAGCTGGTGCATAGAATGAGAGGTGAAAAGAACTCAGGTTAAAACCTTAGGAAGCATCAGAAACTGAGGTATACAGAGGAAGAGAAGCCTGTGAGGAAGACTGAAAAATAACTAGAAAGTCAAAGGCAAAGCAGAAAAGAGGAAAATTAGGAAAGCTGAGGAAGGAGAAAGTTTCAAGGAGTGAGAAACTGCAATGTCAATTGCAACAGGGGGAACATAAGCTGGGCCCTGAAAAGCATCCAGTGCACAGCAAGGTGTCCAGTGGATCTGGGCTGGAGCAGTCCTGGGGGAGTGGCTGGAAACAAGATTGCAGAGGACTGAGGAATGAATGGAGGTGAGGTGCTAGGGGCCTGGTATAGCACTAATCTCCCCAGTGGCTCAACTCTGAATAGAGGAAGAAGGGGCAGGAGATTGAGCTGCCCTTTATAATATAAGGAAAGCTAGAACAAGATCTCAAAAGCCACAAGGGACACTCTGAAGACAAAAACAGGCACAGCCATTTATTTAGCATCAGCTTTATGCTTAACATGGTTTAAGGATTGACGGAATAAAACCAGAATTCACAGTTACTGCCCTTTAATAATAATTGTAGCAGGCATTTTCACAAAGGTTTAGACCGTATTAAATCTTGCACACAAATCGTTTATTTCCTTCTCACAACAATTTTGTGAAGTGGGTATCATTATCTCCATCTTATGGGTGTGGAAATGAGGCCCAGGCAGATTAAGTAGTTAGATTATGGCCACACAGCTGGTGCAAGACAGAACTGAGACTCAGACACCCATCTGACTCTGAAGCCTGTGATCTCTCCATTTCTCCACTATTTGACCCATGCACTCACGTAAGATAAGACACAGGGAAAGATGGCATGCATGAAGTTCATGCCAGCAGAGGCCCCGCTCCACATCCACAGTTCTGCAAAATAGCATGTGGAGTGCTTGGGAGGGCTCTCCAGCTAGCTAAGGGTTGGTCCAAGTTTGTTTGGCACAATGTCTATCAGGTGGAATAACACACCTGAGTAGGAAACAGCCATCTTTAGCACCAATCACACGTCAATAATACATGCCCAAGGATATGTCTTCCTCACCATCATGAGAACTGGGGGTTTCCCAGATGTTCACATCTGCAAACACATTTACCAACCATCACACAGGGGGAAGTGATTTTTTTCATGAAGCCAATTCATCCATTGTAGTTAGTTCTTGTTCCTCACCTGTGGCCCTATTGTTCTGCTCTTTCTCCTACCCCACTGCTAGAAGAAACCTGTGGAAATGTGAGCACAAATTTTATCACCTCATCATTGGCTTCTGATTCTGTGCCAGGCACTGTGGTAAAATCTGCTGGTCCACGAGTTCAAAGCCCACCTGAGCAAAGGAGAATGTCATGTGCTCAGTGCAATAGTTGAGGTTAACCTGAAGGAAGGACCTAATAGTTCTGCCTGGCAGGGGTCACTGAAAGCTACAGAGAGGATTTGCATTTGTTTTCTATTGCTGCTGTAACCAATTATCATAAAGTTGGTGGCTTAAAACACCAGAAATTTATTCTCTCACAATTCTGAGGGCCAGCAGTCCAAACTCAAGGTGTCAGCAGGGCCACACTCCCTCTGGTGCTCTGGGGAAAATTTGTTCCTCGTCCTTTCCAGCTTCTCATGGCCGCTGGCATTCCTTGGCTTGTGGCCACATCACTCCAGTCTCTGCCTCCATCTTTCCACGACATTCTCCCTGCCCTCACAACTCCTTATGCTTCACTCATAAGGATACAGGTCATTGCATTTAGGACCCATCCAGATAAACCCAAGACAAGCAACTCCTCTCAAGATCTCTAACCCAATTCTATCTTTTGCCCTATAAAGTAATATTCTCAAGTTCCAAGGATTAGGAAATGAATATATCTTTACAGGAGAGTGCATTTTTTCAAACTATCACAGGAGATAGTATCACCCTCAATGGGGCCCTTTTAGAGTGAGTAGTGGTTTGCCTGATGGCAAAGGGTGAAGAGCGTATTCAAAGGCACACGGGCAGGAAAGTCCTGGGCCATCCTGGGAGCCCACAAGCTGGTGTGTCAGGAGGTCTCAATGAAGGAGAAGTGAAACTCTGACAGCAGGGCAAGACCAGGGCATGAGGGCTCATGTACTGTGTCCAGGGCCTGAGTTTATCCCATAAACAGTGAGGAATTGTTAGACGTTGTTAAATAGGAATAAAAACAAAACAAACTTTGCTCCAAAAAGCTCACATCCCCTTCATTACGAGAGCATTTTTGTGACCACACTAATGTTGCCCTCCCTAATGTTGTTGAGAGGAGGTAAAGAGGGCTACTGCTTTCACAGATGTGCGCTAAGTACAGTGGGGTCTATAGAATTTTTAACCACTCCCAAGATCTACCCCAAAAGGCTTTATTTCCTAGGCTGTGGGCTTTCCCTCTTTTGAAGGGTAGACTATTGACCATCTCCTAGTACTTGTAATTCCTTCCTTTTAAAGCACAGGAGTGTATGCAGGACTCTAGCCAACAGAAATGGGTTGTGCTCCACAAGGCACCAGGAAAAATGAGCCTGGAAGGAGGCTTTGAAGAGAGTCATTGCAGTGGACCCAAACACTTATCAGTGCTGGGAGGCCAGCCTGCTGAGGTATTGTTGTTTGTTTGTGCTTCTGTTGTCTGTGGAGATGTCTAGAACCTTCTCCTCCCTTGGCTTTCTTATTTCCTCAGTAACCAGTGAGATAACACATCATAAAACTGGTATTCCAGCAAGAAGGAACATTGGAGATTGTACAGTCAAAAACTTTCACAGATGGTCCCTCTCAATGGCCCACAAAGAATAAAAAGAGAAAAAAAAAAAAAGGTTCGTCCATGATGTATTTATTTCTCATTTCCAGCCCATGGCCCTATCATGCTACTGCTCTTTCTCCTACCTGGTACTGCTAGAGGAAACCTGTGGAAATGTCACTACAAATTCTACAAACGTATCCCACATTTGACAAACAAGAAAGGAAAAACCCTGAGAGACTGAGTGGCTGCCCAAATTCACATAGCTCTCATTTTAGAGCTGGAGGGCATGTTTAGGATGACAGCTGACCCTTGAACAACACAGGGATTGGAGCACCTATCCTCCTCACAGTCAGAAATTTGCCTATAACTTTTGATTCCCCCAAAACTTAACTACTAATAGCCTACTGTTGACCAGAAGCCTTACCAATAAAAAATATAGTCAATTAACACATATTTTGTATGTTGTGTCTATTATATATTGCATTCTTATTGTAAGAATACAGTATAAGTACAATTAGAATACAGTATATAGTACCCACATCATATAATAAACTAGACAAAACTAGTTTATTGTACTAGTTTTGTCTAGTTTATTGTATGAATACAGTATATAACACACATAACATACAATAAACTAGAGAAAGAAAATGCTATTAAGAATCATGAGGAAGAGGAAATATGTTTACTATTCATTTAGTGGACATGGATCATCATAAAGGTCTTCATCCTTGTCTTCACATAGAGTAGTCTGAGGAGGAGGAGAAAGAGGAGGGTTTGGTTTTGTTGTCTCAAGGATGATAGAGGCAGAAGAAAATTCACATATAAGTGGACCCATGCATTTCAAATCCTTGTTGGTCAACTGCATTTACTCATCCCCAGGTAGATTACAAAGCTCCTTGCTTGGGGACAATCTTATCATCTCTGGACCCCCCCCCCTCCAGACCCTCCACAGATCCTGACAAACAGTGGAGAGCCTGGGGGGTCCAGAGATGATAAGGGCACCCTGAATGAGCGTGTGGCTGACAGGGCTGGGACTCAGTCTAGGTCTCCTGACTCCCAGCATCATGCTCTTTCCTGCACATAAAACTGCCCATGTCTCTGATCACAGTTCTGACAGTTTTTGTTCATACATCTTTTTCCTCCCTTAAAGAACAGAAAAAACTCAAATAGCCAGAGATCATCCTGCTCCAAAGATTCTGTGCCCCAACCCTTGCAGCCCCCAGTCAGAGCCTCCCCAGAGACCTTGGACTCCACATCACCTAGGGCCAGCTGCCTGAGTCATTCCATTCAGCTCCCCCAACCCTCCCTGTGGTGAGAAAGACACAGCATGGATGTGTCAGGAATCAAAGCTCATGCTTTGAAGCAAACGCGTCCTTCAGCTTTGCCCCACTTCAGCAATGCACTAATATGCAGGAAGGGTCACTGGTCTTCCCATGGCCTCACCGTCATACTCACCCATCCAGTCAACAAGTATTTATGGACTTTGTACACTATACAGGCCCTGTTTTGGTCACTGGCTCAGGCATTAGGTAAGTAAGGTAAGTAATTATTCATTTACTCACCCAATCATACAACATTTACTGAACACCCACCACCAGGATGGCAAATAGGCTTCATTTAGAGCTCCAGTACTGATCGATTGGCCACTCTGTTTTGAGAACTGTGAGGCCTTGTCCAGGCTTGATGGGGAAGAGTGCAGGAATCCATTACTGATGTCTGTCATGAGTGCGGATGAGAGGACTGGCAGCACACTTACTTCTATGTGCCAGGTGGCTCACGGCCCCAGGAGTCAACCATGGATAAGTTTCACTTCCTGCTCACAATTTTGTAGCAGATGATTTCATTCTTTCAAATTGCAACTGGGACAAAGGGTTTCTCAGCTCTAGTGCCCCATTTTTACCTACTTGGGAAACAAAACAAGGACACCTACCTAGTCTAGCATCTGGAAGAGAAGATTTGGGCCCTCTTCAATTTACCAGAAAACTCAGTGGATGGATCTTTAAAAAGATAAGTTCCCATCACCTCCCTCACCATTGTTGCACTGAATTTCTGGCTCTTTCCCATTTCTGATGCTGTTCCATGTGCTTTAGGACACACAGGGCACTATGGGGGCAGGTACTGTGTGGCCATTTCTTCACTGGGTTTGCTCAGCGGCCCCTTCTGTGACACAGATAGTGGAAACTATCCCCTTTCAGGAAAGACACTCTGGAGTGAGTAGCATTCACAGTCTTGGAGCAGTGTCTCACATCTGAAGAGGATACAGCTGATGACCACAAAGGGCATATTCTCTTGGTATTGACCGTCCAGTAATGGGGCCAGGTACTTCCATTCATACCTCCTATCTTGTTCCTCTCTCCCTACTTTCTCCCAAATCAACAATGTCTGAGAGATGATTGGTCTAGGAAGCAGCCCTGCATGGGCCCATGAATTAAGCAGTCCACCCAAGGTATTCAACCCAATACCTTGATTTCATTAGCTCCAATTCATGAACTCCACCAAGTAGGTGTCGAGGGAAGGGGTACAAAAGAAGGATAAGACAATTTTACCTGTTTGCAAGAAGCACACAATCTAACTGGGGAGATTTAACTACTAAATTTGGGGTTGCACAAATATTCTGAAGTGGCTGGACCCTGTGATGCACATTTATTTTCCTAAAGGAGTGCAGGAAGAAACCCAGCGGCAGTTGATTTAAAAAGACCCTGCTTCTTTTGTCATTTCATGTTCTCTCCCTTGCAGATTTCATCATCCCCATGGCTTTCAGAGCCATCCATCCATTTATGTATAATCATGACTATGAGTATTCCTCAAGTGTCTCTCTCCAGCCCAGATATTTATTCTACATTTCTGAGCCAAATAACTAATTGCCTCTCTGAAGTTTCCTCTTGAATGTCTCACAGCATTTCAATATGAATATGCCCCAAACCCTTGATGTTCACCCCAAATCCCTTCAGTCCATGCCCTAGATGGCATCTAAAACCTGTGAGTCATCTTTGATTCTTCTCTCTTCTCACTTCCCACATTCAATCCCCTGTGGATTCTACCTCCACAATACATCTTGAATCTGACCACTGCTCCCACCCAGTCTATTGTCACTTTCTTCTAAATGTCCATCACCCTTCGCCTCTGCCCCTACAACAGCCCTCCAAGTATCTCAGTCTCATTTTGCTCTTCAATCCTTTGGCCATAGATCAGCCAAAGAGATTTCTGTAAAATGTAAAGGTGCTGGTGAGCCCCAGAAGTCTTTAATTTAAGGAACTTACAATCTCACTTGGAATTCAGTAGGTACAGATATGGACAGCAGTGAAGGTAGAGATAGAGACAGAGATATCAAAAGATATAGAGGCCTATGAAATATGGCCTGAAAACCTATTTCATATTCTCTTTGTCCAACTAGGGTACTCTGACTCTGCATCCCTTAGGGTTTTTACTTCCACGCTGTTTCTCTGCTGCTAGCCTCTTTCAAGGCCAGGGAACCCCACTTTTCCCCGTGAAGCTTTCTCCAGCTACTCTAGGCCTCTCAGACCTTTCCTTATACTATGTTAATAATTATGACATAACTGAAATAGATGCCTACTCCATGACAGACACTGTGCTAATTATTATCTTACTGATCCTCACAACCATTCTATGCCGTTGATGCTGTTTTAACCCCATTTTAGGCGTAAAGAATCTGAGGTGCAGAAACATTTAGGAAACTTATCTATTTAACAGAACTTCTTAGCGAGAGAGCTGGAATCAAGACCTGGGTCTGTGGGACTTCAGAGTCATTGCTCTTTACCACCCCCACTTGTATCACATGCCTTTCTATCTCCTCCTATGCCCTGTTGAGTGGCTATGTCTGTATTCACAATGCCTTGCTGAGATGTTGTGCTATTAGAGGGAAAGATGTCTGTTCAGCCCTCTCTCTGATGGACACATAATAGGTCTGCTGTCTCTATGAAGGTGAGAGCAATAAAGACCCATAGATCTGTAACCCCCTGTACTAGACTAGTGCTTTTCTGATGCTTGTAAGTGGCAGCTCCCTCCCTTTACTGTCTTTGTTACAGTAACAAATAATAATAGAGCCCTATGAAATATGGCCTGAAATCATATTTGAATTTTCAAATAACTATTTGGAAGTTCTCTAATATAGAGCCCTATGAAATATGGCCTGAAAACCTATTCCATGTTCTGAATTTTCTCCCTTGTACTAGCAGGGACAACTATTCAACCAACCCACCTGGGCAGTCACCAAGAGTCTGTGCATATCATTCTCTGGAATGCGGTCTTACTTTCCATCCTCCTGAGGACTGGTGCTGTGGAAGCTGTGCTTTGCCTTAGCCAAGTTGTCAGTGGACTCTGCAGCCACTGCAGACTCTTCTGTGGTACATGCATCTAAAAAGGACACATCGGTGCTTCTCGGGAATTTCCTATCATTTCCCCTTGCCCTATCCCTTGCTGTCTCTCTGCTGCCCTAACTCCACACTCCCAGAGGTAAGCCAGTAACTGTGAAATGTCTTTTGAAATGGAGAATTTCACTGGCCACTTTTGGCTTAATTGGGTAAACTTAATAGCTTATGGCCAGCCTGAAGAAATTATTGACAGATGCGAAACAGTTTCCCATGGTTCAGAATAACTGGATTTAGTAAATGTCAATTTCCAGAGTTCTTAGAAGCTGAGAAAAAAATCAACTTTCTTACCAGGGCTGATTTTTATAAAGGTCAACAGCTTTTCAACTTCATCTTCTTTGTTAGACTCAAGATCATCATTCCCCCCAAATGATCTCTAAACATGACATAAGAAGTCATTGGCTTTATGATAATTAAAATAATAATTATGATGATGATAATGATAGACACTCACATTTATTGAGTTGTTACTATACCCCAGGCCCTGTGCTAAACACTTTATCTATAGTATTTCAGTTAATCCTCTGAAGCAAGTAGCATTATATTGCTGTCTCACAGATGAGGAAATTCAGGCTCAGAGAGGCTTAGTTACTTATTCAAAGTCAACAAATCTAAGTCTTGAGCCTGATTCTGGCATTTATATTCTTGACCGCTCTCCAGTGGTTCTCCAAGTTTATTGCTTAGACACTAGTTCTATGAATTGTATTTCAATTCATCCTATGAAACAAGGATGAACTGAAATATAACTGAGACAATGGGTTTCTCAGCTGTAGTGCCCCATTTTTTGTCTACTTGGGTAACAAAGCAGGGACACCTACCTAGTCCAGCAGCCCATCATGCTACTGGGCCTATCATGCTACTGCTCTTTCTTCCACCTGGTACTACTAGAGGAAACCTGTGGAAATGTCACCACGAACTTTAGAAATGTATCTCCCATTTGACAAACAAGAAAAGAAAAACCCAGAGAGACTGAGTGGCTGCCCAAATTCATGTAGCTCTCACTTTAGAGCTGGAAGGCATGTTTAGGATGGCAGCTGATCCTTGAACAACACAGGGATTCAGGCACAAACCTAATAATAGATGTTACTCATTTATCAAAGAAAAAAGGAGGGGAGGCTTTAGCCAAATAAATTTGGGGTCACTGGATTAAAACAAAGTTAATAGGTTTCTCTACTGTGAGAGTTGGGAACTTTTACAAAGCGGGTACATTACTAATCTCCAGGAAAAGAAAAGCAAATACAATTCCCCAGTCTTGTTTAACCACAAAAACCATGTTCTCCTGGGACAGTTTTTATGGGGCTAACATCCCATGGGCACACTTGAGAAATATTGCATGACTCACAGTAATGGGGTAGAACCTACCACATTTAACCCTTAGGAATCCAACAGGCGCTCTCCCTCTCCCTCTCCCTCTCACTCTCCCCACGGTCTCCCTCTCATGCGGAGCCGAAGCTGGACTGTACTGCTGCCATCTCGGCTCACTGCAACCTCCCTGCCTGATTCTCCTGCCTCAGCCTGCCGAGTGCCTGCAATTGCAGGCACGCGCCGCCACGCCTGACTGGTCTTGGTGGAGACGGGGTTTCGCTGTGTTGGCCGGGCCGGTCTCCAGCCCCTAACCGCGAGTGATCTGCCAGCCTTGGCCTCCCGAGGTGCCGGGATTGCAGACGGAGTCTCGTTCACTCAGTGTTCAATGGTGCCCAGGCTGGAGTGCAGTGGCGTGATCTCGGCTCGCTACAACCTACACCTCCCAGCCGCCTGCCTTGGCCTCCCAGGGTGCCGAGATTGCAGCCTCTGCCCGGCCGCCACCCCGTCTGGGAAGTGAGGAGTGTCTCTGCCTGGCCGCCCATCGTCTGGGATGTGAGGAGCCCCTCTGCCTGGCTGCCCAGTCTGGAAAGTGAGGAGCGTCTGCGCCCGGCCGCCATCCCATCTAGGAAGTGAGGAGCGCCTCTTCCCAGCCGCCATCACATCTAGGAAGTGAGGAGCGTCTCTGCCCGGCCGCCCATCGTCTGAGATGTGGGGAGCGCCTCTGCCCCGCCGCCCCATCTGGGATGTGAGGAGCGCCTCTGCCCGGCCGAGACCCCGTCTGGGAGGTGAGGAGCGTCTCTGCCCGGCCGCCACGTCTGAGAAGTGAGGAGACCCTCTGCCTGGCAACCACCCCGTCTGAGAAGTGAGGAGCCCCTCCGCCCGGCAGCTGCCCCGTCTGAGAAGTGAGGAGCCTCTCCGCCCGGCAGCCACCCAATCTGGGAAGTGAGGAGCGTCTCCGCCCGGCAGCCACCCCATCCGGGAGGGAGGTGGGGGGTCAGCCCCCCCGCCCGGCCAGCCGTGCCGTCCGGGAGGGAGGTGGGGGGGTCAGCCCCCCGCCCGGCCAGCCGCCCCGTCCGGGAGGTGAGGGGCGCCTCTGCCCGGCCGCCCCTACTGGGAAGTGAGGAGCCCCTCAGCCTGGCCAGCCACCCCGTCCGGGAGGGAGATGGGGGGGTCAGCCCCCCCACCCGGCCAGCCGCCCCGTCCGGGAGGGAGGTGGGGGGGTCAGCCCCCCGCCTGGCCAGCCGCCCCGTCCGGGAGGGAGGTGGGGGGGTCAGCCCTCCGCCCGGCCAGCCGCCCCGTCTGGGAGGTGAGGGGCGCCTCTGCCCGGCCGCCCCTACTGGGAAGTGAGGAGCCCCTCTGCCCGGCCAGCCGCCCGGTCCGGGAGGGAGGTTGGGGGGTCAGCCCCCCGCCCAGCCAGCCGCCCTGTCCGGGAGGGAGGTGGGGGGGTCAGCCCCCCGCCCGGCCAGCCGCCCCGTCCGGGAGGTGAGGGGCGCCTCTGCCCGGCCGCCCCTACTGGGAAGTGAGGAGCCCCTCTGCCCGGCCAGCCACCCCGTCCGGGAGGGAGGTGGGGGGGTCAGCCCCCTGCCCGGCCAGCCGCCCCGTCCGGGAGGGAGGTGGGGGGGTCAGCCCCCCCGCCCGGCCAGCCGCCCCGTCCGGGAGGTGAGGGGCGCCTCTGCCCCGCCGCCCCTACTGGGAAGTGAGGAGCCCCTCTGCCCGGCCACCACCCCGTCTGGGAGGTGTGCCCAACAGCTCATTGAGAACGGGCCAGGATGACAATGGCGGCTTTGTGGAATAGAAAGGCGGGAAAGGTGGGGAAAAGATTGAGAAATCGGATGGTTGCCGTGTCTGTGTGGAAAGAAGTAGACATGGGAGACTTTTCATTTTGTTCTGCACTAAGAAACATTCTTCTGCCTTGGGATCCTGTTGATCTGTGACCTTACCCCCAACCCTGTGCTCTCTGAAACATGTGCTGTGTCCACTCAGGGTTAAATGGATTAAGGGCGGTGCAAGATGTGCTTTGTTAAACAGATGCTTGAAGGCAGCATGCTCGTTAAGAGTCATCACCAATCCCTAATCTCAAGTAATCAGGGACACAGACACTGCGGAAGGCCGCAGGGTCCTCTGCCTAGGAAAACCAGAGACCTTTGTTGACTTGTTTATCTGCTGACCTTCCCTCCACTGTTGTCCCATGACCCTGCCAAATCCCCCTCTGTGAGAAACACCCAAGAATTATCAATAAAAAAATTAAAAAAAAAAAAAAAAAAAAAGAATCCAACAGCCTTTTTTAAACCACCAAAGAAGCAGAGAATAATGGGATAAAACAGGTTAAAAGCTACTCATCTATGTTTTTTAAAAAATAAAAAAGCTTTGCTGTAATAGCCGGAATCAGAAGGGCCTTTCCAGATTTTTTTCATAATTATTTGCCATGATTGCAACAAACATTTTTGAGAATTTAATGGATGGGTAGAAGCTATGGCAGTTCTTAAAGAGTTACCAGACAAGGTCCCTGCTTCAAGAAGCTTGTAAACTAATATGTCTTGCAGTGCTGACTGCTTCCAAAGCAAAATCTAGGGTTTCCGCTAGCCAAAATAGCACCTTTGTTCAAATTAGAGGAAAAAAATTGTGGAGAACACAGCTTGGCAAGCAGACAGAACCACTGGCAACTTTTTAGAGGTGCCTTTTCCTTCAGGCTGATGCAGCCCATACTGGGTTGAGGAGTGTCCCCTAAAAATTCTGTTCAAACAGAACCTTGGAATGTGACCTTGTTTAGAAATTGGGTCTTTGTGGAGGTAATTAGTTAAAATGAGATCATTCTGGATTAGGGACGGCCCCAAGTCTAATATGACTGGCATCGTTATAAGAAGAGGAAAAGAAATACACACAGGCACAAAAGAAGGTCCTGTGAAAACAAAGGCAGAGATTAAAGTGCTGCTGCCACAACCAAGGAATGCTAAAGATTTCTGGTAGCCGCCAGAAGCTAAGAACAGATTCTCCCTCTGAGCCTCCAGAACCCAGATGACACCTTGATTTCAGACTTCTGGCCTCCAAAACTGTGAGAGAAGAAATGTGTTGTTTTAAGGCACCCAGCTGGTGACAGTTCATCACAGTAGCCACAGGAAACTAATACCCAGCCCCATGGCAGGCATAGGTCAAGCCTGGCACAGTCTGGATCTCAGTCCCTGACTCAGACCCTGGATGCTCGCTGCCTTGTACAGAAACAACCTGCTCAACCAAACAGGGTGACCCTGCTGAAGCCGCAAATGTCCAACAGTCCTGCCAACCGTGGATGCTTCTGTAGCTTCCCTTTAGCTCTCACTCCTGGCATGAAACCAGACACAGACTACCCAGAAGATGAACTGAGCACTCTGCAATGGGCCCAGCACACTGCTGCATCTGAGACCATCTTCTCGGCCCTAACAACCCTGGCGGGCTCTTCTCTCTGGTGGGGAAATTGGGCTTAGGGAAAGGACATCTTTAGGACAGTCATCCCACCAAGTAGAATGACTCTATGCAGCCTGAATACTGTTTCCCTGGGAGGAAAAAAATCCAAAGCATAAACTTTTATAAGCTGTTTTAATTAAAACACTCTTTGTAAAGTGATGGATTTGAAGCAAGGGAGGAGAAAGGTTTTCTGGCAAAAGTGTCTTTTGTGGTGTTTCTTTGGTGAGCAAAAGGAACTCAACTGATGAAAACACAAAAGCACAAACATTCTGTGGCCAGTAAAGTGGGTGGAGGGGGCAATGGAGACAACCTCAGGTGGGGCCCAGCTTGTAACGCTGGCAGGGCTCTGTTAATGTGCTCCATAAAGGGCTTTGGAGGGCGGGAGGAGCACCACCAACATTTTAAATGTGAGGCCAACCATAAAACGATTCATGATTAGTCCACTAAAATGTGTTTATTGGCAAATAGGAAAGAGATCCCTGAAAATAAGCAGGAACAGGTGATTTTCAAGGCTGACTTAGGTCTCCTATTCAGCTACTCAACAATTATATCCGAGCTACGTGCAGTGGCTCACCCTGTAATCCCAGCACTTTGGAGGCTGAGGCAAGAGGCGAAAAGTTCGAGACCAGCCTGGGCAACCTAGCGAGACACCATCTCTATGAAAAATTTAAAAATTAGCCTAGCATGTGTCTTGTGCCTGTGGTCCCAGCTACTCAGGAGGCTGAGGTGAGAGGATCACTTGAGCCCCAGAGGTTGAGGTTACAGTGAGCTGTGATCACACCACTGCACTCCAGTCTGGGTGACAGAGTGAGACACTGTCTCAAGAAAAAACAAAAATTAAAACAAACAATAACAACAAAAACACAATTGTTTCCTGAGTTCCTACTATTTGCAAAGCAAAAGTGTCTGGAGAAAGGAGGGATCAAGGGGCTCTCAGTTATAAAAGAAAGGGTTTAAGTGGAGTGAAAAGTCTCAGAACACAACACCCAGACATAAGGCAGAAATGGAGGAGGTGGAATTTCCACTTCAATCTCTGTGTCTTTAAGCATATCTCATCTTTTAAAATTCCTTACTCTCATTAAAAAGACAAAATTTAAAGATCTTAATTCATCATTCTAGAATCAGGCAGCTCTCAGAACCAGAACAAGTTCAAAGGACTCCAACCTGCCACGTGATCAGACAGCACTGACGAACAGAAAATACAAATGAGGTACAGAAATGGAAGTGAGGTATAGAGACAGCCTGATTGGTTACTGCTTGGGGTTTGCCTTATTTGAACTTGGTCTGAACAATTGACCGCCTGTGATTGAATGAAGCTCTCAGCTGCTATGATTGGCTGAGACTCAGCTATATGTTACAAAAGTATATTCCTAAATTAGGCTTCCAGTTAGTTTATGTATGAAGTTAGGCTGCAGTTTGTTATGTGAAGACTCCTGTATGGAGACATCCTCAGGTCAAATTTAGTTTAATTTAACACTCAAAAGAAACCACATGTTTTCCAGACCAGAGTTGACTGATATTGTTTTCCAACTCTCATTCTGTATGTTTATAACAATTTTATATCGGGATACAACAGTGTGCCTATAATGTGATACATGTGCTGTTGGAAGTGTTAAGAATATCTTTCATTAGTGCATTTGAAAAATCTTTCCATTTTACCCTATACACTGTGTGCATAGTATAAAAATTCCCATGTTGTCTAGAATAAGCAAAAATGACTTTTATAAACATATGATTTTTCTAATTAAGCAAAATTATCTAAAAGATTCATCTGTCTGCCAAGCCTGGTGAAAGGCTCTTACAGTCGTGACACTGACTTGAGGGAAATATCATGGTTCAAAGGCGCATTGACAAACCAACATCCAGTATTTCTTTCAAGCCAAGTGGGTAGAAAATAATTTTAAAAGAGGCAGATGCACAGTAGGGAGTGGGGGGAAAATTAAAGCTAATATAAGTAGCTTTAGAAAATTTGGAAAATTATGTTTTGGCTTTGAAAATTTGGAAAATGTTGGAAATTGTAAGGCTAGAGACAAAGGAAATTGTATACAAACACTGTACTTTAAAGTTGCTTCTCACAGGGGTATAAGTTAAGAATTATGAAATTGCTATACATGTATACTAGGGTTGAATGATGGATGGTGAGAGCCAGTGTTCTCACTGTTAGAAGAAGAAGTTACAGATAAGCAGAGACAAGGCTAGAAGGAGTCCATGTGGTGATAGATCAGAGTCAGAGACATCAATCTAAACTCACATTTAGCTTAACATAGATACAGATGGATAGATATAGAAATATATATATGTGTGTATGCATGATTATACATACATACCTATATTTCCTAGCTCTGTCTGCTGCAAAAACTAGAAACAGTTATACCTCAGTACCAATGAGCATACCCAGAGCCAAAATCTTGAACTCTACTGCCATTCTCCAAAAAAAAAAAAAAAAAAACCAGGACTCCTTGAAGAACACAATCTTGATTCTAGCGATGGTGTAATATTGTGACATAATAAGAAATATATATTTGGCCTTCATCCCAGGTTCCTAGCACAGAGCTCCTAAACCCTTAAAGTTTCCTAAGTGATGGGGTGAGAAGAGTGCCTTTTTAAATAATATTTGGTATTTGTTCCTGGTTCCTGACACAAGAGAGTCTAAAACGCTTGGAATTTCCTGAGTGACAGGAGTGAGAGGAGCATCATTTACTTTTCCTCAGAAGCCCCTTTTAACCATACTTGAGTTTATGCTGATGAGGTATCTCTTGGTGGGCCCATACATAGCTTCAGGATGGGAACTGGTTACCAGAAGATCAGCCAGTGATTAGATGGTTGAAATTTTCAGCCACACCCTCTGACCTCCAGGGCTGGAGATTGATTAATCACCAGTGACCAATGATGTAATAGATCATGCCTACAAAATAGAGACTGCAGAAAAAACCTGGGTTGAAAAAAAACAGTTTTTTCAACTGGGTTCAGAGAGCTCCTGGGCTGGTGAACACATCAAGGTGCAGCTTGGGGAGTGCATGGAAGCCTCGCACCCCCATCTTCATGCCTTGCCTTCTGCATCTATGCTGCTCTTCCTGAGTTGTAGCCTTTATAATAAACTGACAATAGTGAGTAAACTGTTTTCCCGGAGGTCTGTCCAGGGATAAGTTCCATTTGGTTATGGTACATAACCCTTTTTATATAGTTCTAGACTTGGCCAGTGCTTTTTCACCAGCCACAGCTACATCTCATAGACTCTTTCCCAAAGCAAATCTCCTGTGGTGGCACTAGATCATATCTCTGATCTTAAAAACTGCTAAGTGGCAAATAATAACCAAAAAGCTGAACACTATTCAGCTGGATTCCTCAGGAGGCCCTCAGAAGCTTAATGAGACAAGCCGTGAAGGTGGCTCAGAGGACAGAGTGGTGGGAACCCCCAATTTATAGCAGGTTAGTCAGAAGTACAGGAGGCCTGGACTTGCAATTGGTGTTTGAAGTGGAGGAAGCCTTGTGGACTGAGCCTTGAACTTCAGAATCTGACTCTAACTCCAAGTAGATAGTGTCAGAACCGAACTGAATTGTGGGGCACCTTTGCTAGTGTTAGAGAACTGGTTAGAGTAGGGAAGAAAAAAACACACAGTTGGTGTCAGAAATGTCATGGGAGTGAAAAACAGATCTTTGTAGATGGGGATGAAGAATACAAGATGAGCTTGAAGCATCTTGTGTCTGAAAGTAAGGAAGTGCTCAAAAACCAAAAGGGTGGGGGCATGCCAAAAGGAAACAGAGGTCAACCTAAAGTATCTCCCCATGGCCAAAGCAGAAACCATTTGAGCAACAAAACAGATAAAGCAATGTTATGTGTAAATAAATATAAAATAAATATTTATAACTGCATACTGATATAAGTACATAATTACATAAATAATAAATGGGAAGGCTAATCTTCCTCACAGAAGAATTCCAAATAATTTATGTAGATTCCTAGGAAATAGAATTTAATTCCCCCATCCCTTTGAGTATGGAGTGCACCTAATGACTCACTTCTAAAGAATGAGAGTATAGAAAGTGGGAGGAAAGTCATTTTACAGTGACAAAAACTAGAAAGGTCCACCTAGGCCAGGTGATAAAGATTAACATCCGTAGCAATGCCATGTTGATAGCATGTACCACTGAAATGATGTGAATGGAATACAACTATGTTAGCTTCACCTCTGTGGTCTTCCTCCCAAAACCCATGACCCCAGTCTAGCTATGAGAAAAACATCAGACAAACCCAATGGAGGGACATTCTACAAAACATCTGACCAGCACTCCTCAAAACTGTCAAGGTCATCAAAAACAAGGACAAGCTGGGAAACTGTCATAGCCTAAAGGAACCTAAGGAGACATGACAATTAAGCATAATGTGATATCCTGGATGGGATCCTGGAACAGGAAAGAACATTAGTGGGAAAACTGGTGAAATGTGAATAAAATGTGGAATTCAGGTAATAGAAATATTCCAACGCTGATTTCTTAGTTGTGACAAGTGGTAATGTCTGATGCTCACAGTAAGGGAAAACTGGGTGAGGGGTATATGGAAACTCCCTGTGCTATCTTTGCAACATTTTTGTAATTCTAAAATAAAAAGCTAATTAAAAAAGAAAAAGAAAAAAAATTGGTTTCCTTGACTAAGGCTTTGAGTTTCCCAGTCTACTCAAGCAGAAGTCTAGGAAACCTGAAATCATTCAAAAATAGAGAGAGACTCAACCAAGTCTTCCTGTGTCTGAGTATCACTGTCTGAGCAGTGGCCCTACCCACAGATGGCTAGAGTGAGCAAAACACAGTGGAGAAACACAGGGCCCTTTATGTGAGGGACACTGATTTGGCCCCTTCCTCCAAGGCAGTATGCTGAGAGTGGTCTAAAGAAATTACGTCATGGAAACGCACCACGCCATCAGACCCCTGACAGGCTAATATTTGGCTGTAGAGTGGCTGAGAACATGAGTTCAGGAATACAGCCATGTCATCTAATGGATTCCTTTGTATTGGATGTTTTCTTACCCTACTACATGCAGTCATATGCCCAGTGTATGCCGTCTTACCTTCCATGCAAACAATGCCCTGAGAATAATTGCTGGTCCCTGGTTTGAGCTAGGTGCCCCTTCTGTTCCCTAGACATATCTTAATTGCTGCATCCATCTTGTTGGTCACATGCCAGCTCCCTCAACCTGGCTGGGTTGCAGGCATGTGCCTTATTCATCTCCTTATTCATCTCTGTATCCACAGTGCCCAGGGCATAATAAACTCTCAATAAATGTTCAGTGGATGACTAAACGTAAGAACAAATGACTGAATGTTCCAAACCCACAAAGGCAATCAGGAAATGTGATTATCCAAAGTAGCTTACACAAACTGAATGCACAGCTCTGTAAAACGTCAGCTTCCTTCTTTTTCTCTTCCTCTCTTTGATCACCCTTTCCCAAATGTGGAAATCCCAAAAGGGAACAAAGCCAGTTCTGAGCAGGATTTCATTTTGCAACTGTAGTTAAAATGTACTCTGTCACTTGCCACCAGCATCACTGGGATTTATATGTTCTTAGTAAGGGCCACGCTGTTCTAGATGAAGCATAAAAAATCCTATAATGATTATGTCTGGGATCTTTGCATACGCTGAATCATCTCCAAAGCTTATTTCCTACATGATCATACCTGACCCTGAAACGGCCTTGTCATGTCTTCCAAGTGCAAATAGTTGTCAGAATTTACTGAGGAGGAAATTGAGGCTCAGAGATGGCTGTCTGATATGAGGCAGATACAAGGCTCAAATCTGAACTTTTGACTCCAAGTCAAAGGTTTCTTCTGTGGAATTTCACTGCTGGTCACTTAGATGAAGAGAGAAAGACCAGTACAGAGAAAGGAATTCGAGGGTACCGTGATGTGGTTGGAGCAGTAAGGGAAGGGCTTTGGACAACAGGGACTTGAACTGGATACGTGGGAAAGAGAGGTTGTCCAGGCAGAAGGAACAGCAGGGGCAAAGGGAGGAAGCAGGAGCTGGCAGGGCCTCTGAGAGCCACCCTAAGGGGGCCAGTGACTGGGACAGTGGGGTAACACAGGCAGACCTGGGAGTAGAGAAGCCCTTCTACCTGTGAATTTCAATGGATGAACACTCACACAAAGCTAAGCTGAACCCTGGTGCCAAAGTGCCCTTGACCCAAACATGGTATGAGCATCCTTTTGCCCTCCACCATATTGTAAGGGCACATTCCCTACGCTAGGATGGTTGTAAGGATTTACCATAACTAATTTTTTTTTCCTGGAGACAGGGTCTTGCTCTGTCACCCAGGCTGGAGTCCAGTGGCACAACCATGGCTCACTGTAGCCTTGACCTCCCAGACTCAAGCGCTCCTCCTGCCTCAGCCACCTACTAACTGGGACTACAGAAATGCACCATGATGACCAGCTAATTTTTTAAATTTTTAGCAGAGATGAGGTCTGACTATGTTGCCCAGGCTGGTCTCGAACTCCTGGGCTCCTGTGATCCTCTGCCTTGACCTCCCAAAATGCTACTACAACAATTAAGAAGAGCATCCTTACAATGGAAACAAAAGTAGCCATTAAAAAGGAGGTTGAAAGTGATAAGGAAAGAACAAATACTATACATCCTAATGTCTGAGGCATTTGACAATACAAATGATTCTCAAAATCAAAGAAAATTCTGCCACATGTGAGAAGTGCTATAACTTTGCAATGTACAGCAGTCAGCTAGATATGAGAAAGAGATGAGTAAAATGCAAAGATTTTGAGTATGCAACTTGAGGATCAGCATGAACTCTAAATACACATTAGACTATTGTTGGAAATAGACTAGGAGTTTACTTATTCAATCATTCCATAAATATTTGTTGAGCATCTACTATGTGCCAAGAACCATTCTAGATACTGAGCATAGAGCAGTGAACAAAATCAAGTCCCTGCCCCCATGTAGTTTTTATTTTATAAGGAGAAATGGATGACAAACAACATATTTATTAGGTGCTGATATGTGTCCTGAAGAAAAATCAATAAGGACAACTGAGTTAAAGAGTACTGGTGTGAGAAGGCCCAAGGAATATTGGTGCTTGTGTTCAGTGGTCAGGAAGACCTCTCAAATAAGGTGGCTTTGATCAGACACCTAACTTCTTTGAGATCCGGAAGTTTAAACATGATGAAAACGCCATCAATGAAACTTTTTGTAAGTTTTAATTTTTTTAATTTTAATTTTAATTTTTTATTCTTTTATTTTTTGAGACAGGATCTCACTCTGTCACCCAGGCTGGAGTGCAGTGACACGATATTGGCTCACTGCAACCTCCACCTCTCGATCTCAAGCAATTCTCCCACATCAGCTTCCCAAGTAGCTGGGACCACAGGTGCACACCACCATGCCCAGCTAATTTTTTTTTCTTTTTACTTTTTGTAGAGATGGGGTCTCTCTGTGTTGCTCAGGCTGGTCTCAAACTCCTGAGCTCAAGCAATCCTCCCGCCTCAGCCTCCCAAAGTGCTGGGATTACAGGCATGAGCCACTGCACCCTGTCAAGTTTTAAATTTTAACTATTTATTTAACTTTTATTTAGTTAGAGAGGCAGTGAACTTATGCTGCAAGACACAGCAAATCCAGTAGGTTCTAGAAGGTAGGTCCCAAAAATGTCATCACGCTCAAGAGACCTGCATGTCAGTCGCGTGCACACCAGAACTGCCAAAGCTTTCTCAGACAGTTGCAGGAATCCTCAAAGAGCAAGGTTACCTGCTTGCCTTGCTCCTGCCTCATTCGACTGCAAAAGGAATAGAAATGCATCTCTTTTGACAAACAATGTGTAATAAAATAGTCACCCCTAATAGGCAATGAGTGTGTCTAAGTTTAAAGCTTACAATTAACTCACATTTCTATTAGGTAGAAATGATCTGGGAGATACAAACTTGAACTCTTTTTGTTCCTTTGCCTTTAAAACCTACGTTGTTGGTGAGCAGGTAAGGCATGGGAACTCATTTTCCTCTCACATAGCCCTTCACAGGACAGACACAGAGGCATCTGCTTTGCTTTACAGAGAACGCTGGTAAATCTCTGAATGCTGGGATTTTCAGGATCTGCCAATGAGCAACATGTGCTCTCAGCTTAGCCCAGAAGGAAAATTCTTTCCAATTTGGAGAGTGTTTTTCACGCATCATGCTGGCATCAGCCTGCCAGTCACTCTCATAATTCAAATCCAGCAGAGCAAAGCAAGCAAAGCTCAGAGGAAACAAACCAGCCCAGCCACAGCCCTCATGGCCTGACTTACGTGCTCTATCCCCAGGGAAGGTGGGTTGGCCCCTAATGAATCTCCCACAAGCCAAACTAAGGACTCTGAGCTAGACTGTTCTGGGAGGGAAATGAGATCTTATCCTTTAATTACTTAATGTCCCTAAACACTCTAAAATCCATCCTCTGTGCTGTTTGGACCACAAGCTCTGGGGTCATTACCTGAATTTCTGACTCAGCTTCACCACTCACTGTGTGACTGTGGGCAAACTGCTCAGTTTCTCCACCTCATAGGAATGTTAGGATAAAATGAAATTAAACAAAATGAGAACCTACTATGTGCCTGGCACATAGCTCAAAATAATGTTAGCTAGTGGTATTATTTCTGCCCTTTGTCTCTTGCCTGGACTATTGCAGTGGTCTCCTAATGGTTTTCTACCTCCAGTCCCCCGCTAAAGCCATCCAAAAAATTGTTGCCAAAGTATTCTTGAAGCACATAAATCTGATTCTAAAACCCTGCAGTGATTCCTCACTGCCCTCAGAATATATCTAGATTCACCTGCAGGGCATATAAAACCCTGTCATCTGACACCTCTGTACACCTGCACTATGCTGTTTGTTCAGCCCAGAATGCCGGTTTCTCACCTTGACCACCTGCTAAGCTCCTGCTCATCCCTTAAGGTTTGCCGTGAGCATCATTTCCTCCAACGTCTCCCTGCCAATCATAGTCAAGCATCTTTTTCTTTGCTTCCTGTGGAACATTCAGTATTGACTTTACGATGGCACTTAGTACACTGTACTGTCATTGTTAGCCTGGATTTCTTCCTTTATAGAATGTTCAGTTTAGCCATAAGAGGCCAAAGGACAAGAGAGAATGACAACCCACAGTCAATGGGATGCCTTTACTCTGTTTTTCCATCACCTCAGCCAGCTAGCAATACACAGAATACATGCAAAGCCATGCCATCCTATGCTTGTGATGTTAAGGATGTCAGACTTTATTGTGAAGAGGCAATAGTTGTAAGTAGGGAAGTAAAGTGGTTGGTTTTGGAGAGACTGACAGATCTTACAGAAGCAGAACTGGCAAGGGTGATGGCTGACTGGAAAGCAAGATAAAGAAGGAGTTGGCTGGAGATGCTACTAATACAGGTAAGCCAGAAAGAGTAGAAGTCTAGGAGAAGGAAATAAATTCAGTTTTAAAACACACACACACACACACACACACACACACAAATTCTGGTGGCATTTACTAGAAATTTAGGTAACGTAAATGTTTAGCCTTACCCAAAGAAAACTAAATATTGTTTTATATTCATTCAATCACGCAATAAGTGTTTCTGAGTGCACATTACATACAGTACATGTCAAACAAATACATATCAAAGAGATTTACAATCTAATGACTAAATGCTATGAATAAGAAAAAATAGCAGGAGGGAATTAAGATTGACAGATGGTGATAATTTTATATATCAGAGAAGGCTTCTCTAAGGAAAATATTTGAATAGATACTCAAATGAATTGAGGTGTTGTGCAGACAGACATCTGAGGGAAGAGAGTTCTCAGCTGAGAGAAGACCAAATACAAAGGCCCTAAAAGAGCTCTGGTTCACATTTTCCTATTTTTGGCACGTCTAGTAGTTTTCATCTGGAAGCTAGATTGTTGAGTGTTGAATTTTGCTCTATAAAAAGAGTCATTATTTTCCTGGCAGGTAGGCAAGTCACTTGAAGTCCAGCCTCATCCTTTTGAGTCTTGTTGTTAAGTTTTGTTAGAGGGTATTGAAAGGAACCTATACTCTAGGGCTGGGACAGCCCCACAACTAAGGCATCGTACTTTTGAAGTCTTCACTGAACGCACCAGGAATTCAATAGTACTTGCCCTTTGCTGATTAGAACACAACCATCTTCTAGCCCTATGTAAGCTCTGGAAATTATTCAGATTCTAGGACTCCAGTCATTCTTTGCCTGGCCTCTTGGAATTATATTCTGTGAGGGCATAGTTTGTTATTCAGCAACACACTCAAGGAGACCACTATGCAATTTCTTGCTCTGTGTGGCTTAATTCTCCTCCTCATTAGTCTGCCTTGCAAATTGTAGCTGCTTCAGCCTCTTCAAACTTCAATCTCTCCTCAGCTCAGTAAGACTGCTTGGATTCTCCCTTCCCACACTATAGTTCAGAAAGTGCTCCCAGGCAGCAGTCTGGGGTAACCATAGGGTTCACCATGTTTGTTTCTACTTCTCTGATTTACAGTTTTAAAAGCCCAGTCTGGCTATTCTGTGGAGAATAGAATGAAGGATGCCAACAGTGGAAACACAAGACCAGTTAGGACACTACTAAAGTAATCCAGGTAAGGTAGGGTGGAGCAATGGAGGAGGTGAGAAAACGTTAGGTTCTGGATATACTTTGAAGGTAGAACCCATAGGGTTTACAGATGATTTAGATGTGAGAGGTGAAGGTCAAGGATGATTCCAAGGCTTTTTGACATGGGCATCTAGACGAATTGCGGCACCATTTAAAGAGATGGAGGATCGTGGAGGAGAAGCAGGCTTAGAGATTGGGAGAGTGATGAAAAGTTGGGTTTCAGGAATGTCAAGTCTGAGATCCTATTGCATCCATGGAGAAATGATACATAGGCAGTTGGTAATGTGTGTCTGGAAAGTAGGGGAAAGGTTGGGATGGAAATGTAAATCTGGATTATAGAATAAATTTAAAGTCAAAACTAGAAGAGATCACCTGGTGAGTGACTGTAAATAGACAGAAAATATTCAAGGCCTAAGGCATGGGTGACTTCAACATTTAGAAGGTGTATTCGTCCATTTTCACACTGTTGATAAAGACACACCTGAGACTGGGCAATTTATAAAAGAAAGAGGTTTAATGGACTCACAGTTGCGCATGGCTGGGGAGGCCTCACAATTATGGTGGAAGGTGAAAGGCACATCTGACATGGCAGTAGAGAAAAGAAAAGAAATTGTGCAGGGAAACTCCTGTTTATAAAACCATCAGATCTCATGAGACTTATTCACTATCACGAGAATAGCATGAGAAAGACCCATTCCTGTGATTCAATTACCTCCCACTGGGTCCCTCCCACAACATGTGGGAATTGTGGGAGCTACAATTCAAGATGAGATTTGGATGGGGATACAGCCAAACCATATCAGAAGGCAAGAAGCCAAGCAAAGCAAATTTATATATTCTCCACAGAGTCATGACATCATTTCTCAGCAGCATCTAAGACGTGAGGTTTCTGGGAAAAAAATACAAGATACACGTCACAATCCAGCCCTGAAGAGCCATATCCTATGCTTAGTAAACCCAGAAAGTACAACCACCCCCTCATGGCCAGTGTCGCCTGAAGATAAGATTGTGTCTGAGATCTGATTTGAAAACAACCCATGCAGAGCCAAGGTGAATTTATAACTAAAGTACAGTGTGTTGAGGTGACAAATGCACAGAAACAAGCATCAAGGGACATGAGTTCCAGTCCAGATAATGACTTTAACTAACTGAACTCAAGCAAACACTAACCTCCCTGAACTTTGGTTTTTTCCCTTGCAAAATGAAGACATTGAATGAAGTGGGCTTTGAAGTTTCTTCCAGTTTTTTATCCTAAAAACCCTGGAGAAACCCTTCGAAAGATTAGAAAAGAGATATTTTCTAATTCCATCCTCCACTGAAAGCTCTTCCCCCTAATTTACCTATGAGATCTCTCCAAATATTCTAGAACAAGCAGTGCCTCTTCAAATATCTATCTGCTCCATGCAACCTGTGCCTTCCTTCGAGAAATCTGGATACCTAGAGAGGAGCCACCAGCTTCTAAAAAGGGAGCAACTTATTATTAGAGCTCTCAGGATTTTCTAAGACTCAGGGTATCAGTCAGAGTGCAAACATCTATGCCACACCAACTACCACATCAGGGATTTTTTAATAGACATTATCTTTAATACACATTTACATTCACAGCAAAATTAAGCAGAAGATACAAAGATTTCCTATATGCCCCCTGCCCCTATACACACACAGCCTCCCCCATTATCAGCTTCCCCTGCCAGAGTGCCACATTTGTTACAATTAATGACACATCATTATCATCCAAAGCCCATAGTTTACATTAGGGTTTGCTCTTGGTGTTGTACATTCTGTGAATTTAAACAAATGCATTAGGACATGTATTCATTATAGTACCATACAAAATAGCTTCATTGCCCTGAAAGTCCCCTGTGCTCCATCTGTTAAACCCCTTGCAACCATTGATTATTTTCCTGTTTCCATAGTTTTGCCTTTTCTAGAATGCCATACAATTAGAATCGTATGTAGACTTTTCAAATTGGCTTCCTTCATTTATTAATGTGCCTTTACATTTCCTGCATGTCTTTTCGTGGCTTGGTAGATCATTTCTTTCTTTCCTTTTTTTTTCTGAGACAGAGTCTCGCTTTGTCACCCAGGCTGGAGCGCAGTGGCACGATCTCGGCTCACTGCGAGCTCTGCCTCCTGAGTTCACACCATTCTCCTGCCTCAGCCTCCAGAGTAGCTGGGACTACAGGCGCCCGCCACCTCACCCGGCTAATTTTTTGTATTTTTAGTAGAGACAGGGTTTCATTGTGTTAGCCAGGATGGTCTCGATCTCCTGACCTCGTGATCCGCCCGCCTCAGCCTCCCAAAGTGCTGGGATTACAGGTGTGAACCACCGCGCCCAGCCCAGCTCATTCCTTTTTAGCACTGAATAATATTCCACCATCTGGATATATCACAGTTTATTTATCCATTAACACTGAAAAACATCTTGGTTTCTTCCAAGTTTAGGCAATTATTAACAGAGCTATGATAAACATCCACGTGCAGGTTTTTAATTTGGACATAGTTTTTAACTCTTTGTGTAAATCCCAAGGAGTATAATTGCTGGATTCTTTGGTAGGGATATGTTTAGTTTTGTAAAAAACTGCCAAACATGTCTTCCAAATTGACTGTACCATTTTGTATTCCCATCAACAATGAATGAGAATTCCTATTTCTCCACGTACTTGCCTGCATTTGGTCTTGTAAGTATTCTGGATTTTGGCCACTCAAATAGGTGTGTACTGGTATCTCATTGTTTTTTAACTTATATTTCTCTGATGACATGATGTGGAGCATCTTTTCATATGCTTATTGCTATCTATAACTCTTCTTTGATGAGGTATATGTTACAATCTTTGGCCCATTTTTTAATTGGTTGTTTTCTTATTATTGAGCTTTAAGAATTCCTTGTATACTTTAAATAACAGTACTCTTTCAGATATATCTTTTGTAAATATTTTTTCCTACCCTGTAGCTTGTCTTCTCATTCTTCTGACATTGTCTTTCACGGAGTAGAAGTTCTTAGTTTTAATGAAGTCTAGCTTATCAATTCGTTCTTTCAAGGATCATGCCTTTGGTGGTTTTTTTTATTTTTTTTATTTTTTATTTTTTATTTTAATTTTTGAGACGGAGTCTCACTCTGTCGCCCAGGCTGGAGTGCAGTGGCACGATCTTGGTTCACTGCAAGCTCTGCCTCCCGGGTTCACGCCATTCTCCTGCCTCAGCCTCCCAAGTACCTGCGACTACAGGCGCCCGCCACCACACCCGGCTAATTTTTTTTTTATTTTTAGTAGAGACAGGGTTTCTCCGTGTTAACCACCAGGAGATGGTCTCGATCTCCTGACCTCATGATCCGCCCGCCTTGGCCTCCCAAAGTGCTGGGATTACAGGCGTGAGCCACCGTGCCTGGCCACCTTTGGTGTTTTATCTAAAAGTCATTGCTATAATCAATGTCATCTAGATTTTCTCCTATGCCATTTTCTGTGAGTTTTATGATTTTGCACTTTACATCTAGGACTGTGATCCATTTTTAATTAATTTCCATAAAGGGTATAAGATCTGTGTCTAGATTTACTTTTTTGTATGTGGATGTTGTTCCAGCCCCATTTGTTGAATGAGCTATCTTTGCTCCATTTTATTGCCTTTGCTCCTTTGTGAGAGAGTTATATTTTACTGTATTTATGTGGATCTATTTCTGGGCTCTCTATTTCGTTCCACTGAACTACTTGTCTATTCTTTTGACAGTATCACACTGTCTTGACCACTGTAGCTTTATAGTAGTCTTAAAGTCAGGTATTGTCAATCTTCCAACTTTGTTTTTCTCCTTCAGTATTGAGTTGGCTATTCGGGGTTTTTTGCATTTACGTATAAACTTTAGAATTGGTTTGTCAATATCCACAAAATCTGGCATTTTGATTAGGATTTCATCAATAGATGCAATAGAATTGCGTTGTGATTGAAACTATAATAGCTAAAGTTGGTGCCGAAAGAAATCATAGATGACACAAACAAATGGGAACACACTCCAAGCTCGTGGATTAGCAGAATCAATATTGTAAAAATGACCTAATTGCCAAAAGCAATCTACAGAGTAAATGCAATTCACATCAAAATACCAACATCATTTTTCACAGAATTGGAAAAAAATCCTAAAATTAATACAAAACAAAAAAGTGCCTGAATTGACAAAGCAATCCTAAGCAAAAAGAACAAATCTGGAGACATCACATTACTGGACCGCAAATTATGCCACAAGGCTATATTTACCAAAACAACATGGTACTGGTATAAAAGCAGGCACATAGACCAATGGAACAGAATATAAAACACAGAAATAAAGCCAGATACGTACAACCAACTGATCTTCAACAAAGCATACGAAAACATAAATTGGGGAAAGGACATCCTACTTAATAAATGGTGCTGGGAAAACCAGCTAGCCACATGCAGAAGAATGAAACTGGATCCCTATCTCTCACCTTATACAAAAATCAAATCAAGATGGATCAAAGACTTAAATCTGAGGCTTGAAACCATAAAAAATTCTAGAAAAATACCTTGGGAAAACATTTCTGGACATTGGCCTAGGCAAATAATTCATGACTAGGACCCCAAAAGCAAACGCAACTAAAACAAAAATAAATAAATGGGATCTAATAAAACTAAAATGCTTCTGCATAGCAAAAGAAATAATCATCAGAGTAAACAAACAACCCACAGAATAGGATAAAACATTTGCAAACTTGCATGTGACAAAGGACTATTATCCAGAATCTACAAGGAACTCAAACAAATCAGCAAGAAAAAAATAATAATAATCCCATCAAAAAGTAGGCAAGTGGCATGAATACACATTTCTCAAAAGAAGATATACAAATGGCCCACAAACATATGAAAAAATGCTCAACATTGCTAATCATCAGGAAAATGCAAACTAAAATCACAATGAGATATCACCTTACTCCTGCAAGAATGGCCATTATTAAAAAGTCAAAGAAAAATAGATGTTGAAATGAATGTGGTAAAAGGGGAATATTTATACACTGCTGGTGGGAATGTAAATTAGTACAACCTCTATTAAAGAAAACAGTATGGGCCGGGTGCGGTGGCTCACGCCTGTAATCCCAGCACTTTGGGAGGCCGAGGCGGGTGGATCATGAGGTCAGGAGATCGAGACCATCCTGGCTAACAAGGTGAAACCCCGTCTCTACTAAAAATACAAAAAATTAGCCGGGCGTGGTGGCAGGTGCCTGTAGTCCCAGCTACTCGGGAGGCTGAGGCAGGAGAATGGCGTGAACCCGGGAAGCGGAGCTTTGCAGTGAGCCGAGATTGCGCCACTGCAGTCCGCAGTCCGGCCTGGGCGACAGAGCGAGACTCCGTCTCAAAAAAAAAAAAAAAAAAAAAAAAAAAAAAAAAAAACAGTATGGAGATTCCTTAAAGAACTAAAAGTAGATCTGCCATTTGATCTAGCAATCTTACTAACTGGGTATCTACTCAAAGGAAAAGAAGTCACTGTGTGAAAAAGACACATGCACATGTACATTTATTGCAGCACAATTCACAATTACAAAAATATGAAACCAACCTAAGTACCCATCGACCAATGACTGGATAAAGAAAACGTGGTATATATACAACATGGAACACTACTCACCATAAAAAGCAACAAAATAATGTCTTTTGCAGCAACTTGGATAGAGCTGGGCGCCATTATTCTAAGTGAAGTAATTCAGGAATGAAAAACCAAATACCATATAGTCTCACTTATAAGTGGGAGCTAAGCTATGAGTATGCAGAGGCATACAGAGTGATATAACTTTGGAGACTCAGAAGGGGGACAGCAGAAGGGGGATATAAAATAAAAAACTAAATATTGGGTACAACACACACTTTGCTGATGCATGCACTAATTTCTCAGAATTCACTGCTATATAATTTATCCATGTAACAAAAAAACACACACATGTATCCCAAAAGCTATTAAAATTAAAAAATTAAAGAAGAAAAAGAAAAAAAAATCATAATAGATCAAATTGGAAAGAACTGACATCTTGTCAAAATTGGGTGTTCCTATCCATGGACATGGAATATCTCTCCATTTATTTAGTTCTTCTTTGATATCTTTCATCATAATTTTGTAGTTGTCCTCATATAGATATTATTCATATTTTGTTAGATTTATGCCTAAGTATTTCATTTGTGTGTGTGCTAATTTAAAGGCATTGGGTTTTTAATTTCAAATTTTGCTTTCTCATTGCCAGTATATATGAAAGCAATTGACTTTGCGTATTAATCATGTATCCTGCAGCCTTGCTATATGTAGGAAACCAATTGATTCTTATATGTTAACCTTGCATTCTGCAGCCATGCTATAATAATTTACTAGTTTCAGAAGTTGTTTTTTGTTTTTGTTATTTTTTTGTCAGTTCTTTATGATTACTTACACAGAGGATTATATCATTTGCAAACAAAGATAGTTTTATTTCTTCCATCTTATTCAGTGTAACTTTTATTTTCTTCTCTTGTCTTACTGCATTAGCTAGGACTTCCAGTATGATGTTGAAAAGGAGTAGTGAGAGGGGGTATCCTTGCCTGTTCCTGGACTTAGTGGGAAAGTTTTTAGTAGGTTGTTACCATTAAGGATGATATTAGCTGTAGGATTTTTCTTAGATATTATTTATCAAGTTGAGAAAGTTCCCCTCAATTGCTAGTTTACTGAGAATTTTTATTATAAATGAGTGTTGGATTTTGTCCAGTAATTATTCTGCATCTATTGATATGATCATGCAATTCTTCTTCTTTAGCCTGTTGATATGATAAATTATATCAATTAATTTTGATATTTTGAATCAGCCTTGCATAACTAGGATAAATCCCATTTGGTGGCGATATATAATTCTTTTTATATATTGATGGATTTGATTTGCTAATATTTTGTTGAGGATTTTTGCATCCAGACTTATGAGAGATATTGGTCTGTAGTTTTCTTTTCTTGTAATGTCCTTGACTGTTTTCATATCATAGAAATGCTAGCCTCACAGAATGAGTGAGGAAGTATTTTCTCTTTTTCTATCTTCTGAAAGAGATGATACAGAATTGGCATAATTTCTTACTTAAATTTTTAGTAGAATTCACCAGTTAACCCATCTGGGCCTGGTGCTTTCTGTTTGAGAAGGTTATTAATTATTTATTCAATTTTTTAATAGATACAGACCAATTTGAATTGTCTGTTTCTTCTTTTATGAGTTTTGGCAGATTGTGTCTTTCAAGGAATTGGTCCATTTCATCTAGGTTATCAAATCTGTGGCCACAGAGCTGTTGATAGGATTCACTAATTATTTTTTTTTATATTTTTGAGACAGTGTCTCCCTCTATCACTCAAGGTGGAGTGCAGTGGTGTGATATCGGCTCACTGCAACCTCCATCTCCTGGGTTAAAGTGATTTTCATGCCTCAGCCTCCCAAGTAGCTGGGATTACAGGTGTGCACCACCATGCCCGGCTAATTTTTGTATTTTTGGTAGAGATGTAGTTTCACCATGTTGGCCAGGCTGATTTCAAACTCCTGGCCTCAAGTGATCTGCCTGTCTCGGGCTCCCAAAGTGCTAGGATTACAGGTGTGAGCCACAGTGCCCAGCCTGATTATTCTTTTTTGTTTCTTTATATATATATTTTTTTATTATACTTTAAGTTCTAGGGTACATGTGCACAACATGCAGGTTTGTTACATATGTATACATGTGTCATGTTGGTGTGCTGCACCCATTAACTCATCATTTACATTAGGTATATCTCCTAATGCTATCCCTCCCCCCTCCCCCCACCCCACAACCGTCCCCAGTGTGTGATGTTTCCCTTCCTGTGTTCAAGTGTTCTCATTGTTCAATTCCCACCTATGAGTGAGAACATGCAGTGTTTGGTTTTTTGTCCTTGTGATAGTTTGCTGAGAATGATGGTTTCCAGCTTCATCCATGTCCCTGCGAAGGACATGAACTCATCCTTTTTTATGGCTGCATAGTATTCCATGTACATGTGCCACATTTTTTTAATCCAGTGTATCATTGTTGGACATTTGGGTCTTTTCACATTCATGGGATCTGTAGCAATTTTCTCTCTTTCATTTCTGTTATTAGTAATTATTGTCTCTCTCTCTCACTCACCTCTCTTATTCATTCTAGCTAGAGGCTTATCAACTTTATTGATATTTTCAAAGAACCAACTTTTGGTTTATTTTCTTTATTGCTTTTCTGTTTTTAATTTTTGGATTTAATTTGCTCTTGTTTTTCTCTTTTCCTATGGTGGAAACTTAAATGATTGACTTTAGATCTTTCATATTTTCTAATATATGTAGTCAATACCATAAATTTTCCTCTAAGAACTGCTTTCTCTGCATCTTACAAATTTTGATAAGTTGAATTTTCATTTTCATTTAGTTCAGAATGTTTTTAAATTGATCTTGAGTTTTTTTTCTCTGGCCCATGTGTTATTTAAAAGTGTGTTGTTTAATCTCCAAGTATTTTGAGATTTTTCTAGCTATCTTTCTGTTATTGATTTCTGGTTTAATTCCATTTGTTCTGAGACCAAATATTGTACAACCGCTATACTTTTACATTTGTTAAGGTGTGTTTTATGGCCCAGAATGTGGTCTATCTTGGTGAATATTACATGTGAACTTGAAAAGAACGTGTATTCTGCTGTTGTTCGATGAAGTAGTCTGAAGATTTTATTTATATCCTGTTGATTGATGATGTTGTTGAGGTTAGCTATATATTTACTGATTTTCTGCCTACTGAATCTGTTCATTTCTAATAGAGGAGTGTCAAAGTCTTCAATTATAATAGTGGAATCATGTTTCTCCTTGCAATTCTATCAGTTTTGCCTCATGTATGTTGACATTCTGTTGTTAGGTGCATACATTTTAAAGACTGTTAAATTGTCTTGGAGAATTGATTCCTTTATCATTATGCAGTGCCCCCTTTATTTTTGATAACTTTCCTGCTCTGAAGTCTGCTGTGTCTGAAATTAATATATTTACTCCTACTTTCTTTCGATTAGTGTTAGCATGATCTTTTATGCTATATTTCTTTCATGCCATTTACTTTTAATCTATATGTTTCTTTATATTCAAAGTGGGTTTGGGGTTTTTGCATACAACAGTACAGTTGAGTCTTGCTTTTTGATCCCCTCTGAAAACTTCTGTCATTAATTGACATTTGGACCATTAATGTTCAAAGTGATTATTGATATCACTGAATTAATATCTACCATATTTATACTATTTTCCATGTTGTTGCCCTTGTTTCTTGTTCTTATTTTTTCCTTTCATGCTTTTTCTGCCTTCCGTGGTTTTTGTTTTTATTTTTTTTAACCACAACTTTTTGTCCAAACCTTCAGTAGTTTTAGTTGGGTATTTTATTATTCCATTTTATGTCCTTTCCTAGTATATCAGTTATACTTTTTTTTTAGTGGTGGCCCTAAATTTACAATATACATTTCAACTAATACAAGTCCCACTTTCAAATAACACAATACTACTTCACGGGTAATGTGAATATCTTATAATAACAAAGTAATCCTAATTCCTTCCTCCTGTGCTTAGTATTATTGCTGTCATTCATTTCATTTATACATAAACCTTCATAAGAATCTACTCTCTTTATAGATGAGAGATAGGGGCCGGGCACACTGGCTCATTCCTGTAATCCCAGCACTTTGGGAGGCCAAGGCGGGTAGATCACTTGAAGCCAGGAATTCAAGACCAGCCTGGCCAACATGGTGAAACCTCATTTTTACCAAAAAATACAAAAATTAGCTGGGTGTGGTGGTGCATGCCTGTAATCTCAGCTACTCGGGAGGCTGAGGCACGAGAATCACTTGAGCCTGGAAGGCACAGGTTGTAGCAAGCTGAGATTGCACCACTGCACTCCAGCCTGGGAGACAGAGGGAGACTCTGTCTCAAAAAAAAGAAAGATAAGCAGGTATTTATAATTGAATATATTGTTGATATTATTACTTTGAATGAGCTATTATCTGTTAGAACCGCTAAGAATAAGAAAAATAAAAGATTTTACTTTAAATAGTTTTTTTCTCTGATGTGACTCCTTTCTTTATGTATATCTGAGTTTTTTACCCATATCGTTTTCCTTCCCTCTAATGAACTCCTTTAACATTTCTTATAAGGCAAGTCTACTAGAAACAAATGCCCTCAATTTTTTTGTCTGAAACATTATTTATTTCTCCTTCACTTTTGAAGTATAATTTTACAGAGTCCAGAATTCTAGGTTGGCGGGGAGTTCGTGCTCAAAACTTTAAATATTTCACTTTACTCTCTTCTTGCTTGCTTGGTTTCTGAGAAGTTGTATGTAATTCTAATCTTTGTTCCTTTATAGGTAAGTTTTTTTTTTTGCCTCTGGTTTCTTTCAGGATTCTTTATCTTTGATTTTTTGTAGTTTGAATATGATATGCCTAGGCATTGTTTTGGGGTTTTTGTTGTTGTTGTTGTTTTTTAATTGTTTGAGGTTTTTGTTTTCGTTTTGTTTTGCACTTATTCTGCTCTATGTTCTCTAAGCTTCCTAGATCTGTAGTTTGGTGTCTGGCATTAATTTTGGAATAATTCTCAATCATCATCATTCCAAATATTTCTATTCCTTTCTCTATTTTCCTTCTGGTATTTTTATTACATGTATGTCACACCTTTTGTAATTTTCCCACAGGTATTGGATATACTGGGGATTTTTTTTGTCTTTTTTCTCTTTGATTTTTAGTTTTAGTTTGATTTTCGTTTTAGATCTCTTTGATCTTCAAGCTCAGAGATTCTTTCCTTAGTTGTGTACAGTATACTAATAAGCCTATCAAAAACATTCTTCATTTCTGTTATAATGTTTTTCATCTCTAGCATTTCTCTTTGGTTCTGCTTGAAATTTCCATCTCCTTGCTTACATTGCCCATCTGTTCTTGCATGGTGTCTACTTTATCCATTAGAGCTTTTAGCATATTAACCATAGTTTTTAAATTCTGGTCTGATAATTCTGACATCTCTGCCATATCTGAGTCTGGTTTTGATGCTTGCTCTGTCTCTTCAAACTGTGTTATTTGCCTTGTAACTTTTTCCTGGTAGGCAGACATGATGTTCTGAGTAAAAGGAACTACTGTAAATAGGCCATTAGCAAGGTGGTAGTATCGTGTGGGGGAAAGGGAAGCATGCTATAGTCCTGTGACTAGGTTCAGTCATTTAGTGAGCCTGTGCCTCTGGACTATGAACTTCACACGTCTCTGCATTCCTCTCTCCCCTTTATGTGGAACAGGATGGCTAGAGTGAACTGGAGGTGGGTATTTCCCTTCTCCCACGTGGAAGGCCAGAAGCAGTTAGAGTTGGATGTTTCCCTTCCCCCAGGTCAGTAAGGCGCTGGAAAACAAAACAAAACAAAAAAAATAACAACAACAACAACAAAAACAACAGGTAAATATTTTACCTGATTAAATAGTTTCTCCTGAAGGCAGACCTTGTTAAGAAGAATGGAAGGCTCTGGTATATTTCAAATGATTCTTTTTTTTCCTCTCCCTGCTGGAAGCCAAAGGGGATTTTTCTCCCATATTCACTGAGAGAACCTGATAGAGCTCCAAGAAGCAAAACTCAAAAAAGCATGGGGGACCCTGCTAACTTGGTCCCTGGAGTTTTTATCTATCAGGCTTGTCCACACTAAGCCTCCAGCAATTGGTCAATTATGATTCAAGTTTTCCTACATTGGCAGTGGTTCCACAGAGGTTTCTGCTAGTGGGTTTCTGCTCCTATAAGTTGTGATTCTGTGTATTTGCCTGTCTGTCTCCAGTTTGGGAAGCACAATTTTCCCAGTGACCTCACTTCTCTTGTGGATCTAAGAAGAGTTAATTTTTTTTTAGTTTGCTCAGCTTTTTACTTGTTAGGATGGAGTGTGACTTCTAGGATTCTAACGTGCCAAACCAGAAATCATAAGTCTCCATGCTAGCTATTTTAACAGAGAGAATTTCATATAAAGAATGGTTAGTAGATTTGGAGGAACTGAAACAGCAAAAGGAGAACACTGAAATTTATCACAAAGGTAGCAAGTGCAGGATGTAGTTCCCATCCCTAGGACTGGGGAAACAAAGGGAAGAGGCTGGAATTATTGAAACCTAGACACTTAGAGGAGAAATTTTGTGGGGCCTAGGACCCTTCTGAGGAAGGGCACCTCTGAGAAAGAGGCACTGGCCACTGGAGCTGGTGGCCCAGGTTAGGCAGAGAGCAACATTGCTGTGAGGCTGATTCTGCAATTGTTGGGGAAACCACTAACTGGATTCAGCTGATGCCACTGAAACAAACTGGCCCTGCCAAGGTGAAGAAGCATTGCTGGGGTATCTGAGAGGCACAATAAGCCAATGAGAAGAGTCATGTTTCTTTCTCTTCCTCCAGCCTTCCTCTAGCACCCTCTACTGGCAGAGTCAACGAGTGAGCAGTTGGTAAAGGAGAAAGGTGATTTGCAGCGTCCCAGCCCCAAAGCCCAAGTATAGAAAGCTGAGAACCCAGCATTTTGAGAGGCTGAGGCGGGTGGATCACGAGGTCAGGAAATCGAGACCATCCTGGCTAACACAGTGAAACTCCGTCTCTACTAAAAATACAAAAAAATTAGCCGGGCGTGGTGGCACACGCCTGTAGTCCCAGCTACTCGGGAGGCTGAGGCATGAGAATCGCTTGAACCCAGGAGGCGGAGGTTGCAGTGAGCCGAGATTGCGCCACTGCACTCCAGCCTGGGCAACAGAGCGAGACTGTCTCAAAAAAAAAAAAAAAAGAAAAAAAAAAAAAAGAAAGAAAGCTGGGAACCAAGAGTTTAATCATTGAAGCTGGCAACCAAGAGTTTAATAATTGACACACTCAATTATTTTGAAATTACTAGAGACAATACTGAATTTATAATCTGTAATAAGCAATGCAGCATTTTAAAAAACTCTCTACTGAGCAACCTAGAGCTTCCTTTGTTTATTCTTTATGGCATCCAAATTCTGTATCTATAGGTACCCTTTTTATGCCCAGTAAATAAATCCTCCCCACAATATCCAGTAGGTGTATACTTAATCACATTCCATTACACACCCAATCATTCTGTCATCCAGTCAACCAATGTTCGATTGCTTATTCTATGCCACATGTTATTTTAGGCCCTGAGTTCTTAGCTATGTTACTTGAGAGTGACCTGAAATGGAGTTTCATCTGAGCATGACAATAAAGGAAGAGTATGGTCTTTAGAAAGCTTAATTAAAATGCAGACATTACCTGGCATGTTGGTTAGACCTGTAACTATATCCCAGCACTTTTTATAAATCCCTTCCTCCATATGGCCCCCTACCATTCACATTCATTATCCAACTGATCCCCAAAACAACTCATGTAGAAATAGTGAGATATCAATGTACTTATGTCACTAAGCAAAAAAGGCAAGATTCAGAGAGGTTGTCAGTCGATGCACAGTTTTGTATGTAATCACATACAAGCAAGCACTCAAACCCAAATCTTCCGATTCAAAATCCAAAGCTCTACCCATCACACGAGGCTGACCTTTGTATGAATTAGCTTATCAGAATGGCTAGTGCTATAGATCTGGGAAAAATTCAGAAACTATTTCATACTCTTCCCCAAGCAGGCAGACAGATCACCTGCAGCCCCACATCATTACATCAAACCATCTTAGCCTCCTCACCTGAGGGAACACAGATAGCCCCTTATCTGAAATGCTCCAAGGAGGAAATGCTGGGGCAGTCTGGCAACTCAATGGGCAAACTAAGGATAATGGAGAGATTCACCATGTTCATGACTCTTTCACCAAGAAAACCCAAGAACTGCCAGAAATGATGGCCTGGAACATACAGGGGTTTTTCTATCAACAATGACATTTCTCGGCCAGTGGAAACAGAAAAAAAAAATTATAATTGGTCTAACCTGAGGCAAATCTTGGGTGAGCAAGCACCATGACTTCTGAGAGACACATACAAGCCTCTAGGCATTGCCTCAGAGGTGCAGTAACCATTCCCAGACCTGGTTTCTTGAGAATAAAACTCTGGCCCAAACGCCTAGCTAAAATTCACTGGCCCTCCCGGACAACTTTCACTGTAGCAATAAATTCTGATTTTCTTAGAGTTGGACATTTTGTTGTTGCTCTACATTTGGTATTCATTACACTTTCACAAACACATACACTCATATCCTTAATGCTAGGAGCTCCTACGCATTGACCCTTCTACACTCTGACTGACATGCAAAAGAAGTAAAAGAAGAGTGCTTCATTCCTCTCCATTTCACCACCCTCCATCCTCCCACCACTCCCCATGTAAACATGCATGGCACCTCATAATTACATATCCAGTAGTTAGAAGAAGGGATTGTCTGAATGAAGAACATCAGAGCCAATAAAGAAAACCAGATCAGAGCCCTCCTCACCTCCATTAATGAAAACAGACATTTAAAGAGCTCCATTATACAGAGGGAACACTGAATTAGGCAGTGAGGATACAAAGAGGCGTATTACATGTCTGATGTGCACAAATTATTTAATTGCCCTCCATCTCCAATAGTAGACAAACAGATCAATGAGAACTAGTAAAACTCCTTAAGAAATAGAGCATAGCCTTTTATCTCAGGGATTTCAAAGAACCTTTGCAAACACTCATTAGGCCCAACCCATTCCATAGTCAGTGGTTAGAAAATCCAACATTGGCCATAAACTGGTCTCTACCTCTGTCTCTTCCAGTTCATTCTCACACAATTACCTCTCGAATAGAGCCCAATTAACTGACCATTTTGCTTTACTCATTTGCTTCTTTTATTCAGCCCTCGGGGAGCTAGCCAGGTACGTTCCTTATGAAAAAGCAGCTATATGGCTGCAGGGTGGCCTTCTCTCTTGGTGAATATCCGAGGAGTACAGGATGATCACTAGGAGAGCATATTCAGCAAGAGAGAGTGGGAGGGACTGAGGCAGTCTCTGGCTTCCATCCTCAGGGCATTTGGTTATCCCCCAAAGCTGAAGAAGTATCAACCCTACCACACTCCATGTATTATATTTATCATGGGTAATAGCTTATCATGAGTGTTTACTTTGTTCTTAGTGCTTGCACATGCCTTCTCATTACAGGGCTGAGAGGCTACCTCTGGAGTCAGAAAGATGTGGGTGTCATATAATAACTATGTGACCTTGGAGCATCAGTTTCCTCATCTGTATAATGAAAATCATAATATTAGTATCAATATCATGGAGTTGGTGTGAGAATCCAATGAAGAAATTCCTATAAAGCACATAACATAATGCCAAGCACCGATTAAAAGCTCAATAAATATTTTCCAATATTAAAGCTCACCACAAGCCCATGAAGCAAGTATTAGATATTATTGTTCCCTTTTTATAGGTGAGAAAATGAAGATTTAGAGATAATATCATTTACCAAGGTCACCAGCTGTAAATGATAGCCTAGACTTCATGGAGGTGTAACTGACCCAAGATCCCATGCTGACAACCACCACAGAATGTACAGAATGGGTAACTGTGCCACAGTGAAGGGAGCTTGTGGTCACCATCTCAACCTGGCCACAGTCCAGTCATCCCAGGAGAAGAGTGCAAAGAGCACTCCAGGCAACACAGAGGTGGGGAAGGCAAAAGATTGGAAGGCTCCGTCATCATGGGCAGGAAGCTGGAACCTTCATATGTAAGTACTAGAGAGACAGCAAGCAAAGACACACCTGACTCTGAAATACTATTGTCATTCATTTCATTAAAATGAGAAAATTGAGGCTCAGAGAGGTAAGCTGACCTTCACTAAGCCACATAGCTAGTAAGTAGTAGAGGCAGGATTAAAATTCAGGCTTTCTGGTGCCAGAGTCCATGCTCTGAACCTCTTCACGTGGCCCTGCTTGGTTTCATGGCTACAACCCCACAGCCACCACTCTGTTGACTCTTCTCTGGATCAGTGGCTGCAGAGTGTGTTTTTGACTCAAATGAAGGAAAAAAGGAATAAAATCAGCATGTATTGAGCACCTCCTGTGTGCTCACATGCTTGATAAATGCCTCACAGACATTAACTTAATCATCACAGCAACCCAGGAGGTAAATTCAATTTTAGAGAGAAGGAAACAGAGGTCCAGTCTCCAATTCAAGTAAATCTCCCCAGGGGACCACCTCGTAAGAGACTGAGAACTTGAAACTCCACTTTTGCCTACCCTCCCTCCCACATTGCACTACCTCTGGGGAAGCCTTTGGGAGAGCACCTTTTATTCCTGAGCATAGCAGGTTCTGGACATCCTTAGCCATTTGGAGGTTTTCCTCTAGAACTGGTGCAGGAACATCTCGGACTGTTGGGAAAAGTAGACTCAAACCACCATTTTGTGCCCAAATGTGAAGCTGTCATCAAACTCATTAGAAAGATAAATAAAACCTGCCACATAACACCAGCCTCTTGGACACTTGAAGCGGAGAGATAAGGTGTCAGGGCTGATATATGACAGCCCCCAAACCCGTAAATTTTTACAGAGAACTCAGGATTTTTATCCTCCTTCCTTTATCTAGCAAATAAGACCAATACATAATGATGGTGTTTACTACGGAAAGCCATGAACTCAGAGAAGTCGACTGACTTAATTCCAAACCTAAAACCACATTTCAGCTGTGATTTTATCTATTATTTTGCTCCAAGATGATTTCCTGACTTTTTCCCCCTTTACTGCAGATGTATCTTTGGCCGTGTGCTATAATTGGAGTCATTAATATGCAGCAGAAATTGGCTATAATAAATTTTTATCCCTTTGGTTTCTGAGTCTTTTCTCTTGAATTATTTGTATTATTTAAAAAGCAAACAAAACAGATAAGCAGAACCAGGTAGAAAAATTGAGAGTCTGAAGTGGGGGAATCTGCTTTAAGCTAGACCCTTCCCCAAGTCATAGCATGGATAATGATCCACATTACAGAATGTTGCTGTGATTTGGGCTTGAGATCTAGACAGCCTGGCTACAATGACAAACAGAGAACCTGTTTTCTAGGCTAAAAAACAGGGCATGTAGTCTGATTTCAGACTACAGAAATTTGAAAATAGGATTGATATAGGAGATTTGGAACACTGGCTCACTAAACTCAAATGCAATTCATGAACATGGCTCTCTTACACACTGGAAGAGAAATAGCAGCAGCATCTCAGTGCTTCCCCTGAGCCACTTTTGTGGCTGGTCTCATCAAGCTTCTGGGGCCTCCTGAGGAATCCAGCTGAATAGTGTTCAGTTTTTCGTTATCATTTGCCACTTAGCAGTTTTTAGATCAGAGATATGATCTAGTACCACCACAGGAGATTTGCTTTGGGAAAGAGTCTATGAGATGTAGCTGTGGCTGGTGAAAAAGCACTGGCCAAGTCTAGAACTACATAAAAAGGGTTATATACCATAACCAAATGGAACTTATCCCAGGAATGCAGGGTTGGTTTAACATCCAGAAATCAATCACTGTAATATACCATATTAATGGAATAAAAGAAGAAACACATGGTCATCTCAGTGGATAGAGAAAAGGCATCTGACAAAATCCAATATCCTTCTATTATAAAAAATATTCAACAAACTAGAAATAAAGGGAACTTCCTCAACTTGATAAAGGGCATCTATCAAAAACCCATGGTTAACAACTTGCTTAATGGTGAAAAGACTGAATGCTATCCCCCTAAGGTCAGGAAGAGGACAAGGATAGCCATTTTTACCACTTCTATTCAACATTGCACAAGTGGTTCTAACCAAGGCAATTAGGCAAGCAAAAGAAATAAAGTCTTCCAGATTAGAAAGGAAGAAGTAAAATTATCTTTATTTGCAGTTGACATTATCTTGTCCATAGAAAATTCCAAGTAATCCCTTAATAAACTGTTAGAACTATTAACTGAATTCAGCAAGATTGTAGGATACAAGAAAATACATTTTAAAATTGTATTTCTATACTCTAGCAATGGGCAATCAAAAATACAATTAAGAAAGCAATTTCATTTATAATAGTATTCTAAAGGATGAAACACTTAGGGATAAATTTAACAAAAGAAGTACAAGAATCATACACCGAAAACTACAAAATATTGTTTAAAAAATTATAGGCCCACAGAAGAAAGAGAAGACCACAAAACAACCAGAAAACAAAAAACAAAATGGCAGGAGTAGTCTTTATTTATCAATAATGATACTGAATACAAATAGACAAAACTTTTCAATCAAAAGACAGAGAGTCTAAACAGATTTAAAAAAAAAACAAGACCTAATGATATGTTGCTTAAGAAATACACTTCACCTATAAAGAAACACATAGGCTGAAAACAAAGGGATGGAAAAAAGATATTCCATGCAAATGAAAACCAAAATATAGCAGAAGTAGCTATACTTGTATCAGAAAAATTAGATTTCAAGACAAAAACTATAAAAAGAGAAAAAGTTGATTATTATATAATGACAAAGTGGTCAATTCAGCAAGAGGATACAACAATTATAGCTATATATTCACCCAACACTGGAGCAGCCAGATCTATAAAACAAATATTATTACAGCTAAAGAGAGAGATAGACCCCAAAACATAATAGCTGGAGACCCCATCACCCCACTTTCAGCATTGTACAGCTCTTCCAGACAGAAAATCAACAAAGACACATTGGGCTTAATCTCCACTATAAACCAAAGGGACCTAATAGATATTTGCAGAACATTTCATCCAGCAGCTACAGAATACACAGTCTTCTCCTCAGCATATGGATAATTCTCAAGGATAGACCCTATGTTAGGCCACAAAACAAGTCTTAAGAAATTTTTTAAAAATTGAAATCATATCATGTATCTTCTCTGACCACAGTGGAATAATACTAGAAATCAATAACAAGAGGAACATTGGAAACTATACAAATACATAGTAATTAAACAATATGCTCCTGAATAACCAGTGGGTCAATGAAGAAATTAAGAAGAAAATCAAAAAATTTCTTGAAACAAATGAAAATGGAAACACAACATACCAAAATCTATGGGTTACAGTTAAAGTAGTACTAAGGAAAGTTTATAGCAATAAGCATCTACTTTAAAAAAAATAGAAAAACTTCAAAAAAACAACCTAATGATGCATCTTAAAGAACTAGAAAAGCAAGAACAAATTAAACCCAAAATTAGTAAAAGAAAAGAAATAATAAAAATCAGAGCTCAAATAAATAAAAGTGAAACAAAAAAAACACACAAAACGTCAACAGAACAAGAAGTTGTTTTTTGAAAAGATAAATAAAATCAACAAACTTTAGCCAGACCAAGAAAAAAAGAGAGAAATCTCAAATAAATAAAATTAAAGATGAAAAAGAAGACATTACAACCAATACTGCAAAATTCAAAGAATCCTTAAAGACATAATCAGAAAAAATGTGAACAACTATGTGCCAATAAATTGGAAAACGTAGAAGAAATAGATAAATTTCTAGATCCACATATCGTACAAAGATTGAACCATGAAGAAATCCAAAACCTGAATAGACTAATAAACAAGTGATGAAATCAAAGCCATAATAAAAAGTCTCCCAGCAAAGAAAAACCCAGGACCTAATAACTTCAATGCTGAATTTTACCAAACATTTAAAGAAGAACTAATATGAATTCTACTCAAATTGTCCTGAAAAATAGAGAAGAGAACACTTCCAAGCTCATTCTATGGGGCCGGTATTACCCTGATACCAAAACCAAACAAAGACACATCAGAAAAAAAGAAAACCTATGGGCCAATATCCCCTATGAATATTGATGCAAAAATTCTCAACGAAATACTAGCAAACCAAATTCAGCAACACATTAAAAAGATCATTCATCATGACCAAGTGGGATTTATTCCAGGAATGCAAGAGTGGTTCAACACATGTAAATCAACTAATTTGATACATTATATCAACAAAATAAAGGACAAAAAAACGTGATCGCTTCAATTGAGGCTGGAAAAGCATTTGATAAAATTCAACATTGCTTCATGATAAAAACCCTCAAAAAAACTGTGTATAGAAGAAACATACCTCAACACAAAAAAAGCCATATACAACAGACCCACAGCTAGTATACTAAATGGGGAAAAACTGAAAGCTTTTCCTCTAAGATATGGAACACGACAAGAATGTCCACTTTCAACACAGTTATTCAACATAATACTGGAAGTCCTAGCTAGAGCAATCAGGCAAGAGAAAGAAAGAGCACCCAAATCAGAAAGGAAGAAGTAAATTATCCTTGTTTGCAGACAATATTATCTTATATCTGGAAAAACCTAAAGATTCCACCAAAAAAACATTAGAACTGATAAACAAATTCAGTAAATTTGCAGGATACAAAATCAACATACAAAAACCAGTAGAATTTCTATATGCCAATAGCAAACAGTCTGAAAAAGAAAATAATCCCATTTACAATAGCTACAAATGAGATTAAAAAGTGAAAGATTTCCACAAAGAAAACTAGAAAGCACTGATGCAACAAATTGAAGAAGACACAAACAAATAGAAAGATATTCTGTGTTCAGGGATTTGAAAAATCAATATTGTTAAAATGTTCATACTACCCAAAGCAATCAATAGATTCAATGCAATGCCTATAAAAATACTAATGACATACTTCAAAGAAATAGAAAAAATAATCCTAAAATGTATATGAACCACAAAAGACCCAGAGTAGCCAAACCATCCTGAGCAAACAATAATAATTAAAGGCCTAAATAAATGGAAAGATATCCCATGCTCATGGATTGGAAGACTTAATAATGTTAAAATGATAATGCTATCCAAATCAATTAACAGATCCCACACTATCCCTATCAAAATCTCACCTGTCTTTTTTGCAGAAATTAGCAGGCTGGTCCTAAAATTAACATGAAAATACAAGGAACCCAGAATACCCCAAATGATCTTGAAAAAGAAAAACAAGCTTGGATGACTCACACTTTCTAATTTTAAAACTTACTACAAAATTATAATAACTTGGCGTAAGGATACACACACAGATTAATGGAATAGAATTGACAATTCAGAAATAAACTCTTATATTTACTGTATAGCCAATTAATTTTGACAAGGGTGCCAAGACAATTCAATGAGAAAAGAATATATTTTTCAATGAAAGGTGCTGGAACAACTAGATGACTGTAAGAGAAAAAATGAACCTGGAACCCTATCTCACATAATATACAAAAATTAAATCAAAAGGAATTATAGACCTAAATGTAAGAGCTAAAACTAGGAAGTTTTAGACGAAAGTATAGAAGCAAATATTTGTAACCTTGGATTAGGCAATGGTCTCCCTACATAAGGGACCAAAAGCACAAGCAACAAAAGAAAAAGTAAATAAATTATACTTCATCAAAATTGAACAATTTTGTGCTTCCAAGGACACTGTCAAGAAAGTGAAAGGACAAGCCCCAGAATGGGAGAAAATATTTGCAAATCATATATCTGATAAGGAATTTGTAACCAGAAATCAAATACAGTTCTTTAACTCTTACAACAATAAAAAGACAAATAATCCAATTTTTAAAAATGCAAAGGAAATAGACATTTCTCTCAAAAAAAAAAAAAAAAGATATACAAGTGGCCAGTTACCATATTAAAAGATGCTCAATATCATCAACCATTAGGGAAATAAAAATCACAACTGCAATGAGATAATACTTCATATCCTCCAGGATGGCTAAAATCAAAATGACAGACAATGACAAATGTTAGCAAGAATTCAGAGAAATCGGGACTTTCACACACTGCTGATGGAAAACTTTGAAAAACAGTTTGGAAGTTTCTCAAAATAAAAGTGGCAATTCCACTCCTAGGTATCTATGCAAGATAAATAAAAACATATGTTTACACAGGAACTTGTACACAAATGTTCATAGAAGCATTATTCTTAATAGCCAAAAAGCAGAAACAACTCAAATGTTCATCAATTGATGAATACATTTTTAAATGTGATATATTCATACAATAAAATATTATTCAGCAATAAAAGGGAGTAAAGCACTCGAAAGAAAGAAAGAAAGAAAAGAAAAGGAAAGAAAGAAGGAAGGAAGGAAGGAAGGAAGGAAGGAAGGAAGGAAGGAAGGAAGGAAAAAGAAAGAAAGAAAGAAAGAAAGAAAGAAAGAAAGAAAGAAAGAAAGAAAGAAAGAAAGAAAGAAAAGAAAAGAAAAGAAAAAGAAAGAAAGGTTGCCAGATGCTCGGGGGATGGAGATTGATTGCTAACAAGTATGGGGTTTTTTTTAGGGTGAGGAAAATATTCTAAAGTTAGTGATAATAGTTGCATAAAATTATTAATACACTAAAAACTACTGAATTGTATCCTTTTTCATTTTCACTTTTTTTAGAGACAGGGTCTGCTCTGTTGTTGGAGTGCAGTAGCCCAATCATAGCTCACCACAGCCTTGAATTCTAAGGCTCAAGTGATCCTCCTGCCTCAGCCACCTGAATAGCTGGGATCACAGGCACAAACCACAAAGCTCAGCTCTGCAATGTATATTTTAAAGAATGCATTTTCTGCTATGCAATAAAACTGTTATTGTGGGGGATGGGGGGAGGAAAGGAAAAGCACTGGACTAGGAGTCAGACACGAGTTCAAATCCCAGCTCTGTACTTTCAACCTTGGGCAAGTCACACTGCCATTCTAAGTTCCTCCTCAGCCCCTTATATATGACACTAGATCCTTTGTAGGAGAGTGTGTGCCGAGGCCTAACTCAGAGAGGTTACTCAGTGCATCTTATTTTCTCTCTTCCATCTTCTGTCATCTGAACCCAATCTTCCCTCCTGGATAACAGAAAAAGGCGTCCCATCTCCCCAGAGCATGGACGATCTTTATAACCATTCACCCAGGCTTGGCACTTACTAGTAGCCATTCAAAACTAAAGATAAGAGAGATAAAAAATTAACTAAAAGACAAATTCATAGAGACATAAAGTAGAATAGTGATTACCAAGGCCTGGGGAAGGAAGGCAATGGGGAGTTGCCATTTAATAGGTACAGAGTTTCAATTTGGGATGATGAAAAATTTTGGGAGATAGATGGCGGTAATGTTTGTACAACAATGTGAATATAATTCATGTTACTGAATTGCATACTTAAAATAGTTAAAATGGTAAATTTTATGTATATTTTACCACAATAAATATTCATTAATTTAAAATGTGTCTTTAGGCCAGGCACAGTGGCTCACACCTGTAATCCCAGCACTTTGGGAGGCTGAGGCAGGAGGATCACTTGAGGTCAGAAGTACCAGACCAGCCTGGCCAACATGGTGAAACCCTGTTTCTACTAAAAATTCAAAAATTAGTCAGGCATTGTGACATGCGCCTGTAATCCCAGCTACACGGGAAGCTGAGGCAGGAGAATTGCTTGAACCCAGTAGGCGGAGGTTGCAGTGAGCCAAGATCATACCACTGCACTCCATCCCAAAAAATTTAAAAAATTTAAAAATTAAAATTAAAATAAGTAAAATGTATCTTTAATTAAAATACACTATTAATCAAAAATAATTTTATTCAAGTCAGCCCCACCTAGTGAGAGAATGTAGCTGAATGAGTAACAGGTAGGCTACCTGGCTCTTAGGAAGGAATAAGGCAACGAGAGAGAAGCCTCTGGATTCGCAGGTTACAAGCTGGGGAAGTGGGTGAGGGCAGAGGTGATTCTGCTTTGATGAACAGAAATTGGGGAGAAACACTATAAAAAGAGTTCAGGTCCTTGTCATAGACTGTGCTATCATAGTACATATCATTTCATCCTGTTAGCATGACAAATTGAATCTCAATACTCTTTCTCCAGTTTTCCTGGGAGATAAAATATGCTAACCTATCCAAAAAAAATACTCTCCAGGAAAATCCACTAACACCGAGTCCCCCATAAACCACATCCAATGCAAAGGGAAGCATGAAAAAACCCGTAACAGCCTTCTACCCAAGGACTAGGGTGGGCAAACAGAAGCTGGCCAATCTCTCCTTTGTTGATAACCCAATAAACACCCTTCTTATCCTTTTAAAACTGGTATTCAGTTTAGGAAGAGATCATTTGGGTTGAAGCTTGCAGATGGGCCAGAGGAGGACTGAAATGGGCTGTGTGAATTTTTACAGTAGACCTGCATGGATGTCTTTGGGGCTTCCCTCATTCTTGGAGCACCAAAATATTTGCAACTTTTTTAAAAATTAGAAAAAGCTGCCTTATTTATTCTCGATGCATTTTTCCAGGAAGTTTCCAAAGCAGTCTTCCATTCATTCATTTATGTAATAAATATTTACCGAGTGCCTGTGGGCATTAGACTCTGTGCTAAGCACTGGGCAATAGTGAGCAAGCCAGCTCAGGTCCTTGCCCTTGTGTTGATTACAATCTAAGAGTGCTCAAAATCTCTAATCCTCCGAATCATTGGCCTTGAAGCTCCCCAATGGATTCTCAGTATTCATCTAAAGCATTAGAGTGTGGTGGTACAGGTATGGGATTTAGAGCAAATAAGACCTGAGTTCAAACCCCAGCACTCTCTTCCCAGCTGTGCTACCTTGAAAAAATGTTTTAACCTCTTGAGTTTTAGTTTGTTGTCTGTGAAGTGTGACTGATAATCTCATCTGCTACACGGGGTTGTTGGAAGAACTGAATGAGGTAATATATGCAGAGTATTTCCAATATCTCCTGGCCAGGTGTGGTGGCTCACTCCTGTAATCCCAGCATTTTGGGAGGTCACTTGAGCCCAGGAATTGGAGACCAGCCTGGGCAATATGGCAAAACCCCATCTCTACCAAAAATACAAAAATTAGTCAGGTGTGGTGGCTCATCCTTGTAGTCCCAGCTACTTAGGAGGCTGAAGTGGAAGGATCATCTGAACCTGGGGAGGCTGAGGTTGTAGCGAGCTATGACTGTGCCACTGCACTCCAGCCTGGGCAGCAGAGTGAGACCCTGTCTCAAAAAAAAAAAAAAAGAAGAAGAATTTTGATGCTGCAACTTTCTTCAGAAGAAGCAAGGCCTGATAGGAGACACAGACTTAGGTGTCAGGGAGTCCAGGGTTTGGTCTCCATCCACATCTTCAAAGGTGTCACAAATTTACCACCTCAGTCTTACCAGACATTAAATGGTAATAACACCCACTGCCTCCTTGCTCTGTTGTAAGGATATTTTAATTACTTCTTGCAGAGCACTTTGAAGCTGAAAGTGCTGAGTAAGTATCCCAAAATAAAAATAAAAAAGTGCATCACTTGTTAGAAAAACACCAAACTGGTGCCTGTCCCTTTGTCATTAGAGATGTGGCCCCCACAACACCAGCTTCTTTTCTTTGACCCACACCAAGTGAGATCAGTTTAAATAACACCACGTGTTATTTCATGTGCATTCCTAAGATGCCAGTGGCCACATCCCAAGGAGTATAGCATTAGTCAGGGTGCTCCAGAGAAGCAGAATGAACAGGATGCTATATATGGACAGAAAGATTTGTTTTAAGGAACTGGCTCATGCAGTTGTGGAGGTACAGCGAGCCCACAATCTGATGATATAGGCCAGCAGGCTGGAGACTCTGAGAAGAGTTGTGGTTCAAGTCCAAAGGCAGTTCACTGGCAGAATTCCCTCTTCTTCTGGGGACATGCCTTTTTCTCTGAAGGCCTTCCACTGATTGCATGAGGCCTACCCACATCATGCAAGGTAATCTGCATTATGCAATCTACTGATTCAAATGGTAGTCTCATCTCAACAACAACAAGAAAAAAGACCTTCATTGAAACATCTAAAATAATGTTTGACCAAAGATCTAGGTATCATGGCCTCGCTAGACCATAAGATCAACCATCACAACTGCATGTTCTCAGACGTGTTGCCAGAACCTGCCTTGGAGGGTCACCATCTTTGCTGCTAGGTCCACCTCTGGGGCCCTGGGTTGCTTGCTCCCACTAGCCATCCACATTGGTGCCTCATGCCTTCGGGAGTTTCTTGCCCTATGTTATCGCCTACCCACAGCCTGCCTGTGCGTGGAGAAGAGCCTGCTCTGGCCCAGCCTCCTGATCTTCTCCCTCCCCAGAGAAGATAGGATGAGTGGAAGACCAGACCAGCTTCCTCCATTTGTTCCCCAAAAACAGTTGGTCTCAAAATGTAGTCCCCAGTCCATCAGCAATCACTTCACCTGGGAACTTGTTAGAAAGGCAAATTCAGGGGCCTCTCCTCAGCCCTACTGAGTCAGACACACTGGAGTTGGACCTCACAATCTGGTTTTAATAAGCCCTCCAAGAGACTCTGATACACACTCGAGTTTGAGGACCACTGGCTTAAGAGAAGTACAAAAAATGCTGCCTGAAAGCAACTTCTAGGAAACTAGTTTTCTTTCTTTCTTTCTTTCTTTTTTTTTCAGAGTCTCATTCTGTCACCCTGTCTGGAGTGCAATGGCACAATCTTGGCTCACTAACCTCCGCCTCCTGGGTTCCAGCAAGTACTTCCGGCTAATTTTTTGTATTTTTTAGTAGAGATGAGGTTTCACCATGTTGGCCAGGCTCATCTCGAATTCCTGACCTCAGGTGATTCGCCCGTCTTGGCCTCCCAAAGTGCTGGGATTACAGGCGTGAGCAACCGCGCCCAGCAGGAACCTAGTTTTATTATCTCCTTTCTCTATCTTTCTTTTCTCCTTTCTGTATCCTTTCTCTGTCTTTCTCCTTTCTACTATCTTGACACTATCTAGTGAACACCTTCCCTTTGCGAGATTTCAGGACTGGCTTCTCAGCACACAAGAGTTTCCTAAAGTGTGAATCGCACTATGGACTAGGCTCTTTTCTAAAGTGCTTTAATTACATTCAATTGATTTCATTTAAAATGATGTTTTTTCTAAGTTTGTGTGTTTATCCTTCTGAAGGGCATATGGCTTAAAACTACACTAAGACATTGGAACATCCCTATCAGTTCCTTTAATCCTCACAAAAATCCCATAAGCCAAGTACTAATACTATTGTCTTTATTTCACAGATCAGGAAACTGACATGCAAAGAAGTTAAGTCATTTGCCAAGGAATCTGATTCCAGAATAACATCTCTAACCATGATACTCTCTTGCATGGGACCCCTCTCTTCACTTCTGAGGTGTGTGTACCTTAGCCTTGAAGGCTGGTTAGACCTTACAGTGGACAAGATAGCCTCCATCCAATGTCACCCACATCTAACCTCGGGCCTCCACTAGCTTGTGGCTTGCTGGGTGTACCTGCTTCTAGAGCATTTCCCAAAGGGTCTGTGAATTCCCTCCAAGGTGTGTTGCCTGCATCAGTAAATCATGTAATTTGTTCAAACTCTTTCAGCAGCTCCTGCCTACAGTGACCAAGGTGGTCAAGGGGAGTGTGGAATTGCTAAAAAGAGTTTGCAACGTGGCCCACTTACCAACTCTGTAGGACCTGGGAGAATAGCTAAATACAAAAGCTCAAGCTCACATGTTTAGCAGTATTTAGTACAAGCAGAAGTTTATGTACTCAGAACTTTAAAAGGTACAAAAAACCCTTCATTACAAGCAATGCCAAGGACTGTTTCATTAAGCAAACATTCTGATTAATAGAAAGCTGCCATATGTTCTATACATGCCTTGTTAATTTAGACAGATTCCAGAATCATAAATCATACATTTTGGAGAGTTGAAAGAGATGTTAGGATTTAAGTCAACATACCTTCTCAGTGTCTATATCCCGCAGTCACCATCCCTGCCTTGTTTATCTGACATTACTTCATGGGAATCCATCCCCAAGGCTGTCCATTCCACATCGGGCAGCCCAGAGAGTTAAAAATGTCTTCCTTCCAATGAGCCAAGATCTTTCTCTCTGCAGCCTCCTACTTTGACCCCTGGGTCTAATCCATCTTCCAGTTACCTTCAAATACTTAAAGACAGTGTTCCTGTCTTCCCCAAGTCTTCCCATGAGCTCTCAGCTCTGTGATTCCTTTCACCAGTTGAGCATCAGCTCCAACTCTCTCCAGTTTTGTCTATATCCCTCTCAAAGTATGGTATCCAGAACTGACCTCCATACTCCAAGGGATGTTCTGATCAAGAAAAAGAACAAAGCAATCCTCCCAATAATGAATTGGGATACAGATGTATCTGATGCCACCTGATATGTCTTTGTGGATACAGATGTGAAGTCCATTTCTGAGTGCACGCATATAAATAAACTCCAGATATTTACACAACACATTGCTGATTCCCACCATTCCTGAGCTCTTTTATGCTTTCTTCTTTCTTTCTTTTCTATTTTTTTGGAGATGAGGTCTTGCTCCAGCCCAGCCTGGAGTGCAGTAGCATGATCATAGCTCACTGCAGCCTCAAACTGCTGGGCTCAAGTGATCCTCCCCGCTCAGCCTCCCGAGTAGCTGGGACTATGAGCATGCACCACTACCTCCTGGCTAATTTTTATGCCTTCCATTTCTATTAGTGTCATGAACACTGAACAGTGGTTGGAAAATTCTGGAATCAGAGGGTTGGAGGGCCACCGCAGGAGCTGCCCCAGGTCTTCCCAACTTGAGTACTGGATTACTGGGTTGGGAGGTACATCTGCCCCACTTCACAATATATAGTCATGCCCTTGGACGGATGAGGCAGCAACAGGACGCATCCTCCCTGGGAAGCCTGTCTTGTGGTCAGGCAAGCTGGACATTTTCCAGCAGCTTTATAAAAGTGGATACAGCTTTCTTCAGGCCCTCTGTGGGGAAAGGGAGGGAAAATGTGTAGAGGACCTATTACATGCCAGGCATGATGGAATTTTACACATTCTCTCTTTTTATAAGGGACATGTGTTGTCCTCAGGGAGTACAGAGTGGTTGTGTAACCTGCCCAAGGCCACATAGATAAGAAGCAGGTGGGAATGAGCCTCCAGGAGGGCAGCCCAGGCTGACACGTCCCTCTGGCAGGCTCCACCTGGGAAGCCATGTGGGTCATCACTCATAATCAAAGCCTGCACTAAACACTGCACTCTGTGAGATGAGCTGGAGGGGTCTGAATGGGAACCACAAATCAGGTCCCTTTTCAGGAGCAGGGATCTGGGCTCTCAGGAACCTCAGGACCCAGTTGGGTCTTAGCTTTGCCCCAAAATGAGTCACTTTGGTTCTACCTTGGGAAATCAGTCCCGCACTGATACACAGATGTCTGGGTTTTCTCTGTGGTCTGGGAAAAGCAAGAGCTGGTGCTGGGGATAGTCAGTACATATTAATTAATGATGATGAACACTGTTCTCCCCTCCCTTCAAAACTGGTGAAATGCTTCGAATTAAACAGATTATTCATAATATATAAAAACTGCCACTTTTCAAGTCAGATCATTTTGGAAGAATGTCAAAAGAGAGGGGTAAGACAGAGATTAAAATCACTTTCAGGATGGCTGTACATTTTCAGGGCTTTAAAGGTTTACTGTGTGGCCAGCCTGGAGGCTGTAATGTCTCTTGTGTGATTGAGGAGCTGAGAGGTGATTAAAGGACTTAAGCCAAAAGGGCTGCCTCCCAGTGTGTTCGAAGAAGAAAAATACCATTAATCATAATAATGATGTGTGTTTATAGAAGGCCTTTCATCTGTGCCTCTCAAAGTGCTTTAACCACCATTAATTATACCTCCCAGTGCACCTCTGAGGTAGATAAAAATTATTATACCCATTTTACAAGTGAATAAAGGCCTACAGGGCGAGTAGGAGTGAATTATTTGGGGTCACACATAAACCAGTGGCAAAGGAAGCAATTCCTGTCCCGGGTCAGGACTGAGATTACCCTATTCTTGGGTGCCCTCCTCTCTGAAGGATCGGGCTTTGAGAGAGAACCAAAGATGCTTTTGTGATGCCACCTCTAAGGGCTAATGGAATTGATCACTCTTAGCCCAGGCTCTTAAAAACAGAAAGTGGCCTGTTGAGAGAGAGCATGAAGGCAGGATCTTCTCATTAATTGGGGCATTGCCCCTTAGGATTCATGTGGCCAGTGATCAACAGGACGTTTCGGACCCGTCTGCCCCAGCTGCCTGGGACGTATGACCCAGCTGCCTGGGTCTCTCCAAGGTGTTCATTTCAGGAGAGTCACTGACATGGTTCCCAAAGTCAGTCTGAGCAAACAGATTACCTGCACAGCAGCTCCTCCCTGTGATGAGCATGCACATCTCTCTGTGGCTCCCCCTTTGCTCTTGCCTTTTGTTCCTGTCACTCACACCACAGGAGCACCTAGCAGAGGCACTAAGCTTGTCTTGGAAGCTTCGGGAGAAGAGCATGAGTAGGTCAGGCTCTTCATGGGGAAAGAAAACATTGTATCTGAGGTAACAATAGGCAAAGGTCCAGCTTTCCAGAGGTGAGAGACAGCCTGGGTGGGAGGAACTCCACCGAGTCCTTTACAGTTGACACCAGTATGCATGAGGAGGAGTGAGTGGCAAGAGCCAAGATAAGGAATTTTATACAGGGGCATCGGTGGAGAGTGGTGAGCTGTGGAAATACGCAATTAAGTCTGTATTTTCAGAATAGGAAGCCCAGGAGGAGGTGCAGGTGCAGGGTGCAGCAGAGATGCTGATTCAGTTGGCACTGTTCACTTTGAGGTGCCTGCAGAGCACCCAGGTGTAGATGTGAAGATGTCCGCTGGACTTTGGGTACTGGAGCCCAGAAGTCAGAATCTGGAATACAGATGGAAATTTATAGCTGGGCGTGGTGGCGTGCACCTGTAGTCCCAGCTACTCAGCTGGACAGGAGAATCGCTTGAACCCAGGAGACAGAGGTTGCAGTGAGCTGAGATTGCCCCACTGCACTCCAGCCTGGGCAACAGAACAAGACTCTCTCTCTCTCTTATATTTATATAATATAAATATGTTCATATATATGTTTATATTATATAAAGTATAAATATATATTTATATTACATACAAATATTATATAAATATACATTAGCCCAAAGCAGAGAATTGTAATATATATTATAAAATGTATAATACTGTATATGTATATATAATAAATATATAAAATAAAAATATATTCTATATAAATATATATATAATAAATAAATAAATATATTTATTTTTGGTATGTATGTTGGACCATTTTCCTCTTCTGCTGGGAACCCTCCAAAGGCTTCCATTTCACTAGGAGTGAAAACCAGAGCCCCACTCGCCTCTAAGCCTGGCCCCTGCATTCTGACCTTCCCTCCCGCTCTTCCCCATATCAGCCTTTTTGCCAGTCTTACTCATGCAAGCTCTGCTCCCGCCTCAGGGCGTTCATCCTTCTGTTTCCTCTGCCTGCAAGTTCTTGCCCCAATAGACATTGGTTGCTCCCTGGCCTCTCCATGCCTATGCTCAGGCATCTCGCCTGGCACATGACCACCTATTTAAAACTTCAGCTTCCTCCTGCCTTTTCATGTACCCCAATCCCTTTGCCAGCCATGTTCTTCTCTCTCACCATGGTACTTCATGTATTTAGTCCCACATACCATTTCCTCATGTATTTTGTTTGCTGTCTTCCTCTACTCTCTACTGTCTCCTGAGCCACTCTCTGTCTCTCTCTATAGCTCTAGAATATAAGCTAGACATGAAGGCAGGGATTTTTACCAATCTTATTCACTGGTAAACAGTGAAAAATAGAACAGTGCCTAGTACACATAAGGTACTCAATAAATACTTGTCAAAAAAATCACTTAACTAAAATTGATCCAACAAAAAAAAGTACAAAGATTATTATTGGAAAAACTGGGAAATTCTAAACATGGATTATAGATTAGATAATACTACTGTTATTACACACACGCCAGTATTAAATGTCTTGAATGTGATGTAGATTATGCAGAATATCCCTGTCTGGGGGAGATACCAGCTATAGTACTTAAAGGGAAAGTGCCATGATATTTACAACTTGCATTCCAATGTTTTAGCAACAAATAAAAATATTTGGGAGTGGATAACACAAAATAATTGATGAATCCAGTGGAAGGGCATATAAATGTCCATTAAACTATTTTTTCAAATTATCTTTAATTTGAAATTCTTTTCTTCAATTGTGGTAAAACACATATAACATAAAACTATGCTTATCATTTCAGCCAGTTTTAAGTGTAAAGCCCTTACAGTTCAGTAGTGCTAAGTACATTCACCCTGCTGTGCCATCTCCAGACCTCTTTTCATCTGGCAAAACTGAAACTCTGTACCCATTAAATAACAACTCATTCCTTCATCTCCACAGCCCCTGGCAGCTGCCATTCTACTTTCTGCCTCTATGAATTTGACTACTCTAGGTATTTCACATAAGTGGAATCATACAGTATTTGTCTTTTTGTTTCTAGCCTAGTTCACTTAGCAAAATGCCCTCAAGTTTTATCCATGTTGTAGCATGTGTCACATTTCCTTCCTTTTTAAGGCTGAATAATACATTGTTGTCTTTCAATGCTTATTAATTCCATTGTGTGCGCATGTGTGTGTGCAAATGTGTGTGTGCTTCTGTGTGTATTTACATATATTTATATATACATACCACATTTTTGTTTATCCGTTCAATCATTGATGAACACTTGGATTGCTTCCACCCTTTGGCTATTGTGAATAATACTGCAATGAACAAAGATATACAAATATATCTTCAAGACCCTGCTTTCAATTTTTGGGGGGTGGTATATGTCCAGTGTGGAATTGTTGGATTATACAGTGGTTCTATTTTTAACTTTTTTTCTTTTTTTATTATACTTTAAGTCCTGGAATACATGTGCAGAATGTACAGGTTTGTTACATAGGTATACACATGACATGGTGGTTTGCTGCACCCGTCAACCCATCATCTACATTAGATCTTTCTCCTAATGTTATCCGTCCCCTAGCCCCCCATCCCCTGGCAGGCCCCAGTGTGTAATGTTCCCCTCCCTGTGTCCATGTGTCCTCATTGTTCAGCTCCCACCTATGAGTGAGAACATGCGGTGTTTGGTTTTCTGTTCCTGTGATAATTTCCTGAGAATGATGGTTTCCAGCTTCATCCATGTTCCTACAAAGGACATGAACTCATCCTTTTTTATGGCTGCATAGCATTCCATGGTGTATATGTGCCACATTTTCTTTATCCAGTCTATCATTGATGGGCATTTGGGTTGCTTCCAAGTCTTTGCTATTCTGAACGATGCTGCAATAAACATACGTGTGCATGTGTCTTTACAGTGGAATGATTTATAATAATGTGGGTATATACCCAGTAATGGGATTGCTGGTTTGAATGGTATTTCTGGTTCTAGATCCTTGAGAAATCGCCACACTGTCTTCCACAAAGGTTGAGCTAATTTACACTCCCACCAACGGTGTAAAAGCATTCCTATTTCTCCATATCCTCTCCAGCATCTGTTGTTTCCTGACTTTTTAATGATTGCCATTCTAACTGGCATGAGATGGTATCTCATTGTGGTTTTTATTTGCATTTCTCTGATGACTAGTGATGATGAGCTTTTTCCATATGTTTGTTGGCCATATAAATGTCTTCTTTTGAGAAGTGTCTGTTCATATCCTTTGCCCACTTTTTGATGGGGTTGTTTTTTTCTTGTAAATTTGCTTAAGTTCTTTGTAGATTCTGGATATTAGCCCTTTGTCAGATGGATATATTGCAAAAATTTTCTCCCATTCTGAAGGTTGCCTGTTCACTCTGATGCTAGTTTCTTTTGCTGTGCAGAAGCTCTTTAGTTTAATCAGATCCCATTTGTCTATTTTTGGCTTTTGTTGCCATTGCTTTTGGTGTTTTATTCATGAAGTCTTTGCCCATGCCTATGTCCTGAATGGTATTGCCTAGGTTTTCCTCTAGGGTTTTTATGGTTTTAGGTCTCTTGTTTAAGTCTTTAATCCATCTTGAGTTAATTTTTGTATAAGGTGTTAGGAAGGGGTCCAGTTTCAGTTTTCTGCATATGGCTAGCCAGTTTTCCCAACACTATTTATTAAATAGGGAATCCTTTCCCCATTGCTTGTTTTTGTCAGGTTTGTCAAAGATCAGATAGTTGTAGATGCGTGGTGTTATTTCTGAGGCCTCTGTTCTGTTCCATTGGTCTATATCTCTGTTTTGGTACCAGTACCATGCTGTTTTGGTTACTGTAGCCTTGCAGTATAGTTTGAAGTAAGGTAGCATGATGCCTCCAGCTTTGTTCTTTTTGCTTAGAATTGTCCTTGCTATATGGGCTCTTTTTTGGCTCCATATGAACTTTAAAGTAGTTTTTTTCTAATTCTGTGAAAAAAGTCAATGGTAGCTTGATGGGGATAGCATTGAATCTATAAATTACTTTGGGAAGTATGGCCATTTTCATGATATTGATTCTTCCTATCCATGAGCATGGAATGTTTTACAATTTGTTTGTGTCCTCTCTTATTTCCTTGAGCAGTGGTTTGTAATTCTCTTTGAAGAGGTCCTTCACATCCCTTGTAAGTTGGATTCCCAGGTATTTTATTCTCTATGTAACAATTGTGAATGGGAGTTCACTCATGATTTGGCTCTCTGTTTGTCTATTATTAGTGTATAGGAATGCTTGTGATTTTTGCACATCGATTTTGTATTCTGAGACTTTGCTGAAGTTGCTTATGAGTTTAAGGAGATTTTGGGCTGAGACAGTGGGGTTTTCTAAATACACAATCATGTCATCTGCAAGCAGAGACAATTTGACTTTCTCTGTTCCTATTTGAATACCCTTTATTTCTTTCTCTTGCCTGATTGCCCTGGCCAGAACTTCCAATACAATGTTGAATAGGAGTGGTGAGAGAGGGCATCCTTGTCTTGTGGCGATTTTCAAAGGGAATGCTTCCAGCTTTTGCCCATTCAGTATGATATTGGCTGTGGGTTTGTCATAAATAGCTCTTTTTATTTCCAGATATGTTCCATCGATACCTAGTTTATTGAGAGTTTTTAGCATGAAGGGGTGTTGAATTTTATCGAAGGCCTTTTCTGCATCTATTGAGATAATCATGTGGTTTTTCTCATTAGTTCTGTTTGTGTGATGGATTACGATTATTGATTTGTGTATGCTGAACCAGCCTTGCATCCCAGGGATAAAGCCAACTTGATCATGGGGCATAAGCTTTTTGATGTGCTGCTGGATTCAGTTTGCCAATATTTTATTGAGGATTTCCACATTGATGTTCATCAGGGATATTGGCCTGAAATTTTTGTTGTTGTTGTTGTGTCTCTGCCAGATTTTGGTATCAGGATGATGCTGGCCTCATAAAATGAGTTAGGAAGGAGTCTCTCTTTTTCCATTGTTTGGAATGGTTTCAGAAGGAATGGTACCAGCTCTTGTTTGTAACTCTGGTAGAATTTGACTGTGAATCCATCTGATCCTGGGCTTTTTTTTTTTTTTTTTTTTTGGTTGGTAGGCTATTAATTACTGCCTCAATTTCAGAACTTGTTACTGGTCTATTCAGGGATTTGACTTCTTCCTGGTTTAGTTTTGGGAGGGTATATGTGTCCAGGAATTTATCCATGTCTTCTAGATTTTCTAGTTTATTTGCAGAGAGGTGTTTATAGTATTCTCTGATAAAACAGACTTTAAACCAACAAAGATCAAAAAAGACAAAGAAGGGTAATACATAATGATAAAGGGATCAATGCAACAAGAAGAGCTAACTATCCTAAATATATATGCACCCAATACAGGAACACTCATATTCATGAAGCAAGTTCTTAAAGAACCACAAAGAGACTTACACTCCCACACAATAATAGTGGGAGACTTTAACACCCCACTGTCCATATTAGACAGATCAATGAGACAGAAAATTAACAAGGATATTCAGGACTTGAACTCAGCTCTGGACCAAGCGAACTAATAGACATATACATAAGTCTCCACTCCAAATCAACAGAATATACATTCTTCTCAGTACCACATCGCACTTATTCTAAAATCGACCACATAATTGGAAGTAAAACACTCCTCAGTAAATGCAAAAGAACAGAAATCATAACAAACAGTCTCTCAGACCACAGTGCAATCAAATTAGAACTCAGGATTAAGAAACTCACTCAAAATTGCACAACTACATGGAAACTGAACAACCTGCTCCTGAATGACTACTGGGTAAATAATGAAATTAAGGCACAAATAAATAAGTTATTTGAAACCAATGAGAACAAAGGCACAATGTACCAGAATCCCTGGGACACAGCTAAAGCAGTGTGTAGAGGGAAATGTATAGCACTAAATGCCCATCGGAGAAAGCAGGAAAGATCTAAAATCAACACCTTAACATCACAACTAGAAGAACTAGAGAAGCAAGAGCAAACAAATTCAAAAGCTAGCAGAAGACAAGAAATAACTAAGATCAGAGCAGAACTGAAGGAGATAGAGACAAGAAAACCCCTTCAAATAAATCAATGAATGCAGGAGGTGGTTTTTTGTAAAGATTAACAAAATAGACCGCTAGCAAGACTAATAAAGAAAGAATCAAATAGACACAATAAAAAACTATAAAGGGAATATCACCACTGATCCCAGAGAAATACAAACTACCAGCAGCTGCTATTTGAATCTGATGGTAGGGATAGAAGAGGTGAGAGGAGCTCCATGTCCCTTCCCTGAGACACTATTTCCCTTTTGATATAGGCTGAAACCTTGAGTCAGAAGAGTAAGGGGCTAATGGTGGAATTTCAGATATGAGTGAGTGACAGGTGACTGAAGAGCTATGAAACAGATTTTTTTTTTTTTTCACATGAAGTTTCACTCTTGTCACCCAGACTGAAGTGCAGTGGCATGATCTCAGCTCGCTGCAACTTCCACCTCCCGGGCTCAAGCGATTCTCCTGCCTCGGCCTCCCAGGTAGCTGGGATTACAGGCACCTGCCACTACACCCGGCTAATTTTTCTGTTTTAGTAGGGATGGGGTTTCACCATGTTGGCCAGGCTGGTCTCGAACTCCTGACCTCAAATGATCCACCTGCCTGGCCTCCCAAAGTGCTGGGATTACAGGTGTGAGCCACCACGTCCAGCCAGCAGATTCTTATTCTTCCAGCTCAGGACCTTCATCCAGGCCTCACCTTCCCAGTGTCTGCTCAGAAACTCCTCACACCTCAAGTTCCCTCCGTTTTGACCCACTTAGCTTTCATCTTAACCTGATTTTCATATAATAGAACCTAGGACTTAATAACCCTGGGCATGGACCTGTCCCAGAAACCCACCAGGTCCTGCCTCCTCTTGTTCCCAGAATCCTCTCCATGTCCTTCTGTGGGTACTGCATGTCCACAACCCTGACCCACCCAGGTATGCTCTGATCCCCCCACACAGGCCATGGGGGGCGCTGACACACAGACACAGGGACAGCATAACATGAGAAATCAGAACTGCCAGCCTGTTGGTGAGCCCTCCTGCCACTGTGCCCTGCAAAGCTCTTCTTTAGGGATCAAGCAGGGCCCCTTCCCATCAGGTACAGGTGATTTATCAGAGGGATTGCCTCCCCAGGTGTGTTTAGTCTGAATCCTTACTCTGAGCCTGAGATACTATTAACTGGCTTGTGAGGAAGAATGGCTTTTGAGGAAGAAATATCAGTTATAGGAACTAAGAAGCTGTGTTGGCCGGGCGCGGTGGCTCATGCTTGTAATCCCAGCAACTGGGAGGCTGAGACAGGCAGACCATTTGAGGTCAGCAGTTTGAGACCAGCCTGGCCAAAATGGCAAAACCCCATCTCTACTAAAAATCCAAAAAAAAATTTAGTTGGGCATGGTGATGTGTGCCTATAATCCTAGCTACTCAGGAGGCTGAGGCAAGAGAATCCCTTGAACCCTGGAGGCAGAAGTTGCAGTAAGCCGAGATTGCGCCACTGCACTCCAGCCTAGGTGACAGAGCGGGACTCCATCTCAAAAACAACAACAACAACAAAAGCTGCATTATCTCAGTACAACTTAGCACAGCATGAGAACATTGACCCCACTTCATCCAGTAGGTTGGTTATTCAATTAACAGCTGTCTCTCCTAGTAGACCTTGTTAGTTGTACTCACTGTTGTATTCCCAGAACCTATCACATAGCAGTGATTAATAAATGTTTGAAGAATGGGTGAATAAATGAACAAATAAATGGAAGACCAGACAGGGGTAGGATTCATGTTGACTACAATCTAAGATACCTCTTCCAGGATCACGGGGAGGGAAACAGAGGACAAATGGGAGTATGGAGTGGTCCAAAGGTGCACTTAGAAAGCTGAGGGAGACTCCACAAGGCGCTTTCCACTTGAAACGTGAATTGGGGCTCAGAGAGTAGAGAGTCACCTCCTGAAACAGCGGGGTGGGATGAGCAAAGAGGGAGGAGGGAGGATTGAGAAGTGAAGGTTTAAAACAACTACTGCAGGTAATGGGACTAGATGCCAACTGGACTCATGGAGAAATTGCTGAGCAGCAGGGTGGCTCTGAAGTTTTAACTCTAATGCTGGGGCCGGCAGACACCATCAACCAAGAAAGGGAATGGAGGAGGAGGAAACTTAATTCAGGGAAGAGTTTATGGGGGTCAGGCTTCCAGATAGAGCTAGCTGTCTCAGTTCAACCAGAATTTATCAATTCTTGTATGGAGTACAAAGTAAAATAGGAGAGCTCTGCCCTAGAGGAGCTAGAAAATGCTCCTCAAATCTGAGGGAATCATAAATGCCTAAGTAAAACCACAGAGGATCTCATACTATGGCTCAACTGTGAATGAAAAGAATGCCAAAACCAAAGGTTTTTCTCATCTCCCTCCCCCTTCTCCTTCTTGCTCCTGTTTTAAACCAAAACGCACAGATTTCAGCTCCTTGGCAGGTGAACAGCATTCTTTTTCACCAAGTGTGAACTACACTAGGCAGTCTTGGAGCACCCCCTGTTGAGTCTTCAAGGTATTAAATAGTTAGCTCTTGGAAGATAAGCTTCTAGATTGTATACGTAGCAGAAAAATGCACTCATTCAGCAAACACTTTTTGCCAAAACATTGTAACAGGCACCATGACTATAAATATATGCCCTCAAGTTTCTTCTGGTCTAATAAGAAAAAAAAATATCACTGTTCATTAGGACTGGCACTCATTTCTAAACAGAAAGCCTGTATCGAAAGCAAATTTAGTGGGAACTGAGATCTGTTGACTGAATTATGGTTCCCCTAAAAAGACAAGTGAGTATAGTATCCTGTTAGGTAGAAAATAGAAAAAATCTAGTCCCTGTAGACTGTTTTTCTTCTAGGTCTACTCTCTAGCTCCCCAAATATTAATCTGATCCGGCACTACAAAACACTGCACGAAGCACTACAAAAACCCACACCTTCAAAGGTGCCAGGTGGTGAGGCAAATGTGGGTCAGGTAAAGAGAACAGACTGAAGTCAATAGTTCTGAACTGGAGCTAAATAAAGCCATGCAAACTTGAGCAAGTCTTTTTTTTTTTTTTACTGTAAATCAACAAATTACAGTTGTTTATATTCATGGAGTACAAAGTGATGTTTTGATATATGTATACAGTGTGGAATAATTAAATTAAGCTAATTAATATATCTATGACCTCAAATACTTACCATGTTTTGTGATGAGAACATTTGAAATTCACTCTCATAACAAGTTTGAAATATGGAATACATTATTACTAATGATAGTCACAACACTGTGCCATGGATATCCAAACACTTATTCCTTCTGTCTAACTAAACTTTTGTACTCTTTGACTAACATCTCCCCATTCCCTACCCCCAAGTTGCTGGTAATCCCCATTCTACTCTCTGCTTCTATGTGTTTGATTGTTTTAGATTCCACATATAAGTAAGATCCGCAGTATTTGTCCTTCTGTGCCTTAGTTCACTTAGCATAATGTCCTCCAGGTCCATCCATGTTGTCTCAAATAGCAGAATTTTCTTCTTTTTCAAGGCAGGCACAATAGTATTTCATTGTGTATATATGCCAAATTTTCTTTATGTGTTTATCCATTGACAGAATGAGCAAGCCTTTTTAGCTCCCTGAAACTGTTTCCTCACTAGTAAGATGGAAATTAAAATGTCTATTTTCAAGATAGTTATAAGGATTAAATAAGATACTAATGTAGGAAACTTTGCTTTTTTTCTGCCCATATGATATACAGGAAAGGGAAACACTTTTTAAACTGCTGATCATGCTATTGAAATGAAATATGGAAAAGAAATTTAAAAAATAAAGTGCTGATCAAGTTTTGGTTATTGCTGTTATTAGTCCATAGAAGGGTACCCTCCATCAAGGAAAAACATGCCTCTGTCTTGCTGGTGAGCCATCACTGACCCAGGTAAATGAGAGGAAGGTGAGGTAAATGCAGAGGTTTTATCAAAGAGTCTTTTTCATTTCACGAATAATCAAAGTTACACAGAAAAATTTTATGTATCTGTGGCAAACAGACTCTACCTTTTTAGCATCTTCAAAAAAAATATGAAGTACCTAGGAATAAGTATGACAAAATTGTGCAGATCTTAATGGTGAAAGTTGTAAAACATATTGAGAGATATTAAAGACAGCTTACTTAAATTAAGAGATATACTATGTTCATAAATTGGAAGACTCAGTATTGTAAACATGCCAATTCTCCCAAATCATTTATAAAATCAATGCAATTCGAGTCAAAATGCTAATCAGTTTTTAGTGGCATTTGAAAAGATGATCCCCAAATTTATGTGAAGATGCAAAGGACAAAGAATAGCCAAGATGCACCAGAAGAAGAAGAAAAAGAAGGAGGAGGAAGAAAAAGAAGAAAAATGTAGGACTGGCACTGTCAAATGTCAAGACTTGATATAAAGTTACAATATTTTAAACAGAATGGATTGGTACATAGATCAACAGACCAATACAATAGAGTCCAGAAAGAGAACTTTGCATTATATGAACACTTGATACATAATAGAGGCAGCACTGCAGGGCAATGGGAAAGAACGGTTTTTAAATAAGTGCTGCTGGGACAATTTGCTATCCATATGGGTTAAACAGAAATCAATTCCAGGTATCCAGTACTTAACAGAAAAGGCAAAACTAGGCCAGGCTCAGTGGCTCATGCCTATAATCCCAGCACTTTGGGAGGCCAAGGCAGATGGATCATTTGAGGTCAGGAGTTCGAGACCAGCCCGGACAACATGGTGAAACCTGTCCCTACTAAAAATACAAAAATTAGCTGGGCATAGTGGCATGCACTTGTAGTTTCAGCTACTTGGGAGGCTGAGGCAGGAGAATCATTTGAACCCAGGAGGCACAGGTTGCAGTGAGCCAAGATAGCACCACTGCACTCCAGCATGGGCAGCAAAGCAAGACTCTGTCAAAAAAAAAAAAAAAAAAAATGAATGAAAGAAAAGGAAAGAAAAGAAAAGAACTATAAAGCCTTCAGAAGATAAAATGGGAGAATATTTTCATGAGCTTGGAGAAGATAGTTTTCTTAAACAGTTACCAAATGGCTGGGCGCGGTGGCTCACCCCTGTAATCCTAGCTCTTTGGGAGGCTGAGGTGGATGGATCACAAGTTCAAGAACAGCCTGGGCAAGATGGTGAAACCCCATCTCTATTAAAAATACAAAAAAATTAGCTGGGCATGGTGGTGGCGCCTGTAATCCCAGCTACTTGGGAGGCTGAGGAAGAGAATTGCTTGAACCTGGGAGGTGGAGGTTGCAGTGAGCTGACATCACGCCACTGCACTCTACCCTGAGTGACAGAGCGAGACTATGTCTCAAAACAAACAAAAAAAATTACCAAATGAACTAACTGTTCAAGAAAATATCAATAAATTTTTACTACATTAAAATTAAGAAGTTCTGCTCATCAAGTCTTCACCATTAAGAGAGTGAAAAGGCAAACTTATATTCACAATACTTATAACTGATTAAAAATTCATATCCAAAATATATAAGGAACTTCTTCAAATCAGTAAGAAAAATGGACATACCAATAGAAAAATAGGAAAGATATTAGAACTGAACCAGTACTTTACAAAAAAAAAAAAGGAAGAAAGAAATATAAATGTCCCACAACCTTTCTTGGTTGCAGGGAAATGCTAAATTAGAACCACGATGATATAACAGTATATAAAAACCAAACATTTGGCCAGGCACGGTGGCTTACATCTGTAATCCCAGCACTTTGGGAGGCCAAGGCGGGCAGATCACTTGAGGTCAGGAGTTCAAGACCAGTCTGGCCAACATGGCGAAACCCTCTCTCTACTAAAAATACAAAAATTAGCCAGGCATGTTGAAGTGCACCTGTAATCCCAGCTACTCAGGAGGCTAAAACAGGAGACTCACTTGAACCCGGGAGGCAAAGGTTGCAGTGGTAGTGAGCCGAGATCATGCCACTGTATTCCAGCCTGGGTGACAGAGCAAGACTCCAACTCAAAAAAAAAGCAAACATTTTTAAAGTTGATAATATTAAGTGTTAGTGAGGATATAGAGCAACTGAAACTCTCACACACTGCTGTTGGGAGTATGATTTATGATTTGTACAACTGCTTTGGAAAACTGTTTGGGGTTGTCTACTAAATTTGAATATGCATATATTAAGTGATCTAGAATTTTTATTTCTAAGTATATACCCTACAAAATACAGGTACATGTGTGCTAGAAAACATGTACAAAAATGTTCAGACCTCCAGCCTGAAGTAGCTTTTGTTAGAAAAAAGAATGTTCACAGCAACATTTCTCAGTACTCAAAAAACTGCAGACCACTCAAATTCCCATCAAGAAGGCAGCAAATAAGTAAATTATGGTGTATTCATATACAGCCAGGGTTGAAAAACTTTTCTTATGAAGGGCCAGATAATAGGATATAGGATTTCGGGTCATATGTAGTCTGCCTCATATTTTGGCCTTTTTTAGGGGGCAGCAGTGGAGAGTTGTTTGTTTTAAAATTTTATAATTGTAAAAAACATTCTTAGTTCACAGGCCATACAAAAACAGCCCACTGGCTGGATTTGGCCCATGGGCCATAGTTTAGCCACTCCTGATATAAAGAGAGTCTACCTATATAGCATCAAAAATGAATGAACTATAGCTACTTAAAACCCTATAGAAGAATCTTACAAACGTAATACTGAGCTAAAGAAGCAAGATATAAACATACACAAATACATAAAAAATCACATATGCAAAAACATCATAAGCAAAAATCACAAAAATATAATTCCATTGATATAAAACAAGTGCAGTGAAACTATGGAGCTTAGGAATGCATAAATAGACCTTAAAACCACAAAGAAAAGCAAGAAAATAGTTACCATACAAATCACAATTATGAATACTTCTGGGTCAGGGAAGGGATTGGAATCTGAAGGGGACCTCTGGGGCACTGGAGACATTCTATTTCTTGACCTGGACAATGGCAATATAGGTATTTGTTTCATAATTATGTAACTTATACATTTGTGTTTATTGTTTATCAAATTGTATGTCTATATTTTATGCATTTTTCTGTGTGTGTCATGTTTAAATGTGTCATCAATTGAATTTACAAAGACAGTGGTACAGATGCAGCCTCGTTGTCTGGGATAACACCCAAGGTTCTTTGTCCCACAGCTATGGAGATCAAGGATGTGGACACACAAAGGGTGAGGTTAAAGCAGAAGTTTAATAGGTGAAAGGAAAAGAATAGCTCTCTGCTTCGGAGAAGGGCCCCAAATGGGTTGCTGTACTGCAGTAAAATGTAAGGGTTTTTATAAGTGAGCTAGTAGGGAGAGGGTACTTTATCTCATAGGGCATGAAAAACCAGTTAGGACCAGGTGCGCCATCTGCATGGAGTGAAACCTCTGGCAGCCCCACCCCACTCTTTTATCATGCAGGCTGGTTCTTACCTTGGACTATTCCATGTTGCTTATCTCCTTCCCACCATGCATGTGCTAAAAAGGGGAGGGGGAGTTTCCATGCCTGGTCCTAGGTACCTCCTTGCAGCTGTAGGCATCTGCCCCACCATGCAAGCTTCCAGCTTCCCTATCTTAGTGTGCTCAAAAAGGGAAAGGAATGTGCTCATTAAGGCCCACTGTTTTTACTGGGATCAATCATATGTATGTGAAGTTTGGTGATTACCCTGGAAGCTCTCCCTTTATGCCAGAGTTGTTTATCTATGTTTTACAGCCCGATCTTCCAGGCTGGTCTTTATTAGAAGAGAAGTGATTTCTTTGAACTGCGAGTGGTTAGAAAGGAAGTAATTTCTCAAGCTGCTTTTTGTTAGAAGAAAAGTTTTGCCGGGGACTCTTTTGCCCTATCTACCCAAATAATTTCCTTCTATCTCCTGTATCAGTACAAAAAAAGAGTTAAAAAGAAAACCATAGGGCAGATAACATAATGCTAAAATAACATGAGAGAGGGTCTGAATGAGAGAGGGTGATACCCCAAGAATGGTGGGAGGCTGGTAATGTTCAAATGTAAGGACAGCAAAGGCAGAGGGGCCGTTGAAACTAGGAAGGGAAGCCTGATTAGAAGCAGCAGCATTCAGTGGAAAGAGGGCTGCCCAGTTCTCATCCCTTTGGGGGTTGGGGCTGCAGAGTTGCTCCCACAGGTTCCACTGGGCACAGACACTGGAGGGGCTGGAAGGGCTGTCCACAGAGGAAGAACAGGTCAGGATGGAACACGTACAAAAGGTGGGAGGTAATAATCAGTTTGTAGCTTCTCTGATGCCTCACCCCTCAGGCACCCTTTCACAGGCACAGGAAAGCAGACAAGGGAGCTGTATACACAGGTGAGAGAAGAAGAGATTTTTAAAAAAGTAGATATTGTTGGCAGGGTATGGTGGCTCATGCCTGTAATCCCAGCACTTTGGGAGGCCGAGGCAGGTGGATCACCTGAGGTCAGGAGTTCGAGACCAGCCTGACCAACATGGTGAAACCTCATCTCTACTAAAAAAATACAAAATTAGCCAGGCATGGTGGCGCATGCCTGTAATCCTAGCTACTTGGGAGGCTGAGGCAGGAGAATCACTTTAACCCTGGAGGCAGAGATTTCAGTGAGCTGAGATCATGTCATTTCACTCCAGCCTGGGTGAGACAGAGTGAGACTAGGCTCCGTCTCATTAAAAATATATATATTTATATTCTTGGGCCGGGTATGGTGGCTCATGCCTGTAATCCTAGCATTTTGAGAGGATGAGGAGGGAGGATCAAGTTTGAGCCCAGGAGTTCAAGACCAGCCTGGGCAACATAGCGAGACCCCATCTCTATTGCTTAAAAAAGGGCATTGTTTATATCTCTGTTACAGATCAAGAAATTAAGAATCAGGGAAGTTAAGACATGTGTCCAAGTTCACAGATTATTAATTAGTAAAGATGGAATGGGACCTAGGTTTGTCAGCCAGGGTTCTCCAGAAAAATAGAACAAATTAAATATATGTAGATTAGGTATTGGTATATATATAGAGAGAGAGAGATTTATTGCAGGCATGAAGTAGAAATCTACCTTGATAATTATGGGCAAAGATTTTCCTTTCCCTTAGAACCTCTCCCCTTTCCTGTCCAACTTAAACTTAATTAGTTAGTTTGTCCCTGAATTTGCCTGGAAGCCCAGCTACCCCAACTAATGAGGACCTTTCACTCTTCCTATCTCTGGGAGGAAAAAAAAAAAAAGCCAGATAAAATCCAGTGTGTTTGCCCCACAGGGAAGAAATCCCAGTGTCCCTGAGGCCTGAAGATGCACAATCTCTACCCTGGCACTCCCACCCCACCCCAGAGCAATCGTGACTTGCTGGAAGGGTCTCAGAAACTTTGATGTTATCACTTTGCTTTTCTCTCTCCAAAATTATTGCAAATTACCATGATGCAATGGAAAGAGTGTGAGCTTTGAAGTGCAACAGATCTGGCTTGAATCCTGGCTCTGACCTTTTTTTGATTCTGTATTTCTTTGACTTTAAAATGGGATAATAATTTTCATCTCATGAGGTGGTTGTGATAGTTAGGTGAAATAGTTTTATAAAGCTACTACATTGGTCCTGGTACGTGGTTCCCACCTCCACCAACATCAATCCTTTCCCACAAAACCCTCAGCTGCTCTCTCCACTGGCCATTACCTAGCCTGAGGGTAGTCATATGGCACAGGGGAACAGGAACTGGATTCGGTATCAGGAGCCCTACATTCTTTAGTACTTCATGTACTAACGTACATGGCTTTAGTACTTCAGTTGGGCGTAACACCCAGCCTGTCTGGCCCTCAATTTCTTCATCTGTAAATGCAGATAATGACTGATGATTATTCCAGCCCTACCCATCTCATAGAATGTATAGGAGATTGAAGAACGCTAGCTAATATGATTTGTAAATACCAGCAAAAATAGACTACATAATTAAGTTCATACTAAAGTACCAGTATGTGACAGCAGCCTGGAGTGCTCCTTCCCTGAGGAGTATTTGCATTTTTCTCTGCAGTGAAATGTAATCAGCCATTCACTTAGAAAAACTGTACTGGGGTCGGGCGCGGTGGCTCACGCCTGTAATCCCAGCACTTTGAGAGGCCGAGGCGGGCAGATGACAAGGTCAGGAGATCGAGACCATCTTGGCTAACACAGTGAAACCCCGTCTCTACTAAAAATACAAAAACAAAATCAGCTGGGCGTGGTGGCAGGCATCTGTAGTCCCAGCTACTCGGGAGGCTGAGGTAGAATGGTGTGAACCTGGGAGGCAGAGCTTGCAGTGAGCTGAGATTGTGCCGCTGCACTCCAGCCTGAGCAACAGAGCGAGACTCCGTCTCAAAAAAAAAAAAAAAAAAGAAAAAGAAAAACCATACTGGGCAGCTACCAATCTATGCAAAGAATTTGTTCATAAATAATCCTATTGGATACATAAGATTAACATTTATTCATTCATTCATGCATTTATTCAATAAATCTTCATTGAATCCCTGACATTTGGAAGAAGCTGCAGCATTTATCTCTTTAAGGACATATTTTAGTCTTATTCGTAATTTATTTGATTGTCACCTCCCACTAACTGGATTGTGAGATTTTTGAGGACAGGTGGGATTCAGGCAAGGGTCAGTGTTTGTTACTGACCAAAAGAACATGAAGAACTGACCAATTCTTTTTTGTTTTGTTTTGTTTGAGACAAGGTCTTGCTCTATTGCTCAGGTTGGAATGCAGTGGAGCAAACACAGCTCACTGCAGCCCTGACCTCATAGGCTCAAGCAATCCTCCCTCCAAAGCCTCTCAAGTAGCTGGGACTACAGGCGTGAGGAACCATGCCCAGCTAATTTTTGTATTTTTTCTAGAGACAGGGTTTCATCATGTCGCCCACACTGGTCTTGAACTCCGGGCTCAAGCGATCCGGCCACCTTGACCTCTGAAGGTGCTAGGATTACAGGCATGAGCCACTGCACCCAGCCAATTCTTAAATAACACAACTACCATAAGCCACTTTTCTCTGACCATTAACCACACCCACAGGGGCTGCTTGTCATCCTGGTCAGGCCAGGAGGACCTGGACTGACCATGTTTTGATCAATCACCTCAGAAGAACTCCTCCATGCCCTCCAGATCACTCAGCAGCCTCCAGGCCCCGGCCAGGCATCAAACCTCAGATTGGCCCCAGGAGGCACCATCTCTGTGAGCACAGCCTGGTGTCTGCCCAACCCACATGTTAGCTCTCCAGTCCCTTTGCAGCCCACACAGCTCAGAGACCATTAAGGCTGGCTGGAGTCTCTGATATTAATGAGGAATACTCTCAGCACAACTTGGCTCTACTTCCCCCATCAGGAGCATAGACGGATCGCGCTGGCAAATGCGTTTTGCTCCAGTCCTGAGCCATTCAAAAGCTGCCTAATGGATGGCGGCATAGGAAGGATTTGGCGTCTCTCCCTCTCTTTTGTCTCCTTTCTGTCTTCATCTTCCATCTCTATCCTTCCCCTTCTCTGTCCCTACTTCACTGTCTTTTTTGTATCCCCCCAACACACACCTCTTCTTAACCCTATTTCTTTATCTTTTCCCCTTTTTCTTTCTTTCTCATTGTCCCTCTACTCCTTTATCCTGTGCCCACCTCCTTTCCCTCACTATCTATTTTTTTAATCTTTGTCTAATTCTACTTCTTTTTCTCTTAACATCATTTTGTGCATTTCCCTATCTTTAAAATTCTTTGAAAAGTATCCCTTTTAGTGGATATTATATATCATCATAAAGCTATATCATAATATACCTAACCATCTCCCTATTGTTGGAAAGTATGGTGTTTCTAATTTTTCCCTATTAGAGATGGTAATGCCATAACAGACATAAATGGAAGTGTGTAGAAATGGGTTTTTACATTGAGTTAGTGATTTCAGAGCATGGGCTCTGGAGCCAGACCAGGTAGGTGTGAATCTCAGTTCTGCCACTAACTAATTGTGTAATCTTGGTAAATGATTAAACTGTCATGGCTTCAATTTCCTCATTAGAAATGGGGGAGGTTGCTTTTATTATTATTTTAATTGACATTTAGTAATTGTACATATTTATGAGATACAGTGTGATATTTTCATACATGTATACAAGGTATAATGATCAAATCAGGATAATTAGCATATCCATCACCTCAAACATTCATTATTTCTTTGTACTGGTAACATTTAAAATCTGCTCTTCTTGCTATTTGAAACATACAACAAATTGTTCTTAATTATAGTCACCCTACAGTGCTATAGAAAGCTAGAACTGGCCGGGCGTGGTGGCTCACGCCTGTAATCGCAGCACCTTGGGAGACCGAAGCGGGCAGATCATGAGGTCAGGAGTTCGAGACCAGCCTGACCAACATGGTGAAACCCCGTCTCTGTTAAAAATACAAAAATTAGCCAGGCATGGTGGTGCATGCCTGTAATCCCAGCTACTCAGGAGGCTGAGGCAGGAGAATACTTGAACCCGGGAGGCGGAGGTTGCAGTAAGCCAAGATCGTGCCACTGCACTCCAGCCTGGGTGACAGAGCAAGACTCTGTCTCAACAAAAAAAAAGAAAGAAAGAAAGAAAGCTAGAACTTGTTCCTCATATCTAGCAGTAAAATTTGCATCCAATAACTAACCTCTGGGTACTGCACCCATCCCCCTACCCTTCCCCAGCTCTCATAACCACTATCCTACTCTACTTCTGAGATCCACGTTTTTAGAATCCACATATGAGTGAGAACATGCAGCATTCATCTTTCTGTTCTTGGCTTATGGAAATGGAGATATTAATAGTAACTTACCTCATAAAATTTTTGTAAGGTTACATGGTATAATAAATGTAAAGCACTCAGAAGAGTGCCTAGCATTTAGTAGGCCCTTAAAAGGTATTAGCTATTATTTGTAATATTATTTGAGGAAAGACATAGAATGAGGTTTAGAACAATTGATGTTGCAAGCAAGTTTTTTTTAAGTATTATTATTGAAGGATGAGGAGAGACTGGAGAGAGTTATTAGACTACTCTAAAAGCCTATATTTGGGTTAGCAGAATCCAGACTTGGGATGGGGATGACAGATCCCACATTTGCCACATCCCTTAACCTTGGCAGATATAACGATTCAATTACCGCACTTTTCTCATAGAGCCCATATATAGCCTCACAATCCCATTCATCACTCCAAGCTTCCATTACTACTTAGTTTGAGTTAAGGTAAGGGATGGGCTTCTTCACGTCCCTGTTCTAGGGCAGTGGTTCTCAGCCCTGGTACACATTTGAACTGAGGCTGGAGAATAGGTCTGGAGGCAGGGAACATAAGGCCAATTCACACTGACTTCCTAGAACTAAATCAAATGGAAACACTTCAGCTACTACCGAAAATATCCTCTTCATTTACATAGGGCATACACCGAGTAAATGACTTTGTAACTTTACTTCGTCATCTTCATTTACATAGGGCATATACACCAAGAGACCAATGGAAACCTCTAGAAGGTATTTAAACCCCAGAAAATTCTGTAATGGAGCCCTTGAGCCCCAATGCTCAGGCCTGTACACCTATGGGGTGTACTTTTGTTTTCAATAAATCTCAGCTTTTGTTGCTTCATTCTTTTCTTGTTTTGTTTGTGCATTTTGTCCAATTCTTTGTTCAAGAAACCAAGAACCTGGACACCTTCAACTGGTAACAGAACCACCTGGGTCGTGGGATAGGCAAATTCCCACAATGTTCTCTGGCATCCCTACCTCTTAGCAGCCACACTTTTGTGTGAGCCTCTCCATGTCTTTTTTTTTTTTTGGAGAGATAAGGTCTCACTGTGTGGCACAGGCTGGTCTCTTAACTCCTGGATTCAAACGATCCTCCTGCCTCCACCTCCTAAAGTGCTGGGATTACAGGCATAAGCCTCCATACCCAGCCAGCCCCTTCATTTAGAGTATGGGCTGGACCTAGTGGCTTGCTTCTAATGAATATGCCAAAAGTAATAAATATCATTTTCATAAATGACTTATAAAAGATCATAGCTTCCATCTTGCTAGCAGACTCTCTTGCTGACTTATGAGGCAAGCTTCCAGGTTGAAGAGGCCCCTGGTGCAAAGGACTGAAGGTGATTTATCAGCCAACAGTAAACAGTCAACGAGGAACAGATATCCTCAAGTGAACAGCCTGTGGGGACCTGTATCCTGCCAACAGCCACTGAGTGAGCTTGGATGCAGATCCTGCCCTGTGGAACCTAGACTGCAGCCATGTGAGAGCCCGTGAGCCAACACCTTAACTACAACTTTGTGAGAAATCCTGAAGCAAGGGACCTAGTAAGTTGCATCTGGATTCCTAAACCACAGAAAATGTGAGATTATAAACATGTGTTGGGGTAATTTGTTACATGGAAATAGATGATTAAAACAAGTAAAAAGGAAGGGCTTAAAAAAAAACTGATGCAAACTAATTAAATCAGAATCTCTAAGGATGGGACCTAATCATTTGTATTTTAAAAATCTCCCCAGCTGATCTTAATATAAATCCAAAGTCCAGAGCCACTGACCGGACTTCTCAAACTTCCAGTGAATGAGAATCACCTAAGGATTTTGTCAAAATGCAGATCTAGGCTGGGACCCAAAGTTTTGTATTTCTAACAAGCTCTCAAGTTATGCTGATGCTCAAGGTCCCTAGAGTACACCAGGAAGCAAGGATCTAGAGACTAGACAAAAGACAAGGTAGGTCTGAGCTAGGTGTATGGCTCTGGAAATGGTGAGAATCAGGAGTAAGTGACTTATTTAAAGGAATAAGCCTCAGGTCTTGAATCATTTATGTGTCAAGGGCTAGGGTGAGGCATGCATGACAGCTGCCTTGAGGTTTTAAGTCCAAAGAACAGGGAGGAAGTAAGCATTTGTAGCTGAGATGAGGATTAAAAGAGAAGTTTGGGAAGAAAAGTAATAAATGCTCAGAGGAAAAGTAATACATGCTGGAAGTAACCTATTAAGGATGATCAGGACATAAATTGTGGTGCCCAATACAAAATAAAAATGCAAGTCCCCTTGCTAAAAAATTATTGAGAATTTCAAGATGGCAATGACAGAACATTAGTTCAAGCATGTGAGGCCCTCTGAGCATGAAACTTGTGCTATTGCTCAGGCCATACTGACATGTAGTCAGCCATGGGACAGATCAGTCAAAATCAAGACTTACCTACTCCAGGAAAATATTTTTCATCCCTGTCACACCCTCTCCCTACCCTCTGCCCTGGAGATGCCATGCTGTGTGCCTGGGACTCTCTCACATATTATTCTATAACTGAGGTCTGGCCTGGTTAGCTGCTGTACCTTGCCAGTGAGACTGGAAGCTGCCAGAGGGCCAAAGGAGTGATTCTTTTGCTTTTTCCCCCGACCTGTCTCAGAGAAGATAGGGTGCGGCTTATACTAGTTCCCCCAAGGTCAGCATGCTGGGAGCAAAGCCAGCCCATTTTTCCTTCATTCTAGCTCCACCCTGGATCCAAAGGCCTCTCCCCAATTGGCCACCAGGTAACAGGCTATAAACAGAGTTCACAGCCTGTAGCTCTAAGAATATCCTCAAATAGTTATTTTTAGCAGAGTGCTGTGTGGTTCAAATTGGAAAATATAACTGCCCAATGAGTTCACGTTGTCCACTGCCTAGAAAGAGCCAATTTATCAAAACAGGGGAACTGCAATAGAGAAAGAGTAATTCACCCAGAGCCAGCTGTGTGGGAGGTGGGAGTTTTATTATTACTCAAATCAGTTTCCCTGAGCATTTGGGGATTAGAGTTTTTAAGGATAATTTGGGGGGTGGGGAAAGGCCAGTGAGTCAAGAGTGCTGATTGATGGGGTCAGAGATTAAATCATAGGAAGTTGAAGCTCTCTTTTTGTGCTGAGTTAGTTCCTGGTTGGGGGCCATAAAATCAGATGAGCCAGTTTATGGATCTGGGTGGTGCCAACTGATCCATCAAGTGCAGGGTCTGCAAAATATCTCAACTACTGATCCTAGAAGCAGTTTAGGGAGGATAAGAATCTTGTAGCCTCCAGCTGCAAGACTCCTAAACTATAATTTCTAATCTTATGGCTAATTTGTTAATCCTACAAAGGCAGTCTAGTCCCCAGGTAAGAAGGAGTTTGTTTTGGGAAAGTGCTGTTATTGTCTTTGTTTTAAACTATAAACTAAATTCTTCCCGAAGTTAGTTTAGCCTACTCCAAGGAATAAACAAAGACAGCTTGGAGGTTAGAAGCAAGAAGGAGTTGGGTAGGTCAGATCTCTTTCACTGTCTCAGTTATAATTTTGCAATGGGGATTTCAAAAATAGCTGATCCATCCCTTAGGGCTGGTACCTGTCCCACACTGATACCTTTGATATTTACTGGTCCCCTGTGGTTCTTGGTGAATTGCAAAGCTAGGCTGACCACTCTCAGGATTAGACCTCACTCTCAGGCCAGACCCAATAATGGGCTTGGGAGACCCTTTCTGGGACATGAGTATGAACAACTGTTCACAACCAATTTACCAAAAAAAATAAAGTCAAACTGATTTATTTGACAAACATACCACACTTCCCCATGCTTATAATCATGTCTCAAACCCAAGAAATTAAAATGTCAAGATGATGAAAATAATACTATATCACACAATCTACAAAATTCTACTGAATTTTACTTGCTACAACCTTTCATATATGATCCCAAAAGTGTAGGTAAATGGTGAGATGTTTGGCATCTCACTCTATGACTTTGTACCTAAGAAAAAAAACAATATTTATTGTGAAGGTAGCATGTGTTGGATACTGTGCTACGCACTTCATATACTATCTCATTTAATAGCATAGAGAAGCAGAATAACAGAATGATGGGGAGAAGAGTTTTATAAGCTAAACAGCCTGGGCTCAAGTGAAGCTCTGCCACTTACTAACTCTGTGCCTCAGCTTTGCAATTTATAAAATAGATAGAATGAAAATAATGGCACTTTTTTGGCCAGGCACAGTGGCTCATGCCTATAATCCCAGCACTTTGGGAGGCTGACGTGGGCAGATCACTTAAGACTAGGAGTTCGAGACCAGCCTGGCCAACATGGCAAAACCCTATCTCAACTGAAAATACAAAAATTAGCCAGGTGTGGTGGGATGTGCCTGTAATCCCAGCTACCTGGGAGGCTGAGGCGCAAGAATCTCGAGTCCAGCAGGCAGAGGTTGCAGCGGGCTGAGGTCATGCCACTGCACTCCAGCTGGGGCAACACAGTGAAATCCTGTCTTAAAAAATTAAAAGGCCAGGTGTGGTGGCTCATGCGTGTAATCCCAGCATTTTGGGAGGCAGAGGCAGGTGGACCACTTGTGGTCAGGAGTTCAAGACCAGCCTGGCAATATGGTGAAACCCCATCTCTATTAAAAATACAAAAACTAGCTGGGTGCAGTGGCCCATGTCTGTAATCTCAACTACTCAGGAGACTGAGGCAGGAGAATTGCATGGCCCAGGAGACAGAGGTTGCAGTGAGCCAAGATCATGCCACTGCACTCCAGCCTGGGCAACAGAGCGTGACTCAGTCTCAAAAAAAAAAAAAAAAGAAAGAAAGAAAAATAAATCACAGTACTTTATTCATGGGGTTGATTAACTGATTAAAGGACTAAATGAGTCATTACAGGTAAGGCAGATAGGACAGCATTGGCTTTCTAGTGTCAGAAATTCACCTTTATCTTCACAACAACCTGGTGAGATTAGTATGATAATACTCAATTTAAAGATTAAGTAACCATAGTTCAGCGAGGTGAAGCAATTTGCTCAGGGTCACAAAGCCGATAATGCCATAGCTAGTATATGAATTCAGGAATGCTTCAAGTATAGCCCAGGAATGAAATTCCCGGAATTAGTTCACACATGAGCTCCTATCATGCACAGGCACTGCAGATAAAGTGAAGAACAAGAAAATGAGATCCTGTTGGCTTAGTTGGGGAAAAAAAGAAAGTCAAATATAAACAAATAGATGAATAAAGTAATTTCAGATAGTAAATAAACAAATAGATGAATAAAGTAATTTCAGATAGTAATAATGCAGTGAAGATGATAAAACAGACTGATGTCAATAAGCAAAAACTAAAATTAACACAAATGTTCATTAAAGATGAATGAATACACTGACTCTACTATATCCATAAAATGGAATAGCAAGGAATACAATATTGATACACACAACATAGTGGATGAATCTCAAAATCATGATGGCAGGAGAAAACCAGACACAAAAACTAAATGCTGTGTGATTCTATGTATATACTGTCACGTGCATCCATGTGAAGAGACAACCAACAGGCTTTGTGTGAGCAACAAGGCTGTTTATTTCACCTGGGTGCAGGTGGGCTGCGTCCGAAAAAGGAGTCAGCAAAGGGTGGTGGGATAATCATTAGTTCTTATAGGTTTGGGATAGGCATACAAAGGACATTCTCAAGCGTGGGGAGAATATTACAAAGTACCTTCTTGAGTGTGGGGGGGAATATTACAAAGTACCTTCTTAAGGGCAAGGAAGAATACTACAAAGTACCTTCTTAAGCGTGGGGGAGAATATATCGTATCAGTTAGGGTGGGGCAGGAACAAATCACAATCATGGAATGTCATCAGTTAAGGCTATTTTCACTTCTTTTGTGGATTTTCAGTTGCTTCAGGCCATCTGGATGTATATGTGCAGATCACAGGGGATATGATGGCTTAGCTTGGGCTCAGAGGCCTGACAATAACATTCCAGAAAATGCAAATGAATCTCTTAACATAAAACAATTCAGTGGTTGCCTAGGGCTGAGGGCAGAGGAAAGAATAGACTGCACAGAGTAAACTTTTGGGGTTGATGGAAATGTTCTGTGAAAGAAAAATAAATCTTCAGGCCCCCAAATCACTAAAGGGAAAAGTCAAGCTGGGAACTGCTTAGGGCAAACCTGCCTCCCATTCTATTCAAAGTCACCCTTCTGCTCACTGAGATAAATGTGTATCTTACTGCCTCCTTTGGAGAGGCTAATCAGAAACTCAAAAGAATGTAGCCATTTGTGTCATTTGTATCACACCTGTAATACCTATGACCTGGAAGCCCCTCCCACTTTGAGTTGTCCTGCTTTTGCTTCAAGCTGTTCCATCTTTTCTGGACTGAACCTACGTTCATTTCACATATGTTGATTGATGTCTCATGTCTCCCTAAAATGTATAAAACCAAGCTGTGCTCTGACCACCTTGGACACATGTCATCAGGACCTCTTGAGGCTGTGTCACAGGTGTGCATCCTCAACCTTGGAAAAATAAACTGAGACCTGTCTCAGATTTTCAGGGCTCACATTCCAGTAACCACAGAGGGATTCTGAGTGGAGATGCCCCTGACTTTTGACAAATCTCTTATCAGTGCTTAGTACCAGCATGAGCTAACTTTATGGTCAAACCAATAGCACAATTTGCTGAGGTCTGGGAGCACCCCCTCCAGAAAGGACCTGATCTCCCAAAATTTGGTCAAGATCTAAAGTTTGTTTTGCTATACAACTCCCTTTTTTGGGAGTTTTATTTGCTTCCAACAAGGAAGGCAAGTTTTCCTGCTTCAATGATGAGGGAAGGCAGGTAACTCCTTTATGCAGTTTGAGCTGGCTTCCAAAAGGGAAGATAGGTTTTTTTTCCTGCTTCTAGGATGGTGGAGAGCAGTCTTCAGCCTGAGACCCATCCCTAAGTAAGTAGCTGAATTGGGGTTTTGTCTTGGCTAAAGTTAACAACCAGCTGGTTTTAATTTCTCCTTACCATAAGAGTACTCAGTAATCATATAAGTTTTGTGATTGTTTGTTTTCCTTAACAGTTTTGTTGTTGTTGTATGTTTCTGATTTTGTGGTTCTTTTAATCTTTTTCCCATTGGGTTTTACCAACACTATCTGACTCACTCAAGTCCAAAGGAAAGTTGCAAATTATGGGGAACGAGTCCTCTGAAATGGTTAAATTTCCCCCAACACATACCAAAAAAGGTGGTGTGGTGGGGAAGAAAAATGGCCAAAAAAAGAAAAAAAAAGAGGAAAGATTTATTATTTTGATTTTGACTACTAAAGGGATTTTATTTATATAACAAGGCCAACATTTTGTGAGCCACGCTAAACTGAAAGCAATGGCTGTTGCCCCACACTGCAGGTCAGTTCAATAGCTAAGGTTCTGCATTATTTTTTCCACCATGACAGGTTGGGTTTGGTTCCTAAATCAAGACCTTTCTGGTTTGATACTTGGTACTTCTGAAATAGTGCCTATTTGTCCTAGCTGAAATATGGTAATAAGATTTTAGAAGATTTTTTTAAGGAGCTCAGTGGTTAAAGTCAGTTTAACAAAAAGCTAACATCCAAGATGTGTGTGTGTGTGTGTGTGTGTGTGTGTGTGTGTGTGTGTGTGTTTGTATTTAAAAGATCATGTTTTTGTTTTTGTTTTCTCTCTCCTAGGACCTTGTCTTTTTTTGAGCAAAAGTTATTTTCTTCTCGGTTGACTGAATTCTATTTTCTTCATTTACTTCTGCTGTCTCTCCTTTCTCTTGCAACTTCTGCTGCACGAAGGACCTAAACTTGTTTATAATAACCTGGGGTTTCTTAAAGAAAATGGAGAAGATGCCAGACTCCCTTTAGGGGAGAAACCTGTTTTTCTTTATGGAACCCCAAGAGTATAAACAGACAAGTTCATCTCAGCTTTTAAACTGCTTCCTTTTGGCCTGATTTATTGACTAAAATCATTATTGCAACACAAGATATTCTTGGTTTTTGTTTGTTTTTTGGTTTTTTGACAGTCTCAATCTGTCAGCCAGGCTGGAGTGGAGTGACCTGATCTTGGCTTACTGCAACCTCTGTCTCCTTGGTTCAAGTGATTCTCCTGCCTCAGCCTCCTGAGTAGCTGTGATTACAGGCACCCACCACCATGCCTGGCTAATTTTTGTATTTTTAGTAGAGATGGGTTTCATCATGTTGGCCAGGGTGGCCTCGAACTCTTAACCTTAAATGATCTGCCTGCCTTGGCCTCCCAAAGTGCTGGGATTACAGGCATAAGCCACCATGCCTGGCCAATATTCTTGGGCTTTTAAAGAAGAGTATAGTTTAGACACTTAGAAATGTCTTTGTTTTTAAAAAAAAAAAATTTTAAGTGCACTATAAAAACATCATGTGGTCTGATCTCATAATAATTCTTCCTTTTTGGAAACCCAGGATTCAGTATGGGCTCTCCCCAGAGCTCAGAGATCCAGTTAAAAGATAAGAAGTCCCTATCTAAATAAAACTGGTCTCCTTATACAATCCTCTGACAGATTTTCATAATTTTATGTTTGATTTGGCATCCATCTTTACTCTCCCACTAGCATACCAGAGTTTTCTTCTCCATACCTTATGATGTAAATTTTGCTACTTGATTTTCACCACAGTTGTTTCCTTTAATATGCAAATATAAGGCTATTTAGCTGACACCTGCCTAGGGTTATAAAATAGGTTATCAAGAATCTGAAAGTCTAAGATAGGGGAAAAAAGGGAGGGTTTTATGAACCTATAAGATGTACTTCTATCAGCATGCCTAATATGTGTATATATTTATGTGTGGTGCACACAATGTTCCACCACTGAAAATATATAAAAGAGCTCTAATTAGTTGGCTTAAAGAAAAATAAAAGTGCTTAAATCAAATACTTTATCAGAAAAAAAAGACAAGTCAAATGCTTTTTCAAGTTTACATGACTTAAGTAAAATCTTTAATAAATAAGCTAGCTTTAAAATTATTCTTGAAATAATAACAGAAACATCTTAAGAATTGTCAGCATACATTTTGGTTTGCATTTATTGATCAAGCAATTTTATATTTATCCTGGCCAAATAATACAAGGTGTCAAAATTTGGCATAGGGGTTACAAAACTATAAACCCAGCCCAAAACACAATGTTCTTCACTTGTATAATTTTTAATAAATAAGATATTGATATTAGTTTAATGAAAATAGCTACACCTAGAATTTAGAAACATTACCATAACTTCTAAGCCTGTTGTTTTAGGTGGTCTAGTCCACAGGCAGTAAGGAAGTTTGCTTTGGGAAAGGACAGCTACCATTTTTGTTTCAAAATTAAACTATAAACGAAGTTCCTTCCAAAGTTAGTTTGACCTGTGCCCAGGAATGAACAAGAACAGCTTGGAGGTTAGAAGCAAGATGGAGTCAGTTAGGGCAGATCTTCTTCACTGTCTCAGTTATAATTTTGCAATTAAAGTTTCATAAATTTAAATGATGACTATTGCAGTTTTCATTAATAATCCAGGTAAGTGATTAAAATAATTAGGTAAATGTAATGAGATAAATACTTGTAAACAAACTCATAATTTAGAAACTAACATTATATAAAATAGTAGAAATTTCATTATTTGAGTATTTACCGATAAAAATATATCCGTAGGAAAACATTCTTTCTTAAAAAAAAAAGTGTGTCCTTTTAAAAAGGTGAACAATTTTTGTCTAATTCAAAGCTTATTTAAAGGTCATGTATAAAACAAGGTAAAAGGAACCAGGAAATAAGAGAGATGTAAAGAAAGTTGTAGAAATAAAGAGGGCTTTTTGGTTTTTGTTTTTTGTTTGTTTGTTTTTAGTAAGAAAGCTTAAAGGGAAGTAATTTCATATGAGAAAGAATCTTGTATGGTAAATTTAGTCCTAGAGTGGAATGACTGGTTGTTTAAGACAAAGGGATATTCAGGACAAACCAGAAAGTCCAAGCATTTCATGAATTGTCTATGTAATTCACAATAAGAGAATTTAGATTTATTAAACAAATAAACAAAAACTTTTATATCAAAAACTTTTAGATCAAGTTGTCTATAATTAAAGAAAAATTATAATGGTCTTTCTAGAGACTGATCTCTATGTAAAGAGAAAATATTTTTTTAATTAAGGTTACAACATCTCTGTATCTTTCTGTACATGCTTTTAAAGTCCTTGTGACATTGAGTTACAGGTCTTTGACTCCTGGGTCTTAAAAGAACACCAAGCCGGGCGCTGTGGCTCATGCCTGTAATCCCAGCACTTTGGGAGGCTGAGGCAGGTGGATCATGAGGTCAGGAGATCGAGACCATCCTGGCTAACATGGTGAAACCCCATCTGTACTAAAAATACAAAAAATTAGCCAGGCGTGGTGGCAGGCGCCTGTAGTCCCAGCTACTCAGGAGGCTGAGGCAGGGGAATGGCATGAACCTGGGAGGCGGAGGTTGCAGTGAGCTGAGATCGTGCCACTGCACTCCAGCCTGGGTGACAGAGCGAGACTGTCTCAAAAAAAAAAAAAAAAAAAAAAAAAGAACACCAAATCTTAAACACAGACAGCAATTAAAGCCTCATCTTCAGTCCCAATAGAAGACACCAATAAAAATAAACTACATTCCAGGGACACAGGGCCAGAAATTAAAGCTATTTGACTCAAGGCCTGGGGACTATCATGGAAGAGATGTACTCATGAGATTGTAAGGGCTGATTTTGAATGATAAAATAAGATACGTTTCTCTATAAATTAATCATTAATGTCAAAGGCACACTGCTATTAAGACCAGCATATGGGCCCCTAGGTCAGATTAACAAGGTTTTCTTGAAGCATTAACTGATTCCTTAATAAATGTTATAAAAGTCTTTCAAGTTGTATCTTATGGTCAAGATTAAACTTTTATAGACTTTATAAAATTTTGAAAAATTAATTGGCATCCTGCTGTTTTTATTAGGGCTTATTATTTGGAAAATTAAGCCTCCTCTCTCAAAGAATGAAGGTATTTTCCCTATTTTTTGAAATCCTTGAGTTATCACTTTGGTTAAATGAATGATCCTATTTTGTGATATCAAGTGTTTTAAACCTTTGATATTTGACAAACTTTTCAAGATCAAATTATAAATGATGTCTTTTTCTGACCTAATTAATCTTTTAATATATTAGTCTCCCTAAAGTCCAAAAATGACATAGTTTGGCTTATTTAGTATAAAAATTTTACGGAAAACATGGTGAAATATGAAATGGTGTTTGGTTCTCTTTGGGCTGTATTTGTTTAAATATGTTATTGGTATGTGTTACAAGATTATGGGAAACTCCCATAATTCTGATATGACTTAGGGTATAATTGTTATGTTAAATTATTGTGTGCCACACACGTAGCAAATTTCCTTGTCAATTGTGTCTTTGACTATGGCTGCCCTAAAACTTTTTGTCATCCACAGACAATTGCTGTCTTGTTTTTGACCTCTTTAGAAGGTGGTTTTATAGTCAGCTACAAGACTCTAACAGGTACTCTTAAATGCAAGTTTCTGATAATTTTGGAGATTGTGACATCAGAGTAGAGGAAAACTTTCAGGATTCATGGAGACCTGAAAGGTTGATGAATATCAAGCATAACAGGAATTAACTGCATGGACCAAACTAATAGAAGTCTGAAGTAATTTTTTAACTTTTTGCTTAAAACATTGCTGATCCTTTGTTTTGCTTTTCAGAGTCAAGAAAACTTTTCTTTTAAGCTATTTACAGATTTTAACAATTGAGTAAAGTATATTCCTATGAACAAAATTTGGAGCATGTTTGCTTTCTCTCTACCTGATTTCTAGATAATTTGGAAACTATTTGTGAGTATCTCAACTTATGACAATACAGTTATTTGCATAAGTGTAATAAGACTCTGTATTCATTTATAACAGTACACAATTGGAGAAACTGGTTATTTTACCAATGCTTTGACTGGAATGGTGTGTTTTCCTTTAAGAAATTAAACCTGACTTGTGGAGCCAATAAAAACCCCTGGGAAAACGGGCCTCATACTGGTCTACACAGTCCCCGTACAGGGTTCTGACCTGTGGTAAGTAAGGAATGTCACTTTCTGACAGGCCTAGGAGACCCACATTTTATCTTGGAACTTCAAGAGGAGAGGCTCACCCAACTGATAGGTATTTGATGGTACAAATCCATGGCTGGGCTCAGCTTTAAAAAAGTCTTATCTGAGATTCCTTCTACAGAACAAAGTTCCATCAAAGCAAATTTAAAAGCCTATGTAAAAAATAATTATCCTTGCTGTACTATATACAAATAATCAGGCCAACTATAATAAAGCAAACCAGCCCTACCATGATTTGCCTTTAGTAAAAATGGGAAACTGGAGAGAGAAAAATTGTGTTTCAGAAACTATAGTATACCTGTTGTTAGATTCTATTCTTTCCTAATGTTTTTCTATTTTTATTATTTTCTACAATTTGGACTGAATTCTAATTTTTCTTGGCTACAAGTCTTCAAAATAATGTTTTCAATTTTTTTCTTCTTTTTTTCGCCGCATTTCCAAATTTGGAGTCACTGAAAACTAAGCTGTGCTTTCTTAAAGTCCTGAGAACTGAAGCTAGACAACTTAAATTTCAGAAGAAAATAACAACAACCTGTTTACATACATAAGCCACTTTCATACCCACCTACTGATGTATGGACTTCAGAGTAATGTAGTCTATATGGTTTCTCCAGGATTTTTTTTGTTTTTGTTTGTTGTTGTTTTTCTCCTCTCCTCCCCCATTGTCTCTTCACAGGACATGAGACTTCACAACCTGCTAATGATGAACTTTCCTAATAATTCGGAACCCACCCATCTAGAAATAAACCATCCTAGCTATGAGAGATCAGACAAAACCTGAGACCAAAGACTCATTTTCTTCTAAAATCCTGTCTCCAAAATATTTTTTAAAAGAAAAGGGAGGAAATGTGAAAGGAAAATATCTTGGGGCCCCCAAATCACTAAGCTAAAGGGAAAAATCAAGCTGGGAACTGCTTAGGGCAGACCTGCCTCTCACTTTATTCAAAGTCACCTATCTGATCACTGAGATAAATGCATCTTTGCTTGCCTCCTTTGGAGAAGCTAATCAGGAACCCAGAAGAATGCAACCATTTGTCTCTTATCTACCTATGACATGGAAGTGCCTTCCTCACTTTCAGTTGTCTTGCTTTCCAGACTGAACCAATGTTCATCTTACACATGCTGACTGATGTCTCATGTCTCCCTAAAATGTATAAAACTAAACTGTGCTCTTACCACTTTGGACAAGTTACCAGGACCTCCTGAGGCTGTGTCATGGGTGCACACCCTCAACCTTGGCAAAATAAACTTTCTAAATTAACTGAGACCTGTCTCAGATTTGGGGGATTCACAAGGTTTACTCTCTTTGTATCCTCTCTACTTGATAATGAAGAGGCTGGGGAGCACATTCATTAAGACTCTGGGTCTGTCTTACTCTGGCTTTGAAGTCAGACAGACCCAGGAAAAACCTAGGTCTTCCACTTGCTAGTTGTGTGACCTTTGGCAAGCTATTAACATTTCTTTAGCAGCAGTTCCCTTATCTGCATAATGGGATTCTAATATTACCAGTTAATAGCACCTTTGTAAGGGTTAGATAAGACACAGGTGTGAAGTGGGATGGTTGTATGGTAAACCCTTGATCCACCTCAGTTATCTCAATATCCAGCTCAGTGCCTGTCATAATAGGTGCTTGGTAACCATTGAATAAATTTCCCTAGTATTATTCATGCTTTTTAGTCTTAGCCTCTAAAACTGCATAATTCTCAAGAGCAGAAACCATATCTTTTACATCTTTTATGGGCTGTCTCTTCTTGTGTTATATAAAAGGTTATATAGAAGGTGCTCAATAAATGCATAGTGGGTGCACTGTGGGGGAATCCAAAGTTTGAACCTAAATTTTGATCATAGTTTTTCCATTATGGACAGGTTTTCTGTCTTTAGGTCTGTTTCTTTATTGGCAAAAATTAGAGATAGGTATTGGATATGTGGTCTGGGGACAATGTCATATGCCTACCTGAGAATATGGTCAGCAAGAGATTTCTCAGTCAAACATAAAAATGAGAAAGACAGTTTTCCTGATTTATCTGGCACTGTGAGCTAGTTGGGCATCAGGGCCTGGCATTACCATCAGGTCCCTGGATGAGCTGGGAATTTCATGCACAAGATGGGAATTGAGCTGTTCAAGACTAATTTCAATAAAAGTTAACAAAAAAGTTATGAAGGAGTACTGCCCAAGAGAAATAGGGTTGATAAAATCTTGTAAGTCACATTCAAAAACTGTAATTTATCACTGTACTCAAGAAAAATTAATATGGCCCATGTGCTGTGCAAAAATTTCTGATGCTGTGGACCATGACTGGAAACATTGGTATAAAAGCTCTCTGCTCCAACAGGGAAGAGTATTTTATCACTGACACTGTCTAGCACTGCCAGTGCACGGCGATGATAACAGCTTTTAGGGGTGTCTATTCTTGATGTTAAGTCCTCCTTAGGCATTGTACCTCCTCATTGACTGTATCAGGGGCCAGATGCTTCCTGCCCATTGTTCTCCATGGATTGAAAATATTTGAGTGTTCTTGGGCTAGAACTGTTTTGTTTCTTACAACTTGAACATTCTTTTCATCATTTAGTTCTCAGCACAAATTTCATCCTGTTCGAGAGGATTAAAGTAGCCCTGTCCCACTCACATTAACAGTTGTCATCCCAGGTTTTAAAGTCAACTTTACTGAAGTTTCATTTATGTGAAGTGAGCTGCACCCATTTAGAGTGTACAATTTGATGAGTTTCGTTATATACATTGTCAACCTGGAATAATCAAAAGGGTCAGAATCCAGTTTTATTAAAGTGTTTATTCAAGCAAAAAGCTGGGAATAGCCATTCTGGGATGCAGAAATTCCAGAGAAATGGGTCAGTGCTCCAAAGCTAAAAGCCAAATTCTTGCTCATATAGGCAGAAAGCAAATAAATTTAACAAGATTATAGCATTTTCTACACAAGGCTCGTTTATGAGTTATAATCAATTGTTTTCTGTATAGCTGGTTTTCATTTCCTTTCTGAAAGGTTCTCCCTGGGTCCTGAAAGTCTGGGGGATGAATAATTCCTCCCTCCTCAGGCCCAGTCCCAATGCACAAGGCCACTTGCACCAGCAGCGTGCATCAGAAAGATAGCAGAAGCAGGAAGAGAGATGGCCAGAAGGCATGGATCCCCTGGAGATCAAGAGAGAGAGGCTGTCCGGGTACCACGTAGCAGTTACATCAGACTAGGACACTTCCTGTTTACAGGAGAATATAAAACGCCTGCCTCATCCTCACTTGGGGCTGACACCATTTTAGGCCTCAGCCCATCTGCACCCAGGTGCTCATTAAAACAGCGTGTTGCTCCACAATGCCTTGTGTTGTTTGTTGGCATGTTCTCGGGGTTCGAACCAATACAAGAGCTTTGCATCTGTTGCCAAAACCTGGGACGGGCTCCAGTCCACATCCCCTGTGGACCTACTCCTCCACCCTGGAGAGCAGGCCACAGCAGTTGGACAAAGGAAGGTCCTCAGCCTCCAGTCGCCTCTCTGTGCACGCACATCGGTCACTGATATTGCCTACTGGTAAGTATCCTGCGAGCCTGGTTAACAGAAACCTGCATAGCCTCTCTTGGTTTCTCCAGTACAAAAATCCAACGTTGGTCCAAGAAGGTTCCAGCATGTGCCAGGCACTTGCTGATAATCTGGTCTTAGGGGGACACCTCCAAGCCATTTGATCCCATTCTGGGAACAAAAAAGGCAGCGGTGATGACTGCTCCTTTTATCATCTCCCTCTGGCCATCCAGGACAGTCTCCTTTTCCCTGTTCTCCCAAGCCTACCCTCCGTTATGGGAAATTCCCTGTCTTCCATTCCAAAGGACAGCCTGCTAGGCTGTATCATAAAAAAACCCTGCAAACCTTAGGCCTCAGGCAAGGTATCCACCCTAAGCATCTTGTCTTTTTTTTGCAATTCAGTCTGGCCACAGTACGAATTGGATAATGGGTCCAAATGGCCCGCAAATGGAACATTCGACTTTACAGTTTTAACTGACTTAAGCAATTATTGCCAACGACTGGAAAAATGGGGAGAAATTCCTTATGTCCAGGCCTTTTTCGCACTCAGATCACAACCAAACCTCTGCAATTCTTGCTCACCTGTTCAAATCCTGCTCCTCCATTCTCACCACCCTGATTGCCTTCTCCTCCTGACCCTACCCCTTTTTCCTTGTTCGATCCAGCAGACTGCTGTCCACCCCTCCCAGCCCCTACCTCTCCCTCTCAACCATCTTCTTTAACCCCCCAAGCCTTCTCTTTGTCTTCCCAGCTGACATCTTCCCAGCCGCCATCTTCCCAGCTGCCATCTTATCAGTCACCACCTTCCCAGCCATCATCTTCCCAGCCAGCACCCCCTCCAGGAGTATGCACTTCTCTTCCTACACCATCCTCTCCTCAGAACAATTCTAGCACTGCCTGTACCCATTCTCCTCCCCCACCACCCTCTCCTGAGGCCTATAAACGCATCCCACCACCTTATGCCCCTATCTATCCTCCACTGCCTATTAACTCAACCCCCCTTCCCCTTCAAACCCTCAACAGGAACCACTTCCAGGTTCTTCCTTTTCTCCCACCCACACTCGCTCAGGTGCCATCTTTGGCCCATGCCCCACCCTTACTTCAGCACATGTGCTAGAGTGCCCCCTTCAGGAAGTAGCAGGAACTGAAGGTATTATTAGAGTTCATGTTCCATTCTCCCTCACTGATCTCTCTCAAATTAACAAAAGACTCAGTTCATTTCCAGAAGACCCTACCTCTTATATTAGAGTTTCAGTACCTCACCCACTCTTATGAACTAATTTGGCATGACCTCTACATTATCCTCTCTTCCACCCTCACCCCAGAAGACCAGGACTGTATCTGGACCCTAGCTCAGGTGCATGCTGATAAAATTCATCACCAGGCTCCTACCCAGCCTACTGGCATAGAGGCAGTCTGCAACCAGGACCCCCATTGGGATTATCAAGATGGGGCCCCTGGGCACCACCATCGAGACAACATGACTGTGTGTCTCCTTGCAGGACTCAAAAAGGGTGCCCATAAAGCGGTAAACTATGAAAAACTTTCAGAAATCACCTACGGTCCTGATGAAAGCCCAGCCCTTTTCCTCTCTTGTTTAACTGAAGCCATGAGAAAACATACCAACCTAGACCCAGCCAGCCCAGAAGGAACCACTATTTTAAACCTTCGGTTCATCTCTCAATCCACCCCTGATATCCAGCACAAGCTTCAGAAGCTTGACGACGGCCCTCAAACCCCACAATAAGACCTTCTTAATTTAGCCTTCAAAGTCTTTAACAATCGTGATGAGGAAGATAAAAGGCAAAAACAGGCAGAATTTCAAATGCTGGCCTCTGCAATCATGGCCCTGCACACCCACAGGGCCACAGCTCCACATGGACGCCTCCTAGTAATCCACCTCCACCTGGCACCTGTTTCAAGTATGGCAATGAAGGCCACTGGTCCAGACAATGCCCAAACACAGGTAAGCACATCAGGCCATGCCCCTTCTGTGGAGGACCCCACTGGAAGTCAGACTGTGAGTGGCCTCTGGAAGGACTACCCCCATCCCTTCCTGAGCCAGCCAAAACCTCCTACTTGGATCTCATTGGCCTTGCCACTGAATACTGATGATGCCCTGGATTGGACACCCTGGCAACTACTATCTCTTCATCTGAGCCAAGGGTAACCCTGATGGTGGCAAGTAGGCCAGTATGTTTTTTAATTGATACCGAGGCAAGCTACTCTGCTTTACCTAATTTTCAGGACCCACCTAGTCCTCCCAAGTCTCTGTTGTGGGAATTGATAGACAAGTCTCCAAACCCTGAGCCACCCCTCCACTCTTCTGCTCCCTTTACACCTTTTCCTTCACTCATTCTTTCTTAGTCCTGCTCTCATGCCCAACTCTGCTCCTAGGCAGAGACATCCTTTCAAAACTCCACACTACTCTCCATGTCCATGTTCCCCATGGTACCAACACCTCCACCCAGACCCCTCCAGTGCTTCTAGCTTTCTTCTACTCCTCCAACCTCCCACCCTAAAACATGCAGCCTTTCCTAATCCCCCATCCATAGTTAACCCTGCTGTTTTGGATACTTCCACACCCTCAGTCATGAAACACCACACCCCTGTCCACATTACCCTTAAAAACCCCACCCAGTTCCTATCACAGAAGCAGTATCCAATCCCCCAAGCAACTCTTATAGGCCTAAAGCCTATCATTTCTTGCCTCCTCACCAGTCACCTACTCCATCCAACAAACTCCTCTTTTAACACACCATTTCTACCTGTTAAGCCAGATGGAACTTGTTGCTTAGTCTAGGACCTCAGGCTCATTAACCAAGCTGTACTCCCAGTATGTCCAGTAGTTCCTAACCCATACACTTTACTTTCTGCAATTCCCTCCAATACCACCCATTTTTCTGTCCTAGACCTAAAGGATGCTTTTTTCACTATTCCTTTGCACCCTGATTCTCAAGACCTCTTTGCCTTTACATGGGAAGACCCCAACACTCACCTTTCACATCAGCTCACCTGGTGTGTAATACCTCAAGGTTTTAGAGACAACCCCACCTTTTTGGACATGCCCTTGCTTGTGACCTCTGTACCTTATCCCTAAAACCATCCATTCTCCTTCGCTATGTTGATGATCTGCTCCTGTGTAGCCCCTCTCAAAAAGACTGGAATGCCCATACTATCTCTCTTTTAAACTTCCTGACAGAGCAGAGGCATCAGATCTCCCCTTAAAAAGCAAAAATATGCACCCCCTCAGTCACCTACCTAGGCCTAGCCCTTACCCTGCAAACCCGAGGGCTCACAACCGACCACATATCCCTCCTCCAGTCCCTCCCACCTCCACAAACTAAGCAAGAAATTCTCTCTTTTCTAGGACTAGTGGGACATTTTAGGCTCTGGGTTCCCTCCTTCGCTCTACTTGCCAAACCTTTATACCAAGCTGCTAAAGGCCCTCTCCATGAGCCTTTAAAACCAGCACAGCCTATTACCCAACCTTTCTGTCTACTCCAAAAGGCTCTCATCTCAGCCCCCATCCTCACCCTCCCAGACCTCACCAAAACTTTCTCCCTGTGTACCGACAAATGGCATGGAGTTGCACTAGGTGTTCTAACCCAGTCCAAAGGACCCACCCTCCAGGTTATTGCCTACCTCTCCAAACAGCTTGAAACCACAGTTCTCAGATGGCCTGCCTGCCTCCAAGTGCTGGTGGCAGCTGCTGTCTTCACCCTTGAAAGCCTAAAACTATCTCTTCATGCCAACCTAACAGTTTATTCAACCCATAACATCAAAGACATGCTAGCTCACCACAGTGTACTAAGTCTCATCTCTGCCTCACTGCTCCTCCAACTGTATGCTTTATTCATAGAAACTCCCCAAATCACCATGCTAACCAGCTCCTGTTTAAACCCAGCCATGCTCTTACTTGAAGCTATTACCTCCCAAGACCCTGCACACTTCTATGTAGACACTGTTCAAACCTTTCTTATACCTTTTCCAAACCTAAAAGACTAACCCCTTCCAAATGCCTCATTTACTTGGTTTGTAGATGGCAGCTCCTTCCTACATCAAGGACGCTGACATGCTGGCTATGCTATAGTGTCACCCCACACACACACTATTGAAGCCAATCCGCTCCCCCTAGGAACCACCTCCCAAAAAGCTGAACTCATCACCCTCACTTGAGCACTCACTCTAGCAGCCGGACAACAAATTAACATATATTCAGATTCTCGTTATGCGTTCCACATAGTGCACTCACACTCATCCATCTGGAAAGAACAGGGTTTCGTAACTGCAAAAAACACCCCTGTCATAAATGGCTCTCTCATCAGCAAGTTCCTTCAAGCTGCCAGACTGCCACAGAAAGTTGCCATCATTCATTGCAGGGGCCACCAAGCCCCAGACAATCCTATATCGGCTGGAAATGCTCTAGCAGATCAGGTAGCCAAACAAGTAGCCCTGCAACCTGTGCAAGGCCAGTTTCCGTCCCTGTCTTTGTTCTCTCCTCTTTACTCCTCAGAAGAAAAGGAGGACTTCAAGCCCAAAACCTTCAAAAGCAAGGACCATGGTATGTCAAGGAAGGGTGCTTCGTTCTTCCTCATTCTCAAACAATCCCTATCCTCCAAAGCTTTCACAACTCTTTCCATGTCGATTACAAACCTCTCTTGCAACTTCTCCACCCATTTTCACTTGTCCTCACCTTTCCAGCCATGTTCGAGAAATTACCCAATCCTGCTCTATCTGCCACTCAATGTCACCCCAGGGTTCCCTCCAGCCACCGCCTCTTCCTACCCACCAAGCCCAAGGCCAGGTACCTGGGCAAGATTGGCAAGTAGACTTCACTCACATGCCACCCGATAAATAGCTCCCCTATCTTCTAGTTTTTGTCTGAGAGGGTAGTCTCCGGGTGGGTAGAAGTGTTCCCAACAACTTCAGAAGCTGCAAATGTCATCACACAAACTCTCATCATGTATATAATTCCCCATTTTGGACTCCCAACATCCATCCAGTCTGATAACAGGCCTGCGTTTAACAGCCAAATTACCCAAGGCATCTCTACATCCTTGGGAATAAAATGGGTTTTCCACACACCCTACAAGCCTCAATCTTCAGGCAAAGTTGAAAAAGTCAGCTCTGTCCTTAAAGCCCAACTCACCAAGCTGGCTCTAGTAACCCACCAGTCATGGACAAAAAATCTCCCTTTTGCCGTCATGAGACTCTGCGCAACAACAAAGGCACCCTCTTTTTATAGTCACTTTGAAATGGTGTACGGATGAACTTTTGTCTTAGGGCCTCCACCCTTACCAGATTCTGAGCCACTCAGGAATTACCTCCCATCCTTAATCCAGACACGGTCTTTCATTCGTGAAGCAGCAAATGAGGCCATGCCTCTCCCTATTGACACCTCCTTGTCCTCTCAACTGTCTTGCAGGCACAGATGTGTTTATCTGCCAACCTGACCCCACAAAAAACTACAACCGAAGTGGACAGGCCCCTACACTGTGCTACTCAGCATGCCAACTGCAGTGAGAGTCCAAGGACTCCCCGACTGGATCCATCGCACCAGGGTCAAACTCACCCCCAAGGCTACTTCTTCCTCTGAAACATTAACAGCTAAGTGTTTGTCTAGGCCAATTTCTTCTACCAAGCTTAAATTAACCAAAAAAAATTTTTCTTAGAACCAAAACACAGGGAAGACTAACCACCTGCTTTTAGAAATGGCCTGTATCTACCCAACTGCCTGCTGTACCTCACTTACAACCAAAAGTCTTAATACAGGAATATCCCTCACCACAATGCTAATATTGTCAGTAGCTGCCCTGCTGTCCACAGCAGCCCCTCTGAGCTGCCGTGAGTGTTATCAGTCTTTCCACTACAGAAGAAAAATGCAACAGTCCTTTATTTACCATACTCGTATAGAAAAATCCTGTTATGGAACCTTAATCGAGGAATGTGTTGAATCAGGGAAAAGTTATTATAAAGTAAAAAATCTAGGAGTATCTGGCAGCTGTGATGGGGCTATATGTCCAAAAGGTAAGCAGTGGCTTTGCTTCACCAAAATTGGACAAAAATGGGGAGTAAACAATCAAGTGCTAGAGGACATAAAGAGAACAGATTACAGCCAAAGCAAAAGCCAAAACCAACAACTCCTTCCCCCCAAATCACCCATGGTATTTCCCTTCCCAAGCCAGGAAAAAACCTGTTTGTAGATCTAGGAGAATGCATCGTGCTTACCATGAATGTGTTCAATTGCTGGGTATGTGGGGGAGCTCATATGAGTTAACAGTGGCCGTGGTATGGGATAGACTTTCCCCCTTACTTACTAACATCCCAAAACCCCAGCCTCACTTTCACTCCTCAGGAACGCCCGCAGTCCTGGACATTTACCAACCCAGTAAGAAGGACAGTGTGCATATCCCACAAGCGGACTGATGAAACCCATCGCACCACAGGTGAAAGCCCCTGTCACCAAACCCTAACAGTCAATGCCTCCACAGCAGAGTGGTGGCCAACGTTACCCCACAGAGCCTGGTCTTCTTCTAACTTAAGCTACCTCGATTGTGTCTTGTCCAAAAAGGCCTGGTACTGTACAAACACCACTAACCCTTATGCCACATACCCCCACCTAAGTGCACTATGGGACAATCCTATGAACACTAGCCTACAATGGATTGCCCCTGATGGATTCTTTTGGATGTGTGGAACCCAGGCTTACTCATGACTACCTTATCACTGGCAAAGTACTTGTTTCCTATGCACAATTAAACCTGGATTCTTTTTACTTCCAAAGCAGGTGGGCAACACCCTTGGAGTCCATGTATATGATAACCTAAACAGAGAAAAATGATCCTTAAAGGTAGAAGGAAGCCAAAGATGGCAAGAGGACAAATGGCTTCCACAATGGATCATTGAATATTACAGCCCTGCCACTTGGGCTGAGGATGGTTCATGGGGTTATTGCACTCCTATATATATGCTAAATAGAATAATTAGACTATAGGCTGTTCTAGAGATAATCACTAACCAAACCGCCTCAGCTCTGGAAATGCTCGCGCAACAACAAAACCAAATGCATGTGGCAATTTATCAAAACATGCTAGCACTAGACTACTTATTAGCAGAAGAGGGTGGGGTCTGTGGTAAGTTTAATATCTCTAATTGTTGTCTTAACACAGACAATAACAAAAAAGCAGTTCTAGAGATCACTTCAAACATCAGAAAAGTAAGCCATGTACCAGTCCAAATCTGGAAGGGATGAGACCCAACGAACCTTCTAGGGCGTGGCTCTCTAATTGAGGAGGATTTAAAACTCTGGTAGGGACAGGAATCTTCACCATTGGGTTTCTCCTGTTTCTCTGCTGTATTATCCCACTGATGACAAAAGCCATTAAAACTCTTGTTGAAACTACAGTTAACCACCAGACAATACAGACGATGCTCCTGCTACAAATGACACGATGGATACCAACCCGTCTCTCAAGAATACCCCAAAAATTATATTTTTCTTTTTTTCGAGGTGCCATTGAGAAAGTCATCCCTTTTCCCTTTTCTATAACCAAACACACAGGAAGGAAAGATTCTCCTGGGGGCCTGAAAGCTTGGGAGGCTGAATAACTCCTCCCTCCTCAGGCCTAGTCCCAAGTGGCCTTGTGCCTGCAGCGTGTGTCAGCAAGATAGCAGAAGCAGGAAGAGAGCTGGCTGGAAGACACGTTCCCTCTGGAGATCAAGAGAGAGAGGCCATCTGGGTACCACATAGCAGTTACATCAGATTGGGACACTTCCTGTTTACAGGAGACTATAAAACCCCTGCCCCATCCTCACTTTGGGGGCTGATGCCATTTTAGGCCTCAGCCTGTCTGCACCCGGGTGCTCATTAAAACAGCATGTTGCTCCACACCGCCTTGTGTTTGTTGGCGTGTTCTCTGGGTTTGAACCAATATAAGAGCCTTGCACTTTCCAATGAAAAAAAGCACATTTCACATTCCATCTTTTCCCCCAAGTTTTAATGAATGATTTTGCGGGTGTGCCTCTTTTTTTAACTTTTATTTTAGATTAAGGAGTTACATGTGCAGGTTTGTTACAAAAGTATATTGCATGATGCCTAGATTTGAAGTATAATTGATTGAACCCATCACCCAGGAGTTGAATAACATTCCATTTTAAGGCAATGTGACAATCATGAAATATTTGTGTGAAAGGTAAGAGAGAGGTTAATCTATAATAAAAGTCAACAGTGGAGAGGGAAGGGGTCTTCCCTGGTGCCCTTTAGCCATTTGCAGCATTTTACAAAATAATGCAGGTAAGGAAAAAGATTCTGTATAGTCAGAGATACTAAGGTTTACAACTTTCTAGGTTATAGCTGCCTGTCATGTGACTCAGGCCCTGAAATTCACATTCCTTTAAGGCTCAAAATAGTTTAGAATTCCAACAGCTTAGATTTTGAATTACTTATTTTCATAATGTATACCCATGAAACTACCCCCAATATCAAAATACAGAAATGTGACAGGTCTCAGTTAATTTAGAAAGTTTATTTTGCCAAGGCTGAGGACGCGCACCTGTGACACAGACTCAGGAGGTCCTGATGACATGTGCCTAAGGTGGTCAGAGCACAGGTTGGTTTCATACACTTTAGAAAGACAAAACATCAATCAACATATGTAAAATTAATATTGGTTCGGTCTGGAAAAGGCAGGATAATTTGAAGTGGGGAGGGGACTTCCAGGTCATAGGTAGTTAAGAGTCAAATTGTTGCATTCTTTGGAGTTTCAGATTAACCTCTCCAAAGGAGGCAATCAGGTATGTATTTATCTCAGTGAGCAGAGGGGTGACTTTGAATAGAATGGGAGGCAGGTCTGCCCTAAGAAGTTCCCGGCTTGATTTTTCCCTTTAACTTAGTGATTTGGGGACCCCAAAATATTTTCATTTCACATTTCCCCCCTTTTCTGTTTAAAGTCTTTTGGATTTTGTAAACTCTATGCCAAATCTTGACACCTTATAGTATTTGGCAGGGATAAGTATGAAATTGCTTGATCAATAAATGCAAACAGAAATGTATGCTGGTAATTCTTAAGGCATTTCTAATATTACTTTACCAATAATTTTAAAGCTAGCTTATTTATTAAAGATTTTACTTAAGTCATGTAATCTTGACAAAACATTTGGCTATTCTTTCATTTTTCTGATAAAGTATTTGAATTAAGTGCTTTTATTTTTCTTTAAGCCAATTAATTAGAGCTCTTTTATATATTTTCAGTAGTGAGACATTGTGTGCACCACACATAAATACATAGACATATTAGATATGCTGATAGAAGTACATCTTAAAGATGTATAAAAACCTTTTTTTCCCCTATCTTAGACTTTCAGATACTTGATAACCTATTTCATAACCCTAGGCAAGTGTCAGCTAAATAGCTTTAAATTTGCACATTAAAGAAAACAACTCTGGTGAAAATCAAATAGCAAAATTTACATCATAAGGTATGGAGAGAAAAATTCTGGTATGCTAGAGGAAGATTAAAGATGGATGCCAAATCAAACATAAAATTATAAATACCTATCAGGATTGTATAAGGAGACCAATTTTATTTAGATAGGGACTACCTGTCTTTTAACTGGATCTCTGAGCTCTGGGGAGAGCCCACACTGAATCCGGGGTTTCCAAAAAGGAAGAATTATTATGAAGCTAGACCATGTGATGTTTTTACAGTGGACTTAGAAAAAATCTTTCTTAAAACAAAGACATTTCTAAGTGTCTAAACCGCACTCTTCTTTAAGAACCCAAGAGTAGCCTCTGTTGCAATAACTATTTTATTCAGTAGATCAGGTAACACAATACAAAAGGAAACAGTTTAAAAGCTGAGACACACTTGTCTGCTTATACTCTTTGGGTTCCATAAGGAAAAACAGGTTTCTTTCCCAAAGGGAGTTTGGCACCTTCTCCATTTTCTTTAAGAAACCCCAGTCTTTTATAAACTAGTTTAGGTCCATCATGCAGCAGAGGGTGCAAGAGAAAGGAGAGACAGCAGAAGTAAATGAAGAAAACAGAATGCAGCCAACTGAGAAAAAACAAACTTTTGCTTAAGGTCCTAGGAGAGAAAAAAAAATAAAAACACAAAGGCCTTTAAACACACACGCATCTTGGATGTTAGCTTTTAGCACATGTCATCAGGACCCCCTGAGGCTGTGTCATGGGCACACATCCTTAACCATGGCAAAATAAACTTTCCAAATTTACCAAAACCTGTCTCAGATTTGGGGGGTTCACATGCTGGTAACCACAAAGGGATTCTGAGTGGAGGTGCCCCTGACCTTTGACAAATATATTGGTGCTTGGTACTAGTTTGAGCTATCTTTATGGCTCAAACCAATAGGACAATTTGCTGAGGCCTGGAAGCACCCCCTCCAGAGAGTCCCTGATCTCCCAAAATTTGGTCAAGATCTAAAGTTAACTTTGTGGTACAATTCCCTTTTTTGGGGGAGTTTTACTTGCTTCCAACACAAGGAAGACAAGTTTTTCCTACTTCCATGATGATGAAAGGTAGGTAAACTTCCATCTTTATGGAGTTTGAGCTCATTTTCAACAGAGAAGATGAATTTTTTTTTTCCTGTTCCTAAGATGGTAGAGAGCAGTCTTCAGCCTGAGACCCATCCCTAAGTAAGTAGCTGAATTGGGATTTGTCTTGGCTAAAGTTAAAATTAACAACCAGCCGGTCTTAATTTCTTCTTACCATTAGAGTGCTCAGTAATCATGTAAGTTATATGTTTGCTTGTTTTGCCTCTCCAAAGGAGGCAATAAGATATGCATTTATCTCAGTGAGCAGAGGGGTGACTTTGAATAGAATGGGAAGCAGGTTTGCCCTAAACAGTTCCCAGCTTGACTTTTCTCTTTAGCTTAGTGATTTGGGGGCACCAAGATATTTTGCTTTCACAGCCTTATAGGGGAACTAAGGTTTGCATGCATCAATCACCATGATTTCTGGTTATAGACACTAAACACGGGCTGCCACATGGTTCAGGCACTTTGTACCATCAGAGTTCAGAGAAGGAACTAGTGACCACCTAGTACTCATTTTCCTTTTACTAGGCTTGGCCTCCACGTGGTTCCAGGATGACGTCAGGAATACAAATCAGCTCAGTTTGGAGACTTAGCATGCTGTATAGCACCATAAAAGCCCAAAGGAACAACTTTAACAAAGGTTTGTATAAACTTCCTTACTGCATGTATGTCTTCTATACAGTAGCATTCAACACAAGTTCCCCTTGAAATTCAGCCACCTGCTTGGCACCATAACACACATCCCATAATAAACAACAAACATATTTTCAAGAAAGATGAAAGCACTAAGAACTTGTGAGCCATCTGAATATGGTGATCTATTTTGCATATTTTCACAAATTCAAATGTACTTACAGGAACAACAGAATAGTATATTTTAATTAGGACTGTTCTCAAAAAGGAGAAATGCATGGGGATGTGCAGCTGTCATAAAGCTAGGTCACTATAAACAGACACCATTTACTTCTCTTAGAAGTGAGAAATATATCCTAGGATTTTGAGAAAACAAACACTGGTGGGTGTTGTTTTTTTCCAGAATGGCTGACTATTGAGAAGAGTTAAAAATACCTAAGGGATACAGCGTGTGCCAAAGATTGCAAAGGAAGAGCCAACATTTCCTACTAATTATGAATCTTGAGTTATATCCTTTCAGCAAAAAACAAGCATTGTGAGGAGTCAGCATACAGACCCAATCTGCTTTTCACACCTCTCTTCCCTGCCTTCACCCCCGCTGACTCCACCAGCTAGTGCCTGCCGTGCCTGAGATCCTGTATGCACTTAATTAATATTTGTTGAATGAATAAAATGGTAAATACAATGTCTTAAATGGACCCATGTGATCTCCTTCCTCCCCTCTATGAAATCCTATACTACAGAAAAGATATAATAAACTTGGACCTAAAAAGGCATCACACATGACTGTGAGAAGCCTCCAATCTAGAGCAGTGGTTTTCTACCCTGGCTGCACATCAAAATCATTCAGGGAGCTTTCTAAAAACACTCATGCCTCAGCCCCACCCTCAGAAAATCTGATTCAATTGAACTGGAGCAAGGCCCAAGCCATGGTGTGTTTGTTTGTTTTTTCTAATGTGCAGCCAGGACAGATAATTTCTGGTACAGTCCAACCACTTCAAAGGTGCAGAGGCTTGATGTCACTTCTCCATAGCCAGAGAGCTTGGAGAAGGCAGAGGCAGGACACAAAATCACAGCATCACTGAGTCACTCCAACATTTATCAGCTCTTTATCTCATGAGCATCTTCCTTCTCACTAACTTACATTTCTGACTTCCATTTTTATCATTCTTATATCCACTTAACAAATTGTTATTAAGCATCTACCATGTGCCAGATGCCAGGTGCCAGGTATATGGCAGCGTGAAAGAAAAATAAATCTTGGGGCCCTTAAATCACTAAGTTAGAGAAGAGTCAAGCTGGGAACTGCTTAGGGCAAACCTGCCTCCCACTCTATTCAGTCACCCCTCTGCTTACTGAGATAAATGCACATCTGATTGCCTCCTTTGGAGAGGCTAGTCAGAAACTTAAAAGAATGCAGCTATTTGTCTCTTATCTACCTATGACCAGGAAGCCCCCTCCCCACTTTGAGTCTTCCTGCCTTTGCTTCAAGTTGTTCCACCTTTCCAGGCCAAACCAATGTACATCTTGCAAATGTTGATTGACGTCTCATGTCTCCCTAGAATGTATAAAACCAAACAGTGCTCTGACCACCTTGGGCACATGTCGTCAGGACCTCCTGAGGCTGTGTCATAGGCATTCATCCTCAACCTTGGCAAAATGAACTTTCTAAATTAACTGAAACCTGTCTCAGATTTCCAGGATTCATGTTTTGGTAACCATGAAGGGATTCTGCATGAAGATGCCCCGACCTTTGACAAATCTCCTATCGGTGTGTGGTACCAGCACAAGCTAACTTTATGGCTCAAACCAAGAGGACAATTTCCTGAGGTCTGAGAGTACATCCATAGAATCCCTGATCTCCCAAAATTTGATAGAGATCTAAAGTTTGTTTTGCTGTACATCTCCTCTTTCTTGGAGTTTTATTTGCTTCCAATAAGGAAGGCAAGATTTCCTGTTTCCATGATTATGGAAGGCAGGTTACTCCTTTATGGAGCTTGAGCTTGCTTCCAACATGAAAGATTAGTATTTTTTCCTGCTCCTAGAATGGTAGAGAGCGGTCTTCAGTCTGAGACCAATCCCTAGGTAAGTAATTGAATTAGGGTTTGTCTTAGCTAAAGTTAAGATTAACAACAAATTTGTCATAAATTCTCCTTACCATGAGAGTGCTCAGTTATCATATATGTTGTGCCATCATTTGTTTTGCTTGTTTTGTTGTTGTTGTTTGTTTCTGTTTTTCTTGTTGTTTTGGTCTTTTTCCCACTGGTTCTGATTAACTCTATCTGACTTGATCAAATCTGAAGGAAAATTTCAAATTATGGGGAACAAGGCCTCTAAAGTGGCTAAATTCTGCCCCCCCCCAAACACACACACACACACACACACACACACAAAGTTGGTGTGGTGGTGGCCGTATTTGGCCAGTAAAAAGGAAAAAAAAAAAAAAGCAAAGATTCTTTACGTTGACTACTGAACGGACTTTATTTACATAACAAGGCCACCTTTTTCTTTCTTTTAAAAGGCTCAAAATAATAATGCTCTCCTTCAACTCATTTTCAACTCATGTAAGTTTTTTTCCTCAAGTTCTGTTTGTTGTGCGTTGATGCTAACAATATTTTCTTAAGCATCTAAAGGAAATGTTTCCTTCTAACATAATATTCTGTACACTACAGAAGGTCTTTTCTTTTGCCTTTTGGTAACTGGCCTAACAGATTTTATGTTTTTTTATCAAAATAATTCCTATGCCATTATTATTGAGTTTTGGTTTGCTTAGGGAAAAACTGAGATTAAAAAAAATTTGAATTAAGGTTATTACATCTGTGTACTTTTCTGTATGTGCTTTTAAGGTACTTGTGACATTAAGTTACAGGACTTTGACTCCTGGGTCTAAAAAGGACACAAAGTCCTTCTAAATCTTAAACACTGCAATTAAAGCCTCATTTTCAGGCCCCATAGAAGATGTCAATCAAGGCTGGCGTGGGGGTTCATGCCTGTAATCCCAGCACTTTGGGAGGCTGAGGAAGGTGGATCAGGAGTTCAAGACCAGCCTGGCCAACATGGCGAAACCCGGTCTCTACTACAAATGCAAAAATTAGCTGGGCGTGGTGGCAGGCTCCTGTAATCTCAGCTACTCAGGAGGCTGAGGCAGGAGAATTACTTGAACCTGGGAGGCGGAGGTTACAGTGAGCCAGGATTACACCACTGCACTCCAGCCTGGGCAAAAGAGGGGGATTCCATCTAAAAAAAAAAACCAAAAGATCCCAATCAAAATAAACTGCATTCCTGAGACACACAGGACCAGAAATTAAAGCCATTCAACTCCTCAAGGCCCAGGGTGTATTGCAGAAGAGGTGAGAGTGTGAAATTATAAGGGCCGATTTTTAAGAGATAAAATAAATTCAGTTTCTCTATAAATTAACCATTAATGTCAAAGACATACTGATGCAAGACTAGCATATGGGCCTCTGTGTCAGATTAACAAGGTTTTCTTGAAGCATTAACCAACTCCTTAATAAAGGTTATAAAAGGCTTATGGAAGCTACATCTTATGATCAAGGCTAACATTTTATAATTGTTTATAAAATTTTGAAAAAATTAATTGGCTTCATGCTGTTTGCATTGGGTCTTATCATTTGGAAAATTAAGTCTTATCTCTCAAAGAAGGAAGGTTTTTGCCTTTTTAAAAAAATCCTTGAGTTATCACTTTGGTTAAATGAATGACTTATTTTACAAGACCTGTAATCCTATTTTGTGCTATAAAGTGTTTTAAACCTTTGATATTTGACAAACTTTCCAAAATCAAATTATAAACTGTCTTTTTCTGACCTAATTAATCCTGTAAGATATTATTAATAGGTACCCTAAAGTCCAAAAAATGACATATATGGCTTATTTATTTGGCATATAAATGCTATAGGAAGGATTGTCAAATATGAAATGTTGCTTGGTTTTCTTTGGGCTGTATTTGTTTAAATATATTATTGGTATGTGTTACAAAATTATGGAAAACTCCTATAATTCTGATATGACTTAGTGTACATTATCAGTAATAACTGTTATGTTAAATTATTGTGTGCCACAGAGGTAACGAATTTACTTGTCAATTGTGTCTTTGACTATGGCTGCCCTAAAACATTTTGTCATCCACAGACAATTGTTGTCTTGTGTTGGTCCTCTTAAGAGGTGGTTTTATTATTGGCTATATGACTCTAACAGGTGCTCTTGAATACAGGTTTCTGATAACTTTGAAGATTGTGACATCAGAATAGAGGAAAACTTTCAGGACTCATAGAGAGCTAACATGTTCATGAATACCAAACATAACAAAAATTATCTACATGGACTAAGCTAATAGAAGTCTAAAGTAATCTTTTCAACTGAAACATTGCTGATCCTTTCTTTTGTTTTTCAGAGTCAAGAAAACTTTTAAGCTATTTACAACTTTTAACAATTGAGTAAAATATACTCCTATGAATAAAATGTGGAGTATATTTGTTTTCTCTCTACTTGATTTCTAAAGAATTTGGAAACTATTTGTGAGCATTATTAACTCATGACAATACACTTATTTGCATAAGTGCAGTAAGAATCTGTTTTCATTTGTAACAGGACAAAATTGGAGAAACTGGTTATTTTGCCAAGGCTTTGACTGGAATGGTGTGCTTTCCTTTAAGGAATCAAACTTGACTGATGGAGCCAATGAAAGCCCTTGGGAAAACTGGCCTCATCCTTGTCTACACAGTATAATGTGGCCTATATCAATTTTTCAGAATTATTTTTTAGTTTGCTGCTTTTCTCCCTTCCTCCCCCTATTTTCTCTTCATAGGACATGAGACTTCACAACATGCTAATAATGAGCTTTCCTAATAACTTGGCACCTACCTGTCTACGAATAAACCATTCTAAGCCATGAGAGATCCAATGAAATCTGAGCCCAGAGACTCGGTTTCTTCTAAAGTGCTTTCTCAAAAAAATTTTTAAAAAGAAAAGGGGGGAAAAGTGAAAGGAAAAAAATTCTTGGGGCCCCCAAATCACTAAATTAAAGGAAAAAGTCAAACTGGGAACTGCTTAGGGCAAACCTGCCTCCCATTCTATTCAAATTCATCTCTCTGCTCACTGAGATAAATGCATATCTGATTACCTCCTTTGAAGAGGCTAATCAGAAACTCAAGAGAATGCAACCATTTGTCTCTTAGCCATCTATGACCTGGAACACCCCTTCCTGCATCGAGTCTTCCCACGTTTGCTTCAAGTTGACCTGCCTCTCCAGGCAGAACCGATGTTCATCTTGCATATGTTGATTGATATCTCATGTCTCCCTAAAATGTTTAAAACCAAGCTGTGCTCTGACCACCTTGGGCACATGTGTTCAGGACCTCCTGAGGCTGTGTCACAGACACACATCCTCAATCTTGGCAAAATAAACTTTCTAAATTGAGACCTGTCTCAGATTTCCAGGGTTCACAGCAGTAAGCAGAACAGCCAGTTTCCTCTCAACTTAGCCTTAGCAGGAGAGACCTCTGTGTCTGGAAGCCTTTCCCAACTTGAATCATTTTGTCTCCACTAGTTTGTGAGTATTTTGAGACTAGGAATCATGAGTTATTATTCATCTTTGGAGCTGCAGTGCCTAGCACATTGCCTGATATGGGGGCAGATTTGATGTTTGATGGATAAACAAATGAATGCAAGTAATTCCTGAAGGCTTTTACATCTAATAAAGAAAACAGAAAAATGTCAAGAAGACTGCTTGCTTTAGCAGGGCATTCTCAATTTTATATCATAAAAATCCAACTTAAATTTGCTGAGTCAAAGAGGGCATTTATTTGCTGATAAATGGCAAACCCAACCATGCAGAATCCCAGAGCCCAACCCGTGTAGTTAGGCCTTTATCCCTTTCCTCAGTTCCCCACTCAGTTTGTCTCATCTTGGTTTCATTCTTAATCCAGGGCCTCTCCACATGACAGACAAGATGGTCCACCAGTACCCCCAGGTTCATATCCCATTTTTAGTATGCCAGCAGTGGCCACACATTTCCAGGGAAGACGCTGATGGCCCTGTCTGCCCATTCTTGAACCAAATACTTTGGTTGGCAGAGAGGGTACTTCAAATGGACAGCATGGTTGACAAGCCCACCCCAAGCCAGTCAGCAGGGTAACACTAGTGTCGGCCTCACCAGGAACACATCGGAATTGGCAAGAAATCTCCTTTAGAAACCAGAAGGAGATAGGAAAGTACAGTGGATTACGATGTCTTCTATGTCTTCCTTCCTATCTTTTTTTTTAAACAGGGTCTCATTCTGTCACCCAGGCTGGAGTGCAGTGGTACATTCATGGCTTACTACAACCTCTGCCTCCTGGGCTCTAGTGATCTTCCTGCCTCAGCCTCCCAAGTAGCTAGTACTACAGACGTGGGCCACCATGCCCAGGCTAATTTTTATATTTTTTTTGTAGAGATGGGGTCTCAGTATGTTGTCCAGGCTGGCCTCAAACTCCTGGGCTCATGCAATCCACCTGCCTCGGCCTCCCAAAGTGCTGGGATCACAGGTGTGAGCCATCACACCCGGCCCTTCTAGGTCTTTCTATCTTCCTGCTCCACCATCCTTACTTAGCATGATGGTTTTTGCATTCATTTATGTAACTTAATGGATGCAAGACACATGCCACAGATCTGAACAGAATAAATGTTTTCAAGGCAGAAAGAAAGGGGGAGGGGAAGTCCCAGCCTTAGCTGTCCTTTTTATGAGGAAAGCAAAAACTTTTCCAGAAACACCTCAAAAAGACTTCCCCTTAAATATCACTGGCCAGCACTGGGTCACACTGCTACCCCTTGTGGCAAGTGAGGCTAGAAATTCTAGTTTTGACAAAGTGAAATATAATTTCATGACTAGTTTGGACCAAAACTGATTGCCCCACCCCTCCATCGACCTCTCCTGGAGACTAATTACACTTGCTCTGAGCCCCCAGAGCATGCTGGGCCTCTCTGATCCTAGCGACATATGCACTGTACAGCGGTTGCTTTTTTTTTTTTTTTTTTTTTTGAGACGGAGTCCCCCTCTGTCGCCCAGGCTGCAGTGCAGTGGCGCTATCTCGGCTCACTGCAAGCTCTGCCTCCCGGGTTCACGCCATTCTCCTGCCTCAGCCTCCCGAGCAGCTAGGACTACACGCACCCACCACCACGCCCGGCTAATTTTTTTTTTTGTATTTTTAGTAGAGACGGGGTTTCACTGTGTTAGCCAAGATGGTCTCGATCTCCTGAACTCGTGATCCGCCCGCCTCGGCCTAGCGGTTGCTCATTTTTTGCAGCCCCCACCCCTTGCTAGGATTTCTAAACAGGTGCCCACATCCTTGTATCCCCAGCACTTAACACAGTGCCTAGCTTCATTCCACCGGTTTATTTGAGTGACTGCCATGTGCGAGGCTCTGTGCAAATAAAGCAGGCGATTGGTGAACATTTCCTGGATGGATGGAGGGATGGATGGATGGACTGATGGGTGGATAGATGGATGGATATCATCACTGTGCAGTGGTTCCCATCAGGGCAGCCTGAGTCTCCCCACCCCCTCCCCTCATCCCTCTCACTCCAGGCTGTCATTTCACTTTCCTAAAAGCCTTCCCTTTGCCCATGATGCCAATGACTAGCTCTGTCCTGAAGCAATAGCTAGTACTTTCCCTCCTTCCTGCCACCTAGCATCCAGCCGAACCTTGAATCAATACCAGTAAAATGGGTGTGAACGGAAGGAGGCTGCTCATTATTTGCCATTATTTACCTCTGAGTCTGTGCATTCCCATTCCTTCCCATATTAATTCTCTCCCGCGCAACACCCCCCCCCCCCCGCCCCCCCATCCTTGGGAACTGGTTCAACCAGAGTACAACCAGCTCATCTGCATCTGGCCCTAAAGAACCTGCGGCAGCCAGAGGCGGAGGAAGAGAGAAGGCTGCATAGGAGCTGCAGCGCGGTGCGGCCAGCACACACCCCGGCCCGCGAGGCCCCGGGCTCGCCCATGAGGCCTCTGCCCAGCGGGAGGAGGAAGACCCGAGGCATCTCCCTAGGACTCTTCGCCCTCTGCCTGGCCGCAGCCCGCTGTCTGCAGAGTAAGCTCCGGGGGACGCCCCGGGTGCTGGGGGAGCGGGAATGGGTAGGGGGGCACGGGCGGGGCCCCGGGGTCTAGCAGCGGCCCCCCTGGCCCTCGCCCACCTTGTCCGGCTGAGGGCGCGCGGTGAGCTCGGCTGGCAGGCACCGCGCCGCTTCCTCGTGGGGCTGGGCGAGGCCTGGAGACCCGGCGCCGACCGTAGCGGGAGGGGCTGGGCAAAGCAGAGGCTACCGGCCGCGGCGCCCCGGCCCACTTCGGGGCGCCCGCCCCACCCGGCGAGCCCGGCCTACGGTTATCAGAGCTGGAAGGTGGCCCAGAGATAACCGGCTCCCAGCCCTGTGGCCGCCGCCTCTGCAACATTTTTTATTTCTTTTTCCTGGAATAACCAGATTGCAGTCCGTGCGCCGCCCCCTACTGTGGGGACCCCTCCATGGCCTTCCTGGTCATCTCCCAGGAGAATAATCAGGCCTCCTTATCAGTCAGACGAACCCACAGCAGCCTGCTCCCGTGAGAAAAACGGTTCTGGGGTTTGGGTTGGGCGTTGTGGCCTGAAGTCCCCAGGCTGGAGGTGGTCCTCGCGACCAGCGCACTGAGTAGATTTGCTTTGGATGGCCGGACCCGGAATCCCCAGCCTGGTGAGCCTGGATGCGAAGCGTAGTCCCAGAGGCTCTCTTGGACACAAACAACAGATCTTAGCACAGTTTTACTTTCTCATTTAATCATTACCATTCGCACTCCCATCTTACACATGGGCCAACTGAGGTTTAGAGAATGACAGAGCAGGGCCGCTGGAGGTGAGAGGCCTTGTAGTAAGAGCCAGCACTTATTAAGCATTTATGCATTCACCATCCCTCAGACTTTACAAGACCTCTCTCATTTAGTCCTTAGGGCAACCCTAATAAACTACTCTTATTCCTGTTTCACAAGTGAGGAAACTGAGGCACAGAAATGTTATAAGCCAATCGCAGGGGCTCATGCCTGTATTCCCAGCATTTTGGGAGGCCGAGGCCAGCGGATCCCTTGAGTCCAGGAGTTCAAGACCAGCCTGGGCAACATGGCAAACTGTCTGTAGTAAAAATATGAAAAAATTAGCTGGGTGTGGTGGCCTGTGCCTGTAGGCCCAGCTACTGGGGTGGGCGGCGGGGGAGCTGAGGTGAAAGGATCACTTAAGCCCAGGAGATTGAGGCTTCAGTGAGCCCTGATTGTGCCACTGCACTCTAGCCTGGGGAACAGAATGAGACCTTCTCCAAAGCGAAAGAAAAAGAAAAGAAGAGAGAGAGAGAAAAAATAATATTATGTTAACTTATACAAGGTGACTGAACGATCTAACATTTTTGACCTTTACACCTCTCTGGCTAGAACCCAGCTGCAGAGGTTGCAAATCTCAGAAACCCAGTAAGACAGAGGCATGTTCCTCTGGCAGCTATGGATCAAGAAAACAGTTGGTTGTTAGTCTCGAGCAGGTGGATGGGTGTGTTTGTCATTGCAGTGGCTTTTTATATTATTTCTCAAACCTTTATCACTTGTTTCTAATCACCATACTTACACATCTGTTCAGATACCCCTCATGCTCAGGGACCAGCCATTTGCAATAGCGTATAATTCATTCATTCACTCACTCATTGACTGTACCCTCTCCCTGCAGGAAGCAGGCCACAGTGGGTACCTAGGATATGGTGGTTCACTGTTTCGTTCTCAGGAAGCTCAGGTGTCATGGAGAAGACAGACATGCAAACAAGAGGGGCAGCCTTGCAATGGCAAGCCTTGAGAGGCAAGAGGTGCCATGTTCTAGAAGCCCTAGCGTCTCAGAATCCAGACTTGAGGAAACTTCCCCAAAACAGCCCCACCTGCCCATACCTGCCAGATGGGTAGGAGCAGCTCGGGGGACAGGACAAAGGGAATGCAGGGTGTACCAGACAAAATGGCACATGCAAAACCTGGAGGCCAGGTAAAAGTTTGCAGTTTTCCATTGAGACCTGTCTCATGGACAGCAGTAAGCTCCAGGAGGGCAAGCACTCTGTTTCAACTCAGGGTCCCTAGCACTTGCCCAGTGCTAGCCAGGGCCTGCGCCCTTAAAAGACGTTAAATGAATGTGTGCCTGCCTGAATGAAGCCTGTGCTTTGGAGCCAGTCATAATGATGAAGAGTAGGCCTCCTCCTTCCTACCAGTTCCCTGCATGCTCTACCTCTTCTGCCTGTGTCAAAAGCTTCATCCAGAACCTCTGATATTCACTATTTACCCTGAAGTCTGAGTTAAAGCATGCCAAACACCCTGCTTTTGAAACCTTTCCCCTACAAATGTATGGGTCCTCCCAAGATTCATATATTCAAGCCCTAACCTCCAATGTGATGGTATTTGGAGGAGGGGATTTAGGGAGGTGATTTGGTTTAGATGAGGTCTTGAGGTGGGATCCCATAATGGGATTAGTGTCCTTATAAGAAGAGGAAGAGAGACCAGAGCTCTCCCTCCCAGCTGTGTGAGGACACAGCAAGAAAATGCATATTAGCAAGCCAGGAAGAAGGCCCTCACCAAAAACTGGCACCTTGATCTTGAGCTTCCCAGCCTCTCCAGAACTGTGAGAAATAACTGTGGTTTAAGCCACATCAGTCTATGGTCATCTGTTACAGCAGCCCAAGCTGACTAGGACAAGGACTTATGGGCTCGGAAAGCTGGCAGGCCTCCCCACCAGACCAGGCACCTTTCTAGAACATTTGTTCATGTCCTTTCCCAGTACATTAGCCATCAGGCTCACGAGTACCCACCCAGTGCTCCCTCTCATTCGGAAGTACTTGATCCAAGACTATAGTAGGATAGTTTAGTTAATGGCCTGGGCCAGAATCAACTTGCTTTTTTCCAATCCCAGTTTCTAAGTAACAGTCAGCTCCCCCAACACACACACATATACACACTGGGGCCAGTCCTCAGAAAAATAGAGGAACAGGGCTAGGGCTGAATCTGAAGCTGAGGAGGGAGTGGACAGACCCAGGGATGCCACAGCCAGAATGGAGCTGTGGGTTCTGGGCTTAGTGGAAGGTGGGGGCGGATGGGATGAGGAGGGAGCCAGTATAGAAGGAATCCTCTCAAGGCCCTTCACGAGACTCTGGGTCCATCACTCCATAAGTCCTCAGCAGCTGCCCAACGCTGCCATCCATGTGGCAAACATCTTAGAAGCACCTACTATGTTGCCGTGGGCCGTGCACTGATCCCTGATCAAACAGAGACACATGAGGTGTGGTCTCACTCTGCACTGTCCTTTCAGATTTATAAAAAATATTTTTGCATACATACAAATGTACCCACTGGAAAAAAAGTGAGTTTCCAATGTACTTTTAAAAAATGCAATCATGGGGCCAGGTATGGTGGCTCATGCCTGTAATCCCAGCACTTTGGGAGGCCGAGCCGGGCGGATCACAAGGTCAAGAGATCGAGACCATCCTGGCCAACACAGTGAAACCCCGTCTCTACTAAAAATACAAAAATTAGCCGGGCGTGGTGGCAGGCGCCTGTAGTCTCAGCTACTTGGGAGGCTGAGGCAGGAGAATCGCTTGAACCCGGGAGGCAGAGGTTGCAGTGAGCCGAGATCATGCCACTGCCCTCCAGCCTGGTGACAGAGTGAGACTCCATCTCAAAAAAAAAAAAAAAAAAATTAAAAAAAATTTTTTAAAAATGCATTCATTCTGTACTGTTTATTCAGCAACTTAGTTTTACACCAATTTTTTTTAGCTCTATCCATGTTGATAAAGGAAGTGCATTCCTTTCAACTTCTCTACATATGTCATCATATAAATATGCTGCTTTTTACTTAGCCAGACCCCACTGATGGACAATTAAGCTTTCAGCTTTTAGCCCTCACTCAGGGGAGAGAAACTCCTCATACAGGGTGATGTGTGCAGTGCTAGTGATGCGCACATCGTATGGAAGAGGTGCCAGCTCCCTGGCTGATGGGCACCCCTGCACACACACTTCCTCCCCATCTCAGAAAATGCCTGAAAGACAAAATTGAAGCTGTTGGGGGTGCGGGCTGGAGTCAACTGGAAAGTCACACAAATGTCTTACTTCCTGATCTCCAAGAGCCTTCCTGAGTATGCTCCCTGCTGGTCTAGGAGCGGGGCAAGGGCCAGGAGACTCTCCTCTCCATTATCCCCAGGACCTAAGGACAGCTATATCCCTTATCTGATGTAAGACTCTTTGGGAAAAAACAAAAAAAAACTTACTATATCTAAAGTCAGAATTCATGTTATAAATCAATAGCTTTGAAGCTGGGCACAGTGGCACACACCTGCAGTCCCAGCTACGCGGGAGGCCGAGGTGGGAGGATCACTTGATCACTTGAGCTCAGGAGTTTGAGACCAGCCTGGGCAACACAGTGAGACCCTGTCTCTAAAACAAACCCACAAAAAGGCTTTAATACAATTTTTGTCAGCCTGGATTGAAGTTGAGTTATTCCAAAGAGAATGTGTGTTGCTTCTGCCAGTCATGGGAGGCATCCTGCCTGGCGAGTCAGAAAACACTTCATGGAGCAGGTGAGGTTGACTCTTGAAAGATGAGTAAGTGTGTACAGCAGGACAGGGTGGAGAAGAGAATTGGAGGCATACAGCAGGTGCTCAAAAAATAGGTGCACAATACCTCTGGGGACCTGGCAAGGGAAGAGGGAGTGGAAGTTGCCCTAGCATGCACCCATGGGAACTTAGCCACTGCCCCACTCAGAGACCCCACTGATGCTGGAGCCCCACTGTGCACCCAAGACGCTGGCTTCTCTGCACCTGGATTTTCCCTGGAAAATGGGCTTGGAGTTGGAAAGTAATTACTTATCCAGCAGGAATGAGAGTGGGAGGGATGGGGATTGACAAGTTTCAAGTTGGAAACGACTCGCCCCTCCTATAACTGGTTTGCTGGGCTGGGAAGTTACCCGTCATCCTTTTAGGAAAAGGAAAAATGACACACTGGACAGTAAAAGGAGCACAGGACATTTTTTGTCCATGTGTCCAGCTGGTCAAGGGAGCATGCTAGGCTTTCTCTCTGCTGAGACACACCCTGGGGCAGTTCAGGTCCGTGCCATGCTGACCCCAGAGGAGCCCTGCTGCAGAGAATCCTCAGCTGACAGCGCCCATGCCAATCCCAGTGGTGTATGTAAGCCCCATATGTGGGGTCATCTTTCTCTGAGTGTACACGGACCTAGTAAGATGCCCACATCCTGCTGTAGACCAATTAGATCACTATCTCTGAGGGCAGGACCCAGACACTGTTTTGTTTTGCTTTTAAGTTCCTCAGTGGTTCCAATGTGTGGCCAGAGAACTACTGCACTAGACTAGACCATTCCCCTCCATTAGTCTGATCCTATGGAAACAGCTGGTTCAGCACATCTCCCTCCTGCTGTTCTCAGAACACCCAACGTTGTGTCTTAGAGTCTCACCTGTGTCTTTGTGGTTTTATCCTGACAAGCCTGAAAATACTTTCCCACAAGGCTGAGGGCAGAAGACAAGGCTGCTTTGCTGGGAAGTCTGGTTTGGCTCAATAAATGGTTCCTGAGCACGCACTGTGCCTGGAACAGCTTGCCAAGAGCTGGGGTAGCAGCGGGGCCCTGCACTGAAGGATTGTAAGTCAAAACCTAAGCAGCTGATTCGCTGTCAGATGCCCTGGGGGCACTGAGAAAGGCAGTTAGCTCGGTTTGGAATGGGAGGAGCTTCTTGAAGAAGAGGCCTTGATGGCAACGTAGGAGGTAGTCAGGTAAGGAGAGAGAGAGAAAGTTCTTAGCACTGGCGAACTGTGAGGACAACCACCTTCTCTTTGTGGGCCAGTAGAAGGGGTGATCATTCTTTACTTTAATCAGGCTTTTCGACTCATGTTAATTTCCTTGTATGCAGTCTAACTAGTTGTCTGATGGTTAAGGGAATGGAGCTTGGGAAGGTTTTGGAGCTTGGGAAGGCTTTGCATCTTGGGTGAAAGGTGCTGGAATAATTCCTCCAGTAGGCCCCTATATTAGTGCCAGAGGAGAAGGGCGATGTGGGTCCTTCAGCACTAGGCACGGGTAAGGGGACCTAATGTCAAGCTCCTCTGACAGTTTGCCCTTCTGTACTCATACAAGATTCCTGCCCCAGACTCACTCTGGGACTGGATCACATTCTTTTTGAAAGCCAATGCCTCAAAGCAGAACACCAGAGCTCCTCTCTCCTCTCCCCATCCACCAAGGCTTCCACGCACTTCGGGATGGGATTTCAGAGGTTCTTGAACCAGAACTTTCTCCCTTATGTCAGGTCAATTCAATTCCACAGCCCATGCTTGTATGAGTCACATCACATACTGCTGTGTGCTGGTGATTCGGACATAAGCACAATGTGATACCTGCCACACTTTCTAACAGGGGAGATGGGCAGTCAGTCATCTAACGTGAGTGGAAGGCTGGTGTGAGCTGTGCTGTGGGAGCCTAGTGGGGCCTGGCAGAGGAGATGACATTAAAGATGGGCCTTGAAGAGTGAGCAGGAACCTGAGAATGGGAAAGCGGTGAGCTGAGCTGAGGTTGAGTGAATAAAGGCCCAGTGGGTGATGGTCTGTAGTTTGGTACAACTGGAATTGGGGGTGAGGAGTCATAGGAGATGTAGATGGAAAAGAAAGTTGGGACCAGATTACTGAGGTCTGTCAGAGCCAGGGAAGACAGCTAGATGTGTGGCTTAGAAAGATCACTGATAATAGCCTCCAGCCAACTGAAGAGATGAAAAGCCAGTATCTCCTCAGTTTTTTATAACTTAATAAATAACAATTACAAGACAATAATAACTGTGACTGCTTACCAAGCACTTCATGACAGGCACTGTAACAGCTGCTTTTGATTCATCTTCAGAGTTAGCCTGCAACGAGATGCCATTAGTCCTTATTTTATAGGTGCAGAAACTGAGGCTCAAAGAAGTTGAGGGACTTGCCTAAAGACATTCATTCATTCATTCATTCATTCATTCAGGTACATATGAGAAGTCCACAGTGCCAGGCACTGTGCTAGGCCCTGGGGATTCAATGGTCACCAAGACAGACCAACCCCTGTGTTCACATAGCTGACGGCAGATCGAGGAGGATGAACCATTCATCAAGAGGAATTACAACAGAGAGGGATAAGTGTGTTGCTGGAGAGAAACAGGGAACAATGGGAACACAGAAATGGGACCCTTAACCTGGTGCTAGGGATTGGGGAAGGCTTCCTGGAGGAAATGATGTTTAAACAGAAACCTTAAAGGATAAAGAGGAATTGGCCTAATAGTTTTTCTGGAGGAGAATTTACTCGAACCTGTGGTATCCAGTTACGCATGTGCCTGAATTCTCTTTTTTTTTTTTAGACAGAGTGTCACTCTGTTGCCCAGGCTGGAGTGCAGTGGCGTGATCTCAGCTGACTGCAACCTCCGCCTCCCAGGATCAAGTGATTCTCCTGCCTCTGCCTCCTGAGTAGCTGAGATTACAGGTGTGCACCACCACACCCAGCTAATTTTTGTATTTTTGGTTTCACCATGTTGGCCAGGCTGGTCTCGAACTCCTGACCTCAAGTGATCCACCTGCCTTGGCCTCCCAAAGTGCTGGGATTACAGGCATGAGCCGCTGTCCCCGGCCCTGAATGATCTTCTGATCACTTTATACCCCTCTTCCAAGTACCTTCAGGCATCCTATAACATCCCCTCAAAAGAATTGTTGGGAGATAACAACACCTCATTTTCTCCCTTATCTTCCTATTCAACACACATTTACTGACCGCACCTTCTAGTTCCCCAGGCTGGCCGCTGGCCCAGGCCTGACTCAGTCTTGCCACCCAGCTTTGCAGACGGCAAACCCAGCCAGCTCCCCAACCCCTTGCACACTGGTGCAGGGTGAGGCAGTGGCTGCTGTCATGCCTTGCTTCCTTGGCATCTGATCAGAATCACGGCAGTGGCTTTTACATACCCTGTGGTCTTTCAGAAAACAGTCCAGCTTTCCAGCAAGGTGGCTCTTGTTGGTGCCTGGAAAAGGTGTGGTAGGAAGATTCTAGAAGGAATTCCACAGGAAAGAATTTCAGGTCGCCCAGTCTTGCCACACTTCAGAAGTGAATCGTAGGTTTACAAGTGCTTATTCCAGTTCCATTATGTGATCTGGAGCAGAAGAACCAGCCTCCTCCTCCAACACTCCCGGTCTCAGATCTTCTGCTTTAATCCCTGGTACAACTCCAGCTTCTGCTTACATACCCCCAAGGATGGGGAGATCATTACCTTACCAAAAAAGCCTGTGCATCTTCAAAGAATTATCATTAATAATACCTACTATTTATTGAGCTATCACCAAGTGTTAGAGACTGATAAGCTCTTTACATATATTGTCTCATTTAAATTTTATTCTGCTGCAGGAGGCGGGCACAGCACTATTATATTATCCTTATTTCCTAGGTACCATAACAGAGACTGAAAGAAGGTAACTCACTTACCCCAGTTCACACAGTTGTTACTGGCACAGCTAAATTTTGAACACCAGTTAGTCTGACTCTAGAATCCATGAATGCATCTGTTCTACACACACTGCCTCAATTCCGTTCACCAGAACCTGTGTCCTTTCACTCTTGATCCATTGACCCTGGTTCTGTTAATGACTGCATGTCCCAAAACTTTCCTTCCCCAAGATAAGAAGTGCTGCATCACAGACTAGCCCCTGCCTGGCAGGTATGGTGTTAGCAGAGCAGTGTCAGAGGAGAGGAGGGCCTGGCCTCCTGGGACCCTGAGGGCATCCTTGGTGTCCTCTTCGCCCTGAGGTCTTACAGAATCCTTTCAGCCAAAGTTCTAAAAGTACAGTTTTGGGACCACCAGCAGTGTCACCCTACTGAATGAGAAACTGGAGACCGGGCCCTGCAATCTGGTTCAGTGATCACCTCCAGGTGGTTCTAATGGAGCCAAATGCTGAGAACCACTGTGTTAGAGTTTTGAAGAGGGTGAAGGAAGCATCACCTAGGTGTTACCAGAAGGAAAGCCTTGAGTGAGTTGTCCAGGTCCTTGGTGTTTTGAACAAAGAATTCAGCAAAACACATGAAGTAACAAAGGAATGAAACACAGGAATGAAGCAGCAAAAGCAGGGATTTGTTACAGCAAGAAAGCACTCTGCAGGGTGGGGGCAGCCTGAGCCAGAGTTTACAATGTTTTCTGGGTTAGAAGTACTCTTTTGAAGTCCCTGTTGGTTACCCCTTACCTGGATGAAGGATTAGGTCCGTGGCTAATTAAAGGCTGAAGTGAATTGGTGGCCTATGCAGATAAAGAGATGACCCATGCTTGGCCAGAGGCCAATCTAAGGCACTCTCCCTTTCCCTCTGAGACCTGGAAGAGGGGGAGAGGTGTAGAGAGAGTAGCCTCTGGGCCTGCGAAGGTGGGGTTTTTCCTTTTGGTTTAGCTTTACTGCGTTTTTGTTAATTGGCCTTAGGTTCCTTGCCCCCAGACCCAGGTGTTTTCCCTTTTATTTAACTTTAGGAAATTATCATGAATTGGCCTCAGATTCCCTGCCCCAGACCTTGGTGTTTTCTCTTGATTCAGCTTTAGGAAGTCAGCACGAATGGGCCCTAAGTTCCCTGCCTATAGACCCTATTCTCCTGCCTCAGAAGCACTTGTTAGAAATGCACTTTTAGGACTCACCTCACCCTACTGAATGAGAAACTGGGGACCGGGCCCTGCAATCTAGTTCCGTGATCACCTCCAGGTGATTCTAATGGAGCCAAATGCTGAGAACCACTGTGTTAGAGTTTTGAAGGGGGTGGAGGGAGCAAATGGAATGACTTTGCCTGCCTGTTCTTCCTCCTAAGCCCCCAGAGCATCCCTAGAAATAGGACTAGCCAGATACAGTAAAATTTGAGTGATGCCAGAAATAGTCCATTTCCCCCAACTGTCTTCCTGAAAGAGCTGTCCCTAGTGTCTCCAACACTGCTCTTTCACATAGTTCTTTGGCTTCAGGCGTTGTGCCTGCTGTAAAGGAATTCTAATAAATGGTCTTCAGCTGCTAACACCTCAGTGTGGATTAGCTCAGTGGTTATCAATCTTGATGCACGCTGGAAACACATGGGAAGTTTTAAAAAATCACAGAGGCCTTGGTCACACCCTCAGATGCTGAGTTCATTGATCCAGGAGAATGTTGTAAAACCTTCCCCAGATGATCTAATGCACAATCAAGTTTTGAAAACAACAGATTAGCTGATTCAGTCCTTTTCAATCAGAAAACTGAGGACAATTATTTCTGGAAATAAAAGCCACAGAAGGGCATTTGCTAGGGTGGCTTATACAACAGAAATTCATTGTCTCCAAGTTCTAAAGGCTAGAAGTCTGGGATCAAGGTGTCAGCAGGGCTGGTTAGTTCTCAGGCCTGTAAGAGGGACTATTCCATGTCGCTCCCTGGCTTCAGGTGGTTTGCTGGCAATCTGGCATTCCCTGGCTTGCAGATGCATCCTCTGATCTCTGCCTTCATCTTCACACGGCACTCACTCCACGTGCATGTATGTCTCTATATCCAAATGTCTCCTTTTTAGAAGGGTCATATTAGATTAGGGCTCACTGTAATGACCTCATTTTAACTTGATTACCTCTGTAACAACCCTATCTCCAAATAAGGTCACGTTCTGAGTTCTGGTTAGGACGTCAACATATCTTTTTGGCGACACACTATTCAAACCATAACAGGCAAAAAGGGCGGGAGCTTTGGGTAGAGCGCAGGTCTGAATGGAACCAACCACTACCTAGATTCCATCCTTACCTGTAGCCTGCAGTTCCCACCCATGCCCTACCAGGCCTGATCACGCCACTGCCCCACTTCCTCAAGCTGGCACTGGTGGACTATGATAATATTTCTTTTTAATGCACCTCATAGAGAGTGCTTACTGCGTGTCATACTCTGAGTTTTCACAACCATGCAAAGCAGGCGTTGCTATTCCCACTTTATGCCTGAAGAAAACAGATTCAGGGAGGCCAAATAACTTCTAAGGAGCAGGAGACACCCAAGGGAAAGTGTATTCAGAGGGAAGTAGAGGTACCTGCCAGGGGCAGAGGTGCCAGGCCTCTCCCTAGACCTGGAACCAGGACCCCAGAAGCCATATGTGTCCACGGCAGCAGCTCCTTTCCCCAGCAGTCCCTGGGCCACGGGAGCCCAGTCTCTCCTGCTGCCCGACAGCCTCTTGCCAGAACCAGCTTTCTCTGTTCCACTTACTGTGGCCTCCAGGAAGCAGCCTGTCTCTTGGGGCCACCACAGGGTCTAAGAGGCCCCGCATCCTAAGTTCACACTCTCGGGACAGAGAATCTGATTGGCCCAGTTCAGATCAGGTATCAGCCTTGGGCCAATCACTGCAAGCGGGTTCTCAAGGCCCTTTCTGCAGGGGCCGGGCTGTAAGAAGAGCCTGGCGTTGCTGGCTGGGCAGCTGAATTCACTCATTAGGGACTCCTAAGTGGGGCTGGAGCATGGGCCCAAGAGCAGGAGCTCCTTAAATGTTGGTCCCCGACCCTGTCTTTCCCCCAAATGCTTCTTGAGTGGAAGGAGACTGAATTCTCTTGGTCTGGAATCAGGGCTTGTGCCCCTGGAATTGTTCTTGGCTGTCAGGCTTTCTTACCTGTATGGTTTTGTTTGTTTATTCATTTTATTTTTTTTAGACAGGGTCTCGCTCTGTCACCCAGGCTGGAGAGCAGTGGTGCAATCTCAGCTCACTGTAGCCTTGACCTCCCAGGCTCAAGTTATCCTCCCCATCTAAGCCTCCCCAGTAGCTGGGAACACAGGCGCCAGCGCCACACCCAGCTTTTTTTTTTTTTTTTTTTTTTTTAAGAGACGGGATTTCACCATGTTGGCAAGACTGGTCTTGAACTCCTGGGCTCAAGTGATCTGCCCACCTCGGCCTCCCAAAGTGCTGGGATTACAGGTGTGACCCACTGTGCTCGGCCTGGTTGCTTTTTTGTTTTTGTTTTTTGTGGGTTTTTTTACGATGGAGTCTGGCTATGTCGCCCAGGCTGGAGTGCAGTGGCCTGTTCTTGGCTCACTGCAACCTCTGCCTTCCGGGTTCAAGCGATTCTCCTGCCTCAGTCTCCCGAGTAGCTATGTCTACAGTTGCCCCAACCACGCCTGGCTGATTTTTGTATTTTTAATAGAGACGGAGTTTCACCACATTGGCCAGGCTGGTCTCGAACTTCTGGACTCAAGTGATCCACCCGCCTTAGGCCTCCTAAAGTGCTGGGATTACAGGCGTGAGCCACCACGCCTGACTTTTTTAAATTGAATCATTGACAGAAAAGCCACGAAGTGGCTCGGAAAGGGGAAGGGGTTTGTGCAGAGTCGCCCAGCTATAGCGTGTGCAGCCCAGATAGAACCTGGGTCTTTCGGCTCCACTGTATGTGCTCTCCCCAGCAGGGATTGGGAAGGGCCTTTTCTGGCTTTCCCTGCACACTCCCACCCCCACCCCCCTGCATCTTGCCCTCCTGTGCCACCCTCTGCACCCACCAGCAGATCTCTTGGCCCCCGTTGCTCTGAATCAGTTGTGCCATGCAGTTGGCTGAGCTTCCTCTTAAGAGTCAGAGAAGCAGCTTACCTGTTTTATTTTAAAAATTCCTTTTTTTATGGGTGTGTTTGCAACAGCCTGAGGCACACCATGTATTATCTTCTGATTAGTCCTAAGATTCTTCTGGGTGTGGCTGGCATATAGCCCTGGTATACCCGTGCCTACCATTTATTGTTTATTTGTGGGGTGAGGGCACTGTGCTAAGCATTCGGCATACTGCATTCACTTTAATTCTTTCTAACATATCCGATCTGTGAGGTATCTATGGACATCCTTGTTTTACACATGAGGAACAGAGAGTCAGTGACTTTGAGCTGACTTGGCCAAAGTCATGATATTAACAAAGGGCAGATCGATATTGGAACCCACTTCTGCTTGACTGATTTCCTCTGAAGCCCTTGCTTCCCTGGTACATTTCCTGGGATTACTTTCCTATGTGGCCCCATTTGCCAGGAACTCAGAAACTGGGCTGTGTGTGCATGAGGGCATACGTAGCAGCATGGGTGCATGCACATGCATGTGTGTGATACAGGGATGTTTAGACGGAAGGATCAAAAATATATTTCAGGCTGGGCAAGGTGGCTCACACCTACAATCCCAGCACTTTGGGAGGCCAAGGTGGGCAGATCACCCGAGGTCAGGAGTTCGAGACCAGCCTGGCCAACATGGTGAAACCCTAGCTCCACTAAAAATACAAAAATTAGCCAGGTGTGGTGGCACACATCTGTAATCTCAGCTACTCAGGAGGCTGAGGCAGGAGAATCACTTGAACCTGGGAGGTGGAGGTTGCAGTGAGCCAAGATCATGACACTACACTCCAGCCTGGGCAACAGAGCAAGACTCCATCTCAAAATATATGTGTGTGTGTGTGTGTGTGTGTGTGTGTGCATTTTTTTTTTCAGGCAAAAAGAAGGAAGCAAATAGGATCCCAAGGGTCACACAAGAACTGGCTGTGGAGTCCAAAGTTCTGATCCTGTGCTCAGCTTGGCATAGTCCTGGGTTCTGTACCCCATACCTCCAGATCAGATGTACAACCCTATAAGGGGAGTCACTGAGCGTAAATTCTCATCCATGTTCCAGGTACTCTGCAAAGTTCTGGGGCTGCAACAGGGAACCAAATAGGCAACTCCTGCCCTCATGGAACTTACAGTCTAAAGGGAGAACAGATGTCAAATACCCACACAAGTGTATACTTACAAACTGTGATAGTTACTATGATGGAAAAGTGCTATGAAAACATACAAGAAGAGACCTGACCTAGCCTGGAGTTGGGATAGACTTCCCAGAAGAGGCGATGATTGAGATCTGAAGGATGAATGAAGGTTAACAGGCAAACGAGGGAGCAGGCAGGGGGAGTAGCCTATGCTAAGTCCCTGCAGTGTGAGAGAACGAGATGAATCCAAGGGGCTGAAGAAAGGGCAGTGTGCCTGGATCTCAGGGTATGAGGGCGTGCTGAGGATGCTGAGGCCTAAGTGATGGGCAGGAGCCAAATGACACCTGGCCAGTCAAGCCTTTGAAGGGGTTTGACTTCATTCCTAGAGCAATGGAGAGCCAGACAAGGGTTTTAAACAGGAGGGTGACAAAATACAATGAAGTTTTGAAAATATCACTCAGGATGCTGTGTAGACAGTAAGTTAGCGGGGATTAAGCAGGCATAGTGAAGCACATTGAGAGACCATTGTCACCATTCATGAATTGGTGGCTTGGACTAGGGTGATGGTAGAAGAAAGAGCACACAAATCAGATTCAAGTTACATGTTGGAGGTAAAATTGACAGGACCCTGTGACAGATGGGATGTAGTGGATGAGGAAGGAGAAGGTGTCAGGATGGTGTCCTGTGGAGCTGACTGGCTGGGAGAGCCTTTCACTGAGGTTGGGGACACCAGACGACCAAATCTGGGAGATGGGATTATACATTTATTGTTTTATTTTAAAATTAATTTGCTTCTTTAGTTTTTGCTTATGTTTGAATAGGTAGTATTTGCACACAGTCCAAAATTCAAAATATGTATCTGTAAAAGCCTCCCTGTCTTGTCCTCCAGCCACCGAGTTCCTCCTCCTTACCCCCTGGAGCCAATAGGTGTTACCAAGTTCTGTATCTTTCCAGATAGTCATGGCTGTAGACTCAATTCTGTGTGCATTTAATTTATCTTTGAAGATGTTGATTTTGAAGTGCCTGTCAACTGGCAGGTGCAGAGGCAAAGCAGACAGTTGGATTAATAATTCTGATACTCAAAGGTGCAGTTGTGTTGGTGATGTGAATTTGGAAGTAACTGGACTCAGAGCTGCATGCATAGATGGGATTACCTAGGGAGAGAATAAAGAATAAAGGACAGGGCCTAGGATCAAGCTCAAGGAATTCTGTGATTTAATGGCAGATCAGAGTATCTTAGCCTATTTTTGGTTGCTATAACTAAATACCAAAGACTGCATACTTTATAAAGAAATTTCTTTTTAATTTTTTTAAATTTTTTTAGACACAGGGTTTTGTTCTTTTGCCCAGACTTCAGAGCAGTGATGCAGTCATAGCTCACTGAAGCCTGAAACTCTTGGACTCAAGTGATCTTCCCCCCTCAGTCTCCTGAGTAGCTGCAACTACAGGTGTACACCACCACACCTGGCTAATTTTTTTTTTTTAAAGAGACGTGTTCTTGTTTTTCTGCCCAGGCTGCTCTCGAACTCCTGGCCTCAAGCATTCCTCCTGCCTTAGCCTTCAAAAGTGCTGGGATTACAAGCATGAGCCCCTGCACCTGGCCATAAGAATTTACTTCTTACAGTTCTAGAGGATGGGAAGTCCAAGATTGAGGGCCACATCTGGTGAGGACCTTTTTGCTGGTGAGACCTCTCTATAGAGTCCTGAGTCAGCAGAGGGCATAGTGTGGTGAGGAGGCTCATTGAGAGCCAAACTGGCTTTTATAACAGACCCATTCTCATGATAACCCACTAATCTATTAACTCACTTATCTATTAATCCATGAATGGGTTCGTTCATTCATGAAGGCAAAGTCTTCATGACCCAATCACCTCTTAAAAGCCCCACCTCTTTATACTATTACACTAGGGATTAAATTTCTTATTTTATTTTTATTTTTAAATTTTTTTTTTTTTTTTTTTTTGAGACGGAGTCTCACTCTGTCGCCCAGGCTGGAGTGCAGTGGCACAATCTCAGCTCACTGCAACCTCTACCTCCTGGCTTCAAGCAATTCTCCTGCCTCAGCCTCCCAAGTAGCTGGGACTACAGGTGCACATCATCACATCCGGCTAATTTTTGTATTTTTTTGTAGACCCGGACTTTACATGTGCCATGTTGGCCAAGTTAGTCTCGAATTCCTGGCCTCAAACAATCCATCTGCCCCAACCTCCTGAAGTACTGGGATTACAGGCATGAGCCACCACACATGGCCAGGGGCTTAAGTTTCAACATGAGTTCTGCAGGGACAGACATTTAAACCACAGCAAAGAGGATGAGCCCTCAAAAGATACTGAGAAGCAGCAACCAGAGAGATGGGAAAAACAGCTGGTGAGTGTGGTGGGCCAGAGCTACCACCAAATCAGAAGGAAGTGTCAGCAGCATCCCAGGAAGAGGAGGGAGCCTGTATAGTAACTGTGGGAAAAGGAAGTGTCAATTTATGCAGTAAGATTGTCTGGCAGGATGGGGCCCTGTTGAGTTTGGTGATCTTGAGTCTATCCTAGAAACAGTGTGCTTTGTTGTGCTGAATAGTGTCTGCCAGGTGACATTCTCTTGCAGGGTTGGCTACTCATGTACAGGCAGAGAAAGAGTAGAACATTGTTAGTCCCAGGACTAGGGCCTTACCAGGTAGATATGATGAAAAGGCAGAAAGTACTGGTGTTGAAAAGATTGACAGGAGTCCTTGGATCCTGATGGGCAATGGAACTGAGGCTGGGTAGGGAGGGAAGTGAGGAAGATGGATTGGGAAAAGTAGAGGGAGTCAGAGTGGAAGGACTGATGAGGCCAAGGGGAGGAATTGAACAGTAAACAAGGAGAGAAGGTGTGGAGGCTGAGGATGACTAGAGGGAGGATGTGCCTGTAGATGAGATCACTGGATGGGCTGTCCACGGGTATGCTGGAGGGACACAGGATGATGCTGTAACTTGCAGTAAAGGGCGCCAACATGTTTAAAGAATGAAGAGAAAGGACTGGGGACAGAGAGCTCACGTTGTTGAGAGAGGAGAGTGTGGAACAATCTCAAAGGAACAAGTTTTGTTTTCTTGGCAAGAGGTTGGAGAAGTGATAGTTTATACCAACATTTTCCAGTAGAAATATAATGCAAGGCTCACATGCAAGCCACATATGTAATACTATTTTATTTTTGAGACAGGGTCTCACTGTGTCACCCAGACTGAAATGCAGCTCACTGCAACCTCTGCCTCCTGAGCTGAAGCTATCCTCCCACCCTCAGCCACTCAAGTAGCTGGGACCACAGGTGCATGCCACCATGCCCAGCTAATTTTTGTATTTTTTGCAGAGATGGGGTTTCGCCATGTTGTCTAGGCTGGTCTTGAACTCCTAGGCTCAGGCGATCCGCCTGCCTCAGCCTCCCAAAGTGCTGGGATTACAGGCATGAGCCACCATGCCCATCCATGTATGTAATTTTAAATGTTCTAGTGGCCATATTAAAAATATAAAAAGAAACAGGTAAAATTGACTTTGAATATATATTTGGTTTAACCTGATATATCCAGAAACATTATCATCTCAACATGTAATCAATGGAAAACAAGTTATTAATTAGATGTTTTATATTCTGTATAACATACTAAGTACTAAGTCTTCAAATTCTGGTGTGCATTTTATACTTAGAGTACATCTCAGTGTGGACTAGTCAGTTTCAAGTGCTCAACAGCTACATGTGGCTAGCAGCTACCATATTGAACAGCCCAGGTCTAGACTTCTGCTTTTTGTCATATCTGTCTCCCAAGTCTTTGCCAGCACTGAGCCATGTGCTATTCTGGGAAACATTAAAGAAATGTAAAACTCCACCTCTATACTCAAGTGCCTTACCTTATTAGGGGCATCTGTGGGACCATGAAAAGAGACTTGGGTTCCAGTCTCAGCTCTGAATTTTTACTTAGCAAAGACTTGGACACTTACGTCTCTGAGCCTTAGTTTTCTCATCTGTAAAGTAGTGATCAAATAAGCAAGTGCCCGGGAAGGGAAAAGCATAGTGCTTTAGTCCAAGTCTCCTGCCTGCCTTCATAGACTGAGGTAATGCTCATGGGGTTGTCCATTGTATATATGTGAAAAACATTTTCAAATGTGAAGAATCTAAGGCTCAGACTCAATCTTGGCATGCAGTATTTGTATTTTTACAGTCACAGTGTATTATTTTTTAAGTAATTCACAAACTTGCTAAAATATTACTATTGTTCAAAAAAGTATAGAGTGAAATGTAAAGTCTTCTCCCATTCCAGACACCCATTCTCCCCAAAGACAACCACAGCTTCTGGTTTTTAGAATAACTTAGAGATGTTCTATGCATTTATATGGATAACTGTATGTCTATCTGTGTATGTGTGACTGTGTGTGTATACACATATAATTACTTTATTTAAGTGGAATCATTCTCTATACACTGTTCTGCCCTCTACTTTTTTCATTATTTTTGAGATCATCTAATGTCAACACATATAGATTTGCCTCATTCTTTTGAACATTTTTGTAATATCCCAAAACATGAATACTGATATTTTATTTAACTGGTTCCTTACCAGTGAACACACAGGTGCATCTCCAGTCTTTTGCTGCTACAATTGACTGTACTGTGCTTTATGACAACAGTGACACATATATCTCTGCATCTATGTGCCCATCTTATCTGTAGGATAAATTATTAGAAGTGGAATTTCTGGGTCAAAAGGTATGTGCTATTTAAATATTTTTACAGATTGCATCATATGCCATCCAAGCAGGTTCCACCCATTTACAATCACCACACTAATGTTTGAGAGTAACTTCCATGCACTCCTGACAACATAATGTTATCAAACTTCTTCATCTTTGCCAGTCTGATAACGGCCCAGGTCAGTCAACTTTCCCAGCATTGGTTTCACTGGGCTGTGATAATATTGTATAATATAACATCTGATATCTAACAGGTGTTAACTGACAGAAATGGTGACTGTTGCCATTTTCGAGTGATTTTCCTGGTTTGGGTACAAATTCTGAAACCTGATGAAGGGGAACAGCCTGGTAGCCTCCACCTAAACCTGCATCTGTTTACGTTGTTTGGGTTTGGCTGACATCTGGGTGACTTCCCAAGGCCATTAAACAGAAAGATCATGGTGAGCCCTCTCCAAGATGAGCTGAGCTTTGGTTTCTGAGCAATCAGGCACTGAGAGGGGGAATTACCACCTGAGCTCACAGGAGGTATGGGTACCTGTGAACTGTGTGCCCAGGGCAGCTATCAGCACTGTTCTTCACCACTAAACAGGAAAGCTATTACTTGGAGGTGCTGTATTGACCTCATACACAAAGCTGTGTTTCCCAAATTACTGGCAGGCAGGTGTTTCAAGAATGGCATGAGTTGGGCAGCAACATGGATATTTTAGTTGTGGCTTAAAACTGTGCCGCCTGTAATCCTAGCACTTGGGGAGGTTGAGGTGGGAGGTTCGCTTGAGCCCAGGAGTTCGAGACCTGCCTGAACACCATGGTGAAACCCTGTCTCTAGTGCACACCTTTTGTCCCAGCTACTAAGGAGGCTGAGGTGGGAGGATTGCTTGAACTCAGGAGGTGGAGGCTGCTGTGAGCCATGATTGCGCCACTGTACTCTAGCCTGGGCAACAGAGCAAGACTGTGTCTCAAAACAAAAAACAAAAAACTACCAGGCGTGATGGCACACACCTGTAATCTCAGTACTTTGGGAGGCCGGGGTGGGCGGACTGCTTTGAGCTCAGGAGTTCAAGACCAGCTTGGGCAACATGGCAAAACCCCATCTCTACAAAAAAAATAAAAATAAAAAATAGCCGGGCCTGGCCAATACGCCTGTGGTCCCAGCTACTCAGGAGCTGAGGCTAGAGGATAGCTTAAGCCCAGGACGCAGAGGTTGCAGTGAGCCAAGATCCCACCCACTGCACTCCAGCCTCAGTAGTGAGACCTTATCTCAAAAAAAAAAAAAAAAGAACCAACCGAAAAACAAACCTGTGCTGTTTCTCCTGCTAGCTGTTTGACTCTCAGCAGACTTGGGGCTGGGAAAGGGGTCCCTCCAGCGCCTTCCCCAGCTAGATCCAGTGACCCTCAGCTCAGCGGAGATACTCCTTTCCTGCTCTCTCCTGGTTGGCAACAGTTTGACAGGCAGGGCACACATGTCACCATTTGTTCATTCATGCAAGTATATTTTCAGCATCTACAAAGTGTCAGGCCCTGTCTTGGGCACTGGGGGTTCTGAGATGAATAGGACAACAATTCTCTCTATAACGAACGATCTTGCGGTCTTGGGCAGACCTGCCCTACACATGCCCACTTCTTACTACCCCTTCTCTCAGAGGCTGGCACAGGGTGGCCAGGGGATGCAGGGCACCACTAGCTGTTCCCGGCTGTTTAGGCTCCAGCCTTAGGTTCTCCCAAAGAGCAAGCACCTGTTAGGGGCCCAGGGCAGTACATGTGATGTATGTAAATGGTAAGATTATGAATTCTGCCAGACCGTCCTTCCAGAAGCCCAGTTCAGATCATGTCATGGCCCTATTTGAACATCCTCGTGGGTCCTGTTCTGCCTCTGCCCTGCCCCCACCCTGCCCCACACTCTGTCAGCTTCCTTATCCCATGGCCACCCTGTACTTCTTAATCACCAAGTCCCAAATCTGAGGAGTCTTGGATCCCTCCTGCCTTCCTGGGTCGTCCTAGTTTTCTCTCAGCTGAGATTGGGCTTCCTCCCTTTCCCACACTTTTAAAATCTTGTTATTTATGCCCCACCTTAAATGAGTGCCTTTCCCTTCCTCACCTTCTGCAAACTTCCCTGGCTCATTACTAGGACAGTGAAAAGTACTCGGTTTTGAATCTCTGCTCAGCCACTTACCGTGACATTGGGCAAATTACCTAACCTCAGGGAACTGCAGGCCAGCACCCGATGAGCCTGTCCCCAGCTGTTGAGGGAGCTGTGGCAAGTGCAGTGCTGAGCTCAGGAACAAGAGTGAGGTCCCAACTGAAATGGGGTGCATGGGATGCTGACCCCTGGAGATGCATTAGGGAGCCAGAGTGTTAGGGAAGACTGGCTTTCCTTCTCCCTCAGCCTGTCAGGGCTGGCTGCCTCCACAACTCCCCTATTGAGCCCCTTTGAACACCTCGGAAATACACAGTGGTATATCTTGGAGTTTTCTCTCTGCTCTTCAATATTTCTTTTTTTCTTTTTTCTTGAGACTGAGTCTCACTCTGTTGCCCAGGCTGGAATGCAGTGGTGCTATCTCAGCTCACTGCCAACCTGTGCCTCCCAGGTTCAAGCGATTCTCGTGCCTCAGCCTCCCAAGTAGCTGGGATTACAGGCGCCAGCCACCACGCCTGGCTAATTTTTTGTATTTTCAGTAGAGACAGGGTTTCACCATGTTGGCCAGGCTGTTCTGAAACTCCTGACTTCAGGTGATCTGCCCACCTTGGCCTCCCAAAATGCTGGGATTACAGGCGTGAGCCACCACAAGTGATCAACTCTGTTGGTTTGCCCATGACGGTCCTGATTTTAGCCCTGAAACTGCCACATCCTGGGAAATCTCTCAGTCCTGGACAAACTGGGGCAGTTGGTCAGTCACCCTGAGGCAGGTGACAGAGACCTGATCAGAGAAGGGTAAGTGGTGGGGGCTGCGGCTCCTGGATGAACACAAAGTTCTGTGTCATTGCCCGGCCTGTTGCTGAGCCTTACATGTGTCATCGACCCTCATCCTCGCAGGAGAGCTGAGGCTCTCATAATTAAGGACTTTTCCAGATCTCCCAGCTAGGAGGTCTCAGGGTAGAGCCTGGGTGTGTCCTGCCCACATCAGGTGTCTCCACTACACCTCCCTGCCACTTGAAATGATCCTTTTGTAATATCACTCGTCACTCACCCACCCTACTGTAACAGTTTTCTGAATTAGGACTCCTGAATCTTAGGCTCTGAGACCTATATGCTAGCTGCTTAACTAAAGGCTTGATAAGGATGACAATGATGCTTAGTTTCTGGTTCTCAGCTGCATCTGACAATCACATTTGCTGAATAAGTTGTTTTCCAGATAAATGAGGTGAAAATGAGTAATTAAGATGTATCTCTATAACTCCTTAACTCTATAACTCCTTAAATGCAGAGACTATGTTGGCAAGATACCTGTCCTATCATTAGTTTATATTCTTGCCATCTCAACAGATGTAATTGTCATCTCAACAGTATTGACCTTTGTTGTGATTTCAAGAAATATATCCCCCTTCTGAATAATCGATTTTTAAAAAAACGAAAAGTACAACCTTTGTAATTTATTTGTAAGAAAAGGAGTAAGTAACCCTTCTGAGTGTTATATTCTAGCCCATTGCTCGGTAGGTGGTTTCAGCTTCCTAGTACTTTTACTATTTCCTCTTGACAGCTTTCTGATTAGTTACCAGAGGGTCTCACCATCTCCAGGAAGTCGGGAAGCCCTTTGGTTCAGGTTCCAGTGACTTCTGTCCTGCTAAAATCTTCTACTATGTGACTTGTTCTTTAAGAGGCATCCCCATCTGTCTTGGAAATGCCTAGAAATTTAGTTCCTCTCTGCTTTTCACAAATAATTCAAGTGAAGATGCAAAGGTAAACTTTTAAACTTTAAATTTTGCTGGCCAAGATTGCATAGTCTAATCAGGAGAACTTAAAAAGACTTTTTAAAGTACATTTTTAAAAATTATTAACTCAATAAATAACTGAAAAATTCAAAATTATATAAATGGCTTACATGGAAAATAAAGTTCTCCTGCCATTTGATCTCTGAGGGGCAATTCCTGTTAACAGTTTAACATATATTACTCCAACACTTTTCCATTTTTCCGTACATAATATGTATATATTAGCACATATTTGCACAAATATAAATGAGATCACATTAGGTATGCTGTTTTACATGTTTATTTTTTTAACTTAGTAACATCACAGACGTCTTTCCTTGCCCATACAAAGCTCATTCTTGTTAATGGCTGCCTGCTGTCCTTTTTTTTTTTTTTTAAGACTACTCAATAGCAGTAGTGAGAAGGGGAGAAAGAGCAGAATAAGGGGTTTCATCTGTAACTGACTGTGAACAATCAGTTGAGATAACTCACTACCTTCAGACCAGCCCATCCATTTTATAAGTGAAAGCTGATGTACTGAACCAACCTCCTTGAATAGAGCACTTGAGCCAGGCCTGAATATTGGCCCAGCTGCTAAGTTTCTCTGGACTCACTCTAGATTAATTTTAGCATGAGATGCAGACGTGGTTACTCATTAATTCAACTTTTTAAATAATCAACAAGCAGTTTGCTTTAAAACCATGAAACTGTTAATTTTTCATCTTTGTTATAGATTATTATTATTATGAGATGGAGTTTTGCTTTTGTTGCCAGGCTGGAGTGCAGTGGCACGATCTCGGCTCACTGCAACGTCCGCCTTCTGGGTTCAAGAGATTCTCCTGCCTCAGCCTCCTGAGTAGCTGGGATTACAGGCATGTGCCACCATGCCTGGCTAATTTTGTATTTTTAGTAGAGATGGGGTTTCTCCATGTTGGTCAGGCTGGTCTTGAACTCCCAAACTCAGGTGATCCACTCGCTTCGGCCTCCCAAAGTGCTGGGATTACAGGCATGAGCCACCGTGTCCGGCCTGTTATAGATTATTTATTCCTAATTATATGTGATAGATTGATGGAAGGAGAAACCGCTTTGTTCCTAACACCTAGTTAAATGCCCGGTTAGTCTGTCTAATTAAGAGGAGGTTTTTCTCAAGGCTTAACAAATTCAAGAAGATTTAAATTATATCAAATGTCTTTCCTGACCACAGTAATATGAAACTAGAAATCAACAGTAGGAGTAAAATTGGAAAATTCTCACATACATAGAAATTAAACAACAGACTCCTAAAGAACCAATGTATCAAAGAAAAGAAAAAAAATCTTGAAACAAATAAAAATGGAACTATAGCATACCATAATTTATAGGGTGCAGCAAAAGCAGTTTTAAGGGGAGAGTTTATAACTATAAATGCTTACATTAAGAAAAAAGATGTCGGGCTGGGCACGGTGGCTCATGCTTGTAATCCCAGCGCTTTGGGAGGCTGAGGCGGGCGGATCACGAGGTCAGGAGATCGAGACCATCCTGGCTAACACGGTGAAACCCCGTCTCTACTAAAAATACAAAAAAAATTAGCCAGGTGTTATGGTGGGCGCCTGTAGTCCCAGCTACTCGGGTGGCTGAGGCAGGAGAATGGCACGAACCCGGGAGGTGGAGCTTGTAGTGAGCTGAGATCGTGCCACTGCACTCCAGCCTGGGCAACAGAGCAAGACTCCATCTCAAAAAAAAAGAAAACAGATGTTGAATAATCAACCTAACTTTACACTTCAAGGAAGTATTAGAAAACTAATAGAAAAAGAAGAGCAGAAGAAAATAAATAATAAAGATCAGGTCAGAAAACTAAAGGTTTGTCAATTTTATTTATTTTTGAATTTTTATTTATTTTTAAATTTTTTAGAGACAGGATCTGGCTCTGTTGCCCAGGCTGGAGTGCAATGGCACGATCATAGCTCACTGCAGCCTGGAACTCCTGGGCTCAGGTGATCCGCCTGCTTCAGCCTTCCAAGTAGCTAGAACTACAGGTGTGCACCACCACACCTGGCTAGTTTTTTGCTTTCTGTAGAGATACAGTTTCACTAAATTATACCCAGGCTGGTCTTGAACTCCTGGCCTCAAATGATCCTCTCCCACACTGGCCTCTCGAAGTGCTGGGATTACAGACGTGAGCCACTGAGCCTGGCCTTTATTTCTTTTTTTTTTAAAATCAACTCTTAGTTTTGTACATCTTTTCTATTATTTTTCTAGTCTCTATTTCATTTATTTCTGACCTTGACCAGGTGGTCAAGGCTGCAGTGAGCCAAGATTGCACCACTGCACTCCAGCCTGGGTGATAAAGTGAGACTGTATCTCAATAACAACAACAAAAAAAGAAAAAAGAAAAGAAAAAGAAAAGGAAGAAAAAAAAAACCTGTCCCATTTACAATAAAATCAAAAATAATAAAATATTTAGGAATAAATTTACAAAGAAGGCGAGAAGTCTATATACTGAAAACTGTAAGACAGTGACAAAGGAAACTGAAGACACAAATAAATGGAAAGATACCCTATGTTCGTGGATGGGAAGAATTAATATCGTTAAAACGTCCATATTACCCAAAGCGATCTGCAGAGTCAATGCAATCTGTATCACAATTTCAATAGCATTCTTCAGAGAAATCAAAAAAGCAGGCCAGATGCAGTGGCTCACGCATGTAATCCTAGCACTTTGGAAGGCTGAGGCAGTTGGATAGCTTGAGCCCAGGAGTTTGAGACCAGCTTGTACAACATGGTGAAAACCTGTGTCTACAAAAAATACAAAAGTTACCTGGATGTGGTGGTGCACACCTATAGTCCCAGCTACTTGGGAGGCTGAGGTGGGAGGATCACCTTAACCCCAGGGAGGTCAAGGATGCAGGGAGCCATGATTGCACCACTGCACTCCAGCCTAGGTGGCAGAGGGAGACCCTGTCTCAAGAAAAAACCACATCAAATTCATATAGAAGCACAAAAGATCCTGAATAGCCAAAGCAATCTTGAGAAAGAAGAACAAAGCTGAAGGCATCATGCCTCCTGATTTCAAAGTAAATTACAAAGCTATAGTAAATTGAAATGGTATGGCACTGGCATAAAAACAGGTACATAGATCAATGAAACAAAATAGCCCAGAAACAAAGGCACTTATATATGGTCAACTAATATTTGACTAAAGTGCCAAGAATACACAATGAAGAAAGGAGTCTCTTCATAAAGGGTGTTGGCAAAACTGAATATTCACATGTAAAATAGTGAAATTGAACCCTTATCTTACATCATTCACAAAAATTAACTTGAAATGGATTAAACACTTAAATGTAAGACCTGAAACCATAAAACTCCTAGAAGGGAAAATAGGGGAAAAACTTCTTGACATTGGTCTTGGCAATAACTTTTTGGATGACACCCAAAACACAGGCAACAAAACCAAAAATGAGTAAGTGGGACAACATCAAACTAAAAACCTTCTGTACAGCAAAGGAAACAATCAATAAAATGGAAAGGCAATCTATAGAATTCAGGAAAATAATTGCAAACCTGGAAAGGGGTTAATATCCAAAATATACATGAAACTCATACAACTCAATAGCAAAAAACAAACAACAACAAAAAAGAAACACATGATTTAAAGATGGGCACAAGGACCTGAATAGTCCTTTCTCCAAAGAAAACAATACAAATGGCCAACAGGTACATAAATAGGTGCTGAACTAATCAGGGAAGTGCAAATCAAAACCACAATGAGATATCACCTAACTCCTGTTAGGCTGGCTATTATCAAAAAGACAAGGTGACAAATGTTGGTCAAGATATGGAGAAAGGGAACCCTTGCACAATGTCGGTGGGAATGTAAATTGATATAGCTATTATGAAAAAAGTATGGAGATTCCTCAAAAAAATTAAAAATAGAAGTAATAGCCGGGCATGGTGGCTCATGTCTGTAATCCCAGCACTTTGGGAGACCGAGGTGGGTGGATCACCTGATGTCGGGAGTTCGAGGCCAGCCTGACCAACATGGTGAAACCCCATCTCTACTAAAAAGACCAAAATTAGCCAGGCATGGTGGTGGGCACCTGTAATCCCAGCTACTCGGGAGGCTGAGACAGGAGAATCACTTGAACCTGGGAGGCAGAGGTTGCAGTGAGCCGAGATTGCGCCACTGCACTCCAGCCTGGGTGACAGAGTAAGACTCTGTCTCAAAAAAAAAAAGTGCCATACAAACCACCAATCCTACTGGGTATATATCGAAAACAATTGAAATCAGTGTATCAGAGATATCTGCATGCTCTTGTTCACTGCACCATATTCACAATAGCCAAGACATGGAAACTATCCAAGTGTCCATAGACAGATGAATACATAAATAAATATATATATGAATATTATTCAGCCATATGAAGAAGAAAATCCTGCCATTTGTGACAACATGGATTAACCTGAAAGACATTATGCTAAGCTGCTAAATGAAATAAGCTAGACATAGGAAGACAAATATTGTATGATCTCACTTATATGTGGAATCTAAAAAAATTGAACTCATAGAAATAGAGTAGAACTGTTGTTGCCAGAGGCTGGGGCCAGTGGGGAAGAAGGAGATGCAGATCAAAAGGTCCAAACTTTGAGTTATAAGATGAACAAATTCTGGGGACTGAATGTTCAGCGTGAGTGGTGATGGATATATTAATTAATTTAATCGTGATCATCATTACGCAACATAGAGATATATCATCAGGCTGTATACCTTGAATGTATACAATCTTTATTTGTCAATTAAATTTAAAAAAAATTTTTAAAGAAGTTTTTCTAGGCCGGACACAGTGGCTCACACTTGTAATCCCAACACTCTGGGAGGTTGAGGCCAGGAGTCCAAGACCAGTCCTAGCAACACAGAAAGACCTCATCTCTACCAAAAAAAAAAAGAAAAGGAAAAAGAGGTTTCTCTGGTCCAGAGAAAATACAAAAACCAGCAAGAACCAGTCAGCCAGTTTCCAGTTGTATCAGCATCTGAGAAACTTGGAGTTGTTATTTTTATTTATTTTTTAGTTTTGCAGTTTCTTGGGCCAAAGTAACCGAAATGCTCAAAGTGAAGTTCCATGAGGGTGTGAAAAGGGCTGGTAGTCTCCCAGGATATTAACCTGTTAGTAACCTTGACCACCATGGTTAACAGAATGTATATGAAATGCGCAGAAGTTATAATATAGATTCGTCACTAGTTCTAAATATAGTTCTCTAAATCTTACAGCAGTAATCACTAGTGCAACTGCTCATATTTGAGGTCAGAGAAATCAGGAAACATAGATACGTGATTGATAGATAGCCACAAAGTAGAGATACGAGCTGGGCATGGTGGCTCATGCCTGTAATCCCAACATTATGGGAGGCCGAGAAGGCAGATCAATTGAGGCCAGGAGTTCAAGACCAGCCTGGCCAACATGACAAAACCCCATTTCTACTAAAACTATTAATGCAAAAAAAATTTAGCCTGGCATGGTGGCACATGCCTGTAATCCCAGCTCAGATAGCTGAGACACAAGAATCACTGGAACCCAAGAGGCGGAGGTTGAGTGAGCCGAGATTGTGACTCAGCACTCCAGCCTGGGCGACAGAGCAAGACTGTCTCAAAAGCAAAACAAAACAGAAAACAAAGTAGAGATCCAGGATTGGAATCAGAGCTGTGCTGAAATCCCTCCTCTTCCGTTATGTGGGCATGTTGGTGTGCCTTTGTAAAAAAAAAAAGGAGATGGCTGGGTGCACTGGCTCATGCCTGTAATCCCAGCACTTTGGAGAGTCCGAGGCAGGCAGATGATGAGGTCGGGAGTTTGAGACCAGCCTGGCCAACATTGTGAAACCCTGTCTCTACTAAAAATACAAAAAGTTAGCCAGGTGTGGTGGCGGGCACCTGTAATCCCAGCTACTTGGGAGGCTGAGGCAGGAGAATCGCTTCAACCCAGGAGGTGGAGGTTGCAGTGAGCTGAGATCGAGCCATTGCACTCCAGCCTGGGCGACAGAGCGAGACCCCATCTCAAAAAATAAATAAAATAAAAGATAATAATTATAAAGTAGATAACATAGTAACTGGCACAGAAAGTCTTAAATATAGTTCTTTTCCCTATATGTATGTTAGCTTTCAGATGTACCTAATTTTTCAAACCACCCAAGCATCAACATTCCTATTAGGAAAAGGCTCATGTTCTTGTTGCTGTAAATATTTGGTCATTCACTTATTCATTTACTCAGCAAACATTTATTGACCAACCACTATGTGCCAGGCATTGTACTGGGTTCAGGGACCATAGGGATAAAGAAAACACGATTCCCACCCTCCAAGGTCTGGCCTGGAATTTGACCTCTGTTTTCTTCTTTATTTCAGTCGTCTTAAACTCTGCACTTTGTTCTGTGTTAAAGAATAACTATGTCACACACTGAGGGCTTGAGTGAGAAGGAGTGATCCAGAGAGTCATGAGAAGAGTCCTTGGGCATCAGAAGGGCTCCCCATATACTGGGAGAGAACCTCTGTAGTCCACCTTGCTACAAAGGTGTCAGATTTCATGTTGAAATAAAAGGGAGCATTCTAAATAGTCTTCAAAATGGAAAAAGGTTGCTCTGTGTGTAGAGAGCTCTATCTCCAGGGAGCCTTGTGTCTTGTTCAGCATTATCGCTTAAGCACCAGAACCTAGAACAGTTCCTGGCATATAATAGGCACACAATAAATATTTGTGTAATAGATCAACAAATTATATAAGTTCACTTCAGTATAAAGCCATATATATGTGCCCAACATCCAGCATATCATCCTGCAGGTCAGGGTGTGTCCCTATACATTCCTCAGGCCACCATCAATGCCACTGTCAAAGAAGACATCCTGCTCTCAGTTGAGTACTCCTGTCATGGAGTGCCCACCATCGAATGGACATATTCATCCAATTGGGGAACGCAGAAGATCGTGGAGTGGAAACCAGGGACTCAGGCCAACATCTCTCAAAGCCACAAGGACAGAGTCTGCACCTTTGACAACGGCTCCATCCAGCTCTTCAGCGTGGGAGTGAGGGATTCCGGCTACTATGTCATCACCGTGACGGAGCGCCTGGGGAGCAGCCAGTTTGGCACCATCGTGCTGCACGTCTCTGGTAAGACATCCCAGGGCCCCGGGCACCCCTCTGAACTGTGAATGTGTGGGAGGCCAATTTCACGATATTAAAAGAAATGTTGTCTTCCCCCTCCCCTCACCCTCACTCCATAGAGATCCTCTATGAAGACCTGCACTTTGTCGCTGTCATCCTTGCTTTTCTCGCTGCTGTGGCCGCAGTATTAATCAGCCTCATGTGGGTTTGTAATAAGTGTGCATATAAATTTCAGAGGAAGAGAAGACACAAACTCAAAGGTAACCCCCTGGGCCTTGTGATAATCCATGAGTGGTTTTGAGGCCAGAGGTGGCATGTGTTATCTTGTTCTCACGAAGAAAGCACTATGTGGCTTGATTTCCAACTCATTGACTTGTCTTTGCTTTACAGAAAGCACAACTGAGGAGATTGAGCTGGAAGATGTTGAGTGTTAGCCAAGGCTGGGCCTGACTGCATTCCTACCTCAAGAGGAAACCATTCTCCAACAAAAAGAGCAAGCACAGCTATTATACCCATTGTGTGTGGTCCTGTTGCAGCCCGCTCCTAACAGGACAGTGGGAGATTAACAACATTGACTGCATGGAGTTGAGGACTGTGGATGGGACAAAGCTAGTATTAGGACTCGCGCTAAGTTCAAGGAGAAGAGTGATTGAGGCTTTGAACCAGGAGCTTCGCTTGGCTGCAGCATCAGGGCCGTGCTGACACATAACCAATGGGTGAGTGCAGGCGTTGGCTGCTTGCTCACGACACTTGCTCTGGTGTGCAGGATGGCCTGTTGTCAGAGTCCCTGTATCAGAGGCCAGAGGATTTCCAGATGGATGTGCAGCCAGCATTAGAACATGCTTTCTGTGCTCCTGTCTGCTCTGCAACTGCTGTGCCAACCAGCCCCCCATCTGGTATCCCACAAGCAAGCACTGCTGTGGGAGCTATTGTGAGAAAACCTGAGGCTTTTAGACAATCTGCTGCCTCAGAGCAGAGGTGGAAAGAGACTGGGGGTGGGGGTTGGTGCTGTTGTGCTGCAGAGTTTTTCATTGGTGAGGCCCGGTGGCTGGGAGTTTTATGGGAGAGGAGCTCAATGGACTCCTGAGAGGCCAGCTTTGGATACAAGGAATAGAGAAAATTATCTTTCTCTTCCTCCCTCATTCCAACGTTAATTGGATTTTCCCTCCCATGGCTCAAACTTAGGCCATTGTAAGTAAAACAACAGCTCATCTCCATTATGGGCAGCACCTGGCCTCCTGACGAGCTGGATGCCACCTGTGTGAAAGCTGAGCTTGCATAGTGGGTGATGCAGCTGGAAAATCAGTCATCTCGGGCTTTGCATCTGTCCCCCTCAGTCACTAACACTTCACGTCTCAAGTCAGGCCCTTGCCCTCTCCTACCTGGGCTGAGGAACGCTTGGCCCTTGCCTACCTCACAGTCAGAGTATCAAGAGAAGCCCACAGTATGCACAGAGTTCTCTGAGCAACTTACGAAATGCATGAGGCTTCTTCAAGGATCTGGAAAGCTATACTGGAAAACGCTATTCTGAGTATTAGAAATTGATAAAATCCTCTGAGGTCTTGGGGCTCCAGGTGAGATTGGGGACTGGACCACAGCTGGCCTTGGCCATTATTCCCTCAGGTTGTTGGTCACCATGTTCACCTGTAAGTTTCTCCATCCCAACTTCCATTTGACAAGCTCTAAAAGCAGGCATGGATTTATTTTCCATTCTCTTATCTCTCCAATATTCATAGCTACAGACCAAAGGTACCATCCGATGATGATGTGTTCCTAGTCCTCAGTTGCAAATTCACCCATGCAAAGGTTAAGAAGTCTTAGAACATTCCTTTCTCTTCTTCCTCCTTTCAGGCCTCCAATGTCCATATCTTCTCTATTTCCTATGTGGCAGAGGAGTTGCTTGGATAAGTTACAGCCCTTTCCCTCAATATTGAATCCAGAGTTTTGGGAAGGGATCTCTCAGAATATTCAGACAGGAACTCTCAGTATCCAGAGCAGGACTCCCAAGGCACTGCTTGATTCAAAAGGCGACAGCAGTTGGTCTACACAACGGATGTGTAGCTCTAGCACCTGACAGGTAGAAGATACCCTCAAGGCGCCTCCTGTAGACACACGGGTAAACTCACACACTATGTCCTATCCCCACGCAGCAGTCGGAGGAACCAGGCTCTGGGCCAGGACAGTTTCCAGTGCTGTGAAGAAACGAGGTGAGCAGTATCCAAGGGGCTCAAGGATAATCTGCTGATTTCTTTCTTGTCTTTCACACAGAGAGGCCACCAGCAGGAAAGCAGTGGGAGTTGGGTAGCTGCTGGGGCCAGCATGTCCTCTTCCACACTACCTGCCTTTCAGAACTCTGCTCTTCCGCTTGTCCCGAAGTCAGGGCTGGCAATCTTCATAATCAAAGGGGAGTTGGAAAAGAACACCCACTAAGAGGCCTCCATGGCAGATGTCAATTAAATTGCCCCCCCGCCCAAATCTCATGACAGTTTATTCACATCAGTAGTGTGGGAAGTTACAATGTTTTTTTTAAAAAAAGCTTCTTTCCTTGGCTTTCCATTTCTTTGAAAAAAGGGTTTCTTTTGAATTTTTAAAGCTCTGCCATACTGAACATTCCTGTGGAAAGGTTTAAAATGCAGAGCCTGAGGTTTTTGCTTTTCAGAAAAATAAAAATCTTAGAGATTAGCTAGTGTAAATGTTAAGCTATAAATTATATTTCAAACTGTGAAAAAAAAAAGTTTTAAAGAATGAATGAAATAAAACCTGAAAATAAAGCCCTGGTCCTTTGTGTGTGTGTCTGCTCCTGCCAAGAAATCAGAGGCTCTGGGTGCTGTGTCCTGTCAGGCTGAGCATAAACAAAACCCTTAATCACAGTCAGGTCTGGCACATATTTTAAGTGACAACGCAACTAATTACACTGGTTCTAACAGTAAACATTATTTAGCAATTCAGAAAAACTACACCTTATCAGCACCACCATTCTCCCCCAATTGTAGCCAGAAGACCAATTTGAAATTTATGCTTTCAGAATATTAACTGTAATTCAATAGCATTCTTCCTGCTTCTGGAATGGGCCAAAAGTAGGATGTGATAATTGTACCACTTGTTCAGCAGTGGATAAGATACCCTACAGAACACACATGCTTTGTCAACAGAATGTCCTTTCAGAGGTTATGATCTTAGAACCCCAAAAGGTATATACTGTACTTTCTCATTTCATGGTGTTCCGTGTATGCAAGGAGAGCTCATGTCCTCTGAAGGCCACATAAGATGGTAAATACCTGAGAGCACTTCATGCATACTCTGATTTGAAGCAATACCTCACAAAGGTGAGAAGCTAAGGCAGTGAGAGAGGTTATCAGGATATCTTGCCCCAGGCAAGAATGCAGAGACAAACCCTACAATTCTGAAGAGCTGGGTAAGTGTTAACAAGGGATTGAGAAGAGATGGCAGAACAGAATGCTGGAGATGTAACCAGGAACAAGGAGCCAAATATGACAGGGTGAATCCCCAGGGACGTGATTCACGTGCTGCCTCCTTGACAACACTGGGGAGGATACTGGGGGAAGTGGAAACCATCTCACCGGCATCAGCTTTTACATATCCAGCATAGGTTTCTTCTGCCCAGTTTCCAGGGAAGCATCAGACACATCCATAGTTTACTAAAAGCAGAGCAAATCCTTGTGATCACTGTTAGCACATCTATCCCCAACTCAATATCCACTAATGGTGTGAGTTGCCAGAGCTTGCATCTCTCTGCACCCCTGAATCCACCCAACCTGGCTGTCAGCTTTTCCAATTCTTGAGAACATTTCCACTGCCCTTTAAAAATTAAGTGGGTATTTTTGGTTTGGCTTAATTACAGAGGTGATAAATCCTTCTTTAAAATTCAGATAGCACTAAAGTCTATATATATTAAAGTATCTTTGGCTAGAGTTAATTAACAAAAACTAAATAAAGTAAAAGATCTCTCTCCTTCCCTCAATCCAGAGGAAACAATAGTCGAATTTGGTGTGTATCCTTCTAGACTTGCTTATGCATATATGAACATATCTGTGTATATATATGCCAAATATACATATTTATCCTATTTTCTTTCTAGTCAAATGGGATTCTATCATATATATTACCCTACAACTCACCAGTCTTTCCTTAATGTGTCGGGAATTATTTCATGTCTACCTATTCCAAAACTTCATTCTTCTTGCCTGCACAATGCAGTCTATAGTATGAATACACTATTTTTTTTTTTTTTTTTAAAGAATTTTGCTCTTGTCACTCAGGCTGGAGTGCAGTGGTGCCATCTCAGCTCACTGCAACCTCCGCCTCCCAGGTTCAAGCGATTCTCCTACCTCAGCCTCCCAAGTAGCTGGGATTACAGGTGTGCACCACCATGCCTGGCTAATTTTTGTATTTTAGTAAAGACAGAGTTTCACCATGTTGGTCAGGCCAGTCTCGAACTCCTGACCTCAGGTTATCGGCCTACCTCAGCCTCCCAAAGTGCTGGGATTATGGGCATGAGCCACTGCGCCGGCTGGGTTTTTTTTTTTGAATACACTGTAATTGTTCACTGAAAAATTACTTTTTATTTCAAATGATATATACAAAAATCATCTTAGGCAAACTTTCTATGTATCAGGCTAGTTCCTTCAACCAAGATGGTTTCCTCCTGTTAAGTAATGCATTCAACTCTACCTCCTGTGAATCTCTTAGTCTTTTAGGGAATTCCATGTTCCACGATTTTGGTGGGTTTTACATAAAATTTATCAGAGATTGAGTATTGGTGGAAGAAAGGGTATTGATAATGTAAAATAAATCTGAAGTTTTAGTGTTAGATTTGGTTTTATAAAGTACACATTATCAAACCAAACTGGGGTCTGCTCATCTGGCACAGCAAAGCCAAGCACTGACGTTGGGACTGCAGCAAGAGGAAGTGAGGCATTTATTGTAGGGCACCAAGCAAGAACTCCAACTCCTCAATGGCTTACAGGTAAAGGTTTTAAAGGTGGGGAGGCAAGCCTGGGTACAATGGTTCACACCTGTAATCCTAGCACTTTGGGAGGCCAAGGTGAGAGTATCCCTTGAGCTGGTTTGAGATGAGTCTGGCCAACATAGTGAGACCCTGACTCTATAAAACATTTTTAAAAATCAGACAGATGTGTTGGTGTATACTTGTAGTCCCAGCTACTCAAGAGGCTGAGGCAGGAGGATTACTTGAACCCAGGAGGTTGAGGATGCAATGAGCAGCTGATTGCACTACTGCACTCTAGCTTGGGTAACAGAGCAAGACCCTGTCTCAAAAAACAAAAACAAGAAAACCCCAAAAAACCCACAAAGGTGGAGAGGCAGAGGTTACAGGCAAAGTCATAAATCAATACACGGAGGCTATATATTGGTTTGATGTAAAAGGTGGGACATCTTGAAGTAGGGGCCAACAGGTCATAGGTGGATTCAAAGATTTTCTGATTTGCAATTGGCTAAGGAGAAGCTTTGTCTAAAATTTGGGTCAACAGAAAAGAATGTTAGCTCCAGCTCACAGGCATGACCTCCTCCAGGCCCCTCGGGAAAAAATTCAGAACAAAGAACGGCAGCCCAAGTTGTCCTTGCTTATCTGAGGTCTACATGCCAGCAAATCCACTTGGTGGGGATCTGAGATTCTGAAAACAACTCAGGGACATATTTTAAGATGTTATCTTTAGTTTCTATAGGGAACCAAGCATCTGGACTCTTAACTTCCTTGGCAATTGTTTTAAACTACACTTACCTTCTTGCTTATCAAGTTGCTTATTTACGTCTCAGCACTACCCTGGAAATTCCCTCAAAGGAATTCAAGATTTTCCTTTATTTTCAGGCTCAGGGCGCCCACAGGCCTTTAAGAAGGGGTCCCGGCTCCATCTCACACACATAGGTAGGTTAAATTCCTTTGATGTTACAGGCTAGTGCTTGCCCAGGTAGTTCTGTCTGTACAAATATTTTTCCCTTGGGTACCTCATGTTCTGAATGGATTTTTTTCCAACTAAACAAAGTGAACTTACTAAATAATGTAGTTGCCCCTGTTTTTATTCATCAGCAATACCTAAGGAGGCCAGGCATGGTGGCTCATACCTGTAATCCCAGCATTTAAGGGCCAATTACAATTCCTGATCAACATGAGATAATCAGGTTATCCCTTTGATTTGATGGTGTTCCAGCAAAGAAATCTGATGAAAAACACTCAATATCTTCACCATATATAAAACATCATACAAATATGAATACAGGACATTCTGAAATGCTTTCTCCTAATAAATACAGCTGGTGTCTCAACCATTTTTTCTAATTGGCTTGACTCTTAGAAGCACACTTGCTTAATGCTTTATATTTATGTAGTACTTTAGAATTTAACATTTATTACCAACGTTACTGAAACTTCTCAATCACCACTGAGGTTAGTAGAGGAGGCACCTCTATCTTCATTTATATATAAGGAAACAAGTTCACAGAGAATCCTTGCCAAGTTCATACAGCAAGCCAGTAGCAGAGCCAAGATTCAAACACAGCTCCTTGCCAACCTGTTAATACTTGTTGAGGGGCTAATTGGTTTTCTTCAAACTGTCTCCCAAGTTTCCATAGCACATCCTTCAAACTCCAGGAAATTCAGGTTAAAACATTAAACTAGAAAATGTAAATAAATACAAGGCATAAGAATTGCTACCACAGCAACTAAGCTACCATTTTCCCACACATTTGCTTTAGTTTCTACAATTCTTTAGGTCGGTACTGGCTACTCACTACAGCGACGTACCAAACAGGGAAAGTAAGACATGAAGAACGTAAAGTCTTCAGTTATCCCACTCTACTCAGATGGGGTTTAAAAGAACAGACGGTAGTATCTGCACATGTATTCTCAGCCATTCTACTCAAGGTGTGGTCCTGGTCCATGATTTGTTACTGATTCATGACAAGCAGAGAAATAAAAAATAAAGCATTCAGAAATGTTTATATTTGGGGGGGCTGGGCACTGTGGCTTATGCCTGTAATCCTAGCACTTTGGGAGGCCGAGGTGGGCGGATCAATTGAGGCCAGGAGTTCAAGACCAGCCTGGCCAAGATGGCAAAACCCTCTTATCAAAATTACAAAAATTAGACGGTCGTGGTGGCACACACCTGTAATCCCAGTTACTCGGGAGGCTGAGGCATGAGAGTCATTTGAACCCAGGAGGCAGAGGTTGCAGTGAGCCAAAACAGTGCTGCTGCACTCCAGCCTGGGGAACAGAGTGAGACTCTGTCTATAAATTCTAGTATTTGATGCAATTTAATCAAGTTATAATCAAATAAATGGGGCTTTTATTTTGTATCTTTTCAAAATTTCATTTTAGGAATTCATTTTTATTAGTTTACCAAAGTATCAATCTGCAATGGGAGAAGTTTATATAAACAAAAACTGGTCATTCAGCAAAAGTCTCAGACTCACTCTTCTAGCCTGAGCCTTCAAAATCACATAAAAGACTCCTTATGTGAGTGGAATTGTGCAGATTAGCCTATTGACCAAGGCAAATTTTGCAGGCAACAATAATTTTTGAAGCACTCAAGATTTTTAAATAACTGCAAATTCATACCAATTATTTTAATTTCCATGGATAGAAAGATGCAAGATCTTGATCAGAAGGGGAAAAAAGCACAAAGTTGTTCTATCGTGGCCCACAAGCTCCATTTTTCTTTAATGAAAACACGGTGGAGAAATACAAAGGACTTTTATTACTGCACAGTCATCTTACAAATTGTTAAAGCAGGATGTCTGTTTTAAAAATTGAAAGCCTTACTTATAAGGAGAGCTTGCCTATATGATACTACTTTCAGTGTTACCAAAAGGCTTATGAGCCTAAATCTATCCTCATATTAATGGGCACACTTTAGGCACTTTTTCCAAGAAGTGCAAACCTGTTCCTTGGAAAAGATAACCCACTAATCCATTAGTTTTTTCGCTTTGAAAAAGCAGAGAGCTGATGGAAAGGCCTTAATTGGAGAAAGCAATCCAGGGCTGCTGGGTGGAGGCTGGAGAATCCCAGGTGGAAGGCTGGGCATGAGCCATACACTAGGTGTCTCAACTGGTGAGGTCAATCAAGTGGGAGAACAGACCAAAAAAACTTGAGGACGCCCTAAAGAGATAATCTGCCTCCTATTGCCTTCAGCTGTCCTTTCTGAGGATGTTCTTAAATTACCTATGTAGGTTAGACCCAGGAAAGCTTAAAGGAGACAACTGGAGGAAGAGGTTATCAATAATTTAGAGTAGGCTGGGCATGGTGGCTCACGCCTGTAATCCTAGCACTTTGGGAGGCAGAGGCAGGTAGATCACTTGAGCCGAGTTCGAAACCAGCCTGGGCAACATGGAAAAACCCTGTCTTTATAAAAAATACAAAAATTAGCCAGGCGTGGTTGTGCATGCCTGTGGTCCCAGCTACTCGGAAGGCTGAGACAGAAGGATCACCTAAGCCTGGGAGGTCAAGACTGCAGTGAACCATGATCACACCACTGCACTCCAGACTGGGCTACAGAGTGAGATACCATCTCAAAAAAAAAAAGTTTAGAAAGTATTTGGGGGGAAAAAAAGGTATTTGGAGATTTTTTTAAACCACATACTTTATTTGATGTCAACATCAAAGAAGGAATATTTTAAAAAGCACATAGAAACCCTTAAGTTAGTAATATTTTAAACTGCATGAAAAACATATTATTTTACATCTTGTCATACTGTATATACAACTGTACATAAACTTCTGCATTTCAAAGCACTTGTCATTTATAAAGTGAAAAGTTTGAAAGTGCTAAATAAACATTTCCTAATTATTATTTTTAAAAACAGCACTCTTTTGGAAGTTATCTCTTCTTTGTGCTTATAGTTGATCTGCAAACATTTCAAGTCAAAGTTTCTGGAAACTTCTTTAGGAAACATCTGGAAAAAATCATAGTAGACAAGGGCTAAGTGCAGACATAAGCAGCTCCATTTTATAAACAAAATTTCGACCTTCCATTTTATTCCACTGAACTTCTTTGAATGGCCCACGAAGATGACTCCATTTGTTATCTTGTAAAACATCACTTTTTGGAAGGTCTTTACATTGGTTACGAGGAAACTGAACCATAATCTTGCTGCCACTTTCAGGTCCATTACGAACTGTGGAGAAAAACCAAAATATCAATACACTCTAGTTTACCAAACTAGAAATAACAAGGATAAATCCCACAACTCCATTCTACTGTGAATACAAAAACTTTGTCTACCAACTTAAATATTCTTGTAAAAAAGTGCTTTTTCAGTTTCAACATGCAAGAGAAAAACTCTAACTTCTATATAAGAGGATGGTATAAATATTCATGAATTATTATTTGTACCACAAAGATTAAGCAAGGTGAGTTTTGACCTAGGAATGTCAAATGTCCTCTATAATTTCAGGAAATCATCTTTTTGTTTGTTTCCACATGCAGCACTGAAAAACACAAAGCTTTTTTTGGGAGGCGGTTAAAGACAAGGTCTCTCTATGTTGCCAGGGCTGGTCTCAAACTCCTGGGCTCAAGCAATCCTCCCACCTCAGCCTCCCAAAGTGCTGGGATTACAGGCGTGAGCCACCACGCCTAGTACACTCACCTATTTTTTTCAATACATTCATTTGATAAGGCAATCATTCAATGAATTGTTAATACATGCCTAATATGTAAAGAAACCTCAACCACTTAAAATCAGGACTGAAAGGGATGAAGGAAAGATTATTCTGAATTAAGAATTTCAGGTTTTAATGAGGTTTTAACTATTATTTGGGAAAGAGGAAAAGGGTATTTTGAAATTCCTAGCAATCAAGATCCAGCAATGACCAAGCTTGCAGATTCACAAGCTGTGATCCTGTGAGGAAATATTTCTAACTACCCACTCTTTCAAATACAGTCATGAGCTGCGTAACATTTCAGTCAACTGCTTTTGTTGTGTTACAACTGCCTATAGTATTCAGTACAGTAACATGCTGTACAGGTTTGTAGCCTAGGAGCAACAGGCTATGCCATGAAGCCTAGATGTGCATGTAGTAGGCTGTACCATCTAGGGCTGTGTAAGTGCACTCTATTATCATACGATGAAATCCTCTTAACAACACATTTCTCAGAACCTGTCCCTGTCATTATGCAACACATGACTGTATTTTTAAAGTAGTCAGAGCAGATATCAGAAACAAAGATCACACTAAAACCATAAGCGCTTCAAATGTAAATTTAAGCTATGTAATACTCATACAAGTGCCTATTAAAGTGCCCACTCGTAGAAGGTGCTTAATAAAATACTTCTCCTCGGCCGGGTGCGGTGGCTCACGCCTGTAATCCCAGCGCTTTGGGAGGCCGAGGCAGGCGGATCATCTGAGGTTAGCCGAGGCAGGCAGATCATCTGAGGTTAGGAGTTTGAGACCAGCCTGGCCAACATGGCAAAACCCCGTCTCTACTAAAAATACAAAAATTAGTTGGGTATGACGATGGGCACCTGTAGTCCCAGCTACTCGGGAGGCTGAGGCAGGAGAATCGCTTGAAACTGGGAGGCAGAGGTTGCAGTGAGCTGAGATCACGCCACTGAACTCCAGCCTGAGCGAAAGAGCGAGACTCCGTCTCAAAAATAAATAAATAGATAAAATAAAACAAAACACTTTATTTAAAATTATTTTTAATTATTTATTTTAGAATATTTTAAAAACTGTTACTATTTTTTTAATGTGAAAAAAGTAGTACCTTGCATTAGATATTCCTCTCTGTTCCATCCCTTTACTATTTTTAGGATCAGATATTTTTCTTCCCATGTTTACAGCAGTATATATTTTTTTTAAAGTTTTTATCCATTAAACTTTGGGACTGCAGGAGTAACAATGCTGATGATACTTTTCAGACTATCTCAGGAAAATGTGCTGCCAATCTAAACATTTATTATAATTACTAGAAAGAGAAATAATAATCTCTTGCTCTGCATAATAGCTATGATCAAATAAACATTCGGTGTAAATACAACATTAACTAATTTATTGCAGAGATAAATTACTCTTACCCATATTTAATTATTAAAACTAAATGTTAAAGCCAAACTCCCAATGGTCCCTTCTCATTCAAAGCAGCAGAAAGTACCTGAAATAGCATAGTCACCACTTGGGGAGGCCACCGTGATGGCAGATGCATTACCAATGCTCTCTATAGGTCCAAGTCCCACATGATTACTGAAGCTCAGTACTTGCCAGCCCATAACCTTGGCGAGTTGCTGAACTGCATGTACCTGGTGCTGTGACATCTGTGAATGAAAAAGGACACTTGACTGACAGTCAGCAGAGATATCTGCAGTGACTTAACATCACGACCATGAAGTAAACTTTTGTTGGGGTGCTCACTGACTACTACAGCAACCCTATCTTAGGTCTGAGGAATCCTCCTGTGCGTAACTTAGGGGGAGGGAATAGGACTCCACCTTCCACTGCCAAAGCTAAAGTTGCCTGATACTTGCTTCTCCTGCCCACTGGCAGCTTAAGCAAAGACATATGACATAAATTTGGCCAACTGAAGACTCTCATCTAGATCACTGAATATGGTGTAACATTTGCCCCTTCAAATCCACTGCCTACCTTATTTTCTGCCCTGGGAGGCTGACACACGTGGTTACATTAATACCTTCTTACATCCTCTGGCTTTGGGCTGGGTTCAGGTAATGGGAGACAGCAGGATGGCAGGGAAGAGTGAGGTCAGGGTATTTATTCCCCTGGCACCCTCCCTGTGAGGTTGTCTAGGCTGGTTGTATCTCTTGACTGGCTGCTAGGCTTCTCAAGATGGACTGTTCTACACGACTCTCCCCCTTAGGGTTCTTGTAATCTGTCCTTCCTCTTAACTTTGGCCTAGGAATGGTGACCACTAAGTCCCTGGGGCCTGGTTACCTGGTTACTACTACTAGCAGCAGGTTACCACACTATCCCTGGTGGCTCACCTACACCCACTTCTTTGTAAATAGATCTTTAGATCCTCCTGAGTCTGCCACCTATTTCTTGTTAAGACTCTGACTGATACAATGGGGGCAATTTAGAATGCATTTTGTCACCAGTGCTGAAGGCAGTAGTGCTGGGACAGCATGAGTGCCATTCCTCTGGCCATGGTTCTCATACCTAGCTTTGATCCCTATCCATTTGCAAGCCTTGTTCTCTAGACCTCCCATTGATTCTGGGACCTACTCAATAGTGTTCTAATATATTTTTGTGTGTGTGCTTAAAGTAACCAAAGCCAATTTAGATGTAATCAGCCAAGAGCTGCCATACCTAACAAATGAATTTTACTTACTTGGCCACCAAAGAAGCAAATCAGTATATAAGATTATTGCTTCTGAGATATAGGGTAGGTTTTTGAAATGCTAATGCAAGATACTATTTTTTTTAATGTGAAAAAAAAATAGTATCTTGCATTAGCATTTCAAAAACCTACCCTATATCTCACAATTCAGTATTTCACTGGGTCATTAAAAACTCCATGAAGAAATTAGGGAAAATACAGTTAGATATGAAAAGAAAGGGCTAGAAATTTGTCTGATGTCACAAAGCAAGTTTGTCGTAGAGCTGGGACTAGAACACATCACCTTTTTTTTTTTTTTTTTTTTTTTAAAAAGAGATGGTATCTTGCTCTGTCACCCTGGGCTGAAGTACAGTGGGACCAATTATAGCTCATTGTAACCTTGAACACCCAGGCTCAGGCAACCCTCCTGCCTCGGCCTCCCTAATAGCTATGACTATAGGTACATACCAACACACCCACTCAATTTTCTATTTTTGTGGAGACAGGGGTCTTGCTATGTTGCCCAGGCTGGTATTGAACTCCCAACCTGAAGTGATACTCTCGCTTCAGCCTCCCAAAGTGCTGGGATTATAGGCGCAAACCACCATACCCAGCCTCAAACCCATCACTTTCTATACTGCCCCTTGGACTTGAGATTAAACTACTTCATTTATTATGGATAATGGTCATTATAGTTTTTTATATGATCTCCCTTTCTCTAGTTTTCTTCACTTTCTACAACAACTCTGGAGATGTTGTAAACCCTAGAGATTTTGTAAACCTTCACAAATATGACATGTGGGAAAAAAAACTTGCTAGTCTCAGAACTGGTCCTTCATCTTAACATAAACTATGTGAAAACCTAGGACAGCTTATCAGTACTTCCAGTTAACCAACAGGTTGTAAAATGTGCATTAGAAATTAAACAGAATTTAATTTCTACTGGAAAAAAATTTTTTTTCTTCTTACACAATTTATTACATTTTAACTACTTTTTAACCAATTTGTTCTTTAAGTAGCTATGCGAAGAAGGGGGCTTAAGACAAAATCTGCAACTGTTACCTGAGACAGAAGAAAATCCTGTAGCTCCTGCTCCTGATAAGACAGTGTAATTACTCTTCCATCTCTATGTACAACTCGAATCTGCTCAACTCCAATATTCAATTGCAGTTGAATGGACCTTTATAGACACACATACTAAAAATCAGAGATGTTCAAAATTATCTTATACAATTTCATAAATAATAAACGTTAACATCAAATTAGAAAATATTATTATTTTTTAGACAAAGTCTCAAAGCCTGTTGCCCAGGCTGGAGTGCAGTGGCGTGATCTCAGCTCACTGCAACCTCCGCTTCCTGAGTTCAAGAGAGTCTCCTGCCTCAGCCTCCCAAGTAGCTGGGATTACAGGCACCTGCCATCATGCCCGGCTAATTTTTGTTATTTTTAGTAGAGACGGAATTTCACCATGTTGGCCAGGCTGGTCTCAAACTCCTGACCTGAAGTGATCTACCTGCCTCGGCCTCCCAAAGTGCTGGGATTACAGGCCTGAGCCACTGCACCCGGCCAAAAAAAAAAGTTTTAATAACCCACACCAACATCCATGGAGGAGATGCAGGTGTCTTCTTAGGTTCAACTAAACAGACTCACCCCAGAATACCATAGACCACACTGAGTACCAGTCTACCCAGAAGCATTTGAAGCGACCACAGCTTGCCAGCAGACCATGCAACTGTCTATATAGCAGCAGAATACCTTTGTTGCAAGGAGATGAGATCCAATTGGGTATATGTGGGCCCTGCCCTAACAGGAGCCATAAGCTTCTGTAACAACTCCATAGGCATGGTTTCCACAAGCCAAGCCCAGTTTTAAAAGTCACCACCATCCAGGAAAATCCAAAGGCATTCCCATCATTTATTTAAAATTTCTCCTGGTTCAGATGCATTTTACCAATTTGAGATCATTTTTACTATAAGCAATGTTGCCTAGTAATACTGATGACATCTTTCCTTATCAGGTTTCCAAGGGATGAGAGCCAGCGTTAACCAAGGAGCAAATTCTCGTACAGAAAGAGAAGCGGTTTTGTTAACTCTTTACCTTCTCTTACTGAAATAATCAGCAAACAAGTCAGAATATATATACTCCATTAATTTGGCTTAGGTCAAATAAAGAAACTCATACAATAGCCAGTAAATAACAAGCACATCACTGCACTCTTCCAAAGCAACTTCTAAAATTTCAGCATGTAATATGTCCAAGAAACTTGAAATCCCTAATAACCTAGATGAACAAAATGCAGGAAAAAACAGCTTTATGTCCTCTCACATTTAATAATGGCTCTTCCTTCTAGCTTTGTTTTAAAGCAAATATTTGAGAATAAAGCATTTTAGTGATTGTCTACATAAAATTGTAATAAAAAAAAATAAAGGCTGGGCACAGTGGCTCACGCCTGTAATCCCAGCACTTTGGGAGGCTGAGGCAGGCGGTCACAAGCTCAAGAGATCGAGACTATCCTGGCCAACATGGTGAAACCCCTACTAAAAATACAAAAATTAGGTGGGCGTGGTGGCACACATCTGTAGTCCCAGCTATTTGGGAGGCTGAGGCAGAATTGCTTGAACCCGGGAGGCAGAGGTTGCAGTGAGCCAAGATCACACTACTGCACTCCGATCTGGCGACAGAGCAAAACTCCATCTCAAAAAAAAAAAAAAAAAAAAAAAAAGAGACAGGGTCTTGCTATGTTGCCCAGGCTGGAAAGCAGTGGTTTTATCCATGGTGCCATCATAGCGCACTGCATCCTTGAAATCCTGACGTTGAGTGATCCTCCCGCCTCAGCCTCCTGAGAAGCTGGGACTTCAGGTGTGTGCAACCATGCCTGGCTTAAGTTGTAATTTTGATGTACTAAAGTTTACATTGTTTTCTCAAAGAAAAACGAAACTCAAAAGGCTTGAAGATATATTAATCTAACCAACATTTTAGAATTCTTTTCTTAAAACAAGGTGTGAAGGAACAGGGTTTCTTATCACTCACTATTGGTGAATGCATACTTGTGGCAACCACTTTGAAAAACAATTTGGTAGTACTAATTAAAAATTTAAATGTCCTTATCTTTTTTTTGAGACAGGATCTCACTCTATCACCCAGGCTGGAGGGCAGTGGCACAATCTCAGCTCACTGTAACCTCTGTCTCCTGGGTTCAAATGATTCTCCCACTTCAGTCTCCCAAGTAGCTGGGACTACAGGCATGTACCACCACACCCAGCTAATTTTTGTTTTTAGTAGGGACAGGGTTTCATCATGTTGGCCAGGCTGGGCTTGAACTCCTGGCCTCAAGTGCTCCGCCCAAAATGCTGGGGATACAGGCATGAGCCACTGTGCCCAGCCAAATGTCCTTCTCTTTTAACCCAGCAATTATACTTGTAGGACTTTACCCTATAAATGGATAGACCTGTGTATGTACAAATTATTTTCCTGGTACTCGACAAAAATGTTCAACAACAGAAGACCGATTAACAGTGTGGGACATACAATGAAATACAAAAAGGCTGTAAGAAAAAAATGAGGTAGATCTATGTGCTAACAAAATAATGTTTACTCACTCATATATGACTACTGAGCAATAAATTATTCATTATGTGTCTTGTCTGCATTTCTGGACCTTATGGCCACATGAATAATTTTAACTGAGAAGAATGCAGAATAATCCACATATTTTAAACCTTATTAAAATAGTCCACATAAAAAGGGTCTACTACTCTGTAAAGCATTTCCTGTATATAGTTTTTCCTAATTGATCCCATTGTATTCTGATCATTAAGCCTACCTGCATAAGTTGAACTAAAACACTACTGAGTTTAAAAATCACGTAAATTACAAATGACTGCTAATATGTAGAGTTTCTTTTTGGGGTGATGGAAATGTTCAATAATTAGACGATGATGGTTATACAACATAGGGAATATACTAAAGACCACTGAACTGTGTCCACTTTAAAATGGTGAATTTTGTTATGTGTATTATGTTGCTAGAAAGCATACAAAACTCTGTAAGACAGGTAGGGTTACATAACTTCTACATGCATATGTAAAAAAAAAGTTTTTAAAGAGAGGTCGGTTACAGGAACAGGTAGGATATATATGCTTGTAAATACATAGACTTTCCTAGAAAGATGTGTAAGAAACTGTTTTAAATGATTGATCCAAAGGAATTCTGATAATTATTTTCAACTTTCAATAGCCTAAGTTGAGCCCAGCTGTGATGGTTAACACTGTCAACTTGATTGGATTGAAGGATACAAAGTACTGGTCCTAGGTGTGTCTGTGAGGGTGCAAAGGAGATTAACATTTAAGTCAGTGGGCTGGGAAAGGCAGACCCACCCTTAATCTGGGTGGGCACCATCTAATCAGCTGCCAGTGGGGCTAGAATATAAACAGGCAGAAAAACGTGAAAAGAGACACTGGCCTAGCCTCCCAGCCTACATCTTTCTCTCGTGCTGGATGCTTCTTGCCCTTGAACAACAGACTCCAGGTTCTTTAGTTTTGGAACTTGGACTGACTCTCCTTGCTTCTCAGCCGGCAGATGGCCTATTGTGGGACCTTCTGATCCTGTGAGTTAATACTTAATAAACTCCCCTTTATGTGTGTGTGTGTGCGTGTGTATATGTGTGTGTGTATATATATATATATATATATATATATACACACACATATATACACACACACACACATATACACACATACACATTCCATTAGTTCTGTCCCTCTAGAGAACCCTAATACACGAGCTATAGAAGATGAGGAAAAGGGCATTCTACTACTGCCTTCTACTTCTCCTTCACTCCTGATTCTGTCAAGGCTACATCATCACTAATCTTTCTTTGTGGAAGTTTACAACGTTTAGATTGGGACCTGTAACCATAATCCCAGTTTTAGTCTTAGTTCTAAGTCTAAACAATTCAATGATGATAATTTTCTCTTTTCTTTTCCATTGCACTCAGTCTCTCTTTTTACTATGGAAAATTTTAAACACAAACAGTAGGAGGGCAAAAGGCTTACTGGCAAATAAATAATAAACACCAACAGAAGTATAATATAATGAAAGCCTATAATCCCATCACCCATTCTTAAGTTAAAAATGCAATCCAAACTTGTTTCATCTATGTTTAACACCTACTTTCTCCCAATCCACCCTCAAATCACCCCAATTATTTTATTCTTTCTTTAGATAAGGGGAAGAAAACTCTATGACTCTACTTTATTCCATCATCTTTCTCTGGAAGTTTCAGGACTAGTTTCCTGTCCATTGTGTATTCTTTCATACTCTGCATCTGCTCTCACACTTATCTACTATGTTTTCATTTTTTAAGTGAATTAAAACCTCTGCATTAAAAATAGTATTATATTGGAAATGACTGTACATAGGAAAAATCAAAAAGAAAGAAAACAATAGCATTATAAATGTATTTTTCTGCCCCTACTCCTAAGGGTCGTTATTTTGTGTTTCACAGTATGCTTTGCTTTACTGTGGCTAGTTACGTCTGCTGAAATAAAGCAACTAAGGGTATCGTAGTGCACACCTGTAGTCCCAGCTACACAGGAGGGTGAAGCAGGAGGACTGCTTGAGCCCAAGAGTTTGAGATCAGCCTGGACAACAGCATTGTGAGACGCCATCTCAAAAACACAAACTGAGACAAAAAGGAAATAAAGCAACTAACACTTTAAAAATAAAATGTAGTCACAGACCCTGACAAATGTCAGGTGTTAAATTTCAAAAAGGCTCAAAAGGTAGGCCAAAAAGTCCTTAAAGGCTACTGGCCAATTGCATTAACTTGTGATTTGTGAATGTAAATCAAGTAGACTGCATTCCTATGAAGCCTGGGGACAAAAACCATCTTACCTCCTTCACAGACACACAGTTATCAACCCAGTTTTTAGGGCATAATCATGAACTTGATTAGACCCAGGATCAACACCAGGTCATGAGAACTATAAAACTTGGGTTATTTTAGGCATAACATGGAGAGTATAGGCTAGAATACAAATGGCCCTATTCACTTCAAATATACTAGACCTGCCATAACCATTAGGCAAGAACTGAAGCAGACCTGGAATCTCAAAAGGTAAGGCAGCCTTCTGCTCAGTGCCGGGGTTCATTGTTTACCCCAGCTCAAATATGTGACATTTACTTAATAAAGACTAGTTTTTAGACATTGTTACCTCTCATTCTTACAATGTTTAAAAACAGACTTTATGAATTTTCTCCTAAGAACTAATTGCCATCAAAAAAACAAAAAAACAAGGGCCGGGAGTGGTGGCTCATGCCTGTAATCCCAGCACTTTGGGAGGCCAAGACAGCAGGATTGCTGGAGTCCAGGAGTTCAAGACCAGCATGGGCAACATAGACATGTTTCTTAAAAAAAATTTTTTTAATTAGCTGGGCATGGGGGCACATGCCTATAGTCCCAGCTACTCAGGAGGTTGAGGCAAAAGAATTCCTTGAACCCCGGAGCTCAAGGCTGTAGTCAGATATGATCATCACTGCACTCCAACCTGGGTAAAAGAGTGAGACTCCACCTATTAAAAAAAAAAACACTCTACAGCTTATATAATTTACAGAAATATTATGCCACCCTAGCAAATAAAAACCAAATGCTTAATATAATTACTCAGCAAACATCAATAGCAAATTAACATATTAAATACAAAACTTTTATTTTGGCCACTTACTTGCATATTTGTTCATAGCCTTGTGATGTGATTAAAACTTTCACACTAGATTCATAAACATCATTGATATTTGACCAATGAGCCTGTATCTGAGGATCCTCAATTCGGCTTGCTAAGCTGTCAATGGTTGCAGCAGCTCTTTTAAATACAAGAAGTTAAAAAACTTTTTAAGTCACCATACAAAATGATAGGAATATAAATGATTCGAAAATTTTATGAAAATTTTAAAACTAACTACTTTTTTAAACTACCACTATGTGTAGGCAGACTTTAAATAAAGGCAGAGGTAGCTCTAAGAACCCTTTCATACTGCTTGAATGTGTAGGTTCTCAGCTTGACATTACAATACACTCTCATCACACACCCCTGATTATCATGATTCATGATGGGTTTATTCCCTTTAACTCTATTCATTTTCTTCCACTCAGAAAAGCTTATCAGGAAATGAGTGAGAAGGATATTCGATATTCTACGGTATAAACCTAATATAAATCATTCATAAATGTCAGTACTTGATCCCTGGTAACAAATGACTTGGGACACACCCACATCTAGACCCATTACTGTAATGAAATTATAATCATATTCAAGAGAAGCTAGAGATTTTTTGCACAATCAAATCCTTATACTCCAAAAAAAGAAAACTATCAATACCAATGAGAAATAAGATTTATCAAGTGTTCATTATACAGCATGCATTATAACAAGAGCTTTCATGAATTATATCATTTAATCTTACTAACATATCATTTAATCTTAACCTTATTAGGTAGGCACTATTATTTCCATTTTTTAAACAGAAAAAACTTTAGCAATGTTAAGCAATTTGCCCAAGGTCACATAGCTATAAACTGGGATACAAAACCTGGGAGTCTAAATCCAGAGCCAAAAACCTGGGAATCCAATTCCAAAGCCAGTAATCTTATACACACTAATCAACAGCCAACACTTAGAACCAAAGCATAAATCATTTAAATTAACCAAACCCTCAGTTTCTAATTATCTGATTTTTAGCACTTTACTGGAAAGAGAAAGAAAGGCCTGGAAGTGGCTCACACCTGTAATCAAAACACTTTGGGAGGACAAGGAGGGACGATCGCTTGATACCAGGAGTTCAAAACAAACCTGAGCAACATATCGACAACCAGTCTCTATAAATAAAAAAAAAATAAGCTGGGCACAGTGGCGTGCACGAGTAGTCCCTGCTACTCAAAAGACTAAGGCAGGAAGATCACTTGAACCCAGCAGTTCCAGGTTACAGTGAGCTATGACTCCACCACTGCACTGCACTCCAGTCTAAGCCAGAGTAAGATGCTGTCTCAAATTTTTTTTTTTTTTTTTTTTGAGACAAAGTCTCACTCTATCACCCAGGATGGAGTGCAGTGGTGCAATCTCAGCTCACTGCAACCTCCACCTTCCAGGTTCAAGTGATTCTCCTGCCTCAGCCTCCCGAGTAGCTGGGACTACAGGCGTGTGCCACCACGCCTGGCTAATTTTTCTATTTTTAGTAGAAACGAGGTTTCGCCATGTTGGCCAGGCTGGTGTAGAACTCCTGACCTCAAGTGATCTGCCCTCCTTGGCCTCTCAAAGTGCTAGGATTACAGGCATGAGCCACCATGCCACGCCTCACCTCAAAATTAAAAAAATAATAATAAAAATAAATTTAATTTTAAAAGACAATGGGAAGAAATGAGAAGAGCCAGTGGGGACAAGGGGCTTTTACATTAATAGACTTAGGGTTTGGTCTGCTGCTGCAGTACCGGCTTCTTACAATACATTCTGAAATTTATTTTCCTTTTTCCTTGATGTGTTTCCCTGACAGTGCTTCATAATTCCTATAGAAGGTAAGTATGTGTGTGAGCATTACGAGAACCATTAAACTGGAAATAAAATTATCTAGCAATGGAAAATTGGGAAAAGAAATCATGAAGTATTTACATTATAGGATATTATACAGCTATTAAAATAGATGAAAAAATTTACAATACAATATTAAATGAATGCAAGGTAAAAAATTTGTTTGTTTTGGTGTCACCCCTGAGGTATGAACTCAGAAGGATATAAAATTTTATAAACTCCGATTTTTCTTTAAAGACACACACACACACTCTGACACATACACATAAAAATATATTAGCATGTCAAGAGATCTCACTGTGCATGTTATCATACACATCAGTCTTTTTGTCTTTTTTAAGACATGGTTTCACTCTGTCATCCCAACTGGAGTGTAGCGGGGTGTGATCACAGCTCACTGCAGCCTCAACATCCCAGGCTCATGCAATCCTCCAGCCTCAGCCTCCCAAGTAGCTGGGACTACAGGTGCACACCACCACATCTGGCTAATTTTTTTTATTTTTTTGTAGAGATGGGCCATGTTGCCCAGGCAGGTCTCAAACTCCTGGACTTGAGGGATCTGCCCAGCCTCCCTGAGTGCTGAGTTTACAGGCATGAGCCACCACACCAAGCCCAGCTACTTTTTTTAAAAAGGCTTCCTGGCCAGGCACGGTGGCCCACGCCTGTAATCCCAGCACTTTGGGAGGCCAAGGTGGGTGGATCACTTGAGGTCAGGAGTTCGGGACCAGCCTGGCCAACATGGTGAAACCCCAACTCTACTAAAAATACAAAAATGAGCCAGGCATGGTGGCGCACACTTGTAATCCCAAATACTTGGGAGGCTGAGGCGGGATGATCGCTTGAACCCGAGAGGCAGAGCTTGCAGTGAGCTGCACCACTGCACTCCAGCCTGGGTGACACAGTGAGACTTCGTCTCAAAAAAAAAAAAAAAAAAAAATTTCTTGTAGAGACAAGGTCTCACTATGTTGCCCAGGCTGGTCTCAAACTCCTGGGCTCAAGCAAGCTTCCCATCTTGGCCTCCTAAAGTGTAGGGACTACAGGGGTGAGCCACCATGCCCAGACAGGGTCTTTTTTTCTTCACTAAGCTTTTTGTACACCAGGAAGAAGTAAAAGTTTTAAAGCTTTGCTGCTTCCAAGGCTACACTTACTACTCTGAAATTTATAATGGTTATAAAAATAGCTGTTTTTATGCTGATCATTTATTTGGGGAATATTTAAATTTATGGTCAATCAGAAATTTGCAAGACTAACGATCTACTCAAATTATCAGCTTTTTAAGTTGAACTGTATTAATGGTAAGAAACAGTAACCTATCATATAATGCTTTATTACTTATAAGAAACTTCTACATACATCATTTAATATGACCCTAAGACCCCACTCCTATACCTGCTATTGACGGGAATAAGTGGGGGACCATAGACACTAAATCCCTTGCTCGAAGTTATTTAGCAAGTGGTTGAGCCTTGGCTTACACACCTTTCACCCCTAGTCCCCTACTCCTTTCACTGCCTCATGCTGTCTTCTCTAACGTGTCTCCCCAATTCCTTTTACTAAAAGCTGAAGGACCTAAATTTCCACTTTAAGACTACAAACTAATGTACTAAAAAAAACTGTATTAACAAGAAAAAAACTGGAAATCAAAAATAAAATATCATCTATTTAATGACAATGCCCATGCCTGAAATTCTGGAGTACTACCAAGGCATAATTACAAATGAAGTAAAAAACAGGCCTTTTCACTAAGTACCAATAATAAAATAGAAAAGCACCCTTTAGCACTGAAAAAGATACATTTATATGTAATCATGCCACGTTATTTTGTAAGCAGTGTATATAAAGGAAAAAAAAGAGCTTTGGCGTTACATAGACCTGGGCATAAATCCTCGTTCTGCAACTTTTTAGCTGTGTAACCTTGAGCAAGGTGCATAACTTCTTTAAGCCTCAATCTTATCAGTAAAAACAGGGTTAACACTACCTGCCGCAAAGAACAAAGATTAAATAAGTTAACATAAGGAAAGTGCCCTCCAAACTCTAAAATGTGCAAGAAACAAAAAATACAGAAACCCTCAAGAAAAAGATGTAAATCAGTTCAGAAATAAGTATCTCACGGCTGGGTTACTGAAGAAAGTATGGTGTTGTAAGGCACATTCCTAGTCAGTTGTCTTTGCAAAAAAGTGACAGTGTTAGAAAGAATACACTGTTAGATCAGAAGTGGATCTAAGTCTTCCCCAGACTTGACAGGACCCAGTCTATGACCGCAAATAAACTCTTACCACCTCCTCTCCCTAAAATAAAAAAGTCAAAAGCATCCCAAAAAAGTGTTATGAAATAACAGAAGAAAACACTGCAATTTCAAAGAAAAAACAGAAAACAGTAACTTTCTTCAACCTTACCTACTCCTTAGAAAAATATGCTTTGCTTGTTTAATTATTTTTTCCAGAAGCCCTTCACTGGACTGTAATGAATTAATTTCATTTTTATCAAAAGCTTGAGGACCCGAAAGTCTCATTCTCTTGTGGCCAAAAGGTGCACTTGCTGGATGAGGCATCATGATGGAACTCAAGGTCTGTTTATGAAACTAACAAAAACAGCCATTTTAAATACCAATATCCACATAGTAAATGCTACATAATATTTAGTCAAAACATGGTTGACAGAAACACTGAAAGGAATGGATTTGAACCACATATGAAAACAATCCAACCTTGGAGAAAAATGCTAGCAACTACTAGGTCACACATAATGCAAGACTGTAAAGAGAAGGGTCGCTCTCAAGCTGTAACTTTTTTCCTTTTCTCATGTCAGATGGGTAATGCGCCGACATCCTAATAAGGTTTGAGGGAGTCACAACTCATGCATAAGCATGAAAGCCCAATCATGCTTTTGAACCACAAAAGGATCTCAAGCTTTAATTTTTATTTTACAAGTTTTAAAATGTAAAACAATCCTCTTCACTGAGTCTCATAAATAGAACGCATGCAATCAGTAAATAGTTCTTTCACTATACCCTAGATTAGAGGTTCCCAAACCCGGCTGCCTATCTGAACCTCCTAAGGAGCTTTTTAAAAACAACTCTTGCATCATCACAATCAACTGAACCAGGTTTTGGGGTGGGGCAAGGGAGGCTGTAATATATAATTCTATGAAATTTCACAGGATATTCTTTTGAAATTACCCTGGCCTGTGAACCAGCTCCCTGTAAACAGTTGTAGATGATCTGTAAGTAGAACATGTCCTAAAATAAAACTAGTCTGTTCACAGACTCTGGCAAGACATTTTCCCTTAACTCCCCCGGTCAGAATCACCCTTCCCTCTGCACTTTAGCATCATGTTTCTTACACCTCTACTTGAAAACCTGTGTATCTCTACCACTAGAAGGTATGTTTGGGAACAGGGACAGTATTGTGATTATCTCTGTATTCCCCTAGCACACAGCAAGGATCTTTCACATCAGACAGTGAATGTTGTTGCTATGTGAATAATCAAGACTCAGCAGACGAGAGGAGCTTTGTGCATACTCACTGCCCTGGACATACTCACCACAGCGCAAAGAAAAACATTTATTTCCTTACCTCTCTAATCAGTAGATGCAAATTATGCTCTAGGACATAAAGGTGGTCCTCCGGACATTGCTTCTCAGTAGCAAATTTTTGGGATTTCTTATCATTTGAGGAATGGCACAAAGAAATAGATAACTGCAAGCCTATTTATAAAAAGAAGGAGGACATATGTAAATAACCTGAAATATGGAAAGGCATAAACTGTCTTCATAAAGTATAATCATAGTTCATTTTCAAAAGATATATTCTAAACTTGAAGATCAGACCTCATGATTAACATCTGTATATCAAGATTACTATTTGGCCGGGTGCGGTGGCTCACGCCTGCAATCCCAGCATGTTGGGAGGCCAAGGTGGGTGGATCACAAGGTCAGGGGATTGAGACCATCCTGGCCAACATAGTGAAACCCCATCTCTACTAAAAACACAAAAAAAATTAGCTGGGCATGGTGGCGTGTGCCTGTAGTCCCAGCTGCTTGGGAGGCTGAGGCAGGAGAATTGCTTGGACCCGGGAAGTGGACAGGTTGCAGTGAGCCAAGATCACGCCATTGCACTCCAGCCTGGACAACAAAACGGAAACTTCATCTCAAAAAAAAAAAAAAACTATTCATGAATATAATAAGCTACCACGTATTTTAACAATTCAAATTCTGTTGACACATAATATGGCTGCTGCCCTTGAACTGGCTAAAGACTGGTGAAAAAGCTATATATTAATTTGTTTTTTCCTTTAAAATAAGAGTAGGTAGGCAGTCTTACTGCGTAAAAGACAGTTAGTCTTCCCTGCTCCCATGAGAAGTAGGATGGAATTTCTCACCACTAAAACCTACTTCCTTCTAAGACGACAGTCCTTAGAATTTATGTAAAAAACAAGTGCAAAGCTAAATACAAACTGATCTCCAGGGCAAGTCTACCTGCTTTTGAATAATATAATTAAAATCCAGTTTCTATAAATTTGAGACTATTACGAGTAAACTCTTTTTTTTTTTTTTAATTTGTTTGTTTGTTTGTTTTAGTAGAAATGGGATTTCACCACGTTGGCCAGGCTGGTCTCAAACTCCTGACCCCAGGTGATATGCCCGCCTCGGCCTCCCATAGTGCTGGGATGACAGGCGTTAAGAGTAAACATTTTTAAATTGGCCTCTCATTTAGATAATAAGGCAGGATCCCTGAAAAAATCTCCCTCAAAGCAACTGTTGCTAAATAACTATAGCTATGCTAGTGCAAATTTTCTTTTCTCTTGACCACAATAATGACTACATAAGTGCAAATTTTTAATATGTAGCTTAAAAATCCAAGGGTCACACTATTTAGGACAGAACAGATTCCACAGTATAGTTTGTGTTACATGCTTTACTGGCTGTCACTATGGATAGCACACTATTTCTTTGCTCTCATTATTCTCCCAATACACCCTAAGAGCTACCTTCTCTGTCCTAGTCCCCCAAAACACAAAGTCCTGTTCATAAAGTCGAAAAAGGGCTGCTCTTACTCGGAAAGGGCTGAGAGATAATCTGGTTTTTCACCACAATGTGAGGGACTTGTGATTTAATTTGAACAGCTTCCCGAGAGAGCTGTGCAAAAATTTCTTTACATAAGAGAACATTCTGTGCCGCTTCTAATTTTGTCTGCCAATGTGGGGAACCTGAAAGACAAGAAATATATGTATCAATTATCTAACCATATTATGCATTAACTAGTTTAAATGGTGATCTGAATACATATGACAAAAGTTTAGGAAAACACTACATTACGGTATATTCTTTTTTTTCCTATTCAGTCTCTATAGAGACTGTCAAAAATTGCCAATGCCAACTGTGTTACAAATCATCCCGGCAGGGTATTGAGAAGTTCCCCACCACCCCAATCTTTCATTCCTGAAGAGGAAAGTTTAAATTCCTGTAGAGGGAAGTATCAATTAGCAATAATCATGCCACAGATAAACCTCACTGGGTTTGATACTGCCACTGTGCAAAGCTATATTCTTTCCAAAATATAAAAATCTCACTTCTTTAACACAAAAAACCAGTAAATAAGTCCAATCTTAAAAAAAGGTGCTGGTGGCTCATGCCTGTAATCCTAGCACTTTGGGAGGCTAAGGCGGGTGGATTACCTGAGGTTGGGTGTTCGAGACCAGCCTGACCAACATGGAGAAACCCCATCTCTACTAAAAATACAAAATTAGCCAGGAATGGTGGCGCATGCCTGTAATCCCAGCTACTCGGGAGGCTGAGGCAGGAGAATCGCTTGAACCTGGGAGGTAGACGTTGCGGTGAGCCGAGACTGCGCCATTGCACTCTAGCCTGGGCAACAAGAGAGAAACTTGGTCTCAAAAAAAAAAAAAAAAAAAAAATTGCACAGCTATTCACTAATAGTTTATTGATAAATTTTAGAAGTATATTTTGAATTGTTCTTACTTCAAACTATCTATTTTTTCCTACCTATATTTATCTTCAGTTTATTTTAAAATGTCAGCTCAAATAAGACCAGAAATTAGAGAATAGAACATAACCATACCTGGTTTGGATTTGGGCAAAGGTCGTTTGAAGAGGTTAACTGTGCCGAGGTCACCTATATCTGGAGCCTGTTTTTGTATTGAAACCTATATGACAACAAAAACAAAAAAAGTTAACAAATTAACTTCAGGCTATTCGTAAGAAATTACTTGAAAAATATTTTGACAAATACCTTGATATATGCAGACCCCTCTAAATCACTAGGAATTTGGACATCAAGAGGACAGTAATCTTCAGGTATCTTTTTATCCAGATCGAGATCTGTATTCTTTATTACTTCAAATGTACCATGATGAGGAAAGAGAGATCCTAATGTTGTATTAAAAATAGGAAAATATAAAACAGTTAACATATTATTCCGACACACATTATTAAATATATAATACTTCACATCCACATCACTGAATCACAAAGTAAGTCCCCACTAAAAAACATATGTTTTGGGGGAAAAGGGTGAGGAATGGTGAACAAAGGAAAGAAAGATAAAGGTGGGGGGTGGTTATTTACCTTAAAAAAAAAAAACACTTCTTAGTCTAATGACATCAACATAATAAGAATTCCACAGAAAATCCAAATTGTTTTATTCCAATGGAGTATTGATAAAAATGGGTGTACTCACAGGGCAGGCATGGTGGCTCATGCCTGTAATCCCAGCACTTTGGGAGGACGAGGCGGATGGATCACCTGAGGTCAGGAGTTCAAGACCAGCCAAGACCAACATGGAGAAATCCCCATCTCTACTAAAAATACAAAATTAACTGGGCGTGGTGGCACATGCCTGTAATCCCAGCTACTGAGGAGGCTAAGGCAGAATTGCTTGAACCCGGGAGATGGAGGTTGTGGTGAGCTGAGATCGCGCCATTGCCCTCTAGCCTGGGCAACAAGAGCGAAACTCTGTCTCAAAAAAAAAAAAAAAAAAAAAGAGGTGTACTCCTAGAAATGAAACCTTGGGGATGAAATACTTCTGGAGCTTAGCCTCTCTACTAAGGTTTCAACTAAGTGCTCTGCATCCAACAACAGAAAGACAGAGGATAGTGCACATAACATCTTTTTTTCAACCAGTTTCCTAGATTTTTTATTTTTTATTATCTTTTTAGAGACAAGGTCTCCCTCTGTCTTCCAGGCTGCAGTGTGGTGGTGTAATCATAGCTCACTGCAGCCTCAAACTCCTAGGATTTAACAATCCTCCCACTTCAGCCTCCCAAGTAACTAGGACTGCAGGTACATGCCATCACACCCAGCTAATTTTTAAGTTTTTTTTCTTAGAGATAGGGTCTATGTTGTTCAGTCTGGTTTTGAACTCCTGGGCTCAAGCAATCCTCCCACCTTGGCCTCCCAAAGTGCTGAGATTACAGGTGTGAGCCCCCATGCCCAGCCCAGTTCCTAGATTTTATGTGATGTGTTTTTGTGTAGGTCAGGAGTTTGGGTAAGTTGTTCTGGGCCATTGAATTACATAAGAAATAGGTGGTTCAATGTAACTGGTTTTATAACAAGGGAAGATGCTAAAGATTTTCTTGCAATTAAAAACAATGTGATCAAATCCTTTCATAATCATGAGTGACTACCCCAAAGAAAGAATTAAAGTTCTTGCACACAAATTATTTGTGGAAAAGAAAATGCCCAAAACCAGAAAGCACTGCTTCTACAGACCACCTATTAAAATTTTTAAATGGTCTTGTCATCTTTAATTCATCTTTATAATGAGATTTAACCTTCAGGATTCAAAATAACCCAACTAATATCAATGCTGAAGCATGTCAGTCCTCCAGTATTTGACTTAACCACCTTAACCTTTTTTTAATTTTAGGATAATGATAGCTTACTCTGGCAAATGAATCTTTCAGATATCACTCTACCATTATCTCAACGATCAAAGCCAAGACTTCTTGCCTCCTCCCCTGATATTCACAGCTTCTACCCCATTGAGCTATGAAGTTTTTCCATATAGCCAGCCCGCTGACTGCCTCAGCAGCTTATAAAACATTGCCATTATTACCTTGTAAAACCTACTATTTATTATAGCTCAACGACTAAGAATTTATACCAAAAAATATGAAGTCAACATCATCAAACTTTAGTATGCCCCCAAAAGTTGCATTCCCTAAGTTAGTGCTGTAGCCCTAGTTTGGTGGGAAAAAGGAAAGCAAACCTTTTTGCCACCCTTTCTCTTCACTCAGGACATAAAAACAGCTGAGCAGATTAATGGGAAAAGAAAGGGCAAAGAATAGAAAGTTTCTTTCCTCCTTTCATGTCGAGTTTTTTTGTTTGTTTGTTTTAATTCTCAGAAGAACACTGAGAATTGCATCATGTCCAGTTTTCGTTTGGTTTTTTTTGGGGTTTTTTTTGAGACAAGGTCAGGCTGGAATGCAGTGGTGCAATCTCGGCTCACTGCAGCCAGGACCTCCTGGGCTCAAGGGATCATCCTGCCTCAGCCTCCTGAGTAGCTGGGACTAACAGGTATGCAACACCACGCCCAGCTAATTTTTGTATTTTTTGTAGAGATGAAGTTTTGCCATGTTGCCCAGGCTGGTATCGAATTCCTAAGCTCAAGCAATCTGCCCACCTCAGCCTCCCAAAGTGCTAGGATTACAGGTGTGAGCCACTGCACCCCGCCATGTTCAGTTTTTAAGGGTTACAGGTAAGGCCTTGATTGAGGAGTGTAGTTCTACCTCATTTCTAACTAAAAAGTCAATTATGCTTCAAGGTGTGTCAGCACATAAACCCCATCTTTGAACTTTCTGTTAAGTGTACCTAAAAGGTTTTGAAATAGAAACTAGGCTATTTATTATAAGGTTCTGATAAGAGTGGTTTTGGCTTATATGAACAGAAATTAAAATTTTGAAACGTAACACATAGCTGAGAAATAATACATTATAGAAGGATGTTTAACATTATACTTACACAGAAAGCATTGTTTTTGTTTGTGTTTTTGAGAGAGTCTCGCTCTGTCCCCCATGCTGGAGAGCAATGGTGCGATCTTGGCTCACTGCAACCTCCACCTCCTGGGTTCAAGCAATTCTCATGCCTCAGCCTCCCAAGTAGCTAGGATTACAGGTGCGTGTTACCACGCCTGGCTAATTTTTTGCATTTTTGGTAGAGATAGGGTTTTGCCATGTTGCCTGGGCTCATCTTGAACTCCTGGCCTCAAGTGATCCAACTGCCTTGGCCTTCCAAAGTGCTAGGATTACACGCATGAGCCACCACACCTGGCCAGAAAGTATAGTTTTTAATAATTATTCATACCTGCACTTCTGTAGCTCAGATCTCCGAGAATTTTATCTCCAACTTTTCGAAGTTTCCAGTGTTGCCGTAATCGCAAAAGCTCAGAATTGAAGTCTCTTTGTAGCTTGTTTTCTTGGTTTTCGGTAACTGATTTAGTCAGTCTTTCTGCCCCCTTCAATAAGATTTGTGCTGCTCCAGCAAGTGACTTCTTTTTAGATATCAATTGCAACGTCTGAGGATTCTGTCAAAAACAACCCAAACATGCAGTTCTGCAGGATTTTTAAATGACTCTAAAATTACACATTTTATCAATAATAAAATGAAGTGAACAAAAAGCAAAAAGGAGGGGCAAGTACACATAACAGTGTTTTTAATAAAATAATAACCTTAACCTATTTCTTTGTCCAACTCACTCAAAGCTTTACTTATGTTAAACCAAAAACACTACAATGGCCTCTACTCAGAACTTACCATTGCATCAACTCTGTCCAGCCTGTTAGGGTCCCCTCTTAATGTACTGCCATTCCTCTCCTTATATATTGCCAGCCCCCTATCCTGTACATACACACATATAGTTATATATAACCTTTTTGGCACTCATTATACTTCTGATTAACATCTATAATCTCTGCTTCAATGGTAACCTGCATGATGGCAGAAATCACTATATCCACAAACCCTAGAACAATGCCTGGCACATAATATTTGATTTAATGAATGAATGAATGACTGCAATGGGTATAACTGTAAAATTATCTTGTATTTTGTAGCTTACCATATTTTGCATCTTACCATAAGCTATTAAAGTGCTTTTGGAATTAGGACTAAAATCACACAGCATTAACTTTTTTTCTTTTGAGATGGAGTCTTGTTCTGTCACCCAGTCTAGAATGCAGTACCACCATCTTGGCTCACCATAGCCTTGACCTACTGGCTCAAGTGATCCTCCTGCTTCAGCTTCTTGAGAAGCTGGGACTCCAGATGTGCAACACCAAGCCTGGCTTTTTTTTTTTTTTTTGGTAGAGACAGGGTCTTGCTATGTTGCCTGGGAAAGTCTCAAACTCCTGGCTTCCTGCTTTGGTTCCCCAAAGTGTTGGAATTACAGGCATAAGCCACCGTGCCCTGCCATTGTTAATATTAAATGTACTTCACTGAATCCTAATTTTTTGGAAAACTGATCAGAAGTCACTATCTATGTATCACATATGCATATATAAATATCCACAATCACCATAATTTGTGTATTTTACTAACCAGTTTAATACAGTTTTCTGGCTGTATGAGAGTCAAAAATCACATAAAAAGCTTCATAAACATATCAAAATAATCTTTTGATTGTATTAGGGAACGTAAATAAAAGAGTTCCTGGAGATATTAAGAAATTCCTGGAGACTCCCTTCTGGGAAAAGCACAGAATAGTAGAAAAGGCAGTGGGGCTATGAGTTAGGTGCTGGAGTTCTAGTCTTGGCTCCCTAACTACTGGCTTGACAGCAACTTGAACATATTACAAATCTCTTTAAGCTTTAGTTTTCTCTCTATAAAATGAAGAATGCAGATTTAGGGAACTCTATTAGTCCCCCAGCACAATGTTTCTAGATTCTGAAACTATTACTATGTGAGTAATTCTATTCAATTAATTTTATTTACAAATGGGTTCTAACAGTCATTACTTCTTCTCCATGACTAATTTGGTTATGGTCTTGACACTTGTTTTCCTTAAGGACCCAAGTAGCCTCAATGATTTCAGACTATTCACCAACTCATCTTCCTGCTACTTCTCTTTCATCTTCAAATGTTCAAAAATTGAATACACTGTTTATGAAATAGCAGCAATTCTACCCAGCTCTCAATATGCTCCATAATTTCGCCTAACTTTTCTAATCCATCCCTTAAAAAAAAAGGGAAGGAAGGATTAGATGGAAAAACAGGGACTTAAGAGAAAATAACTTGCTTAATTTAAGGTCACACAGTTAATGAAGGCAGAGGCAGGATTCGAATCCAGGTCTACCTGATTCCAAAGCCATTATATCATCACATTTTTGTGTAATATATCACAGACCAAGGACCCAGGCTATAAGAATTTGTTAAGATTTGGTAACCTTTAAAGTATTACATTCTTTTTTTTTTTTTTTTTGGGATGGAATCTCGCTCTGTCGCCCAGGCTGGAGTGCAGTGGCGCGATCTCAGCTCACTGCAACCCCCGCCTCCCAGGCTCAAGCAATTCTCCTGCCTCAGCCTTCTGAGTAGCTGGGACTACAGGTGCCCACCACCACGCCTGGCTTATTTTTGTTATTTTTAATAGAGACAAGGTTTCACAGCATTAGCCAGGATGGTCTCGATCTCCTGACCTCGTGATCTGCCCGCCTTGGCCTCCCAAAGTGCTGGGATTACAGGCGTGAGCCACCACGCCTGGCCTTAAAGGTATTACATTCTTAATGAAACTTAACTCTTCCAAGGATCATAGGTATATAATAAAAAAATAAAGGAAATGCAGTTGTATGGCTTTGTTTTAGACCAGTTAGTCTTTAAATCTTCATCTGGACTTAATTTTGCAAGAAAGGAAAATGGAACAACAGGCACAAAGCCAAAAAAGGGTCCTGGGATTTAATAAATAAAATTTTATTATTCAATTAAAGTCCACAAATACCTGTTTTGGAGGAAGTGCATCCTGAGAGACAGGATCAAGAGTCATAAATTTTTTATCCCTAACAATACTGAGAACATCATAGAGAACACACATCTCTGTCAGGGCACTTCTCAAATTGTTCCTCACTGAGTCCCAAGGCCAAAGGGAAGGCTGAAATTTTACCACTCCTAAAAAGAGAGAGAGAAAAAAAAGAAATACAGAAGTATTCGTTACATTGAATGGCAGACAGCTCACTTAGGTTTAAAAAGTACTAAAAGGAGAAATAATTAATTAAATTTCAAATTGTTCTCTTATTTATGCCATCTCCTCTACCGTTTCTTAAAACTTTGTTAACATTCACATTAGCATTCCTACAATCGCAAAATGAATATGACATCTATTTCCACAGGTTAAATTTATCATTACAACATTATAGACTCAAATCTCTTTTCAAATTTATGTAAACCTTTTTAATAATCTTCTTACAGTGTTTAGAACTTGAATTTACAATTGTACAAAATTTCCAAAATACAGAAAAGTACAAAATGAAAATGACCTGTAAGCCAGCCACTATTAGCATATCTTCCTTTTAACCATTAAAAAAAGTATTGTGATTAAATACATGAACATTCACTATATAGAGTTCACACAATAAAGAATTAGAGGGTAAAAAGTGAAAGTTTTCCTTCATTCCCCACCCGATTCTCTCCCCTCCTGAGAGGTAACCACTATTAACAGATGGAGCGTAGCCTTTCTTTTCTTTTTTTTTTCTTTTTGAGACAAAGTCTTGCTCTGTCACCCAGGCTGGAGTGCAGTAGCGCGATCTCAGCTCACTGCAAGCTCCACCTCCCGGATTCATGCCATTCTCCTGCCTCAGCCTCCCCAGTAGCTGGGACTACAAGCACCCACCACCACGCCCAGCTAATTTTTTGTATTTTTAGTAGAGACGGGGTTTCACCATGTTAGTCAGGATGGTCTTGATCTCCTGACCTCGTGATCTGCCTGCCCCGGCCTCCGAAAGTGCTGGGATTACAGACGTGAGCCACTGCGCCCGGCCCCAGTGAGTGTACCCTTTCAAAGGTTTTTCTATGCACTTACATACATCTATTTCCAATTTTCTATTACTTGCCTTTCCCCCGCCCCCACTTAATATTTCCTAGAGACACTTCCATGTTAGTACTTATGAGTCTACTTAATTCTTCTAACACTGTATGATATTCTGGAACATGGATGTACGGTATGTTTAACCACTTGTATTTAACGGACATGTAGATTGCTTCCAACAAGTAAACTGCTTCCAACAATGCTAGCAGTGGTAAACATCTTGAATATATACCCTGTATATGTGCAACTTTTTCTGCAGGTTAAATTTTTAGTCGTGGTAATAGTGAATCAAAGGAGATATACATTTAAAAGTTTCGGCTGGGTGCAGTGGCTCAGGCCTGTAATCCCAGCACTTTGGGAGGCCGAGGCAGGGTGGATCACCTGACATCAGGTATTTAAGACCAGCCTGGCCAACATGGTGAAACTCTATCTCTACTAAAAATACAAAAATTAGCCAGGCATGGTGCCGCACGCCTACAGTCCCACATACTAGGGAAGCTGAAGTGGGAGAATCGTTTTGAATCCAGGAGGCAGGGGTTGCAGTGAGCCGAGATTGCACCACTGCACTCCAGCCTGGCCGACAGAGCAAGACTCCATCTCAAAAAAAAAAACAAAACAAACCAAAAAAAGTTAAAATTAAATGTTGGCACATATTAAACTGCCAAATTGTCTTTCAGAATCACTACCAGTTCACATTCCTAACCCTGAATATTAACAATCTTTTCAATTTCTGTCAATTTTGTGCATGGAAAGAGTATCTTAATCATGTTTTAATTTCCCAGTCCCTAGTAATGAGATTGAGTCTATGTTCTGTTTATTGGTATCTGAAGTCTCTCCTCTATGAGCCTTCAGATACCTTTGGCCTATTTTTCCAAAGTGTCATTATTTTCTTTTCAGTCTGAAGGGACTTTTTGAATAGAGAAGATATCAACTAAATTTGTGTTATATGTGTAGAACTTCTCCCAGTCTGTCATTTATCTTTTTACTTTGCTTATGGCATCTTTTCCCATTATTTTTAAATTTTATGTAAGTAATATATCTATACTTTGTAAGGTAGGTAGGTGTGTGGTTGTGTGTGTGGATGTTAGAGTCTTGTTCTGTTACCCAGGCTGGAGTGCGGTGGCACAATCATAGCTCACTGCAGCCTTGATCTCACTGGCTGAATCCATCCTCCTCCCTCAGCCTCCCCAGTAGCTGGGACCACAGACGTGCACCACCACGCCCAGCTAATTTTTTTAATTTGTAGAGGCAGGAGCTCCCTATGTTGCTCAGGCTGGTCTTGAAGTCTGGGCTCAAGTGATCCTTCCACCTTGGCCTCCAAAAATGTTGGAACTACAGGTGTGAGCCACCATGCCTGTCCTGTTATTTCCGAAATTAAGAAGATCTATCCGACTCCCAGAATAATACAACTATTCTTTCATTATTTCTTCTAACACTTTGTTTTACTTTCTTCATTTGGCACTTCAATCCTCAAAAATTACTGTGGAAATAATTTTTGTGTGAGGTATAAAGTAGTATTTACCTTTTTTTGCAAATAGACCCCTAATAATCCTAACAGCACTGCCCTGAAATGACATCTTTAAATTCCCATTTACACTGGGTGTGCTGCATAACTAAATTAAGAATTTTGATTTTTTTTTCAAAAATCCTTGACAATAATGAGAATCTGAAACCCACTCATTATTTCTTCACTTCCCTCCTAGTCTCCTCCCTTCCAGTTTTGCTTTCCCTATAATTCATTTATTAGAAAGCATCTAGAGTAAACTTTAACAAAACCATCTCTACTTATCCTGCAAAAGCTTTCAGTGGTCTTAACACTAGTCAAACGCTTATCCCGGCCTACTGGGTTCTACATGATCTGGACCCGCCTACCTCTTGGACCTCGTCACACATTTCAGTCAAAACAGACCTCTTTTCTGCAGGTGCTACTATCATCATTCACACCGCACAAGGATGCAAAGTAACTCGCCCAAGGTCACACAGCCGGCAAGGGGCAGAGCCCCGATCTAGGGCTCTTTTAGCCACTAAGTGTGCTACATTAAAGGCCCTCTACAGAGAAGCATTCATTTAAACATTTCACGGTTTGACAGTGTCTCTAAACGCTGCCATTCAAGGAGACCCGCAGGAGTATTACGTAAAGTCGTGTCCTACCTTGTCCGGCAGCAACAAAAAGATGACGACCAAGTATCCTTACGCTTCCGCTAGAGGGACACTCAAAAGTTCTCGCACGCACAAGATCACCCCCATCGCGGGAGAGGCGGAGGCCCGCGCGGGTGCTGGGACCCAGACCGGGGGACTCGGGCAGCGGATGCAGGCCTTACCTTCCTCGTCGTCCTGGTCTGCGCTGGACCCGGCGCCCGGCCACTCCTGCGCGTCGCCCTCGGTCCCCGCCGCCTCCTCCTCCTCGGAGCCCGAACCCTGGCTGAAGTCTATCCGCTGGGCCAGACGCGCCAGATTCTGCGACATGGACAGCGGGGGCAGGTACGTCTCGGTGCCATCCAGGCCCACCTCATGGACCTGCTTCTCGCAGGCCGATTCGATGCTGATCCGCACTGCGCGCACCCCGGACATGCTGGCTGCGTCGGCCAGCGGTGGGAGGACCCCCCACGAGCCAAAAAACGAGGTACGAAGAGGAGGCTTCCCTGCGGAGAGCCGGGAACTCAGAAGCCCGCAGCCGCGGTGCCTCAGAAGACCCTCGGGAAACCGAACGCAACGCTCAGACTGGAAACAAAGGAGCTGGCCCAGCAACTTTCCCAGAACGCACCGCAAGCTCCCTCCTCGGTAAGTCTTTCGGAGCAAAACTGGGCAGGCGCGGAAGCTCCAGGGTTCCCTAGAGCGCTTCCGGTGAATCACGGTGCAGGGTGGGGTAAACTTCCGGGCCTATAAGAGGCGTGGCCGGCAGAGGGAGGGAAAGAGCGGTTTGGGAGCCGAGAGTGTGGCGGGTATATTCCTTGCTTTTTAAGCCTGCGTTTGTTTAAAAAGTGGATGAGGAAAGAAAGCTGCAGAGGCTAGAAGAGTTAAGGAAAAGGAAATTAATGGATCCTTGGATCTTAGCAATGAGAGTCCTGTTGAGAGAACTGAGATCTGGTGGCGCGCGCCTGTGGTCCAGCTACGCGGGTGGCTGAGGCGGGAGAATGGCTTGAGCCCTGGAGATGGAGGCTGCAGTGAGCCGAGATCTCACCGCTGCATTCCAGCCTAAGCAACAGAGTGGGATCCTGCCTCAAAACAAAAGTTATTTTAAATTAGCAAGAAATTTTTTAAAGAAACACTATCTGAAGAGTTAGAAATTAAGGGCATGGCTTGGGGGAAACAATCGTGCTTATCACCACTTAAAATTATACTACGTAATTATTTGGTTTCCTGTTAGTTATAACTCTATGACAGCCAATATCTGCAGCAGACATAATAGACTCTGGCATGTAGTAAGTGCTTAATATTTATTTTATGCCCGAGTAACAGAATAAATAATGTTGATCTCGCTTTTTTATTAGTGATGGGGTCCCACTATGTTGCCCAGGCTGAGTGCAGAGGTTATTCACAAGTGCTGTCAGCACGCTACAGCCTGGAGCTCCTGGGCTCCAACGATGCTCCTGCCTTAGCCTCCTGAGGAGCTGGGACTATAGGAGCGTGTCACCATGCCTGGCCTGCAAATAATATTTAAAAGATTAAGAAGAAGTGGTATAACTTCAGTCTTTGGGTCTCCAAGAACGTATTTCATTAGTAGGAATTCCACAGACAAAGATGGATTATTTTATATTACAAACCTCTATATTTCGTTTAAGGAATTATATATACCGTTTATCATGAGTGTTTGCCAGGTTTTGTTCTGACCAAGATATATCTAGGTTTTGAACTACTTTCCTAAGGTATTTAGGAAAATACGGTTGCCCTGGTGTCAGTCCCTGCTGAAGAAGAAAGTAGATGGCCGTGTGTGGAGGGGGTTGAATTTTCATGAGAGAAACCTATTTCTGGCAAGCTGTACAGTCTGTCGCCCAATCATGTTCGAGAACCACTGTACTTGCTTTTCGTGTAAATTTGTTTAAAAATTTTTTTTAACTTTATTTTAAAATCTGATTAATAGCCAGGCGCAGTGGCAGTCTAATAGTGCAGACAAAAACAAGACAACAACAAATGATTATGATTCCTAGAATAAGCAAAGCTTTTGCCACCAAGTCTTCAAGATCAAAACTAGCTGCTTAGCCAGTTGTTTAAAGATGTGTTGGATCTGAAAGGTTAGTTGTTAAGGTTTTCATATTATCCATTAACGTAGTGATATTATCTGATTCATCTGGGATACAGACATAACACACAGTTTTTATGATAATGCAAGTTCCTCCCTGGGCTTCGGTGAGTATGTCAAAAGCCATACGGTTTTGTAATAATGGCCTTTTCCATAAGAATAACTATTGTTTAATAATGGAATACTTATGTAGCTATCTTTTGGGTATAATTGGTTAGGACCTCTATATGCCAAATAACATCTTCAACACTCAGTTGTGGTATGAAGATGGAAGCTAAGTGATCATACCAATGAAACACAGGATGAACCCAATGAGATCATAAATAAGGAAAATTTGCAGGTTTTGGCAAAGTACAAACTACTCAAATATATGATTAAGCATAACCTGAAAAACATCATCCTAACTATCCTGGAAGTAACCATGGTCATAGGTTAGTGCCACATAGCCAAAATGTTCCATTTGGAGCTAATCAATAAATACATTAAATGGCATGCCAGTCAGTACTTTGTAATATAATGGTGTGAATACACAGTTCTTTGGGTATCCATGCCATATCTCCAGTGCTTTTGGGCCAGATATCTTTGGTATGATTTCTTTGTTCCCAACATAAAGGGGCAAAGTGGCCAGGCACGGTGGCTCACGCCTGTAATCCTCCACTTTGGGAGAATGAGGCGGGTGGATCACCTGAGGTCAGGAGTTCGAGACTAGCCTGGCCAACATGACGAAACCTCGTCTCTACTAAAAATACAAAAACTAGCTGGGCGTGGTGATGCATGCCTGTAATCCCAGGTACTCAGAAGGCTGAGGCAGGAGAATCACTTGAACCCAGGAGGCAGAGATTACAGTGAGCCAAGATCTCACCACTGCACTCCAGGCTGGGCAACAGAGTAAGACTCTGTCTCAAAAAAAATAAATAAATAAAAAGTTGGGGTGGCAAGGACAAGGTGGCTGGGCTGACAGAAGGAGGGATAAGCCAGATAAAACCATCCCCAATTTGTGTTATACCATTCTGAAATCAAGGTGTCTTATCTCTTAATTGGAACAGTGTCGTTGTTTCATTACTTAGTTGGGACAGTGCCAGCATTAAAGTTAACAAACTAGTTTCTTTTACTAAGAAGCTCCTTCCATGGCTTTTACTCTGTAAAGGTTTTGTTTCGTTTTGTTTTGTTTTGTTTTTGTTTTGTTTTTTGAGATGGAGTTTTGCTCTGTCACCCAGGCTGGAGTGCAGTGGTGCGATCTTGGCTCATTGCAACCTCCGCCTCCTAGGTTCAAGTGATTCTCCTGCCTTAGCCTCCCGAGTAGCTGGGACTACAGGTGCACACCACCACGACTGATTAATTTTTGTGTTTTTAGTCGAGACAGGGTCTCACTTTGCTGGCCAGGCTGGTCTCAAACTCCTGAGCTCAGTCGATCTGCCCGCCTTGGCTTCCCAAAGTGCAAGGATTACAGGTGTGAACTACTGCGCCCAGCCTTTAAAGTATTATTAATAGGCTAGTGATGTACTTTATCCTTCATCATACTACTGTCAAGCACCATGACTGTTTTTAAGAAACACAAATATATTTCTGATATTCTATGCAATATCTTCTCTCCTTGGAGCAATATATTTCTTTCCTTGGAGAGAAGATACCCACCAGGAAAGCCAGAACTACTGGAAAGGGGCATGAGACCACATGTTCAATCAGCATTTTTTTAAATAATCTATTAGCATAGTCCTAAGCCCATTGCAAAAAGAGGTTTGCTTTATGGGCAACAGTTAATGATAGTAGTGCCGAGACATGAAAACTAAGGACAAAAAGAAAGAAGTTTAATGGGAGCTTGTAAAGGAAAGTCTTCCCCATGTATTAACATTTGCTAATATTAAGCATTTGTTTAGATACAGGCCTGGTTTGGAGTCTTGGGTTTTAGCCACCTACATCAGATGTTATCTTGTTCTAGACCTGTCATTGACTTATTTTGAAACAGAGATCACCTTCTGGGGAAACAGTCCCTCAGGAGATGGAGCCCTCTTCAGATCCAGACATGGATCCAGGAGTCTATTCTAGTTTCTGTTTTTTGTTTTTTTGAGATGGAGTCTCATTCTGTCACCCAGGCTGGAGTGCAGTGATGCAATCTCAGCTCACCGCAACCTGTGCCTCCAGGGTTCAAGTGATTCTCCTGCCTCAGCATCCCCAGTAGCTGGGATTACAGGCAGGTGCCCACCATCACACCCGGCTAATTTTTGTATTTTTAGTAGAGATGGGGTCGCGCCATCTTGCCCAGGTTGGTGAACTCCTGAGCTCAGGCGATCCATCCACCTTGGCCTCCCAAAGTGCTGGGATTACAGTCATGAGCCACCACACCCGGCCAGGAGTCTATTCCTTCTAATATAATAGCAAAAGGATTACTAAGAAGCACTTGGTAAGAGCCCTTCCACTTGGTTGGAGACAGTCCTTTAGAGGATGTTGTTCCCAGTAGATACAGTCTCCTGGATGAAAATTGTGGGTCTTGAATTTTTCATATCCCAAGAGCCCATTAGGAAATAATCTTTCACTAGGTAATAATTTTTAGTTAATTATCTCATAAGGTTAGAACAACAAAGGAATATATCTCCTCTTACAGTTAAGGAGTTACCATTTCCTGGGACAGATTCATAGCTATGTGAGTTATTATTTCAAATGGGTACAACTGATGTATTCCAAAGGGGTTGATCTTGGGTTAAGCAAAGCCAATAGAAGCCTTTGGCCATGGGATCTTAAAAATTTGTGTTATTGGCCAGGCAAAGTGACTCACGACTGTAATCCCAGCACTTTGGGAGGCTGAGGTGGGCGGATCACAAGGTCAGGAGTTCGAGACCAGCCTGGCCAATATGGTGAAACCCCCTTTTCTACTAAAAATACAAAAATTAGCTGGGCGTGGTAGTGAGCACCATTCCCATTCACAATTGCTTCAAAGAGAATAAAATACCTAGGAATCCAACTGACAAGAGATGTGAAGGACCTCTTCAAGGAGAACTACAAACCACTGCTCAACAAAATAAAAGAGGACACAAACAAATGGAAGAACATTTCATGCTCATGGATAGGAAGAATCAATATAGTGAAAATGGCCATACTGCCCAAGGTAATTTATAGATTCGATGCAATCCCCATCAAGCTACCAATGACTTTCTTCACAGAATTGGAAAAAACTACTTTAAAGTTCATATGGAACCAAAAAAGAGCCCTCATTGCCAAGTCAATCCTAAGCCAAAAGAACAAAGCTGGAGGCATCACACTACCTGACTTCAAACTATACTACAAGGCTACAGCAACCAAAACAGCATGGTACTGGTACCAAAACAGAGATATAAACCAATGGAACAGAACAGAGGCCTCAGAAATAATACCACATATCTACAACCATCTGATCTGTGACAAACCTGACAAAAACAAGCAATGGGGAAAGGATTCCCTATTTAACCAATGGTGCTGGGAAAACTGGCTAGCCATATGTAGAAAGCTGAAACTGGATCCCTTCCTTACACCTTATACAAAAATTAATTCAAGATGGATTAAATACTTAAATGTTAGACCTAAAACCATAAAAACCCTAGAAGAAAACCTAGGCAATACCATTCAGGACATAGGCATGGGCAAGGACTTCATGTCTAAAACACCAAAAGCAATGGCAACAAAAGACAAAATGGACAAATGGGATCTAATTAAACTAAAGAGCTTCTGCACAGCAAAAGAAACTACCATCAGAGTGAACAGGCAATCTACAGAATGGGAGAAAAATTTTGCAATCTACTCATCTGACAAAGGGCTAATATCCAGAATCTACAAAGAACTCAAACAAATTTACAAGAAAAAAACAACCAACCCCATCAAAAAGTGGGCGAAGGATATGAACAGACACTTCTCAAAAGAAGGCATTTATGCAGCCAGCAGATGCATGAAAAAAATGCTCATCATCACTGGCCATCAGAGAAATGCAAATCACAACCACATTGAGGTATCATATCACACTAGTTAGAATGGCGATCATTAAAAAGTCAGGAAACAACAGGTGCTGCTGGAGAGGATGTGGAGACATAGGAACACTTTTACACTGTTGGCGGGACTGTAAACTAGTTCAACCATTGTGGAAGACAGTGTGGTGATTCCTCAGGGATCTAGAACTGGAAATACCATTTGACCCAGCCATCCCATTACTGGGTATATACCCAAAGGATTATAAATCATGCTGCTATAAAGACACATGCACATGTATGTTTATTGTGGCACTACTCACAATAGCAAAGACTTGGAACCAACCCAAATGTCCAACAATGATAGACTGGATTAAGCAAATGTGGCACATATGCACCATGGAATACTATGCAGCCATAAAAAATGATGAGTAGGGACATGGATGAAGCTGGAAACTATCATTCTGAGCAAACTATCGCAAGGACAGAAAACCAAACACTGCATGTTCTCACTCATAGGTGGGAATTGAACAATGAGAACACTTGCACGCAGGAAGGGGAACATCACACACCGGGGCCTGTTGTGGGGTGGGGGGAGGGGGGAGGGATAGCATTAGGAGATATACCTAATGTAAATGACGAGTTAATGGGTGCAGCACACCAACATGGCACATGTATACGTATGTAACAAACCTGCACGTTGTGCACATGTACCTTAGAACTTAAAGTATTATTTAAAAATATATATATATATATATATATATATATATATATATATATATATATATAAAGATTCTATAGAGTAACCTGGCTGGGCGCGGTGGCTCACGCCTGTATTCCCAGTACTGTGGGAGGCTGAGGTGGGTGGATTGCCTGAGCTCAGGAGTTTGAGACCAGCCTGGGTAATATGGCAAGACCCCATCTCTACTAAAAATACAAAAATTAGCCAGCTGTGGTGGCGGGCGCCTGCCTGTAATCCCAGCTACTGGGAAGGCTGAGGCAGGAGAATTGCTTGAACCCGGGAGGTGGAGGTTGCAGTGAGCCAAGATCGCGCCTCTGCACTCCAGCTTGGGTGACAGAGCAAGACTCTGTCTCAATAAAGAAAAAAAAAAAAGATACTACAGCGCAATCTGTGCAATAAGTCCCAGGTTTATTCTTTAGGTAAGATCCATCTGTAAGCCAAACAACATCAGCGTTAATAAGGGGAATCTATTTCTAAGCCAAACAATGTCAGCGTTAATAAGGAGAATCTCTTGCAGGTCTGTTATAGGAGAGAGAAATTGATCGGTTAAGATTATGCACTTATGGGCGGGCACGGTGGCTCACGCCTGTAATCCGACACTTTGGGAGGCCGAGGTGGGAAGATCACGTGTGGCCAGGAGTTCGAGACCAGCCTTCGCAACATAGTGAGACCTCGCCTCTAAAAAAAAGAAAAATCAAAAAATTAGGCGGAAGGATTGCTCCAGGCCAGCAGGTCAAGCCTACAGTGAGCTGGTGAGCTGCGCTTGGGCCACGGCACTCCAGCCTGGGTGACAGAGCAAGACTCTGCCTTGAAAAAAATAAAAATAAAAATAAAGATTATGCAATCTCATCTCGAGGCAGAAGAATGGCAGAGTTTAGATTATTGCACCTAGAGATTGTAGTATGAGGTACGGAAAAAAGAACTTCATAAGTAGTCTGATGACCGAATAATGTTGAATGTGGTGCCAATTTTGAAGTGCTTTCACAGAATGTGGAACTAAGTGACAGGAAATTCGCATCACTATTTCTCTGGTGGCTCTTACTAACAAAGCAGTGGAAGTTATTGCCCTCATGCAAGGGGGCAGTGCTTTAGTCAAAGGGTCCAGTTACTGACTATAGTAGCCTATAGGTCTGTTTTGGGCTCCCTGTTTTTATGTCAGAATGTCTAAGGCGTTTCCCTGATTTTCAAAAACAAATAATGAAATGGAATATTATAACTTGGGGATCCCATCCTGGGGCATCTCTAAGGCCCCTTTTAATCCCTTTCAGCATTAACTGATTTTCTTTAGTCCATTGCAGGGTGTCTGGCTTGTTTTGTTTTAAAAGAATACATATGCTAGGTGTGGTGGCTTATGCTTGTAATCGCAGAACTTTAGGAGGCCTAGATGGGAGGATCCCTTGAGGCCAGGAGTTTGAGACCACTGTGGGCAACATAGCAAGATTCCATCTCTACACAAAATTTTTTAAAAAAATTAGCTGGGCAGCCAGGTGCAGTGGCTCACACCTGTAATCCCAGCACTTTGGGAGGCCAAGGCAAGTGGATCCCTTGAGCCCAAGAATTCCAGACCAGCCTGGGCAACATGGTGAAACCCCATCTCTACAAAAAAAAAGAAAAAATACAAAAATTAGCTGGGTGTGGTGGTGTGCGCCTGTAGTCCCAGCTACTTGGGGCGCTGGGGTGGAGGATCACTTGAGCCCCAGAGGTTGAGGCTGCAGTGAGCTGTAACTGTGCCACTCTACTCTAGTGTGGCCAACAGAGCATGACCCTGTCTGTTAAAAAAAAAAAAAAAAAAGTTAAAATCAGGAACCCATTGGATAGATTGTTTGTTTGTTTTTAGAGACAGAGTCTCGCTCTGTTGCCCAGACTGGGGTGCAGTGGTGTGATCAGAGCTCACTGCAGCCTGGAACTCCTGGGCTCAAGGGATCCTCCCACCTCAGCCTCCCGAATAGCTGGGACTAACAGGTGCATGCCACCATGCCCAGATAATTAAAAACAATTATTTTGTAGAGATAAGGTTTCACCATCTTGCCCAGGCTGATCTTGAATTCCTGGTCTCAGGTGATCCTCCTGCCTCAGCCTCCCAAAGTACTGGGATTACAGGTGTGAGTGACCATGCCTGACCTGTTTTTTTTGTTTTGTTTTTTGTTTTTGTTTTTTTTTTAAATAAACAACAGAAAGTTATTTCTCACAGTTCTGGAGACTGAGAAGTTCAAGATCAATGTGCCAGTAGATTTGGTATCTGGTGAAGACCCATTTCCTGATTTATACACAACACCTTCTTGCTGAGTTCTCACTTGGAAAAGATAAACAAGCTCCCTCAGGTCTCTTTTATAAGGGTACCAATCCCCTTCATGAGGGCTCTGCCTCCATGGCTTCATTGCTTCCCAGCAGGCCCCACCCCCTAATACCATCACCTTAGGGGTTAGGATTTTGACATTTGAATTTTGTCATTGGATAGGTTTAATAAAAGATTTGATACAGTAGAGAACAGGATTAATGAACTCAAAGGCTAGTCAATGGAAAAATCCAAACCAAAGCACAAAAATAACAGAACAGAGTGTAAGATAATTTGGGATTCACGTTCCAAGTCATTACAAGAATTAAAGTGTTAATAAAAGGATACTATGAATCACACCCCTTTTCTGCACTTCCTCTGGCCAGTGTATCTTAGTTTTAGCGCCCCCTGTGATGCAGTTCTGTATTACTGGGACCACCCTCCATATACAGTAGTAAAAGAGGGAGAAAATAGGATCACAAGAGGCTCATTTCCTGATTCCTCTGGCCCAAGAGATGTGTTTTTCTCTCAGACTTTTAGATAACAGCTTACCTGCTGCCACTGATGCAGCAGAACAGCTTTGCCTGCAATGGGGCTAGTCAAGGGATCCTCCCACCTCAGCCTCCCAAATATCTGGGACTAACAGGTGCATGGAGAGAACAGAAGAGGGCCAGGAGAGAACAGAAAACATAAGGAGAAAAAAGGGAGACTTCTTTTTTTCTTTTCTTTTCTTTTTTTTTTTTTTTTTGAGATCGAGTTTTGCTCTTGTTGTCCAGGCTGGAGTGAAATGGCGTGATCTCGGCTCACTGCAACCTCTGCCTCCTGGGTTCAAGCAATTCTCCTGCCTCAGCCTCCCAAGTAGCAGGGATTACAGGCATGTGCCACCACGCCCAGCTAATTTTGTATTTTTAGTAGAGATGGGGTTTCTCCATGTTGGTCAGGCTGGTCTCAAACTCCTGACCTCAGGTGATCTGCCTGCCTCGGCCTCCCAAAGCGCTGGGATTACAGGCATGAGCCACCACACCCAGCCAAAAGGGAGACTTTTCTCCATGTGGTTACATGGGGCTCCTTTTCCTGGTTCTCTGGTGAGAAAGAGGGACTGTCTCTTGGGAGCTTTTGTTCTCCATGCTGGTTGCGTAGTTCCTCCAATGCAAGCTGCCTTGGGTCAAATCCAGAAGATAAAAGAGGAGAGGAAAAAGAGGAAACTCATTATCATATTGTTCATTCTTTCAGTTTTGACTTGTCTTCTCAACTTGCCTATTGGTTTTTTTGTTTGTTTGTTTTGTTTTGTTTGAGACAGGGTCTCACTCTGTTGCCCTGACTGGAGTGCAGTCACCTGATCATGGCTCACTTTAGCCGTGACCTCCGGGGCTCAAATGATCCTTCCACCTCAGCCTCCCTAGTAGCTGGGACTACAGGTGTGCACCACCACACCTAGTCAATTTTTAATTTTTGTAGAGACAGGATCTCACTATCTTGTCCAGGCTGATCTCAAACTGATGGCACTGGCAGGCCATCCAGAGTGGCCACTGCCATTGAGCCCTGGCTATGGGGAGGGCATGGGGAGGAGGTGGTCAGCCCTCCTGCAGCCTGCTGCCCTGGGGGCCACTACAATGGGGCCAGGCCTGGTTGCCCACCAGTGGGGGAAAACCACAGTAGGGCAGAGAGGTGCCCTGAGGTGGAGCTGGGCTCCAGGCGGTGCTGCGCTTGCAAATGGAGTATAGGGCCCAGGCCCAGGGTGCAGAGTTGGGGCCATGCTTTGGGGGCCTGGGGTGGGAAGTGGGAGTGGCACCCGCTTCAGGGACCTGGCCAGTGGCCACCATTCCCACCCCGCTGATGGCTCTGGGTTCCTGCACCTCAGGAGGAGGCTCTGTGTAGGGCCCCCTGGAGCCACATCCCCAAGGTCTGCCCCACATCAGGGTGACTGCTGAACCTGACACTCCTGATAGCTGGCCCTGGCCTGCACGTGTGATCTGGTCCCAGAAGCCCCCCACCGAGGGAAGGGCCATGAGCTAGGCAGAGGGGAGCCCCAGGTCACCCCTGAGTGCCAGGGCCATGTGGGGAGCTCACAGCAACATCACCCCTGCCCCGACGCTGGCCCGGGCCCAGCAAGGACCTGGAGCTCCTGCCGCAGACTGCAAGGGACCTGGCTGGGGCTGCATGCTCCACAGAACTGGTGGGAGCTGGGAGCAGGCAGCAGCCCCCATCCCCCCCACCCCAGGTGCAACTGCAGCTGCCCAAGTTGGGGCTGTGGACTCAGGCCTTCCTGTGTTCTTGGGGGCCAGAGCAGGCAGGCACCCTGCATGCCTCACACCTCCAGACCTGGGCCTCTCTGCACTCTTGGAGGCCTGGGAAGTCCCCCAACCCCATGGTCTCAGAAGTGACTGCTCCTACTGACTGGCTTCTCCCTGCTGTTGGCACCTGCTCTGATCTTGGAGCAACATGGGGCCAAGCTGGGGTACTGTCACAGCCCAGCCAGGTGTGCACACACTTGGGGCAGTGCTGACATGCTGGCCCCCTGCTGCCTTGGCCCTGCCAGACTTTGGGTACCAACAAGCATAGTGGGGAAGCCGAGGGGAGTGCTGCACTCCAGTCAGGGCAACAGAATGAGACCCTGTCTCAAACAAAACAAAACAAACAAAAAAAATCAATAGGCTCAGCACTGGCCTACAGGTGACCCTTGACTTGAGCAGCCTGGGAACCATGGACAGCGGCAGGAGGCAGACAGGCTTCTGGGCAGAAAAGGGTGGGTCCCCGGTGAGGCCCCACCTTCAGGTCAGGGAGGGCCTGAATGCTGGGGGCCAAACTGCCAGTCCTGGGAACCAGAGTGAAGACTTGTGGTGCCTTTTCTTGGCCTATCCATGGCCGCCCTTGGACCAATTAGCGCACACTTCTTCCCCTCTGAGGCCCATAAAAGCCCCAGGCTCAGCCAGAGCAAAGCAAAGGACAGAGAGATGACAGGACAACCTGCCTACAGAGAGGAGCCACCAACTCTAGGGCCTCCTCTCTGGTGAGAGCTACAGATGGCGAGACAACCCACTGCAGAGAGGAGCTACTCTCTCTGCTGAGAACTGAACAATTGTTGGGACGACCTGCCTGCAGAGAGGAGCTACCCTCTCTGCTAGGAGCTGAACACTCATCAGGACACCCTGTCTATGGAAAGGAGCTGCCCACTGCAGGTCTTCTTTGAGCTGTTCTAATGCTCATTGAAGCTCCTTTTCATCTTGCTCACCTTTCACTTGTCTGCATACCTCATTCTTCCTGGTTGCAGGACAAGAACTTGGGACTCGCTGAAAGGCAAGACTAAAAGAGCTGTAACACAAACAGGGCTGAAACATGCCCCTTGCTCACCACATTGTGGGTGGAGAGAAGAAGAGCGGCAGCCCTTTGGGGAGGCCAGACCTGGAAACTCCCTGAGCCAGGGCTGTGACTCCCTCTTTGAGGCCCTGCAGTTTCTGATGTCTCCAAGCTTCCGGACACCACCGCATTCCCCAATGCCAGCTGGGGAAGCAGCTTGTAGTGCACCTGGTGCAGCCAGCATGTCTGACTGTGCAGTGGCTGGATCCCATACTTGCTCAGATACCCCTCACCTCTCCATGCCTGACTCACAGTCTTTCTTGGAGGCATGGGATCCCAGCCAGTAGCATGAGCTGAGCACAGCCTGCCAGGCTGAATGGGTGGAATGAGTCCAGTGTGCCTGAACAAAGCTCAAGCAAAGGCACTACCAGCCACAGGTTTCCAGCCAGAAAAGTGACACCCCAAAGATCCCGTAACAAAACTCCTGGGCTTAAGCAATCCTCCCACCTGGGCCTTCCAAAGTGCTGGGCCTACTGGCATAAGCCACCATGCCCAGCCCATTGTTTAATTTTCAACTGTTCTGAAAGGGATGCTTTTTTTCATGCAAAGTTCTATATTTTGTAATTGTGTGGGAAACAGGTTGTTGTGCTAAGTCTTGGTGCTGGCCAAGGCTTATTCCATCTTGGCCAGCACCAGAAGTTCAAATTCATGTTTGTTTGTTTGTGTTTTTGTTTTTTTTTAAAGATGAGGTACATTAGTCAGAGTTTTCTAGAGAGACAGAATAGGATAGATGTATATATGAAGGGGAGTTTATAAAGGAGTATTGACTCACACAATCACAAGGTGAAGTCTCATAATAGGCCGTCTGCAAGCTGAGGAGCAATGAAGTCAGTCTGACTCCCAAAACCTCAAAAGTAGGGAAGCTGATGGTGCATCCTTCAGCCTGTGGCCAAAGGCCCAAGAGCCCCTGGAAAACCACTGGTGTAAGTACAAGAGTCCAAAAGCTGAAGAATTTGGAGTCTGATGTTTGAGATCAGGAAGCATCCATCACGGGAGAAAGATAAAGGGTGGAAGACTCAGCAAGTCAGCTTCTCCCACCTTCTTTTGCCTGCTTTTTTTCTAGCTGCACTGGCAGTTGATTGGACGGTGCCCACCCACATTGAGGGTGAGTCTGCCTTTCCCAGGCCACTGACTCAAATGTTAATCTCCTTTGGCAACACCCTCACAGACACATTGAGGAACAATACGTTGCATCTTTCAATCCAATCACGTTGACAGTATCAACCATCACACAAGGTCTCACTCTGGTCACCCAGACTGGAGTGCAATGGCAGGATCTCAGCTCGTTGCAGCCTTTGCCTCCTGGGCTCAAGCGATCCTCCAGCCTCAGCCTTCTAAGTAGCTGGGACTACAGGCATGCACTACCACATCTGGCTATTTTTTTGTGTTTTCGGTAGAGACAGAGTTTCTCCATGTTGCCCAGGCTGATCTCGAACTCCTGGGTTTAACAGATCTGCCCACCTCAGCCTCCCAGAGTGCTGGGATTACAGGTGTGAGCCACTGTGCCTGGCCCATGTATTCTTTAGTAAATTTCTCTTGTTATGATATTCAGTTTCCTTTAACATGTTGTTAAAAGAAAAATTTTAGACAAATTAAACGGAGCTTAATTGAACAAAGAACAATTCTTGAATTGGGCAACCCCCAGAACAGAATAGGTCCAGAAGTGACTCCAGTGCTGCCAGATGGTTGGAGAGGATTTAAGGACAGAAAAAGGAAAGTGGCCTACACAAAATGGAAGGGAGGTACAGGAACAGCTGGATTGGTTACAGCTCAGCATTTGCCTTATTTGAAGGTGGTTCGAACAGTTGGCCGCCTGTGAGTGGTTGGAGTATGGCTGCTGTGATTGGTTGAGACTTGGCTACTTGTTACAAGAGTAACAGTCTGTGAACCCAAAATATCTGAGACAGGTCTCAGTCAATTTAGAAAGTTTAATTTGCCAAGGTTAAGGATGCACTGTGACATAGCCTCAGGAGGTCCTGACAACATGTGCCCAGGATGATCAGAGCACACGTTGGTTTTATACATTTTAGGGAGACATGAGACATCAATTAATCTGTGTAAGATACACATTGGTTCCCTCAGATAAGGCAGGACAACTCTATGTGGGGACTTCCAGGTTAGAAGTAGATAAGAGATAAAAGGAAAAGGTTGCATTCTTTTGAGTCCTTGATCAGCCTTCCACTGAATACACAATTTAGTCTGGCTCAGTGACTGTGCATATTGTTTTTACATAAACAATAGGGCAGAGAAAACAATCAGATATGCATTTGTCTCAGGTGAGCCTCAGAGGGATGACTTTGAGTTCTGTCTGTCCTTTGTCCACAAGGTATTGTGGACAATTGTGAGGGAGGTATATAGCTTCTTCTCTTTGTAGCTGTCTTATTTAGGAATAAAATGGGAGGCAGGTGTCTGACATAGTTCCCAGCTTGACTTTTCTTTTGGCTTAGTGATTTTGGGGTTCCAAGATTTATTTTCCTTTCACAAGTCCATTTACACATCCAGTTAGATTACATTTCACTAGGTATGGAGAAACTTTTAGGCCAAACTTAAAATATGTAAGGAGGCAGCTTTTAGGCTAAACTTAATTTAACAGTGTACAGTACAATATAGGGCAATACTGGCCGGGTGCAGTGGCTCACGCCTGTAATCCAAGCACTTTGGGAGGCTGAGGCAGGCGGATTACCTGAGGTCAGGAGTTCGAGACCAGCCTGGCCAACATGGCAAAACCCCGTCTCCACTAAAAATACAAAAATTAGCTGGGCCTGGTGGTGTATGCCTGTAGTCCCAGCTACTCCAGAGGCCAAGACAGGAGGATCACTTGAACCTGGGAGGCGGAGATTGCAGTGAGCCAGGATTGCACCATTGCACTCCAGCCTGGGCAATGGAGTAAGACTCCATCTCAAAAGACAAAAAACAAACAAAAAACAATATAGGGCAATACTGATAGGATTTATTCTATTTTATTTCAATTATTTTTTCACCTGAGTTGGGGCTTAGAAAACAAAATTGTAAAATATAGCACTTTGGCATGCTGAATGTTTTGAATTAAGGAATATTAAAAGGTCTCAGAAATAAGCCTCAGAACCAAGGGATCTCTCTGACCTTCCTCAGCTTCCCCATCTCTCTGATCTTCTTCCTTTTCTGAAGCTTCTGGAAGGACTCTGGAACTTCCTTTTGTGAGCAGGGAAGCTTCTTTCCAAAAAAAAAAAAAAAAAAAGCAGTGAATCCCCTCTCTAGGAATCTCATCAAATAACCAGAACAGGTTAACCACCAAAAAGATGACACTGGGAGTTGTCACCATGTCCAGGCAGGCTTTTTTTTTTTTTTTTTTGAGACAGAGTCTCACTCTGTCACCCAGGCTGGAGTGCAGTGGCATGATCTCAGCTCACTGCAACTTCTGCCTCCCACGTTCAAGTGATTCTTCTGCCTCAGCCTCCGGAGTAGCTGAAATTACAGGTGCCTGCCACCATGCCTGGTTAATTTTTGTATTTTTAGTAAAGATGGGGTTTCTCCATGTTGGCCAGGCTGGTCTCAAACTCCTGACCTCAGGTGATCCACCCGCCTCGGCCTCCCAAAGTGCTGGAATTACAGGCATGAGCCACCGTGCCCGATCTGGATTTTTCATTTATTCTTGTGAGTGCAGCTCCACGAGGATTACCTGGGAGACATTATCTATGTAAGATAACCTTTGCTCACAGTAAAGTTCTGCCCCTCATCTTCCTGCCACCTCCCCCAGAGTTCAAAATAACTTTCTTCCAGGCCATTGTTCTTGGAGCTCATTCATTTTCCCTAAAAATCTTTTACTCCTATACCCCCGTGCCCACCATCTCCCCTTCCTCTATGAAGAAGGGTATATAAACATCTGGACCTCATTGGATTATTGAGTAGTCATTCTCCTGAGGTTCCCTCATGCTTATGCACACTAAATAAAGTTTGTATGCCGTTTTCTCCTGTTAGTCTGCTTTTTGTCAGTTTATTTTCAATGAGCCTTCAGAAAGAGTGAAAGGGAAGCTTGGTCTTCTCCTCTATGCATGTCAGTGTCCCCACTAGACCAAGCTCTTCCAGGTCAGGGACTATGTCTTATTCATCTTTGTATTCCTAGTACCTGGCACAGTATGTACCAGTACAATATGTACCATATATACCAGTAGAGTACATACTACTATATACTAATACCACTACAGCATGTACCAGAGCACCTAGTATAGTATGTAATAGTAAATTGCTACTGAATGAAAGATTAGGCCACACAGAGGCTTTACAGGTAAACTAAAAGGAAGCTGAGCTTTAAAACCAAAAGCAAATGGAAATCTGCATTTCGGTGTTGTATCAGTCTGTTCTCGCATGCTGTAAAGACATACCTGAGACAGGGTAATTTATAAAAAAGGTTTAATGGGCTCATGATTCTGCAGGTTATACAGGCTTCTGCTTCTGGGGAGGCCTCAGGAAACTTACAATCATGGGGCAAAGGCAAAGGGAAGCAGGCAGGATGGGAACAGTGGCTCATGTCTGTACCCAGAATTTTGGGAGGCTGAAGTGGGAGGAGCACTTGAGTCCAGGAGTTCGAGACCAGGCTGGGCAATGTGATGAAACCCTGCCTCTAAAATAAAAAAATAAAATAAAATAAAATAAAAATTAGCTGGGTGTGGCATGTGCCTGTAGTCCCAGCTACTCTGGAGGCTAAGGTGGGAGGATGGTTTGAGCCTGGGAGGCAGAGGTTGCAGTGAGCTGAGATCATGCCATTGCACTCTAGCCTGGGTAACAGAGCCATACCCTCTCTCAAAAAAAAAAAAAAAAAAAGGAAAAAGAAAGAAAAAAAAATTTTTTTTTTAAGACGGAGTCTCACTCTGTCGCCCAGGCTGGAGTGCAGTGGCGCGATCTCGGCTCACTGCAAGCTCCACCTCCCAGGTTCACTCCATTCTCCTGCCTTAACCTCCCTAGTAGCTGGGACTACAGGTGCCCACCACCACACCTGGCTAATTTTTTGTATTTTTAGTAGAGATGGGGTTTCACCATGTTAGCCAGGATGGTCTCGATCTCCTGACCTCGTGATCTGCCCACCTCGGCCTCCCAAAGTGCTGGGATTCCAGGCATGAGCCACTGCAAAGGGGAGGCAGGCACATCTTCACATGGCCAGCAGGTGACAAAGAGAGGGTGAAGTGGGAGGCGCTTTCAAACAAGCAGATCTTGGGAGAACTCTATCACGAGGTAGCACCAGGGGGATAGTGCTAAACCATTAGAAACCACACCCATGATCCAATCACCTCCCACAAAGCCCCACCCCCAAGCCTGGGGATTACAGTTCAACCTGAGACTTAGGTGGGGACACAGAGCCAAACCATATCAGGTATTTACTGTAGTGACAAATATTAGGTTGCCAATGCAAATAATATCAAGTGTTAGTCTAAATTTGAAGAAGTTAATCCTCGTTGTGGTTAATATGAGTCAGAAAAACAGCATATCAGAGAAATGAGGCTAAAGGTAGGAGTTCTAGGAAGAGTAATCATAGATTTAGCCAATGAATATACCAGATTTTCTGTGGAAAATTCAGTTTTTAATATTTCATTATTTTAGTCACATAATTGCCCTGTCAGATTGTGTTCTGTTATCTGGAAGACCAAAATGGATGCTCCTTTATCAACTAAGAAGAACCCTAAAGTTAAGAAAACGAAAGTTACCTATGGGTGGAGGGTTCAGGGCTTGGTTGGCATGGGAACTTCGCAAATTCCTAAGGCTACAAGAAAAAACACAATCTTGCTAAATTTGCTAAAAATAGGAGCTATTGGGAAAATTGTCAGAACCTTACCAAACCTGATTTACAATCCAAACCACTATAGCTCTGATTGGACAAAGGACCAGCCTTACAAAAATTCTTTCCTGATAAGCAACCGAAGACCTCGAGCCAGTGTCAGCCAGTTTATAGAGACTGCATGCAAACTTTGTGTCCAATAGTTCACCTTTTGACATGAAGGGCCAAGTTCCACCTTATTTTAATGTTAAAACCTTACCCCAAAGTGAACGTGGGATTTGTGTTACATATGTTTATCCATTGCACGTGTGTTCAACTTCCCTCATAGATATGTATAACTTTTCTCCCAAAACTGCTGAATATGTTTTACTCTATTGTGTGATACAGGCCCTGTGAGGCATAAAAACCAATCTGCCCTTTTCCCTCTGGGAAGAGAGCACTTTTGGCATAAGCTGGAGACTGTCTCTTCCCGCTGTGCAAACTGAAATCACCAATATAGCTCTCCTTTCTACTATTTAGCCATCCTGGTGGTCTTTTGGATGACATATTCTTCTTCTTTAAAGGAACATGGTCTGACTCTGTTGCCAAGGATGGGCTGAGGTGGTGCCATCTGGATTCACTATAGCTTCAGCCTCCAGGTCTCAAGTGATCCTCCTGCCTCAGCCTCCCAAGTAGCTGGGACTACAGGTATGTGCCACCATGCCCAGCTAATTTTTTAGTTTTTGTAGAGATGGGGTCTCACTATGTTGCCCAGGCTGGTCTCAAACTCCTGGGCTCAAGCAATCCTCCCACCTCAGCCTTCCAAAATGCTGGGATTACAGGCATGAGCCATTGCACCTGGTTGGATGACAATTCTTTAGGTTTATCTGTGTTCTTATTTTAGGTTTGGAAAGATGGTATGACACTGTGATGTATAATAAGATATGCAGTATGTATAGATAGTCTTAGTCCCAGTATTCTGGCACACAGCTCCTAAAACCCTGGGAATCTCCAAAGTGATAAATGGTTTTTTGTATGCTAATGAAATGACAGTGATAAGTGGGTTTCTGCATGCCAGAAGCTCCTGGATAGCTTCAAGATAGGGGCTCCTTGCCCAGGAACTAACCACGTGATTAAAGAATTCCGGCTTTCAGCCCCAACACCAACCTTGAAGGAGAGGAAAGGCTGAAGGTTGAACTTATCACCAGTGACCAATAATTTAATCAATTCTGCCTACATAAGGAAGCCTCTATAAAATCCCAAAAGAAAGGCAGAGGCGGGTGGATCACTTGAGCCCAGGAGTTCAAGACAAGCCCGGGTAACATGATGAGACCCCGTCTCTACGAAAAATACAAAAATTGGCTGGGCGTCATGGCGCACACCTGTTAGTCCCAGTTACTCAGGAGGCGGAGAGGGGAGGATTGCGTGAGCCTGGGAGGCAGAGGTTTCAGTGAGCAGAGATCATGCCACTGCACTCCAGCCTGGGTGACAGAGTGAGAACCTGTCTCAAAAACAAAAACAAAGCCAAAGTCCAAAAGAAAAGGGTTTGGATAGCTTCCAAATTGCTGAACAGGTGGACATGCCTAGAAGGTGGGGCACCCAGAAACGGTGTGGAAGCTCTGGACTTCTGCTGGCCTTTCCATATGCATCTCTTCCATCTGGCTGTTCATCTGTATACTTTATTATATCCTTTATTAATAAACTGGAAAATATAAGTAAAGTGTTTCCCTGGGTTCAGTGATCTGCTCTAAGCAAATTAATCAAACCTGAAGAGGTAGGCATAGAGACCCCGATTTACAGTGGGTTGGTCAAAAGTACAGGTCACAACCTGAAGCTTGTGATTGGCATCGGAAGTGGGAGGCAGTCTTGGAGGATTGAACCATTAAACTGTGGGATCTGACGCTATCTCCAAGTAAATAGTGTTAGAATTGAATTAAATTATAGGACCCCCAGCTGATGTCTGCTGGAGAATTGCTTGGTGTGTGGGAAAAACCCCCATGCATCTGGTCACAGAAGCTTTCTGTGTTATACTGAGTGAATGTAAGAGTAAGAAGAGCACTTTGGGTGAGGTGCAGTGCCTCATGCCTGTAATCCCAGCAATTTGAGAGGCTGAGACGGGCAGATCACTTGAGGCCAGGAGTTCGAGAACAGCCTGGCCAACACGGCGAAACTCTGTCTCTATAAAGAAAGAAAACTAAGAAAAAATTTAAAAAGAAAAGCATTTTGATCTTTTCCCCCATCTCTATTAGATGGTGTGAATGTACCTGGTCTCCAAGCTTTTTGAATTGTGTCTATCAGCAATACAATTTTGAACTGAAATCCCTAACGTAAGAAATGTACACAAAACCACAGAAACTTAAAAGGACGAAATAAAATATATAAATAGATGTTCTAATATTCCCACACCCCTTGGAAGGTCATGTGTACCTGCTGTCCATGCACCCCATTTTGGAGGACACTAATGGAAGAGTAAAGGCAGTGTTGGTATCTGTAGTGTGAAGAGGCCCAGGACTGCTTCAGATGATCTCTACACCTGGAATCTGACCTGAAATAAGCTCTGATCTGAAATCAGATCTGAAATCTGTAATTAAGAATCTGACTTAATTTATGTTTGACTGCTGGTGGCTTTTAAGCCTTATCCCACCCCTCGTCCCCTTATGCCCTACACCTCTGGCAAGCTAAGAAAGCCTGGGTGCTCGCCAGACATGGTGGCCCATGCCTGTAATCCCAGCACTTTGGGAGGCCGAGGCAGGAAGATGACTTGAGCCCAGCCTGGGCAACATAGTGAGACACCATCTCTTTAAAAAAATAAAGCAAGCAAGCCTGGGTGTTTCCTTCTTTGATACCAGTGGGAAATTCAAACCACATGCAAGAAACATCACTCTGGCCCTACTCCCTAACCACCAAAAAACTCCAAGTCAGTCTCCTTCCCTGTTGTCAAATCCTGCTTAGGAGCTGCCCTGCTTTCCCCAGAAAGCTTCATTATGTGAGTAACAACCCTTTCATACTCTGTTGGTGTGTGTGTGGCTTCATCAGTCATTTTTTTTTTCTTTTTGAGACAGGGTCTCACTGTGTTGCCCAGGCTACAGTGCAATGAAACAATCATAGCTCACTGTAGCCTCCAACTTCTGGGCTCAAGTGATTCTCGTGCCTCAGCCTCCTGAGCAGCTGGGACAACAGGTGTGCACAACCATGCCCAGATAATTAAAAAATTTTTTTTCTTTTTTTGCAGAGATGGGGGTCTCTCTCTGTTGCCCAGGCTGGCCTTGAACTCCTGGCCTCAAGTGATCCTCCTGCCTTGGTCTCCCTAAGTACTAGGATTACAGGCGTGAGCCACTGAACTTGGCTATCAGTCTGGACATGTGAACCAAATTTTGAGTGTGGAATGCATCCTGTCTCAGTGCGGGATGGCCACAAAAAAATAGCATCCTCCTTTACAGTCCATCTACTCCTTTCTTTTCATAGCATTTAATACCACCTGACATATTATATATTTATTGTTTGTCTTCCCCACTAGACAGATCCCCAGCTTTAGTAAAGTGTTTGGTATAATCATCCGAGTGGCTACTTTGCTAGCAGTTAAAGGCACTAGTGCTACAGTCGTGAACAAGGCCCTTGCCCACATGAAGTGTACACTCCAGAGAGAAGGGTAGGTGTTCAATACATATTTGTTAAATGATAGACTATTAATATTATTTTGTCTGGAGGTAAGATATTACAAACATATCATAAATTAAATTTTTTATTCATTTTTTTGCATCAAAATAGTGCTTAAAATTGGAATTTATACTCACAAGACATAGCTAACATCCAAAGTAGACAATTAAAAAATATTATTTGAAAATTATGTACTTAGTACTGAAGACTTCCTAAATTTGCACATTAGCTAGATTGCCATTAGCACCATTAGAGAGTTGATCTTTGGCTAATGATTATTCAGGAAAATTTCAACCATTACAATCAGTGAGTATAATTTTATATTTCAGCAACGATAGTGGTCATGTTCAGCAACAGCTTCACTTACAAATTAAAGTAAGCTCACTTCAGTGTTGCACTCTGATGCTGTTTTTTTACCCCTTCTCTTGCAAATAACCAGTGAAATAAAAATTGCTTCTAACTGGCAATCGAAACAAGGGAGGAATTATGGCTAGCCAACTAGTTGCTAATGTTTGTGTTTTTTTTATTTAAGAAACATTTTAAATAATAGAGATGGGGTCTCACCATGGTGCCCAGGCTGGTTTAAACTCCTAGGCTCAGGCAATCCTCCCACTCGGCCTCCCAACATGCTGGGATCACAGGCTTCAGCCACCATGCCCGGACTGCTAATGTTTGTGAAAGGCAAATTGTAAACTTCTATGGTTTAACTTCACCAGAAGGGTAAAGGGCTCCCCACCTGCCACCTTGTTCTATAAAAAAAGTATACTCTGATTACTAGAATGGATTTTTAAAATTCAATTCAAAGATTCAATAACTATCAACATTTCTAAACACTGATTTTTCTTTTTCTCTTTTTCAAATGTTTTTTAATATCCTGCAGGTAATAACACTGATTTTTCTAATACTCAGAAACATCTACTTAGCAGTTGTGATACTAATTTGCAAAATGTAATAATGTTATACAAATATAAGATACTACTAAATACATAGTAGAAATAATTGCATGATTCCTGATATTTATATTCAAGGTATAAACATGACTGATTTCGCTGATACTACAGAATAAAAAAAATAAAGCTGCTATGTAAAAAATTAAAGAATATCTCAATTAGATATTTTTGTTCCCAATCTCTTTCAGACAGATCTATGAAATAATATAGAATATACTATCAATATGTTCTTTCATATGAAGTGAAAAAAATGGGATTTAAGTAGTGAGATAATTTCTATTTTTTACTTTTTTAAAAAAATAGACAGGGTCTTGCTATGTTGCCCAAGCTGGTCTCAAACTCCTGGGCTCCAGTGTGCTTCCTGCCTCAGCCTCCCAAAGTGCTGGGATTATAGGCATGAGCCATTGTGCCTGGCCTGTGGGATCATTTCTATTGGTTTTATATCAGTATTAATTAATAAGTCAATCAATTAATTAACCTTAATTATTTCTTTTTCTAAATAAGTATCAGCTGATTTAATCTCGCCCAATTGAATGCGTCTCTTTTGGTTGATCAATGCGATAGAGAAACTCTGCAGGTAAGAAGTATCCAAGATATTCCACTATATCTGGAGTAGTGTCATAATGGTAGTGTCCACCTTCTCCATGACGACTAAAAAAATGAGTGTGCTCCAGTCGCAAATCAAACCCCTAAGATAACAGACAAACAATATGTTAGTACTCAAATTATTGATTAGAGTTTAAGGGGGAGGGATAACTTTTTACGTTGCAATAGTTTTTATTTTTTAAATAGGTAATACATTCACATGTTCTAAATTCAAAGGGGGCAAAACGATGTATTCAGTAAAATGTATCTTCTTCTCTCTTGCCCTCACCACTCACTCCCCTTCCTAGCAGGTAACCAGTGTAAGCATTTTCTTGTATATCCTTCCATAAATACTTACTTTTATTTTTACTCAAATGTAGTATTTTGTACACACTTTTCTGCATGTAACTTTTTTTCATGTAACAATATAGTTTTGAGATCTTTGTATATGAAATCATAAAAGAGCTTCCTCATTCTTTTATACCTGCATGGTATTCTATTGCGTATGTAACTTCTCAACTGACACTTGCATTATTTCTAATTCTTTTGCTACTACAACAATACTGTAATAATAACCTTTTAACTAGTAATTTTACACAATTATGCATATATTTAAGTATAATATCCTAGGCATGTAATCACTGGATCAAGATATGACCAGGGTAGGCGGAGTAGCTCATGCCTGTAATCCCACCACTTTGGGAGGCTGAGGCGGGCGGATCACTTGAGGTCAGGAGCTCGAGACCAGCCTGGTCAACATGGCGAAACCCTGTCTCTACTGAAAATACAAAAATTAGCCGGGTGTGGTGGTGAGTACCGGTAATCCCAGCTACTCAGGAGGGTGAGGCAGGAGAACCACATGAACCCAAGAGGCGGAGGTTGCAGTGAGCCGAGATTGCATCACTGCACTCCAGCCTGGGCAACAGAGCGAGACTCTGTCACAAAAAATAAAAAAAAGAGAAGATATGACCAATATTTTAGTAGGTATTTGCTTTGAATTGGTCTGTAATATTTTTTCTAGCGTATAGTATTATAATATAATGAACACCAAACAAGATGACAGGAGACCTGAATCCTAGTTGTGACTCTACTAATTGTTTTTTTTGAGATGGGGATTATACTGTTACCCAGGCTGGTCTCAAACTTCTGGGTTCAAGTCAGCCTCCTCAGTAGCTAAGAATACTGGGGCATGTGACCATGCCCAACTACACCTGCTATTTAATAAAATAATTTTGGGTGTTATTTAAAATGCTTGTGCCTTCATTTTCTCAAAGGTAAAATCTGCTCTGCCTAACTCATAGGATGGTGAAGAGCTCCCTTATCTTCCAAAATAATTCTAGAGGCTACCCTCATTCTTAAATAACAACAACACATGGCCGGGCATGGTGGCTCATGCTTGTAATCCCAACACTTTGGGAGGCAGAGGTGGGTGGATCACCTGAGGTCAGTGGTTTGAGACCAGCCTGACCAACGTGGTGAAACCCCGTCTACTAAATATACAAAAATTAGCCAGGCATGGTGGCAGATGCCTATAATCCCAGCTACCCGGGAGGCTGAGGCAGGAGAATCGCTTGAACCCAGGAGGCGGAGGTTGCAGTAAGCTGAGATCCTGCCATTGCACTCTAGCCTGGGCAACAAGAGTGAAACTCTGTCTCAAAACAACAACAACAACAAACACAAAAGTGCCTAGTTCTTAAAGATTATCCTAAAAATCAAGCATTATCATTGTAGTATAATATAAAAAACAGACACAGACTTACTGGGTCTCTGGAGACAAAAACTGGTAGACAAACCAAAGGAGCTTTCATTTCATAAAAATGCAACCATTTATTCACTTCTTCATCAGAGTTCAAGGGGCAGGAAGAAAATTCTGCAGGCTACAACAAAAGATAATTACATAGGTAAACATACTGAATATTACTAAGAATTAAAAATTTTAAAAATATATTTTACTTATTTATTATTATTGTTTAATTATACTTGAAGTTCTGGGTTACATGTGTAGAACATGCAGTTTTGTTATATAGGTATACACGTACCCTGGTGGTTTGCTGCACCCATCAACCTGTCACCTACATTAGGTATTTCTCCTAATGCTATCCCTCCCCTAGTCCCCCACTCCCCGAAAGGCCCCGGTGTGTGATGTTCCCCTCCCTGTGTCCATGTGTTCCCATTGTTCAACAACCCACTTATGAGTGAGAACATGGGGTGTTTGGTTTTCTGATCTTGTGATAGTTTGCTGAGAATGATGGTTTCCAGCTTCATCCATGTCCCTGAAAAGGACATAAATTCATCCTTTTTTATGGCTGCATAGTATTCCATGGTGTATATGTACCACATTTTCTTAATCCAGTCATTTGAGTTGGTTCCAAGTCTTTGCTATTGTGAATAGTGCTGCAATAAACATATGTGTGCGTGTATCTTTATCACAGAATGATTTATAATCCTTTGGGTATATGCCCAGTAATGGGATTGCCGGGTCAAATGGTATTTCCAGTTCTAGATCCTTGAGGAATCACCACACTGACTTCCACAATGGTTGAACTAATTTACACTCCCACCAACAGTGTAAAAGCATTCCTATTTTTCCACAACCTCTCCAGCATCTGTTGTTTCCTGACAGGGTCTGGCTCTGTCACCCAGGCTGGAGTGCAGTGGGATGATCACAGTGGGCCTGGAAAAAGCACCACAAGTTTCCACTCTGGTGTGTGGGATTGGCAGCTGGGCCCCCAGCCTTCAGGCCTTCCCTGGCCCGAAAGTGGGGCCTCACCGGAAACCCGCCCCCTTCTGCCCCGGAACCTGTCTGCCTCCTGCTGCCGATCACGGAATCCAGGCTGTAGGTGCCAAGGGGTGCCTGAAGGCCAGTGGGGAGCTGCTCTCAGCCGCCGCTCAGCTTCCCTTCTACGCTCGTGTCAGCGCCCCAAATCCAGAAGGGGCCGGGACGGCAGGGGGCTGGTGTGTCAGCAGTGCCCTGAGCGTGTGCACACCTGGCTGGGCTGCGACAGCGACCGGGCTCTGCCTGACTTTGCTCCTGGATCGGAGCAGGCGCCGACAGCAGGGAGAAGCCAGGCAGTGGGAGCAGGCATTTCCAAGCCTGTAAGAGCAGTGGGGGCCTTCCCAGACCCCCAAGAATGCAGGAATGCCTGGGTCCGCAGCCACGGTTTGGGCAGCTGCAGCTGTGTGGAGAAGGCAGGGCTCCTGCCTGCTCCGTGGAGCGGGAGACCCAGGTCTGCAGCCGCGGGTTTGAGCTGCTGCAGCTGCGCCTGGGCAGTTGGGGCTCTCGCCTGTTCCCACTGGGAGAGCACAGGGATGCCAGGGACTACAGCCATGGCTTGGGCGATTGCAGCGGCACCAACGGAGCTCCAGCGCCAACTCGGAAGGGGCAGGACTCCCACCTGTCTTCAGCTCCCACCCGCTCCATAGAGTGTGTAGCCTCAGCCGTGCCTCCCTGCTGCAGCCGCTCCAGAGAGCCTGCCGCTGCCATCATCACTATGTTGACCAGGCTGGTTTTGAATTCCTGGCCTCCAGCGGTCCTCCCACCTGGGCCTCCCAAAGTGCTGGGATTACAGGCATGAGTCACTCTGCAGGCCTTGAATTTATCTTGATCTTAAAAACAAACATATCCAAAATAAAGTTCTAATATACTAACATGGACAAAGATATTATCTTACAATCTGATTTATAAAATTATCATTTAAATTTTAAAGTAATACAATCATAATAAAAAGGATTTGTTTAAAGTGTCTTCAAATGTAGAATTCCCAACACATACTTTACAATCCTAAGATCTGGCCCGGTGCAGCGTCTCACGTCTGTAATCTCAGCACTTTGGGAGGCCGAGACAGGTGGATCAGCTGAGGTCAGGAGTTCGACACCAGTCTGGCCAATGTGGCAAAACCTTGTCTCTACTAAAACTACAAAATGAGCCGGTTGTGATGCTGCATGCCTATAATCCCAGCTACTCAGTAGGCTGAGGCAGGAGAACCCCTTGAATCCGGGAGATGGAGGTTGCAGTGAGCCAAGATTGTGCCACTACACTCCAGCATGGGCAACAGAGCAAGGATCCGTTTAAAAAAAAAAAAAAATCCTAAGATCTTAAGTAAGTGCACACACACAAACTCCTTCATGCATGTATGCACACATGGGCTCTTACCATAATGTGAGACTTCACTTTTCCCTTCTGAATTATGAAAGTACCTCCCATTCCTATAGGCTTATTTCCATAATGTTTTTCCAGGGTCTCTCTCATACAAGTCACAAAGTTAAGTGGTCCAGTTCTTCTTTTGGCTTTCACCTCAATTACCTATAGAGGACATAAAGATGCATACCATTGACTATGCTGCAAAATAACTACTGAAATAAAACATTATATAATTTAATTCTATCAAGCAAATATTCTGTTCTTTGCTTAGAGCCCCCAGATCTGAGTTGAGATGTTGCAATCCCGTGAATTTTGATCAGTCATATATATATGTATGCACACACACACACACATACTTATCAGTTACATGTAATTTACTAGTAAGTCTTAAGCATGCTTTCTTGAACTGAGAAACTGAGAAAGACAAGTTTCTCAGTGCAGAGAGTCTAGAGACTCTTAACATACGTGTCGAGGCAGTCAAAGATTGAGAATTACCTTTGGTAATTCTTTGGTTAAAGGAATTAACCTTTGGTAAGTGGGGATGAGGAGAAAATGATTACATTTTCTCACTTCCCTTAAAATTCTGTATTATCTCCACAACTTGGACGTTAAGTATTTTCACTTCTCAATCTCTTATCTCAAAGTAGCTGAAGAGGCTATCTCTACTTCCAAAACTGGAGAGTCTTCACAAAAGCTAACACTGAAATCATATTTTTGTGTACTAATAGGAAGTAAATATCAAGTAAGGCATTAGTTTTCCTTACTTTGTTCTTGCTGTAAGTTTTTGCTACCACCATTTCTATCTAGAGCAATGTGTGATTCATCAGAAAGAAGCAAATAACCTATTTACTACCTGTAAGTAGGCATTATTTATTTTAGCTGTATGGTTCATGTAGATGACAAACTCACTCCCCAAATTAATATTCTATTACCTTTTAGTTCTCAGAAAAAGGTCTTGCTTACTAAGTAGTCTTTTTTTTTTTTTTTTAAGACAGGTCTTGCTGTCACCTAGGTAGGAGTGCAGTGGTGTGATCATAGCTCGTTGCGGCCTCAAACACCTGGGCACAAGGGATCCTCCTGCATCAGCCTCCTGAGTAGCTAGGACTATAGGCATGTACCACCACACCTGGCTAATTAAAAAAAAAAATTTTTTTTTTTTTTTTTTGACAGGGTCTTGCCATGTTGCCCAGGCTGGTCTGAAACTGCCAGCCTTAAGTGATCCTCCAGCTTTGGCCTCTCAAAGGACTGGAATTATAGGCATAAGCCATTGTGCCAGCCATACTATTCTTTTTTTTTTTTTTTTTTTTTTTGGAGACAGAGTCTTGCTTTGTTGCCCAGGCTGGAGTGCAATGGTGCAATCTTGGCTCACTGCAACCTCTGTCTCCCAGGTTCAAGCAATTCTCCTGCCTCAGCCTCCCAAGTAGCTGGGACTACAGGCATGTGCCACCTTCCCTGTCTAATTTTTGTATTTTTAGTAGAGACGAGGTTTCGCTATGTTGGCCAGACTGGTCTCAAATGCTTGACCTCAGGTGATCTACCCACCTTGGCCTCCCAAAATGCTTGGGAATACAGGCGTGAGCCACCGCGTCTGGCCTCCAGCCATATTATTCTTAACCTTAAAGATGACTTTTGCTCTGCCTGTCATACTCTCTGAACCTTTCATTACTGGGTTATTTAAAGAGCTTTGACTTAGGAAGCTCTAATTTTCTTTTTTTTTTTTTTTTTGAGACAGAGTCTCACTCAGTGGCCCAGACTGGAGGGTAGTAGCATGATCTTGGCTCACTGCAACCTCTGCCTTCCGAGTCTGAGCGATTCTCTCACCTCAGCCCCCCCGAGTAGCTGGGATTACAGGCACACACCACCACACCCTGCTAATTTTTGTATTTTTTGGTACAGATGGGGTTTCACCATGTTGACCAGGCTGGTCTTGAACTCCTGACCTCAAGTTGACCTCAAGTTATCCACCCAGCTTGGCCTCCCAAAGTGGGAAACTAATTTTCTTAGCAAAACCATATTTATGGCAGTAAAAGTTCACATTTTTAGCTTTCTGAGAACATTTAGGGAATATTGTATTTTTATGGACACAATCACCTTGCCAGGTTGGCCTTCACTGGCAAAAAGATTAGCCAGTAATGCACACTGAAAATCATGACATTTCTCACTGTATTTCTCCAGTAGGCACCCTCCATCTGCAGGGTTCACATGGGCAAAGTAACTTCCATTTACAGGAGGCTTGTGTTCACTTTCTGTCTGAATAACTGGCATAAACTGAAAAGAAAGTGAGGCAATTAGTCAATCTTTGTATCTCTGCAAAGAGAATATCTTGAATAATGTTACAAAACATTTAATCCTTTTAAGACATTTTAGTTCAAGTCCTAATAAGAGAACATAAAATACATAATATTTAATTTTAGACATAAAAAACTTGGAAAACATTTATAGGCCGGGCGCTGTGGCTCATGCCTGTAATCCCAGCACTTTGGGAGGCCAAGGGGGGCGGATCACGAGGTCAAGAGAAGAGATCAAGACCATCCTGGCCAACATGGTGAAAACCTGTCTCTACTAAAAATACAAAAATTAGCTGGGCGTGGTGGCACACACCTGTAGTCCCAGCTACTCAAGAGGCTGAGGCAAGAGAATTGCTTGAACCTGGGAGGTGGAGGTTGCAGTGAGCCAAGATCGCGCCACTGCACTCCAGCATGGCGACAGAGCGAGACTCCATCTCAAAAAAAAAAAAAAAAAAAAAAAAGATATTTATTGGATTTCTTACAGTGTATCTATAACTTGCGTTAAATATCTTATTTTAAATTTTTAACTTTTTTTCCTAACTTGAACACTAGGCAAATTGTACTAATGTTTCTGCAAAGAACTTGTATGACTACTATTCATATCTGAAGAGGTTATGAGAGAATGAGCAGACTGAAGTCTTGTATTCATGAGATTCAAAGAAACAGTAATATTTTCATATGGTAATAATATATACTAGTAATAACTATTAACTTTCATAAATAACCATCATACTATTGTGATAGTTTCCTACTATTTGGTGTGGAAGAAGGAGTTGACTAGATCACTAATATTCCATTCATCTTCTAATCCAAAGCTGCCTGCATACCCAAAGCAAAGATTTATAGATAAGCTCGGAATCCTGTAAGAATATAAATATTTTATAATCCAGAACCTTCAACAGAATACCATAGAACCCTGCATTTATCTAAGGCTGAAGCTATGACCTAAGAAAATCTAAAACTACAAGTTAGTACTCCATTACAGTTAGTCCAGTTGGAGTGTGTGCTATAGCAGAAATCTACATCAAGTAGTATCAAACCTGCAGAGAGATTTACAATTCACTCAGAAAGTAGGATTTTTGGCACTAAAAGCAAAAAGACAAACCAAATGTCAAACCAATAAAGTAAAATAATTTTCTTATATATGCTGACCTCAGAATTGAACCCGAGAGTCTGAAATGGACCTGCTCCTGCTCCAAGAATAAAGGCTCCAGGCAGCTTGATTTCTTTTGCAATTTTATTCAGATCATAAACCTATAGAAGAGGAAAAAATATTATTTAAGTCACAACTTGTACAAAGTCCCTGGTTTACCTTTTATTACTGATCCATTAGCACTTCCTTGCCAACTGATCAACAGGTCTTCTAATAATAAACACAGTAATCAACCCAACTTCTACAATCTTCATGTGAATATGCAGAGTAAAAGTACTTACTTTTTTTTGGTTTACAAGAGGCAATAAGTAAGGCACACCTCCAACTTCTGCAATTCTAGTTTTCCCACAGATGCCTAAGAAAAAACCAAAAAACAAAAACACAAGCCACCTTAAAAACAGGCAAACATCTAATTTAATAATAAAATGCCAACAGTATATAACTTCTCCATTATCATAAAGTTTTACAAATAACAGGGATTGGAAGACATAGTGGCTAGAACCCCTGTCCTATTTTAAGTACCTGTGTCTCTAATAATCATCATAACCAAGCATGGCTTATAAAGTTGGTGGCATAAAGGCAATACAAGGCAAGGGCAAGGGTTAGAACTGGGGCCAAAGTTTGGATTGGGTAAGGTTTCTAGAATGTCTTTGACGCCTTATTTCTTTAAAAAAAATCTATTTTGGGGTGGTTTTCCTTTTTTTGGCTAAAATTGTTTCTTGTTTTTTAATTTAAAATATTTTGCTCTGGTACAATGTAAATTCTCAGATGGTGGCTCACGCCTGCAATCCCAGCACTTTGGGAGGCTGAGGCGGGTGGATCACCTGAAGTCAGGAGTTCGAGACCAGCCTGGCCAACATGGTGAATCTCTACTAAAAATAGAAAAATTAGCTGGGCATGGTGGCGGGAGCCTATAATCCCAGCTACCAAGGAGGCTGGGGCAGGAGGATTGCTTGAACCCGGCGGGGGCAGAGGTTGCAGTGAGCCAAGATTGTGCTACTGTATTCCAGCCTGGGCAACAGAGCAAGACTCTGTCTCAAAAAACAAAACATCACGAGGTCAGGAGATCGCGACCATCCTGGCTAACACGGTGAAACCCCATCTTTACCAAAAATACAAAAAATTAGCCGGGCGTACTACTCAGGAGGCTGGGTGTACTACTCAGGAGGCTGAGGCAGGAGAATGGTGTGAACCTGGGAGGCAGAGCTGGCAGTGAGCCGAGATCGCGCCACTGCACTCCAGCCTGGGTGACAGAGCGAGACTCCGTCTCAAAAAAAAAAAAAAAAAAAACCCAGAGAGATCTAGGTGAGATGTACAAATTTCAAAGTTATATTCAGGTAGTAATTAAAACCATAAGAGTGGATTTAAAAAATACCCAGATAGATTACTAGAAATAAGAAGAGGCTAAGGAAAGAATTCTGGAAAAGATCAATATTTAAGAGACTATTAGAAAGAAAAAGGAACCAGGAAAATATGGAAGAAAAGAGGAAGGAAAGGCACAAAGGAAGAACAGGTGAAACAAGGATAGAGAAGATAGAACCTAGGGGAGAATGTCAGGCAGCAATGGCCAAGCAGTATGAAATACGTGGAGAGGTTAAATAGTACTAGTAAACATTTTAAGGTCACTGGTGATCTTAGCAAGACCAGTTCATGTAGAAAATGTCTAACACACCACTGCATCCAGCTAATTTTTGTACTTTTAGTAGAGATTGGGTTTCACCATGTTGGCCAGTTTGGTCTTAAACTCCTATGTTTATGAAAGATCATACATACACATATTAGATGCATATCTGGCTTCTAGTATTGCAATTTAAAGACTCACAAATTACTGACCAGAAAACACTTCTTCCAAGCATAACTCTGCATGACAAAATTAAGACTAACCATTTTGGCTGGGCATGATGGCTCACACCTGTAATCCCAGCACTTTGGGAGGCCGAGGCGGGCACATCACTTGAGACTGGGAGTTCGAGATCAGCCTGGCCAACATGATGAAACCCCGTCTCTACTAAAAATACAAAAATTAGCCAGGTGTCGTGGTGCACACCTGTAATCCTAGCTACTTGGGAGGGTGAGGTATGAGAATCGCCTGAACCCGGGAGGCAGAGATTGCAGTGAGCCAAGATTGTGCCACTGTACTCCACACTCCAGTCTGGGCGACAGAGCGAGATTCCATCTCACACACACACACACAAAAAAAAAAAAAAAAAAAAAAAGATTAACCATTTTTCCTTCTTTCTTGTACTCTTCTGTCTCCTGACCTTTATTTAATTTTAGTTAATTACTTAATTAGCAGGGGAAATACATTACACTCATATTTTTAAAAAAATCAAGGCTGGGCGTGGTGGCTCACGCCTGTAATCTCAGCACTTTGGAAGGCCGAGGTGGGCGGATCACGAGGTCAGGAGATCGAGACCATCCTGGCTAACACGGTGAAACCCTGTCTCTACTAAAAATACAAAAAATTAGCCAGGCGTGGTGGCACATGCCTGTAGTCTCAGCTACTCAGGAGGCTGAGGCTGGAGAATCGCTTGAACCTGGGAGGCAGAGGTTGCAGTGAGCTGAGATTGCGCCACTGAACTCCAGCCTGGTGACAGAGTGAGACTCTGTCTCAAAAAAAAAAAAAAAAAAAAAAAACTATAAAAAAGTACTATGCTAAATCCTTTGAAGAAGCTAAAAGAAATTGCCACATGGTACACAAGCCTTCTAGAATTTACAGCTCTACTTAAAATCAAAGATTGTTTAAGCTGTAAAGGCCCCCAAAAAACATTCAATTCAAATCCCCTCATGCTAATGTTATCTCAAAGTCAGGTTTGTTCTAAGACAGAACTAGAGTCCAGAATTTCTATGGCAAACTCCTTTTTAGCAAAGATGTTAATTACATAATAAAAAGAACACTTTGAGTGTTTATCCTCAAATTCCTCATCATAATAGGGTATAACAGGAGGGGGTTAGACTTTGGAAACAGACTTGCATTTGAATCCTGGTTATGATTTACACTGAGCTTATCTAGCCTCTCTCGTTTTCAGTTTTCTCATCTATAAACAAGGGCTACTACTTACCTTGTGGTGTTATTGTAAAAACTGAAACATCAACTAACTATCTATCATACTGACAAATTATTTTATTCTTCTAATACTAATTTCCCTTCCTTCTCACTTCAAACAGTGGATGCTCACTTGGCAAATTTGTTGAAGGATTAGTTTTAACAGATCATTCAAATACAAGGCTTTTAGGATCCCTTCTGGTCTTGAATAAATAAAATCATAAAAATTAAAATCAGTTTCCATAACAGTCTGAGCAATTAAAAGCAAAACTCTCGTGTGATACAAAGAATTCTAACCTATTGGATATCTATTCTACAATCTGTGAAGGTTACATAAGTGAATAAAACACAATCCTTTTCCACAAGAGTATGAAATGAAATTTAACCAATATCAGAAGAGTGAGCACAGAAATTTGGCACAATTTAGCCTAAATGTTGTGACAATATCCTTTATTTGTAGATAATTTAAGATGTCCTTAAAAATAATTCTAGTTTCAGAAAAAGATTATGACTAAAAAACAAAAGCTAATTGCAAAAATTGCTTACCTTTTACAGGAAAGGTAAAGGGTTCCTTAGTCAAATCAGGGCAATCAACTACAGAGACCTGGACATCAGCAAAGTTATCTTTTAACCCCTTCTGCATAACTAATAAAGACAAGGAATAAGATTATTTAACATTAGGTAAAAACTTGGCTACCACGTATCAAAAGTGGTATGTGGCTCTCAACACACTCCCAATCTCAACTTGTATAATAAAAAAGAAGGGGGAAATGGTCTTATTAATGAATATAATTAGACATTAGACATAATCACAAGATACAACGTAGACTAAGATATATAAATACTTCCTCTACAGTGATTTTCAACTGTTGAAGATAAACAGCCTGCACTTGTGTGAGGGTGAGGATTACCTTCTTTTTTGAGAGAAGATTCCAAAAACCAACTGAAATGCAAACATTTAAACTTTTTAAAAAGTAAGCAATCACATGTAACAACTTCAGTGAAGGTAACAGACAATATGTTGAACAAAGCAGCCAGACACAAAACACTACATACAATATTACTTCACCTTATGCATCTCAGAAACAGGCAATGGATCAAGGCTGACTGGGAAGGTGTGCAAAGGAGCCTTCTGGGATGTTGGAAATATTTTACATTTTGATCTGGATAGTAGTTACATAGGTGTAACTATTGTTAACATTCATCAAGCTGTACACTCAAGATTAGCATACTTTACTGTAGATAGTTATACCTCAGTAACAATGTAAAAAAGCATAGGTGTCTCAAAGTTATTAATGTAAGACCAATGTATTTCCCTCTCTCTTTTTTTCTTTTATATGTAGAGACCAGGTCTTGCTATATTGCCCAGGCTGGTCTCGAACTCCTGGACTCATGTGATCTTCCTGCCTTGGGTCCCCCAAAGTGCTGGGATTACAATGAGCCATCACACCTAGCCTCAACAGTTTTTTTTTTTTTTTTTTTTTTTGAGACAGAGTCTCACTCTGATAGCCTTACCTACCCTGTCGCCCAGACTGGAGTGCAGTGGTATGCAGCATGATCTTGGCTCACTCAGCCTTGATCTCCAGGCTCAAGTAATCCTCCCACCTCAAACTCCCCAGTAGCTGGGACTACAGGTGGATGCCACCATGATTGGCTAATTTTTGTATTTTCTGTAAAAATGGGGTTTTGGCTTGTTGCCCAGGTGGCTCTCAAACTCCTGGGCTTAAGAGATCTGCTCACCTTGGCCTCCCAAAATGCTGGAATTATAGGCATGAGCCACTGCATCAGCCTATGTACTTTTAAGGATCAAAAGTTCTTACAAAATGTCTTTTTTTTTTTTTTTTTTTGAGATGGAGTCTCACCCTGTCACCCAGGCTGGAGTACAATGGCGCAATCTCGGCTTACTGCAACCTCTGCTTCCCAGGTTCACGCCATTCTCCTGCCTCAGCCTCCCGAGTAGCTGGGGTTACAGGCGCCCGCCACCACACCCAGCTATTTTTTCTATTTTTAGTAGAGACAGGGTTTCACCATGTTGGCCAGGCTGGTCTTGAACTCCTGACCTCGTGATCTGCCTGCCTCAGCCTCCCAAAGTGCCGGGATTACAGGCATGAGCCACCGCACCTTGCCAATTTCTTTCTTTCTTTTTTTTTTTTTTGAGACTGAGTCTCGTGTTGTTGCCCAGGTCGAAGTACAGTGGCGCGATCTTGGCTCAACGTAACTTCTGCCTCCCAGGTTCAAGTGATTCTTGTAGCTCAGACTCCTGAATAGCGGGAATTACTGGCACACACCACCACACTCAGCTAATTTTTGTATTTTTAGTAGAGATGGGGTTTTGCCATGTTGGCCAGGCTGGTCTTGAACTCCTGACCTCAAGTGATCTGTCCACCTTGGCCTCCTAAAGTATTGAGATTACAGGCATGAGCCACTGTGCCAGGCCATAAAATTTCTACTTTTTCTGAATATATCCTGCACATATAGAAGGAAAATAGAAACAAACACAAAAGTGAAAACAGATTCTAGAAAAGCAATCAAAGAAAAAATCTGGCCAAGCATGGTGGCTCATGCCTGTAATCCCAACACTTTGGGTGGCCGAGGCAGGAGCATCGAGTGAGGCCAGGAGTTCAAGAGCATCCTGGGCAACAGAGCAAGATCCTATGTCTACAAAAAGAAAAAAGAAAAAGAAAAAATTCCTAACTGCCCTGTCATATTAGGGAAGACAGACTGATGAAAAAGAAATACAGGCCAAACAATACAGATTGTTTATTAGCTACCATTCAATTAGGGAAAAAAAAAAAGATTATAAGAGGAAAGTTACAACAAAGCAAAAATGAGTCTATTTCTTAACTTCAATCTTATCAGGATGACAAATGAACTACCAGAACATCACATTTTGAGAAACAAGCGAAGGTTCTATAGTTACCATTAGAACAGAACCTAGAGGTTGTTAAATAAAGGTTAGTATTCTGACAGACTTTACAGTTTTGGATAACAACTATTCCTGGCTTCATTTTTGTACTCGTTTTTGTTTTCCTTTTTTTGACTATCTTCCCTCCTAATTTATCTTGGGAAACTGCCTTAAATCAAAGCAAGTTCACTGGCAGTCTGTCATTATCAGTGGTGGGGGGGAATTATATTGGGAATATGATTAACATACAACAGTAGAGTATACATTTAAAGAATAATGTAAGTGAAAAAAGTTAAAGCAAAATTTTGCGACTCTTTGGGCATCACACATGCTTAAGTCTTGGATTACTAATCATTTACATCTTGTAAAGTTGGTATCATCAATAATCTATAAGTGAAAGAAAAAAGAATTTATAAATTATAATTTTAGTTTTTTTAGACAGAATTTGGACTTTCTCAATAAAAATGGGACAGAACAGATACTGAAATGGAAAATGAATTCTGTACCAAAAGTATTATTTTGATAAGTAAGATATAGATATACATAAGTAGTAAGATATAGATAGATCTTAGAATCTTTTTAAAAGAATTTTCTCTTGGGATAATTTTTAAAAATCCAAAGTTAATATTGTTTTTACCTCCAGCAAGCTCTTCAAGACTTGGTACATGAAAAGAAAACTCAGCACAAGCCATTTTCTTTCTTCTTTAGGTGTGAGGTTGGACAAATAGAGCTACTCTTGGTTAATTATCACAAGAGTCCACAGCGCACCAAGTATGAACAGTTTCTGTTCTGGAAATGAACATTGAGCATTCAAACATATAAACAGAACAAAAGGGCATTTAGGTTTCTATCTTCATAAACAGGCAAACACAGCTTCCAGCATTTAATATTCCAAGTGAGAAATAGACAAGTGGCCTTTTAATACTTACACTTTATTTTATTGTAATTTAAAATTTAAAACTAATTTTTTAATAGAAACAAGGTGTTACTATGTTGCCCAGGCTGGTCTTGAATTCCTGGCCTCAAGCCATCCTCTGCCTCCCAAAATGCTGGGATTACAAGTGTGAGCCACTGCTCCCAGCTGATTCATTTTTTTTTTAAATATCATATAGCTGGAGTGAACATCCAATTTTCTAATGGTGGGTCTAAGGAATATAGGTCTTGAAGCAAAAGGTACTTATTAGGGGTTTATGGATAAGTGTTCAAATGGTTGTAGATAACAGTACATATAGGATTTGTATAGTACATATAGGATCTCAAGTATTTCTGTAATAGATATGTGTGTTTTTTATTCTATATTTCACATTTAGGCCAAAAATTAAATGAGTTCCTTAGACTATCACTTTTTCAAAATAAAATTTAAATTACGAATAGAAATGGAAACTTTTATGGAATGATTAGCCTTTGAAATTCAAATTTTTATTTTCATTTACAAATAAACATACTTTCTTGGTAAATAGATTTAATGTTCAATTCTGATAATCTATCCAATTATAATTTGATATTTAAATATATGCTTTTCTATCATTGCAACTAAAAAATAAAATATATGCCAAGTATACTTTGTAACAAATAAGTGCACATACACAGAGATTAGTATCTTACCTTAAGTGTTCAGTGATGAAGTATGCAACCAGAGGGAGATAAAATGAAGACAGGGAAAAATATAAGTAATATGAGGTAGACAGGTATCCTACTCCAAGCCAATCACAACAGGGAACACAGACAAGACTCTTAAGGGTGTTTCTAAGAGTACTGCAGGAGTTCTCGTTAAAACTGTTAATAGAACACTTCATTAATCTGAGTGGCCTCTGCCCTTAACATGCCTATTTAGCAAGTGGAACGGTGATCTTCAGCCATTTGAAATATTCTTCCAAATTTTTTTTTCTAATTTTCCAAAGATTCACAGGTTGCTTAGAAACTGGGTTTCTAGTTCTGGTACTTTCCAACAACATATCCTCTATAATCATTCTATTGCAAACATTTAGGATGTTATATTTACTTTAGTACTTTATCAAATACCAGCTTTTATTGTTCTTGATTTAATACATGTAATCTAATCTCCCAAATATATATAACTGTTTATTAACGGTCCCAAATTTTTGAGACGGAGTCTCGCTGTGTCACCCAGGCTGGAGTGCAATGGCATGATCTCGGCTCACTGCAACCTCCGCCTCCCAGGTTCAAGAAATTCTCCTGTCTCATCCTCCCCAGTAGCTGGGATTACAGGCATGTGCCATCATGCCCGGCTAATTTTTTGTATTTTAGTAGAGACGGGGTTTCACCATGTTGCCCAGGTTGGTCTCAAACTCCTGAGCTCAAGCAATCCACTTGCCTCGGCCTCCCAAAGTGCTAGGATTACAGGCGTGAGCCACTGCACCCGGCCCCCAAATCTTATATAATCATACTTAAATTATTTTAAACATAGTTTTGTGTGGGGAAAAGAGAGCTCAGACTGTTACTGTGTCTATGTGGAAAAGGAAGACAAAAGAAACTCCGTTTTGATCTGCACAAAGAAAAATTGTTTTGCTTTGAGATGCTGTTAATCTGTAACTTTAGCCCCAACCCTGTGCTTACAGAAACATGTGCTGTATTGAATCAAGGTTTAAGGGATTTAGGGCTGTGCAGGATGTGCCTTGTTAACAATATGTTTGCAGACTGTATGCTTGGTAAAAGTCATCGCCATTCTCCATTCTCTATTAACCAGGGACATGATGCACTGCAGAAAGCTGCAGGGACCTCTGCCCAAGAAAGCGTGGGTATTGTCCAAGAATTCCCCCCACTGAGACAGCCTGAGATATGGCCTCGTGGGAAGGGAAAGACCTAACCGTCCCCCAGCCTGACACCCATAAAGGGTCTGTGCTGAGAAGGATTAGTAAAAGAGGAAGGCCTCTGTTTCCCGCATATCCCTGGGAACAGAATGTCTCCGTGTAAAGCCGACTATTCGTTCTATTCTGAGATAGGAGAAAACCACCCTGTGGCTGGAGGGGAGATATGCTGGCAGCAATACTGCTCTGTTACTCTTTGCTACACTGAGATGTTTGGGTAAAGAGAAACATGAATCTAGCCTACTTACACATCTGGGCACAGTACCTTCCCTTGAACTTATTTATGACGCAGATTTCTTTACTCACATGTTTTCCTGCTGACCTTCTCCCCACCATCACCCTGTTCTCCCACCGCAGTTCCCTTGCCGAGATAGTGAAAAGTAATCAATAAATACTGAGGGAACTCAGATACCAGTGCCGGTGCAGGTCCTCGCATACTGAGTGTGCCCGTCCTCTGGGCCCACTGTTCTTTCTCTATACTTTGTGTCTTATTTATTTTCTCAGTCTCTCTTCCCACTTGACGAGAAATACCCACAGGTGTGGAGGGGCAGGCCCCCTTCAGTTTTGGGTTGAATAATTTATAATTGTTCAGGAATGAGACAGTTTAACTTTTTCTTTTAAATAATTTCAGATTGACAAATATTACATACAAATAATTCCTATACATTCTTCACCCAGATTTCCCAAATGTTAACATTTTATCACATTCTTTATCAAGCAAACATTGGGTACTAACTTATTTATGAACATGTCAAAATCTGCACAATGAATAGTATATTCATTTATAATGATAAAAACACTTTACATATTTTTGCTGGCAGTAGGAATAAGAACACAAGTTAAAATCCAAATGTAATCTTAATTTTATTCCCTTTATTATCTCTTTAGTAAAAAGTTAGGTCAGTTGTTTCCGTTTATTTATGTCCCTACCAAAGTAGAAACAAAGTCCAATCTTGGGAGGATGTAGCTTGAATAACTGGTTTAGAAATGTACTTATTAGGGGTACTTATTAGGGATTAGTGGATAAGTGCTTAAATGGTTGTGGATAACAGTGCATATAGGACTCTCAAGTATTTCTATAACAGACACTTGTGCGTTCTACTCTATATTTGACATTTAGACAAAAAAATCAAATGAGTTCCTTAGACTATCACTTTTTCATAATAAAATTTAAATTATGAAGGCCCGTCCAATTCTAAAATGATGTGAACTTCAGGCAGGCTGATGGCACAGCAGGCAGTGTGGTAGCATGTGTATGTGAGTGTTTATGTGTGTGTTGGAGGTGGGGAGAGGGTTACAGTTGGAGCTGAGAAAGGAGTTAGGTTCTCACATAAACTCCAGGAATACAGCCTTGGGCCAGATGGAGGCAAACAGTATTTTCCTGCCTAATTGGTGGGAGTCGATGGCCCAGAAATAGGGTCTAGAAGGGAAACGGAGCTGCAGAGGTTAACACCTGGAGGGGTAGACCAACTATCGCAACTAAACTGGTTACCATTTGAGTGCACACTATATACCAGACACCGTTAGACACTGTGCAGACGTTCTCTCAAAACTTTTCACAACCATGACAGGTTGTAAGACAGGCTGTGGGTCTTCAGGGGTCGCGGGCATCCCCTAGACACAGCCGCAGGGCCTGCATGGAGTTCGCTCCTACCGGCGACCAAAAGCGCTCGCTCCGGCTCCAGCATCTGCTCACCCCCACGCACCCTCCCATAAAGGGTGGAGCGCAGCAGGCCTGGGTGACTGGAGTTCGTGGCTTCCAGCACTCCAGTTCCCGCCTCATTCACTCGCGCCCCCCCTCCCGCGAGGAGTTGAGAGCCGTGGGCTAAGTAAGTGAGGCACCGCAGCCGCAAGACCCACGAAGGGGTCAGAGGAATATCCTGCTTCAACTGCACTCCAGCCTGGGTGGCAGAGCAAGACCCTGTCTCTATAACACAAACAGAGAAATACCAAATGTGGCCGGGCGCGGTGATTCACGCCTGTACTCCCAGCACTTTGGGAGGCCGAGGCAGACGGATCACTTGAGGTCAAGAGTTCGAGACCTGCCTGGCCAACATGGTGAAACCTGGTCTCTACTAAAAGTACAAAAATTAGCCGGTTGTGGTGGCGGGCGCGTGTAGTCCCAGCTACTTGGGAAGCTGAGGTGGGTGGATCTCTTGAGCCCGGGAGGTGGGGGTTGCAGTGAGCTGAGATCGGGCCACACTGCACTCCAGCCTGGGCGACAGAGCGAGACTCTGTTTCTAAAAAAAAAAAGAAAAAAGAAAAAATACAAAATGAAATGTGAAATTTCAATGATTCTGCATTAGGAGTTAAATGTTCCTTCCCTTTAATAGCACTTTTCCCCTTCTTTTTGAACAAGGGACGCTGCATTTTCATTTTGCATTGAGCCTCACAAATTACACAGCTAGGCTTGCTGCTGAATACGGCAGTGAGGGACATGCCATACCAGTCCTGGAGCTTCGTCATTGCCCAGACCCTGTGGATCAAATGCAGTGGGCTGCCTAAAGGATCGGACTTTTTATCCCCGGAATTGTCCAAACTATGGAGCAAAGCAGGTAAAGAGACCAGATTACTTTTAAGGCCCGTTCAATCCTAAAATGTGAACTATAAAATAAGACTAGACAGCTTTACTGATTTTTGTGGTTTATCATATGAAAACAGAATTTTGAAAGCGGAAAAATCAAACCAGTTCATTCCTTTTTAAAATTACTTTGGGAGGCCGAGGCGGGAGGATCACCTGAGGTCGGGAGTTTGAGACCAGCCTGACCAACATGGAGAAACCCCCGCCTCTACTAAAAATGCAAAAATTAGCTGGGCATGGTGGCGCACGCCTGTAATCTCAGCTACTGGGGAGACTGAGGCAGGAGAATCGCTTGAACCCGGGAAGCAGATGTTGCGGTGAGCCAAGATCGCACCGTTGCACTCCAGCCTGGGCAACAAGAGCGAAACTCGGTCTCAAAAAAAAAAAAATTACTTTGGGAGAAAAAAACCCCACCAAAACTAAACTAGTTTACACTGTTTAATCTTAACTCAGGAACCGGTCAAGGAACTAATGGTGTGGGGCAGGGGGGATGTAGGAGGAAACTTAGGAAAAACAAATCCTCCACAGGTCTCACTTGTGACATGTTAGCCAACTCCTGGGAGGCAGAAAGGGTGAGCTTACGAAACAGGTGCAAAAGTGGGGAGGAGACCTGGGCGTGCTATGGAATAACACTGGCGTCCAGCACAAAGGTTACACACTTCGAGTCATGGTCAAAGAATGAGCCTTCTCCAATATTTTAACACACAAGGGTTTCTGAAGGCAGAAATAGACAAAGGATTACAAAACACTCAGGCACACATCCCACCCGTCACCCTCGCCACACACCCGGGACCAGATTTAGAAAGCCAGGCGACAGCTCAGCAAACGCGAGACCACCGGAAACGAACCGGGCTGAGAGGCTGTTTCCTCACAGTTCTCATCCACTCACAAGTGACCGCACGTTTTGTTTTTGTTATTTGCCGAAATGTTCTTGGCTATTCCACTCACCTAAACGGTCACGGTAGCAAAACACCCAGAGTCCGGATCTTCGCCTAGGCCAACCCCGCCTCCTCAGAATACGCGAGCTAGAGCTCCGCCCACGTTAGTCAGTCCTCCCTGCGCGGCGAGAAAAATGGCGCCCCCACGTCGCGTCTCCTCCCACCGCTCGCCTTCTTCCCGGAAGCTAAGTTGTATCGCGAGATTTCGGCCTGACTATTACTTGGGCCACGGAAATAGCCAACCCTTTTCTTCCGCACGGTTGGAGGAGGTCGGCTGGTTATCGGGAGTTGGAGGGCTGAGGTCGGGAGGGTGGTGTGTACAGAGCTCTAGGACACCAGGCCAGTCGCGGGTTTTGGGCCGAGGCCTGGGTTACAAGCAGCAAGTGCGCGGTTGGGGCCACTGCGAGGCCGTTTTAGGTAGGTTGCTAAGAGGGCGAGGCCGTCCGGGCCTGGCGGGCGGGGGAGGCGTTGCATATCTGGGGTTTCCCGGGGCCCCTTCGTTGGTCCGGAGGATCGAGACTCCGAAGTCGGTCCGAGAGGGTGAAGGGATCACGGCCGCAGGCCACTCCGCGCCACGCGGCTGGTATGAGTCCCACACAAACGTGGTTGTAGTGTGGACGGGCTTCATTATATCTTGAGATGGAGGTGTTAAATCGTGTTGCGGACAAGTTTAACCTTATTACGTGATTTAAATGATTTAACCTTCGTATGTGAGGTACCCATTACTCGCGCCGGTTTTCTGCAGGTTAGGCGCTGCCGGGTGAGAGGCGCTGGTGGTCACAGCGTTAGCTCCGGGTAAAGCGCCGCTCTCTGCCCACGTGGCCTCTAAGAATTGCAGAATCCCCACGGAGGCATCGACACCCAAGTAGGAGTGTCTTCTAAACACTTCGAAAAAGTGATTATTGAGCTAGCTTTATTTTGATAATCCCTACTTTTAAAAAAAATTAACTACAGGTATACCGTTAAAGCATGGGGGCAAATTTTTGTTGAATTCCGTTTTTGAGCATTCGATATTTAATGACTTTGTAGAATCTTGTACTTAAAAAAACTAGTAAGACCTTGTACCAGGAAAATACCACAGGGGGCATTTAACAAATCTGAGCTCTTGGTGACCTTATCGTTTCATATTTTAAATATTTTGCTAGTTCATCCTAGGATTTATATGTAATGACTCATGTCAGGTCCCAAGAAGCTACAGAATGAGACAAGAGATTGACTAAGGCATGTACAATAATGAAATAAGTAGTTATCTTTAATTTTTGTTGCCATGCCTTTTTTTTTTTTTTTTTTTTTTTTTTTTTTTTTCCTGAGACAGGGTCTTGCTCTGTCGTCCAGGCTGGAGTGCAGTGGTGCAATCTCGGCTAACAGCAACCTCCACCGCGGCTTAAGCGATCCTCCCGAGTGGCTGGGAGCAAAGGCACGGGCCAACACACCTAGCCAGTATTTTAAGAATTTTTTGTAGAGACAAGGGTCTCCTTGTGTTGCTGAGGCTCACTACATACAAGCTCCACCTCCCAGGCTCAGGTATTCCACCTACCCCAGCCTCCTGACCACAGGCGCGCGCCACTATTCTGGCTAATTTCCGTATTTTTTGTAGAGACGGAGTTTCACCACGTTGCCCAGGTTGGTCTTGAGCTCCTGGGCTCAAGCGATCCGCCCGCCTCGACCTCCCAAAGTGCTGTGTTACACAGGCCTGAGCCACCCAGACCAACCTGTTTTTCTTTTTTCTTTTAGCTCACAAGAAGGAATCTTTTTCTTTTTTTTTTTTTTTTTTTTTGGTATGTTGTATACTCTCTACCATGGGGATGAAGACACAAGAATTATGATAGTTCATTGAAAAAGGTTGAGAATTCAGAACTTGTCAGTTTCCACCAATAATGGCAAAGATACAATATGACAAAGTTCAGTTGCTTAAATGAATCTAGGAATGAAGAATCTAGGAATTATAATGGAGAGGTGATTAGGAGTTTAAAATGGTTTATTGATTGGAGATCCTTTTCCTGGTTTATATAGGGCACACTTTGCTTTAGGAATTCCCCCTTTGATCTTGGAAAACGGCTTTTAATTGTACATTAATACTGTATTGGTAATTGTACGTTAAAATATGTGGCTAATGATAAAACTACATTTTTTACTTATATTGAAAGATGCTTTTGTTGGAAGGGACGGTACTTTTTTGGAATCTTGTTGCGTTGAATACATTTAGAGGGTAACAACTGAAAGAACCTGTGAATAGAATTTCTGGATTTCTTTTTAAAGAAACTGATCTGAAATGGATAAGAAGCTTAACCTTGGTAAATGATTTCGCCTGAAATCATTGGCATAGTCTGACCACGTTCAACACTGTAGTAGATACTGTCAATATTTAGGGAAGCTTTGTCATATTTACTAAATTTCATAATTTCAGAAAACTGTTTAAAACAAAGAGCAATTGATGGATAAATCAGGAATAGATTCTCTTGACCATGTGACATCTGATGCTGTGGAACTTGCAAATCGAAGGTGAGTGGATTCAATCATGTTTATTGTATCTGAATTATGAGAAACTATTGTATATAATGAGTGACAGTAAAGATAATTTTCAGGAATTGGGAAAGAAGGAAAACTAGATTTCACTGACCTTCCAAGTTTATCTAGTTACATAGATTGATATAATAGCATTGCAAATACTTTAAATTCAAAATGTGAATATATTATGGGACACATTCGTCGAGAAAAAATGTATTCTTTGGGTCATATTAGCATCTCTTCCAGACTACATCCTCCGGTTCGGTAGGCTGTGTTTGTTTTACTCAGACACTCTTAGCAGTGAACCGAACCATACAGCCTTTTGGAGCTCATACATTGTCTTGAAAGATACAGTTTTTTTGTAAGCTGAGCATAGTGGTGCATGCCATTAGTCCTAGCTAGCTACTTGGGAGGCTGAGGCAGGAGCATCCCTGGAGTTTCCAGGAGTTTGAGGTTGCAGTGAGCTGTGATTGCACCACTGCACTCCAGTCTGGGTGACAGCAAGACGATGTCTACAAAACTCTTTAATAAGAGCTGTAGCATTATGGGCTATTTAAATAGGATGATCAGTAGAAAGGCTAGCTGGTTCTGAGCCCATCCTTTAAAAAATTTTTAATTCTGGGCATGTTTTCTGAGTTGGTCTTGGAAGAAATGTACATTTAGGACTGGGTATTAATGGTAATAAGCAGTAAGAAAAGAAGATGAAATTAATTTTTTTCCCATTTTTCTAGTGATAACTCTTCTGATAGCAGCTTATTTAAAACTCAGTGTATCCCTTACTCACCTAAAGGGGAGAAAAGAAACCCCATTCGAAAATTTGTTCGTACACCTGAAAGTGTTCACGCAAGTGATTCATCAAGTGACTCATCTTTTGAACCAATACCATTGACTATAAAAGCTATTTTTGAAAGATTCAAGAACAGGAAAAAGAGATATAAAAAAAAGAAAAAGAGGAGGTACCAGCCAACAGGAAGACCACGGGGAAGACCAGAAGGAAGGAGAAATCCTATATACTCACTAATAGATAAGAAGAAACAATTTAGAAGCAGAGGATCTGGCTTCCCATTTTTAGAATCAGAGAATGAAAAAAACGCACCTTGGAGAAAAATTTTAACGTTTGAGGTGAGTCAGCATTTTACATACATGGCTACACATAACTCAAGATGCCCAAAATGATTTGTTGGCCAATTTAGAATTGTCTCAGATATACTGGGAACAGACTGTCTGCAATTTTGATACTCTTCTATACTGACTTACCCCTAAAGTCCACCCTATCCTTCAACTGAATCTTGACTTGTATCTCTTAATATAACTACACTTTGCCATATTTAAAAGATAGTGCTCCAAGGCTCTTTGTATAAAATCCTTTGATCTTATCCCATCTCAGGTCTTTAAACACAACCCTAAAACTCAGTGGGGATAATAAAAGCTCACATAACTTGAAATTACTTTTGCAGTAACCTAAACTAAAACCACACATGCCTTATGTTCAGTGGATATATTCTTAAGGCCTAGATGTTTCTAAGCCAATTATCTGAAAAATACGCTAATACTTAGGAGTAGACTTTTTTAAATATTTGAGAGTTGTATGTTGAATGAATTCAGAATTAATTTATGATCCCTTGCCAGAACCTGAAATTTTATTTGGGAGGATTAATACATGTTAATCTCTTCAGTTAATCTCTTAAGTTTAAGGTGATTATAGTAAACATTAGAAATCTTATTCCTGTTTTTACATTTTAAAATGCCTTTAGTAAGTCCCAGACATGACAAGATATGTACTTCACTTTTCCATGTTACCAGCTTAGGTAAATTCATAATTGTAATGTGAATTTTAATAATCAGCATTTGATAAGTCCACAAGTGGGGAGTAGTTAAGATAGCAAATTCAGAGTCTTTGCTAAGGGGGGGCATTGCCCTTTTTGAACATAGGCACCTGCTGGGTCTTAAAAATAAAATCTCGACATACTTATGGTGTTTTTAATATATAGCAAGCTGTTGCAAGAGGATTTTTTAACTATATTGAAAAACTGAAGTATGAACACCACCTGAAAGAATCATTGAAGCAAATGAATGTTGGTGAAGATTTAGAAAATGAAGATTTTGACAGTCGTAGATACAAATTTTTGGATGATGATGGATCCATTTCTCCTATTGAGGAGTCAACGTAAGTGGAATCATATGAAATACTTTGGTAATAGGTTATAAATTAAATTTCTATGTTAATTGCTTCATATTTTGCCTTTAATATAGTTATACTTAAATAATGAACAAAGATACAGAGTATGACAATTGGGATTATTACAGTTGAGCCAAGCTTGGCACACCGTTCATCTAGAATTCTCCAGAACACAAAATTCTCAAATTTTGTGTTTCCTTTGACTAGTATTGCAGTTTCAGTTATATTTCAGAGTGGAATATACAACTAATTAGGTCATCGAAGATTCTGTCATCTCGATGATAAATTTTAATATTACAGAGCAGAGGATGAGGATGCAACACATCTTGAAGATAACGAATGTGATATCAAATTGGCAGTAAGTGACTTATTTTTTTCCTATTCCATTTTGGGAAGGCAGGAGTTGGTTGATACAGAAGGAATTATATTTAGTTTTTCTCTTACACTTCATTTAACTTTTGAAAAGCTCTATAAGTTTACTGCAGGAAATGCAAGAAGGAAAATAATTTTTTAGAGACTTGATAAAGAACATGGGGTTTTCAGTACTATTTTTAATAAGTAGCATTCTGATACATATTATTGCTAGTTAGGATGTCAAATGAAAAAATAAGCAATGTTAATTTGGATTTTTAACATCTACATGTAGTCTCTAGGTTATCTGAAGTAATCCAGGGCATTCAGCTATATGTAATTACTAAACTATTTGAGTTATTGCTTAATCCATGATTTTTTGTTTGTTTTATGCAGGGGGATAGTTTCATAGTAAGTTCTGAATTCCCTGTAAGACTGAGTGTATACTTAGAAGAAGAGGATATTACTGAAGAAGCTGCTTTGTCTAAAAAGAGAGCTACAAAAGCCAAAAATACTGGACAGAGAGGCCTGAAAATGTGACAGGATCATGAATGTCAAAGGTGAAGCATATAGAAAAAACGACTTCATAGAAATGAATAAAGATAAATGTGGATATATGTACCAGTCTGGTGGTGAAGAAATTCTGAAACCCAGAACTTTATAACAAGAAAAAAAATTTTTAACCCTGTGAAGAAGTTTGTGAAAGAAACTTGTGAAGTAGTAATAATTAGAAAAAAAACCATTAAAACACCAGAGAAAATACATAGAAAAATTTGAGAAATTGTCATTTGATTTCTGAATAAGAGCTTACAGGTGTCCTGTGAGTATTGAAACAATGAAATGTAGTGATTTTAATTTTGAAAAGAAAATCTTAAAGTAACTTGACACCCAACCATCTTGAAGAGGGGATTTGAAATGCTGTAATTTTATCCCAGCTTTGTTCAGCCATGACAAGTGACCTGTCAGATGCTTAGTATTGTAATAACCTCATTTCCCTTTCCAAATTTAGAGTATCTTTAATACTATTTTTTTTAGACAGAGTCTCGATCTGTCACCCAGGCTGTAGTGCAATGGCCGCAGTCTTGGCTTACTGCAACCTCCATCTCCCGGGTTCAAGCGATTCTGCCTCAGCCTCCTTAGTAGCTGGGATTACAGGCGTTAGCCAGCACACCCAGCTAGTTTTTGTTTTTTTAGTAGAGACAGGCTTTCACCATGGTCTCGAACTCCTGACCTCAGGCGATCCGCCTGCCTTGGCCTCCCAAAATGCTGGGATTATAGGTGTGAGCCATGGCACCTGGCCTAATACTACTTTTAACTACCATTTTCACTTTTTATTAGTTCAAGAAAAGGCATACACATTTATTCAACATGTATACCTGGGGAGAACCAGTCATTACCCCGATGTTCATTATTTTGATCACCACGATAGAGCTGACTACTCTGCTATGTAGTGCATTTTGGGACTGCACTTATGTATGTTTTTGTTTAACGTGGACAAAGACTTACAGATAGGTGCAAAAAATAAATCCTCTTTTGCAACCCAGAACTCATTGTTCAGTATGAGTTTTGATACATATAAGAAGGGATATTATGATACCTGAGACAGTTGATTGATGGGAGTATTGATAGCCATAAAGGTTGGTTCCAGGCCAGGTGCAATGGGTCAAGCCTGCAATCCCCACACCAAGGTGGGAGTATTGCTTGAAACCAGGAGTTCAAGACCAGCCTAGGCAAGAAAGTAAGAAACACATCTCCACAAAAATTTAAAAATTAGCTGGGTACTGGGGCATGTGCCTGTAGTTGGAGTTACTCAGAAAGGGGGGAGGCTGAGGCAGAGTTGGAGGCTGCACTGAGCTTTGATGGCACCACTGTACTCCAGCCTGAGTAACAAAGACAGACCCTGTCTCTTAAGAAAAAAAGGTTGATTCCAGGCCTGTAGAATAGATAAACAGCATGGGATATGAGGGAAATCCTCAGCAGTATTAATTTTGCATTCCAATTTCATGTTGATGATATACACAATGGCTTTTTGTTTTAAAGGCTTTTATCTTGAGAACATGGTGTCTGGAGTTAAAGGTATGTCTCAATTTGAGTTTTCACATCATATTTGTTTATGTGTAGGAAACAGTATGTTGTCAGAGCAAGTTTCATTTTATTCAGGGACATTTCTACCATGCTTTTAATTCCCATTTATACTGATTTCTGAAAAGAAGAATCCTAGATTCACACATTTTATAGTGATGTGTCAGATTCATTTTAGTTGCAAGCATTAGAGGGTCCTGAATTTGTTAGTTTGTAGCAATAATCAGAACTTTGGATTTCCTACTTGAAGCCTACAGCATTATTTTGAATTAATGCACAATCTAAAATGAGGCAGAGGATTTTATGGTTTAATGCAAAATATAGTATAATAAAAGATGATTACACAGGTCATAAGAATTCATAAATTTGAATGATGTAGAGTTTGATTAAAAGTTATATAATGCCAAAGTCGTAACTTACAGGCACATTATATTCCTGTATTTTATAATGGATGACAATTAATTTTGAGCCAAGAATTAAAATTTGCTGAAATCTTCGAATTGGGAAAACAACATCCTCTGTTGCAATACTGAAGTTCATAACAACAGTTAGACTTTAAACTTAAATCTTAAGTTTAAATCTTTTTCCTTTGGTTCATGTAAAGGAGCTACTTGATGTTACTTTTTATTTATCATTCCTCTGGCTCCTAAGCACAACGTGATTGTGAAATTATTGTTTTTGTGATTAACGTAGTAGGAAGTTTCTGCAGTTGGCAATATTGTAAGAGCATATTGCAGTTTCTGCTCATAATTTCTTTCCTATGGAGTGTTAGACTTTGTTATTTATGTGTATAAATACTAGCTGGACACAGTGGTGCCTGTGGTCCCCAGCTACTCTGGAGGCTAAGGCAGGAGAAACACTTGAGCCCAGCGGTTTGAGGCTACAGTGAGATGTGATCCTGCCACATCTCACTGTAGCCTCGAACCCCTGGGCTCAAGTGATTCAGCAAGAATCACACGATTTTTAAAAGACATGGCAGATCCTGTGTCTTTAAAAAAAAATCAAAACCTTGTAAATAGTGGTTGAGGTCTATCCCGATGGGGCTTTTCCTGTAGCCTGCACATCGTTGGAAACGCCTCATAGAGTAACTCTGTGGTTTTACTTTACTCACAGGACTATTGTTAGATCTGTGGGAAGGAATTACAAGACAGTTGCTAAAAGTTTGAAAAAGACGGTTGCTAAACGTTATGAAAAACCAGATAATCTACTTTTTTACCTTAGGTATTGGCATACTCCACACATCTGTACCATTCTTGAGTGATCGCTTAGGTAAGTTTTAATTGGTGACAGTATAATCTTTTGGGAAATAATGATTACAGTTCAGATGATGAATTTAACTGTTCAACTGCTGAATGATAACGGGCATGAACTAAAACTTAATTCTGACAGAGCTGGATATGGCTGTATAATAAACTGGATCTTAAATTTATACTTGGGTTTTAGTTTTAATAACTGGAAATGTATCCTTTCTAAATCTTTAATTGGTACTTTCTATAGGAATGAATGTGATTTGAACTCATTCATGTTGAGAGGTAAGTAAAATATTTAACTTATAATAATCAAGGACTCAAAAGATGAAAAATAGAAATTACACCATCCCAGTATTTCAGGTATAACACAGAATTAGTAAGATACTGGCAAAAATATTACAATGTATATATTTGTATAGAGAAGGAAAATGAAGAGACTGCATGTCTATACCTACCAAACGAAACTACCTGTGTTCTTTGCATCATTATTCAACTGGCAGTTACACATATTTCATCCTAAAGTCACGTAAACCTGTGTGGATATGTTGAATCAATAGGGATATGAATTACATAAAAAGAATTTTGTGTAACTGGCAGTTTGAGCAACAATGAGCTTGACGTTTGTTGTCTGATCTGTTAAGTTACATGTATATATTCCATCTTTAAGTTTTATAGAGAGACTGGGCAAAGATTAGGCAAAGACTAGAGTTGTAGCTTAAAATGTAGTTAATGTAGCTTCCTTATTACAGTGACAATTAGGAAAAAAGCTCAAATTATTGTACTTGTTAAAGGAATTTGAGAGGTTTGTGAAAGCATTTCTCAGCAATATTGCAAATTTGGGAATACGAGTTGTACAGTTCAGTCATAATTGCACTGCATGGTATCTGCACTCAGCAGTTTACACCTGCTAGGGTGTTCAAAGGTCAGTGCTATAGAAATTCAGTATCTGGCATCGTTGGTTTTCTTGGCTTTGTGCTTGTTAAACCTGGTATTTCTACTGATACAGTATTTGTGTAGGTTTCTCAGAGTGTTCAGTTTGATATACTCTAAAATAGTAAGCAATGCTTTTTTTTCCAGGGTGTCAAATTGAGAACCAGGTAGATCCCCACCACCTACAGTAAAAAGGTAAGATTCTCTGTTTCTATTGATTCTGCTTGTTTCCCTCTATCAGTAGCACTGCCAGCATAACAAGAACTTCGTACAAATACACTACTAAGCTTTAAAGACTTTTACAATGCCTCATTCTAGAGAATGGGCACTGTTGATCATGGTGTCCAAAAATAGTTAATGTGGCTAAATTGAGACAGGTTATGCTTCCATCACAGTATGCATATTGCAGTGGTGACAATGAGACCTGTAACATTTTGCTATGTTTATGAGTAAAAATGTAGGAGAAAAATGTTGACTTTTCAATATTAGAAATAACATTTAATAAGGAATTTTCAGCTCTTATAGGACCACTTTTTTTATGTGCTGTATATTGACTGAAACATTGTAATGTGGTATACATTACTGTGTCTTGGATCAGGTGTCAAAATGTAACTGTACTTTGTACAATTCAACTTCTAGGACCCTAAAGTAAATTGGTTGAAGAAATTAGATCCCAAAGATTCTTGGTAAGTTAATTCATTACTTAAAAGGCCATGCAGGTTATTTTGTTGAATACTAGCTTTTCTCCAAATGTTATTTTAGGTTATTTATTTATCTAGCAATGCTATTGCAACATCTATCACCACTTAGGAGTAAAAAAAAGGACTAGGCTTACGTTATTATGTGTTTAAACTTCATTATTAACGATGTTATGATGATGGGCGAAATGTTCAACTGCTCTGAAGGGGCTGAATGAAAATGGCCTTTCTGAACATCCATTTACATTAAATATTGCATTGTATTTCAGAAGATTATAAAAGCTCAAAGGTAAAAGTTACCAGAAACATGATCATAGAGCAAATTCGGATATGAATGGGCATGGGATCATTGATTTTTAAAAATACCTATTAGTTTAAATAGCTATTTTAAGCATAGAATTTTCAATACCTTACTTGGGGTGCCGGGTTTCAGGATACTTTGGAACCTAAGCAACCTCATTCTTGAAAGATAGATTTATGTACTTAATAGTAAATATAAATTTGAAATACACATTTTTCCACAGGTGAATTTTGAAGTCTTCATCAGTATATCCATATTAAAACGAGATGACAGAAGCCAAAGTAATTATGGCAAGTAATGGTTTTTATCTTAACTATAAGTTATTTGCTCAAGGGTGTAATGGTCATTACCAAGGCTTTTAGAATGCAGTTTCTCATTTGCTGTGGACATGACCATAAAAAAATTTCCCAGTAGGTTTTCTATCTGCTACTTTGCTAGCAATCAGCTTATTGGGAACAGTTGATTAACTGTAATAGAAATGCAATACAAATAAAATGTGAACCACATGTGATTTTTCTTTAAAATCAGTGAGATTTGAAAATTCTCCTAGATCTCTTGAATCATGCAAATTTGCTTTGCCTTTATATTGTAACCCTTGTGGGTTGCTAATAACCAAGCAGTTTGTAGTAGAGTTAACTCAGGCTCGTTCTAGGGACTCATTCATGTTCACTCACTGTACACTCATCTCTGGAAATGTAAAATTTACTTTTATACTATTGTTATGTAGGGCTGACAGGACAACTGGATCAGTTTCATTAAAAAGGTATGTATGCATTAGAAAAGACATTTGTATGGGTCATTTCAAAGAGGGCTTATGAGGCTGTGAAACCCAGAGCTCTTAACGCTGTGACCAAAGATGGAAGTTCTCTATAGGAAGCCATAGCACTCCTAATGTTTGGTGCTATGTTTTCCTGAGGAGATATAAAACGTAATAATCCAGGATTGTTGCCATGTGAGAGTTTTAAAGGTTAATCAAAATTTCTCTTCTTCAGGGCAAACTTGAAGATAAATCTTTTGACTCCAGCTCTTTAGAGGATCTAAAGTGACCTTGATGGACAGTGGAAGAAATCACAACATGGAATTCCTCGAATAACAATTTATTGACTTTAAATAATTTTGTCTAATGCTACATATACACAATTAAAAAACCTTTACACTATTTCTAGAAAGTCAGCATGTATTTTTGGCTCGAAGTTTCTCTAGTGTTTTCTGTGGAAGGAATAAAAATTTGAGTTTCAGTTGTGTACTTCATGCTTGAAAAATTAAGTCCTTCTCCCTCAGTTATACTCACCTTATGGAATTCTTTTGCCCTTGCTCTGTTTTGGGCATAAGCTTCTTGTTTTGTTTTTTCTTCCTTTTGTTGTTTCACTTCAGCTAGTTGATTGTATAACCTGTAAAGAATTTATATAGAATTAGAGACAAACACTGCAAAAAGTGAATCACTAAAAAAAAAAAAAAAATTAACCCTACCTTAGACCCCTTTGGTGCCTTAGAGCCTGTGTAGTCTTTCTGTCTTCAGGAAAAGATGCTCTGACTTTATTCACGCCCTTTAGACGACTCACAGATGAACCTGAGGAAAGAAAAGTGAAATCAAGTTGTAAACACAAGGCTTTAAACATTTCAGGGAGTTGGTTGAAGATTTTAAAAATTCAACATACTTATAGATGGTTTCTCTTTAACTGTTTTGATTTGAGAATTTTCAGAGACATGAATTTTATTCCTTATTTCTTTCTGCCTCTGGTGGGATCTCTCCATAAATGATTTTTTCCTCTTTATAAATGCTTCTTGTAAGCTCCCTGGTACAGGTGTAAGCCTGCGAGGGGTTTCTGCTGGGGGAAAAGAAATTTATGACAGAAATAGGCAAAGTATCTACTTTCCATTAGAAGTGTGGAGGCCGTCCAAGGCTTACCTGTAGATGCTGTCCTTGGTTTTTCTATGGAAAGTTCTGATACAGCTGGATAATCTGAGGCTTCTGTTGCTGATACAAGAGGCAGAAACTCACTCACCTAATGGCAAGAAAGTTGCATGTTTTACTCTTTTTAAACGCTTTAAGCGGGTCTTGCTCTGCTGTCAGATTAGAGTGCAGCGGCATGATCACACCTCACTGCAGCCTCAATCTTAGCTGGGTCTACAGAGACCCGCCACCATGCCTGATTTTTGTATTTTTTGTAGGGATTGGGTTTTGCCTTGTTGCCCAGGCTGGTCTTGAACTGGGCTTAGGCTCCACTGCCCTCACACCTCTAGGCCTCTGTTTAGATAGCTTTATTCTTATTGCCTCCCTACTCCCCTAGTAAAATTACCAGTTGTTCTGAAGTCATTTTTCAATATCTGGGAATAAGTTTAGGTAAAACTTCCAACTTGGCACTATAACACTAGGTGTATAAGATTAGTTCTGCCAGTCTTGGAGACAGGCATAAATTGGAGTGGGGATTAAAAGAAAATGCACAATGGTTGACAGAATAGTGAAGGTTTAAGACAAATTGAGAGCTGGTGGGGGTGTCGGCTTAGTTAAATGCATAGCATAATTCCCTCCAATGAGTACCTTCTGATAAGTTGTAAGAGACAAATCAACTGGTTTGCTTGTAATAGAATAAAATAGAAGGAAAGCTTAAATTTACCTGAAAGAAGCATTTTGCTTCATTCTCGCTCTTCTCTTCTAGGGTTAAATTTGCAAAATCCATTTCAGCAATACTGGTATCAGTGGTGCTTATTAAAGTAAGTTCTGGTTCTTCCATTATACCATGGCCAGTTTCTGTTTCCTGTGAACCACAATTAAAAGGAAAACCATGTCAAAATAGCCTTAAAAGACTTAAACTAATCGTTTTGTATATAATGCACATTTTTTGCAAGTGTATATAAATGTGAAAATGGAGGAAGAAAAGCAATGATTGGCAAAGACCAACAGATCAGATTTCCTTAGGCTTCCATAACTCCAGCATTCAGTTGTAGAAATACTGGAGCCTACTTTGGGGAGGGGATGAAATAGTGTGACAATGGACTGAAAGGTATCTACCACAATGATTACAAACCTAAATGCTTGTAGTGTTGGGCAAAAAATATAAATGCAGGTTGGCTGTGCCGAATTGTATCCTTTAAAGGGAGCAGGGGTCGACTGGGCTGCTACCAAATGTGGGCCACTGACTGCTAACAGATAATGTTTCAAAAGTATCTAAACACAACAAGAACAAAAGCAGCCACATAAAACGTGGTTTAGTTGTAATTCTTATTTTCAATCTGTTATGTTTATTTGTGGAAGGATAAACTGCACATACTGCTAGATGAAAACCAGTCACCAGTTGACTGGTGTTGAAAGCAAGCAGATTATAAGTTGCTTAATATGAGGAGCAGGTTTCCAATACTTATTCCAATAATGGATGAATTCATTGCACTGGAATGAGGCTCAACACTGAAAGTGCTGAAGCACAGGCAGAACCACCATTTTTCAGGGAAGTTGGAGAAAGGATATCTGAATTGGGAGAAAAAGGATCTTTTGTAAAATACTCTCAGAAGACAGTTTTCAAATTTTTAAGTTTCTGCATTATGCTGGATATTTCTAGTGATCACAAGCTGGATAGCAATATTAACAAGCAGTTTTGCTTGTATTTTGTTTCAGGTTTTTCCTGCCAGGCATTGTGGTGTGTCCAAACTACTTCGGAAGTTGAGGCAGGAGGATCCCTTGATCCTAGGAGTTTGAGTTCAGCCTGGGTAGCATAGTGGGAACTTCATCTCTAATTTTAGAAGAAAAAAGTTTTTTCCCAAAAAGGAATTTAAATGTTATTTATACAACACTGATTTCACTTACCCAGACTGGTATAGAGCTCTGTAATGAAAATGATCCAGAACTTGCAAAAAGCTCTGATTCTCCTAGTTGAGATAGTTTTTTGGTGATTTTTGGAATGTCTGTTTCAGCTGAATTCTCAAAATATTTTTCATTTTGAGTAGTTAAGGAATATGGTGCCTGAATTGAAGTTCCCATCTCCACTGTTCTTACACATAATCGAGAGTCAGTTTCCTCTACCTGTGGATTTATGTCTAAAACCCTACAGGTTTCATTTTTATTATCTTCAATGAGTCCTTGACTTTGTAACATTGTAACAACCCCTCTTTTTGATAGTTCTTCAAAGCCCATACTTTCCTTTCTGCTTTCTAGTTGGTGTTTTGTTGAGCACTCACTAGAGTTAGAACCACATGGAGTGCTATGCTGTACATTTAACTGATCAAATACATTAGCTTCATCAGATGAACTGTAGACTGAACTTAAGTTTCCTATAGAAAGCTGGAAATGAACAATTTTTTTCTTGTTTTGTAATATTTCAGTATGTTCTTCAGAGGGATAGTTCTGATTTTTCATGCCTTGGGAAGAATCTCTTGCTTCAATGCTAAAAATACTTGGTAGATCAGCATGCTGGCTCTCCTCCTGTGAAGAATATTCTGGCTGAAGCTGTTCAAAACATTGTTCAGATCCTGCATTAAGAAATTCAAAAATCAGTTAATCATCGTTACATGTTGTAAAAGTTGGATACTGACAGTCTCTAATAGTTTATCATCCAATTGCAAGTAACCTACAATTTTAGGCATAAAAGTTGATGTGTATAAACATGAATACAAAGATAAGGATGGTCACAGTGATTTCTCAAACTACAGCTCACACCAAGTATTTTTTCTTTTTCTATTAATATTTAATAAGGACAATATGGCTATAAACTGAGGATGTTTTCCTCTATAAGAACTGAATATGACTTTAATAACAGAAAAGAGAATAAAGCATCCATGTGTATCTCAATTATCCATGTGTGTATATATAATTTGTACATCCTTGTGTATCTCATGTATGTTTGTGTGTATATATAATCATTTGTACCAAAGGCTCAAGAATACTTGTTTTCTATGTTGCCCAGGCTGGTCTTGAACTCCTGGGCTCCAGGGATCCTCCTGCCGCAGCTTCCCAAAGTGCTAGGATTACAGGCGTGAGCCACTATACTTGGCCTAAGAAGAATACTTAAACTGGCTGGGCATGGTGGCTCACACCTGTAATCCCAGCACTTTGGGAGGCCAAGACGAGTGGATCATCTGAGGTCGGGAGTTCTAGACCAGCCTGACCAACATAGTGAAACCCTGTCTATACTAAAAATAGAAAATTAGCTGGGTGTGGTGGCACATGCCTGTAATCCCAGCTACTTGGGAGGCTGAGTGAGGCAGGAGAATCACTTGAACCCAGCAGGCGGAGGTTGCAGTGAGCCAAGATTGCACCACTGCACTCCAGCCTGGGCAACAAGAGTGAAACTCAGTCTTCAAAAACAAAATAAAAACAAAAACAAAAACAAAAAAAACAAACAAAAAAATAATACTTAAACTGTTAACTATCACATAATGATTGAGGTAGGGAAATTGAGGAACAAGAGGCAACACTTTTCCTTTTATTTCATAATGTTCAGTATTGTTTAAAAAAATGCATGTATTACTTCTGTAATTTAAATATTTTTTAACACCCAGGATAGGGGTGAGAGCAGGGGTGAAGACAAACCAAGAGGTGCTAGGCTTAATTTCTAAGGAAATGGATGTAAAAAATCATGGAAAAATTAACTTTTTCTAACTTAGTCATACATACCCCCAATAATATTTTCTGTAGCAAAACTGTGAGCTCCAACATGAGCCAAGTTAGTGTCAGGTTGTTGATTCGGACTTGTGTTAAGAGAAGAATGCATGCTGGTCCTCCTCAGTGCTGTGAAATAAACTGTACTTTTGGATAATCCAGTAGCACAGTGGCTTTCAGATGAAGAATCTGATCTCTGGCAGGAAACAAAAGGGAAAGGCTGAAATACTGATTAGGTATTAACAATTGAAACAATAATCATTGTGTTCCTTTGGTATTACTCTTCCTTAATTATCACTTCACTATGACAGCAATGATTTGCTTTTTCAAATCCAGTTCTTTTCAATCAATATGAAAGAGACTTTAAAATGTCAGGCCATCAGGAAGTGGAAGCAAAAAGACTCAGGTTTAAATCTCAGCTCCTTTGACTGTGTAGGAGGATACTTTAAATTTTGCAAAATTGTATTTACTTTACTGTTTAAATATGTTCCACAACTAAAAGTTGTTATTAAGCCTTTTATGGCATCATACTCCCTAGGTGGAGACAGGTGGATGGGACAAACAAAATTCTAATGTAGCTGTTTTCCTTTTTTTTTTTTTGAGATGGGGTCTCACTATGTTGTCCAGGCTGGAGTGCAGTGGCACGATCTCGGCTCACTGCAACCTCTGCCTCCCAGGTTCAAGCGGTTCTCAGCCTCCCGAGTAGCTGGGACTACAGGCATGCCATCACACCCAACTAATTTTTGTGTTTTTTAGTAGAGATGGGATTTCACCATGTTGGCCAGGCTGATCTCAAACTCCTGGCCTCAAGCAATCCACCTGCCTCAGACTCCCAAAGTGCTGGGATTACAGGCATGAGCCACCGCACCCGGCCCAATGCAGCTGTTTTCAAAGTTGGTTCCACATTAGAATCACTTGGGGAGCTTAAAAAATAATAATAATAATTAGTACTATCTGAGCACTCCCAGAAACTCTGCTTTAATTGGTCTAGGGTGTAGTCTGGACAATAGGATTTATTTTTATTTTTTATTTAAGTTTTCCATGTGATTCTTTTTGTTTGTTTGTTTGTTTCTTTTTTTAAAGACAGGGTCTGGCTCTGTCACCCAGACTGGAGTGTAGTGGCACGATCTCAGCTCACTGCAGCCTCCACCTCCTGGGCTCAAGTGGTCCTCCCACCTCAGCCTCCCGAGTAGCTGGGACTACAGGTGCGCACCACGACACCTGGCTAATTTTTGTATTTTCAGTAGAGACAGGGTTTTGCCATGTTGGCCAGGCTGGTCTCGAACTCTTGGCCTCAAGTAATCTGCCCGCCTTGGGCTCTCAAAGTGCTGGGATTACAGGTGTGAGCCACTGTGCCCAGACTTCCATGTGATTCTAGGTAAGGGTTTAGAAGAACTTTTGTTCCAGTAGAAGAAATGGCTTAAAACTATTTTTAGATATTCACTGCAATGGGACATCTACTTTAATATACCTGGTAAAAGTCTCTGTTGTCTGGAGAAATCCCAGAGGATGATGATGATAAGTCAAAATCTGGATGTGGTTCTAAGGGTTTAAACAGCTGATGATGCAAATTAGGAAAAATGTGTTCCAATTCTGGAAAGTCAAGGTCAACTGTTAGAATTTTTGAGGGAAAAAAATCATAAATTTATTTTTAAGGTAAACACTAGAAAAGGAGTATTAAGAACATATTCATAAACGCTTATTTTCAGGTAACTCCAGTGTAACAAAAACTTCAGTTTTTCCCCCATGATCAGCAGATGCTTTAAAGTTAAGTCCTATCATGATTATTTCAAAGGTCCAAAATATGGATCCTCTCAGTGACCAAAACTTTTTAAGTTTTATTTTTAGAGAAATTTAATTTTTTTAAATTTAAAAAATTTTTTTTTAAAATAGAGATGGGGTCTCAGTGTTGCCCAGGCTGGTCTTGAAATCCTGGGCTCAAGCAATCCTCCTGCCTCAGCCTCCCAAAGTGCTACGATTACAGGTATGAACAAACTTTTGACAAATACGAATTTCCATTTCCACAGCCTTATGAGGCTAATGAGGATCAACAGGACATATGTAACCACTGCTTCAGTATAAGCTTAAAAAAGGAAAAAGGCTCACTGTATTCAGTGTTACTATGGGCCAGACATTGTGCTTTATGTGCACTATCTCATTTAATCTATAATATTCCTCTTTTATAAAAGATTAAAAAGTAACTTGCCCATGGTTTTACAGCTAGGAAATGGTCAGGCTATGACTCAAATCCAGAACTGTATGATTTCTGAGCTCCTGCTCTTATTTATCAGTAATACCGCCTCAGCCGTAATAGCTAACTCTGCAATGGCAAAGGAAGATTTGCTAATTAATCTCCTATAAATGTGCCTCAGTGAGTCTAATTGGTTCCAGATCCCCTTTCTCACTAAATGCCCTCAATATATTCTGTGGTAAAACGGTGTTGTAGCAGGCCATAAGAACATGAAGCTCAAACAATCACTGCATAAAATTTAAAATGATGAAAGGTGAAAATTTAAAACTTAATTTACATAAAAGTATTGCTTTAAAATAATTTTACCTTGCAAATCTGTTTTTTCAGGTATCAAATTTGCTTCATTAATGTACTTGTCTATCATTTGCTGAAAGTGTGTGTGACCACATGTAGTTTCATCCACTGCAGGCAACAGAGATTTATGAACGTCTGAAGAGTTCTGCCGCTGATAAATATCTTGTGTTGAAGGAACTATGGAACTTATAATATTTGTTTCCTCTTCTTTACTGGTGGTAGATTCTTGCTTGCTATCATCCATGTGCTCTGAAAATGACTCTGAAAATTGAGTTTAATGAAAATATGTAAATAGGCCAGGCGTGATGGCTCACGCCTGTAATACCAGCACTTTGGGAGGCCGAGGTGGGTGGATCACGAGGTCAAGAGATGGAGACCATCTCGCCAACATGGTGAAACCCCATCTCTACTAAAAATACAAAAATCAGCTGGGCGTGGTGGCGCACACCTGTAGTCCCAGCTACTCGGGAGAGCCGAGATTGCACCATTGCACTCCAGCCTGGCAACAGAGCAAGACTCCATCTCAAAAGAAAAAAAAATGTAATTGACAGCGACACTATATTCCTTTTAATGGAATATTCCTTACAGACATACTGTACTGGGTACTTCCTTACAGACATATTTTAGTGGAGAAGCATGGTAATACATATTGTTAAGAGATCAGTGCAACCATGAAATTTGCTCGGATAGGTTTCCACTGAATGGAAAAATATATCAGCAACTGCTTCTCAAAAGTATTGTTGGGGATCTACAGAGCATCCCTGTTACTTCCAGTAATATTTAGAATACCATATGCGCCAATGTTTTGCTGGGTGTGAATATTTTACTTTTTTTTTTTTTGAGACAGGGTTTCACTATGTTGCTCAGGCTGGAGTGCAGTGGCGTGATTGTGGCTCATTGCAGCCTTGACCTCCCAGGCTCAAGCGATCCCCTCACCTCAGCCTCCTGAGTAGCTGGGACTACAGGCACTTACCACCACACCTGGCTAACTTTTGTATTTTTTTGTAGAGATAGGGTTCTACCACGTTGCCCAGGATGGTCTCAAACTTTTGGGCTCAAGCGATCCTCCCACCTCAAGGTGCTGGGATTACAGGCGTGAGGCACCACGCCTGGCCATACTTTACTTGTGAGATTTAGAGAAATAGTTCCCCATGGTGTATCATGAAAACCCAATGCTTCCTTCCATCACTGTATTGCAACTCAACTGGTGCCGGTCTTTCAACTTATTTATAAACATTTTGACCTTATTACCTGGATCTGTAAGGCTCAAATCTGTGTTTTCATAACTTAAAAGGCTCCCAGTGGAAACAGTTGCTGAAGATAATGGTTCATAAGACAGTGTTTTAGCCTAGAAATTAAGGGGAATATCATACCACAATGTAGCAAGTAGTATGTAAGAAAACCCCAAATCACCAACCCCAGCAGTTGTCACTTCTGAGCTCAGGTCAAGTGTAGAAACCATCATAGTTACAAAGATCAGTAGTAAAACCTTTTCATCATTGCCCAGAAATGATTAGGCTTTCATAGACATACATACGCACCCCCCCACCCTCAATCTCATTCATTCCTACAGCTGTTATCTTTATAAACACATGTGCGTACACACACACACACACACACACACACACACACACACCAGACATATGCCCTTATTGTTTTACATTGTTTTATAGTTTTGCTTCTCAGAACTGTAGAGATCATGCATCAGGTAGACTGGAAAGACTTCTGATGCTCAGATTTGGCTAGTTTCATCATTGATCCACTTCACTAAAAGCAGATCTCAGAAAGCACTGACTTTAATGTTATAACATAGCTTCTGTAAACTAAACAAAAGAGAATACGAAGCCAAACAGCTCTAAAAATCGAGTGAACATTAAGACATTACTAACCTTATCATCTGGCTTCACAGTTGGACCCAAATATGCATGTTCTTCCTCCACAGCATAACTTAACACTGCATGATTTTCAACAACAGATTCCTTCAGCTTAACTGAAAAATGGATTTTGGAGTTCAAGATGGGAGAAAAATATAGTTGGGATAAGACAAATCAAATTCTTAGCACCACAGGACACCATTCCCTGCTTTCCTACAATCTACTTTCTCATTTTGCTTCTTAAAGTTGTCTTGTCTTAGATCAAAGAAAAAATTCACCGTATTTGTTAAAAACATTCACTAGTCAGCACAATATACTTTTTCCTGGAAAACTGTAGCTATTGTTATTTTATGAATAAAATGCTTTAAGAAATTTGAATATTAGGTCTAAAACCTAGAAAAGAACCAGTGTGATGAGAAATGCTTTTGCCACTGTTTTAAGTGGAAAAGCAAGAATATTAAATCATAAACACAGTGTGGTCCTAAAGATGCGAAAACATGCATATAAAAGAGACAATAAAGAAAACACCAGGGCCAGGTGCGGTGGCTTACACCTGTAATCATAGCACTTTGGGAGGCTGAGGCAGGTGGATCGCTTGAGTGCAGGAGTTCGAGACCAGCCTAGGCAACACAGTGAAACCTCATCTCTACAAAAATTACAAACATTAGCCTGGGGCAGTGGCAGGCACCTGTAGTCGCAGCTACTCAGGAGACTGAGGTGGGAGGGTGGCTTGCTTGAGCCTGGGAGGCGGAGGTTGTAATGAACCGAGAATGTGCCACCACACTCCAGCCTCTGCAACAGAGCCAGACCCCGTCTCAAAAAACCACACCAAAATGTAACCAGTGGTTGTTTATTAATGGTAGCACAAGGAGTAATTTTTACTTGTACTGTACCTTTTAGTGCCTTCTATTATTTTATTTCATTTTTTTAGAGACAGTTTTTTTTTTTTTTTTTGAGGCAGACTCTCGCTCTGTCACCCAGGCTGGAATGCAGTGGCGCAATCTCGACTCACTGCAACCTCCACCTCCCAGGTTCAGGCAATTCTCCCTGCCTCAGCCTCCTGAGTAGCTGGGATTACAGGCACACACCACCATGCCTGGCTAATTTTTCTATTTTTAGTAGAGACGGAGTTTCACCATGTTGGCCAGGCTGGTCTCGAACTCGTGACCTCAGGTGATCCGCCCACCTCGGCCTCCCAAAGTGCTGGGATTACAGGTGTGAGCCACCACGCCTGGCGAGACAGAGTCTTGTTATGTTTCCCAGACTGGTCTTGAACTGCTAGCCTGAAGTGATCCTCCTGCCTTAGCCTCCTGAGTAGCTGGGATTATAGGCATGAGCCACTACGCCCAGCTTTTTTTTTTTTTTACAGCTTTCTAAATTCATAATGAGCATATATTACTTTTATGATGAATTATCATTCCTAATTATATTTGAGATATTAAAACATTAAAATTATACTTTGTGTCTCATATTAACAATCATGTATTCTGAGCTTATTTTCCTTCTTATTCCAAGTGACCAACTGACACTTGTGAGAAAGCTCACCAAGACATATTGTAGTCTATGGCTCTGAAAAATACAATTAAAACTGCTTCACTGAATATAAACAAAATTCTGCTTCATAATCTCAGTGATATTAGAAGGTATGCACATTAAAGGTATATTTCTTAAATGTTTATGTAACAATTATTAATTATTCATTTTATTTTTTTTTAAGACTAGTCAAGTGCAGTAGTGAGAACAGGGAAAAGAATAGAACAAAGAGTCCGATCTGTAACTGACTGTAAATAATCAATTGAGATAACTCATTACATTCGGACCAGGAGAATTATTTTTCAAATGTAGACCTAGTAAACAAGCAGGTAGGCATGGTGGCTCACCCCTCTAGTCCCAGCAACTCAGGAAGTTGAGGTGGGAGGATTGCTTAAGGCCAGTAGTTTCAGACCAGTCTGTGCAACCTAGCAAGACCTCATCTCTACAAAAAAATAAAAAATTAGCTGGGCATAGTGGCATGCTCCTGTAGTCCTAGCTACCTCGGAGGCTGAGGCAGTCGGATGGTTTGAGCCCAGGATTTTGGATTGTGAATGAGCTATAATGGCACCACTGCACTCTAGCCTGGGCAACAGTGTGAACAACTGTGCCTTGAAACAAAACAAAAAAAAACAGGAAAAAAAAAAAAAACCCGGAAAAAAAAAACAACCCACACACACACGTACACATCTATCTGTATGTAAGTACAGATATTTATTCATAAAATAATATATATTATGATTAATGAAGTGGAAACAAAGCTAATCGCAAATCTTTGTCTTTATTTTTTTTGAGACGGAGTCTCACTGTCACCCAGGCTGGAGTGCAGAGGCACGATCTTGGCTCACTGCAAACTCCACCTCCCGGGTTCAAGAGATTCTTCTGCCTCTGCCTCCTGAGTAGCTGGGACTACAGGTGCGCACCACCAAGCCCGGCTAATTTTTGTATTTTAGTAGAGACGGGGTTTCACCATATTGGCCAGGCTGGTCTCGAATTCCTGACCTTATGATCCGCCCACCTGGGCCTCCCTAAGTGCTGGGATTACAGGCGTGAGCCACCGTGCCTGGCTGACATTTGTCTTTAAATACAATATATTTTTTGGATGACAGGGTCTTGCTCTGTCACCCAGGTTGGCTGGTGAAATTTTATAGTGAGTTTTAATTTTTTCTTCTATTCTTAAGCAGTTCATTTTAAAAGCTAATTGGGAAATGAGAAGTTAATCTGGGATGTTCAATTCACTAATAATAATTACAATTATTTACTGTTATCTGTAATATACCTAGAAGACTCCCTCAGTGGAGGTATGAATAAATAAGGCAGCATTTGCGTGGTAGTAAGAAGTGAAAAATAAAAGTGAGAGAAAGGAGCAAGATCAGAGTCACTGAAGATGTTCAAAGATTCAGTGGATAGGTCCCTGAAAGCTGGAAGAGAAATAACTGTCGTCATTTGGGATGTGGTTCACTGATAACAGTTCCTAAAAAGGGGAAGTGACATAATGAAAGTAACACCTTACTGCTATCTTTTCATGCCATGCAGGAAGGCACCATTTCCTGTTTTCCTACAAGGGCAGACAGTACAAAGTTTGCAGTTAGTGGCTCCATCTTAAAAATCTGTTAAATCAAGATGTGGGGCAGAAACAATGGAATAGTAGTAACAAGACAGACCTTTCTAAAATAGAAACAATCTGGACCAGGCGTGGTGGCTCACGCCTATAATCCCAACACTTTGGGAGGCCAAGGTGAGAGGACTGCTCAAGCCTAGGGGTTCAAGACCAGTCTGGACAACACAGTGAGACCCTGTCTCTACAAAAATTAAAAAATTAACCGGGTGGGGTGGTGCATGCCTGTAGTCCTAGCTACTCGGGAGGCTGAGGTGGGAGGATCAATTGAGCCTAGGAGGTCAAGGCAGCAATGAGCTGTGGTTGTGCCACTGCACTCTAGCCTAGGTGATAGAGCAAGACCCTGTCTCAAAACAGAATAAAAGAAATTTGAAACAATCTGAATCTGGGAATGATTCTGAGAAAGAGAAAAGCCGTCCCTGGTATCCAGGAGCTGACCTGGCACTATCAGGTAATGCCCTGGTGTTCTGTTAAACATCAACAATTCCATGGAATGCCAGTCTCAGAAATGGCCACTCTGTGACCCTGATAAAGAAAAAAAAAATGAGACCCCTTGTAACCACATCTGAACACAGACAAAACCATGAATATTGTCTAAACCACAAGAATGGCCAAGCATTCCCTTATCCTGGCTAATAGGAGTGACTGCTGCTGTTTTACCAGTTACAACTTTAGCTTCACTTCCATTCTTACCACCTCCTAGATAAGAACTTTTCAGGTACTGAAACAGAATTACTCCTGCTTCCTGACAACATCCAATACTAATTACCAAAAAGCTCTGTTTCCTTGAATCCTTCTCCCAATCCCCTAAAACAAGCCCAAATCCTATAAGTCCTTCCTAAATAGCCATTTACTGAGATGCCTCGTGGTTGCCCATGGTATGCATTCCCCCTCACCGCAACAGGTCAGACGCTCAGCTTTGTTCAACTATAGGTGCGTTCCTCGTAGTCTTTAGCTAGAGGTTATCAACAAATAGAATAAAAAGAAAATGCAAATATCCATTGTGTAAATAAAAAAGTGATGCAGCGGGTAGGGGTGGAGCAAGAGAGACGGAATAGAAGCTTCCACCAACTGTCCTCACCACAGGAACTTCAAAGTTGGCAACTGAGGCGGGAAATTAAAGAAAAATAAAATTAAAGAGAAATAAGCTTTCCTGTATTAGGCTGACTTGTCCCAGAGGCAGCAACAGGCACAGCCCAGACCCAGGAAAAGTCTTAATAATATTATCTAATGTGCTCTGTAGACTCTCCCAGCACTCCTTCAACATAGGGAGAAGAAAAACAAATTTTCCTTTGTTTTATGGTATAAGTTTATAGATTTTATAGATTCCTGTTCTCTGTAACTAGTAACTTCAAGAATTCTGTTTTGTCTAAGAAGTACATCAAAGGTCATGAGAAGCCTAAGCAGGCCTGAACTACAGCTGCCTAGGCACCATAGTGAAGGTTACGAGATAAACCAGTGCAAGGCTCTTTAGAGCAAAATCTAGATAATGGGCATCTGGGTTGCACAGCGATGGTCATGTGCAATCCTGAGTTATGAACTTGTTACAATTTGATTAACTGTCTTTGTCCTGCCTCTGTATCCCTGCTTTCACACCACTGTAAGCTTGCTTCAAGCTAGCCCACCCCCTTTTGTGAAGTGTGTATAAAAGCCAAGTACTGTCTTTGTTCTGCGCCCAGTCTTTAGACGTTGAGTCTGCTGGGTCTGAGTGCACTCAATAATAAAGATACCCTCCTGTATACACCCCAAGGTCTCTCCCTGGTCCTCCTGATTACACAACAGCAACCATATAAAAAAGTACCTTCATACGAACCAAAAATCCGGTGAGCAATCACAGTACCTGGTTTTAACTTCATATCGCTGACAGAGGCACTGAAGAGGATAGCAAAGACAGTCTTGAAATGCCAACACCACCCTTCCCTCATCTCCAGGCAGTGGCCACATGGTGCGGAGAGAGAATCTGTATGCTTGGGGGAAGGAGAGCTCAGCCATTCTGGGACTTTGCATTGGAACTCAGTGTGGCCAGCACCAAGTAGAACTCTGCCAGTGCCCTTGGAGGGAGCATTTAGACCAGCCCTAGCCAGAGGGGAAGTATCCACTCTAGCAGTTGGAAGTTGAGTTTTGGCAAGTCTTGTCACTACGGGCTAAATTTAGTGCTCTGGAGTCCTAAACAAACTTGAAAGGCTGTTTAGGCCACAAAGACTGCAACTGCAGCACTAGGCAAGTCCTAGTGCTGTGCTGGGCTCAGAGCTTGTAGACTTGGAGGGGTCACATGACCTAGTGAAAACCAGCTAGGGTGGCGAAGGGAGTGCTTGTGCTACCCCTCCCCTAATCCCAGGCAGCACAGCTCACAGCTCCAAAAGAGACCCCCTCCTTCTGCTTGCGGAGAGAAGGGGAAGAATAAAGAGGACTTTGTTTTGCAAATTGAATACCCACTCAGTCACAGAAGAATAAGGCACTGGGAGGACTTATGAGGTCCCCATACTAGGACCTAGCTGTTGGATGACATTTATGGACACATCCTGGGCTAGAAGAGAACCTGCTGCCTTCAAGGGAAGGACCCAGTCCTGGCAGGATTCATCACCTGCTGATTAAAGAGCCCTTGGGTCCTAGCAGTGGTAGCCAAGTAGTATATGCCATGGGCCTTAGGTGAGACTCTGAGACATGATGGCTTCATGTGTGACCCAGCATATTCACAGCTGTGATGGCTATGAGAAGAGACCCCTTCTGCTTGAGAAAAGCAGAGGGAAGAATAAAGGGGACTTTGCCTTGCAGCTTAGGTACCAGCTTGGCCACAGTGGGGAATAGCACCAAGTGGGATCTTGGAGTCCCCGATTCCAGGCCTTGGCTCTTGGATGGCATCTCTGAACCTACCCTGGGTCAGAGAGGAGGAAGCCCACTGCCCTGAAGGAAGTCCCATGCCTGGCAGCATTCACAACAAGCTAACTGAAGAGCCACTGGGCCTTAAGTGATCATCAGTGGTACCATGATAGTACTCTCCATAGGCCTGTGGTGGTGGTGGACAAGGGGAGAGAGTCCTTTGCCTAAGGAAGGGGAGGGAACAGTGGAAAGGACTTTGTTTGTGATTTTGGTGCCTGCTTAGCCACAGTAGAGTACCCAGTAGAGTTCTAAAGATCCCGATTCCAGGCACTGACTCCTGGACAACATCTCTGGATTTGCCCGGGGCCACTTGCCACCCTGAAGGCAAGGACATAAGACCAGCTGGCTTCACCACCTGCTGACTGTAGAGCCCTAGGGCCTTGAATGAACAAAGATGGTAGGCAGGTAGTGGTTACAGTGGGCCTTGGGCAAGACCCAGTACTGTGCTGGCTCAGGTCTGACACAGCACAGTCTCAGAGATGATGGCCACAGGGGTGCTTGTGTCACCCCTCCCCCCAGCTCCAGGCAGCTCAGCACAGAGAGAGAGAGAGAGAGAGGCTGACTGACTCTATTTGTTTGGGAGACAGGAAGGTAAAGAATAAGAGTCTCTGCTGGATAGTCCAGAGAATTCTTCTGGATCTTATCCAAGACCACCAAGGCAGTACCTCTATGAGTCTGCAAGAACTACAGTGTTACTGAGCTTGGGGTATCCCCTAATGAAGACATGGCTGCAGTGACCAAAAACTTAGATCACAACACTGAAGTCCCTTTGAATACTCAGAAAGCTGTCCCAAGAAGGATGGGTACAAGCAAGCCCAGAATGCAAAGACTGTAAGGAATACCTAACTCTTGGCAGGGCATGGTGGCTCACGCCTGTAATCCCAGCATTTTGGGAGGCCGAGGCGGGTGGAACATGTGGTCAAGAGATTGAGACCATCCTGGCCAACATGGTGAAACCCCGTCTTTACTAAAAATACAAAAATTAGCTGGGCGTGGTGGCACGCGCCTGTAGTCCCAGCTACTTGGGTGGCTGTGGCAGGAGATTCGCCTGAACCTGGAAGGCAGAAGTTGCAGTGAGCTGAGATCATGCCACTGCACTCCAGCCTGGAGACAGAACAAGACTCCGTCTCAAAAAAAGAAAAGAAAGAAACACCTAACTCTTTAATGCCCTGGTACCAATGAACATCCACAAACATCAAGACCATACAGGAAAACATGACTTCACCAAACTAAATAAGGGACCAAGGGCCAATCCCTGAGACACAGATATGTGACATTTCAGACAGAGAATTCAAAAGTAGCTGTTTTGAGGAAACAAAGAAACTCAAGATAACACAGAGAAGGAATTCAGAATCCTATCAGATAAATAAAATGAAGGCAGTGAAATAGTTAAAAAGAATCAAGCAGAAATTCTGGAGCTGAAAAATGCAATCGACATACTGAAGACTGGATCAGTCTCTTAATAGTAGAACTGATCAAGCACAATGAATTAGTGAACCTGAAGACAGGTTATTTGAAAATGCACAGAGGAGACAAAAGATAAGAGAATTAAAAAGAATGAAGCATGCCTACAAGATCTAGAAAATAGCTTTAAAAGGGTAAATCTATGAGCTACTGGCCTTAAAGAGAAGGTAGAGAGACAGGGATAGAGTTTGTTCAAAGGGATAATAACAGAGAACTTCCCAAACCTAGCGAAAAATATCAATATTCAAGTACAAGAGGAACAGAGAACACCAAGCAGATTTAACCCAAAGAAGACTATCTCAAGGCATTTAATAATCAAATTCCCAAAGGTGAAGGATAAAGAAAGAATCCTAAAAGCAGCAAGAAAAAAATAAACAAATAATATACAATGGAGCTCCAATACGTCTAGCAGCAGACTTTTCAGGAAACCTTACAGGCCAGGAGCGAGTGGCATGACACATTAAAAGTGCGGATCTGGCAAAAATATCCTTCAAAAGTAAAGAAGAAACAAAGACTTTCCTAGACAAAAGCTGAGGGATTTAATCAAAACCAGACCTGTCCTACAAGGGATAATCAAGGGAGTTCTTCAATTGGAAAGAAAACATTAGTAAGCAATAAAAAATGATCTGAAGGTACAAAAATCACTGGTAATAGTAAGTACACAGAAATACACAGAATATTATAAAACTGTAATTGTTTTGTGTAAACTACTCATACTTAAACAGAAAGACAAAAAGATGAACAGATCAAAAATAATATGTACGACTTTTCAAGATATAGACAGTACAATAAGACATAAATAGAAACAACAAAAAGTTAAACAGCAGGGACACAAAGTTGAAGTATAGGGCTTTTATTAGTTTTCTCTTTGCTTGTTTATGCAATCATTCCTAAGTTGTCATCAGTTTTAAATAATGGGTTATAAGATATTATCTGCAAGCTTCAGGGTAACCTCAAATTTAAAAACATACAACAGATACAAAAAAAAAAATAAAAAGCAAGAAATCAAAACATACCACCAGAGAAAATCACCTTCACTAAAACAACAACAACAACAACAACAACAACAACAACAACAAAACAGAAGAAAGAAAAGTAGGAAGAGAAGACCAAAAAATAACCAGAAAACAAATAACAAAATGACAAGAGTAAATCATTACTTATCAATAATAATGTTCAATGTAAATGGACTAAACTCTCCAAGCAAAAGACATAGTGTGGCTGAATGGATAAAAAAACAAGATCCAATGATCTGTTACCTACAAGAAATACACTTCACCTATAAAGAAACACAGACTGAAAACAAAAACATTGAAAAAGATGCAAATGGAAAACAAAAAACAGCAAGAGTAGCTATACTTATATCAGAAATAATAGACTTTGGCCAGGTGTGGTGGCTTATGCCTGTAATCCTAGCAGTTTGGGAGGTCTAAGTGGGTGGATTACCTGAGGTCAGGAGTTCGAGACCAGCCTGGCCAACATGGCGAAACCCCGTCTCTACTAAAAATACAAAAATTAGCCAGGTGTGGTGGCGCATGCCTGTAATCCAAGCTACTTGGGAGGCTGAAGCAGGAGAATCACTTGAACCCACGAGGCGGAGGCTGCAGTGAGCCAAGATCCTACCACTGTACTCCATACTCCAGCCTGGGTGACAGAGTGAGACTCTGTCTTAAAAAAATAAATAAATAAATAAAATTTCAAGACAAAAACCATAGGAAAAAAAAAAGCAGGTCATTATATAATGATAAGGGGTTAATTCAGCAAGAGGATGTAACAATTATAAACATATATGCACCCAACACTGGAGCATCCAGACATATAAGGCAAATATTATTACAGCTAAAGAGATAGCTAGACCCCAGTAAAATAATAGCTGGAGACCTCAACATCCCACTTTCAGCATTGGATAGATCTTCCAGACAGAAAATCAACAAAGAAACATTGGGCTTAATCTTCACCATAGACCAAATGAACCTAACAGATATTTACAGAACATTTCATCCAATGGCTACAGAATACATATTCTTCTCCTCAGCACATGGATCATTGTCAGAGACAGACCACATGTTAGGCCACAAAACAAGGCTTAAAACATTAAAAAAAAAAAAACAAACAAACTTAAATAGCCCAGGAGTGGTGGCTCAAGCCTGTAATCCCAGCACTTTGGGAGGCTGAGGTGGGCGGATCACTTGTTCCTGGGCGGTCAGGAGTTTGAGACCAGCCTGGCCAATATGGTGAAACTCCATCTATACTAAAAATACAAAAATTAGCTAAGCATGGTGGCACATGCCTGCAGTCCCAGCTATTTGGGAGGCTGAGGCAGAAGAATTGCTTGAGTCCAGGAGATGGAGGCTGCAGTGGGCCAAGATCGTGCCACTGCACTCCAGCCTGGATGACAGAGCTAGACTCTGTCTCAAAACAAAAACAAAAACAAAAACAAAAACAAAAACAAAACTGAAATAATAACACTTGTCTTCTCTGACCACAGTGGAATAAAACTAGAAATCAGTAACAAGATAAATTTTGGAAACTATACAAACACATGGAAGTTAAACAGTATGCTCCTGAATGACCAGTGGGTCAATGAAGAGACTAATAAAGAAACTGAAAATTTCTTGAAACAAATAATGGAGACACAACATACCCAAACTTATGAAATACAGCAAAAGCAGTACTAAGAGGGAAATTTATAGCTATTTAAGTATCTACATAAAAAAAGAAGAAAAACTTCAAATCAACAACCTAAAAATGCATCTTAAAAAACTAGAAAAGCAAGAGCAAATCAAACCTAAGGTTGGTGGAAGAAAAGAAATAATAAAGATCAGAGGAGAAATAAATGAAAGGGAAACAAATAAAATAATGCAAAAGATCAAGAAAACAAAAATTGGTTTTATGAAAATATTTAAAAAATTGACAGATCTTTAGTCAGACTAATTACAAAAAAAGAAGGTCCAAATAAAATCAGAAATGAAAAAGGAGACATTACAACAGATACTGCAGAAATTTAAAGGATCGTTAGAGACTACTATTAGCAACTATAGGCCAAAATTGGAAAACTAGAAGAAATGAATAAATTCCTAGACACATACAACCTACCAAGGTTGAACCATGAAGAAATCCAAAACCTGAGTAGACCAATAACAAGTAATGAGATCAAAGCTGAAATAAAAAGTCTCCCAGCAAAGAAAAGCTCAGGACACTATCGCTTCACTGCTGAATTTTACCGAACACTTAAAGGCAAACTAATACCAATCCCACTCAAACTATTCTGAAAAACAGAAGAGGAAGAAATACTTCCAAACTCATTCCACAAGGCCAGTATTGCCCTAATCCCAAAACCTGACAAAGATGCAATAAAATAAAATTTACAAGTTAATATCTCTGATGAATACTGATGCTAAAATACTAGCAAATCGAATTCAACAACACATTAAAAAGATCATTCATTATGACCAAGTGGAATTTATCCCAAGGATGCAAGGATGGTTCAATGTATGCAAAATAAACAATGTGATACATCCTATCAACAGAATGAAGGACAAAAACCACATGATCATTTCAATTGATGCTGGAAAAGCATTTGATAAAATTCAACATTCCTTCATGATAAAAACCTTAAAAAACTGGGTACAGAAGGAACATAACACAATAAAAGCCATATATGACAGATCCACAGCTAGTATCATACCAAATGGGGGAAAACCTGAAAGCCTTTCCTCTAAGATCTGAAACACAAGGATGCCTGCTTTCACCACTGTTACTCAACATATTAATGGTACTGGAAGTCCTAGCTAGAGCAATCGCACAAGACAAGGAAATAAAGAGCATCCAAGTTGGAAAGGAAGAAGTCAAATTATCCTTTGATACGAGCTTATATCTGGAAAAAACCTAAAGACTCCACAAGAAAACTATTATAACTGATAAATTCAGTACGGTTGCAGGATACAAAATCAACATACAAAAACCAGTAGCATTTCTATATGCCAAAAGCAAATCACCTGAAAAGAAATCAAGAAAGTAATCCCATTTACAACAGCTACAAAGAAAATTAAATACCTAGGAATTAACCAAAGAAGTGAAAGATTTCTACAATGAAACTTGTAAAAGATTGATGGAAGAAATTAAAGAGGACACACAAAAAATGGAAAGATATTCCATGTTCCTGGATTGGAAGAATCTCAACATTATTAAAATGTCCATACTACCCAAAGCAATCTGCAGATTCAATGCAATCCCTATCAAAATACCAATGATATTCTTCATAGAAATAGAAAAAAAATCTTAAAATTTATATGGAACCACAAAAGACCCAGAATAGCCAAAGCTATCCTGAGCAAAAAGAACAAAACTGGAGGAATCTACCTAACTTCAAATTATACTACAGAGCAACAGTAATCAAAACAGCATGGTACTAGCATAAAAAGAGACACACACAGATCAATGGAACAGAATAGAGAACACAGGAACAATTTCATACATTTACTGTGTACTCAGTTTTGAGAAAGGTGCCAAGAACGTACATGGGGGAATAGAGAGTCTCTTCAGTAAATGGTGCTGGGAAGACTGGATACCCACATATGGAAGAATAAAACTAGACCCTATCCCTCACCATATACAAAAATCAAACCAAAATGGATTAAAGATTTAAATCTAAGGCCTCAAATTTGAAACTACTAAAAGAAAACATTGGGGAAACCCTCCAGGTCACTGGTCTGGGCAAAGGATTTCTTGAGCAATACCCCACAAGCACAGGAAACCAAAGCAAAAATGGACAAATGGAATCACATCAAATTAAAAAGCTTTTGCAAAGCAAATGAAACAATCAATAAAGTGAAGAGACAACCAATAGGATGGGAGAAAATGTTTGTAATTACCCATCTGACAAGGGATTCATAACTAGAATATATAAGGAGCTCAAACAACTCTGTAGGAAAAAATCTAATTACCTGATTAAAAAATGGGCAAAAAATCCAAACAGACATTTCTCAGAAGAAATACAAATGGCAAACAGGCAAATGAAAAGGTGCTCAATCAACACCAGTGATCATTAGAGAAATGCTAATCAAAACTACTTTGAGATATCCTGCCAGTCCAGTTAAAATGGCTTTTATCTAAGACAGGTAATAATGAATGTTTTGCAAAGATGTGGTGAGAAGGGAACACCGTTGGTGGGAATGTAAATCAGTACAGCCACTATGAAGAGCAGTTTGGAGGTTCCTCAAAAAACTAAAAATATTACTACCATATGATTCGGCAATCCTGCTGCTAGGTATATACTCAAAAGAAAGTAAATCAGTACACTGAGGAGATATCTGCACTCCCATGTTGACTGCAGCACTGTTCACAATAGCCAAGATTTGGAAGCAACCTAAGTGTCCATCAACAAACAAATGGATAAAAAAAAAGTGGCACGTATCACAATGGAGTACAATTCAGCCATAAAAAGGAACAAAATCATGTCATTTGCAATAACATGGATGGAACTGGAGGTTATTATGTTAAGTGAAATAAGCCATACACAGAAAGACAAACTTCACATGTTCTCACTTATTTGTGGGAACTCAAAATTAAGACAACTGAACTCACGGAGATAGAGAGTAGAACAAAGGTTATCAGAGGCTGGGAAGCGTAGTTGGGGGTCGTTGGGGGAGTGGGGATGGTTAATGGGCACAAATAAGCAGTTAGATAGCAAAACAGGGTGACTATAGTGAATAATTTCTTTGTACATTTTGCAATAACTAAAACTATAATTGAATTGTTTGTAATAAAGTATAAATGCTTGAGGTGATGGATACCCCATTTACCATGATGTGAATATTACACATTGTATACCAGTATCAAACTATCCCATATACCCCATAAATAGATACACCTACTATGTAGCCACAAAAATTAAAAATTAAAAAAAGAATAATCTGTTTTATTTTAAAATGTCAAAAATTATAGCTCACTGAAAATTATATCCTTTACAGTTATTTTAATCCACAATTTAAAGAGATGTTAAAGTCAATTTTTTAATAAACCCTCAAAAGAATATCCCTTTCCTTCATCTCTCATTCCACTCAACTATAGATACAAGTAAGGTATCTTGTATAGATACAAGTAAATTATCTTACTAGGTGTACAGCTAAAATAAAAATAAATCTGGCTATAAAATGTAACTTCTTCTTTTTTTTTTTCAGATGGAGTCTCGGAGTCTCGCTCTGTCGCCCAGGCTGGAGTGCAGTGGCTTGATCTCGGCTCACTGCAAGCTCTACCTCCCAGGTTCACGCCATTCTCCTGCCTCCCTACAGGACTACAGGTGACCACCACTACACCCGGCCAATTTTTTGTATTTTTAGTATAGACAGGGTTTCACGGTGTTAGCCGTGGTCTCAATCTTCTGACCTCATGATCTGCCAGTCTTGGCCTCCCAAAGTGCTAGGATTACAGATGTGAGCCACTGCACCCGGCCAAAATGTAACTTCTTAAAAGATGCCTTACAACTAATAAAATAGTACTACAACTATACTTTGTAGGATCAGTACACAAATTATATATAAAATATCCTGTGCTATATATATATACATATATAAATTCAGAAGCGAGAAGATTAACATTGGCTGTCTTTGGGTGTTAGGATTAAGTGATTTAAATATTTTTCCTTCTAATTATCTTTATTTTTCCAAATATTTAAAAATAAACATAAAACAGCTTATTTAGAATGCCCACAGATAGAATTTTTAAAATATTTAACAGTATTTAATTAGATATGGATTGTTACAAATAGGCTTAAACATAAAATTTATGGATGCTGCCAATTGTATAAAACTCCTACCTTGATAAACTTCTTACTGGCATTTAATAAAACAATTTAAAAGCAAAATTACTCATTTAACAACTGCATAGAACAATATAGTTAACTGCATCATAACGATTCCATTAACAGCAGTAACTAAGTTTATTTACCATTTTTCACCATTACAAATAACAAAATAATAAATATCTTTTGTCCACATATCCTTGTGCATACAATTCCACTTTCCATTTATTTCTCACCTGCTTCATCATAGTCATCACCACAGACATTCTCTTGGCCAACCAGTTGAAGACAACTAAACGGATCATGGGCCAGTGGGCTCCCAAAGAAACTTTGTTCTCGGCTTATTGAGACTCGCAGGGGGTCTCTGTCTTCATAAATACCTGGTTTACCTGGGGGGGAAAAAATATTTCCACTTCAATTTCTGGAACTATTAATAGCTAGAACTAAAGTGCCAATTTATATTATGGGTAGAAATCTAAGCTCTTAAAGACTTACTGTATATAGCAATAATTCCTTACCTTTCACAGTCAAGCTTTTATATTATTTGTATTCAATTTTACTAAGCTTTTAATGATGCTGCTACCTCACCACATCAGATTATGCCTCAGTATTGACTAATCACAAAGAAAATTCGTGGAGAATTTACCAGCCATTATAACATGCATTCATAATTTATATATAAAGTTCAAAAATAACCACAACTAATTTGTGGTATAGGAATCAAGATATGGTTTAGAAGACAGGGGATGATAACTGGGAAGGTAAAAGAGAAGTGTTTACTGGGTTCTCTAATGTTCCACTTCTTGACCTGGTGGTGTTTACATGAAACAAACATGATTTGTGCACCTCTTTGAAGGTTATATTTTGATAAAGCATCGCCCCAAAAATTGGGAATTAAGGGCGCTAGGCACTACTACAAAAGGAATACATGCAGCAGGAAACTAAAAACAGAACATTTAAGACTATGCACTTGGAAGAGTTATCCCTCTCCTGAGATCCCTGTCCATCAACATCATCCCCAGAGGAAACTAAAGGTTTATTCTCTGGAGAAAACGAATCTGATACACTCTGGGGTCCAGGGGATCAGGCACAGAAAGCAGGCAAGAGTGGAAGGGGGTGACAGAATGCCATAAGGAAATCAGAGGGTGTTAAAGTCTGCATCCTCAATCCAGATCTCCTAGGTCTGGCTCAATAATATCAACAGCCAGGCTTATATCAAGCTTAAAAGGTATTTCTTTGAAGAAACTAAACTTCTCTCAAGGAATGGAACTACAGATACTAAGGTGAGCGTCCTCACTACAAAGCCATACTTTTTCCAATAAAGTCCAACAGCACATATAGCCCCTCACCCCAAGAGAACCTCCAATTGGCCTTTTAGCATCCCGTTCAAATATGAAGACATTAGAGGAAAGGTTCTAAAGTATAAGACAGAGACAACAAAAAAATGAAAGAACTAAAAAATGTAAAAACCCAAACCAAAAAATCCACTGTAAATATTTAAAGTAGACAACATTCTGCATCCATGAAACAATAGCAGGATGCTATAAAAAAAGAAAATAATCAGAGAAAAAGAGTAACCTTTTAGAAACTACAATTTGATCATCAAAAGTTCAAAAGAAAAGTCAGAACACAAAATTAAGAAAATTAGCCCACAAAACAAAACCCAAAGAAAAAGAAAGAGAAGAAAAAATGGAAAGATCAATATAGATCAGTATTTCTCAACCTTATTTTTATCATCCCTTAAGGAGTCTTTTTAGACTTTTCCTTTTTAAACTGCCTCTACCCCCGTTCAGTTTTAATAACCACAAATATACTGTATATCTATTTATGCATATTTGTGCTTTGTACATATAAATAGTAAAAGTTTTTTTTCACCTCCCCAAGAACCAATTTTTATCCCTCTGGGGGAAAAAACACCCTTGTTAAGAATGCATAGCACGGCCCATACAACTTCCAACTAAAAGGTGTTCCACAAAAAGAGAAAATAGTACAAACTACATTATATTGAGAGGTATTTAACTGAAGTAGTAGAGAGTGGAAAGACAGACACTCTAAAAACTTTAAGCAAATTAAATAAATAAGACAATTTACTACATGAAAAAAAGTTTAGAAAAATAAAATATAATAACATAATATACTAATGGACTCCGCAGCAAAAAAGGTCTATGTATCACCATAATGACAATTTAGCTTAATTTTTGCTTAAACCCACTGCAACTATGGAAGTAAATACAAGAAGAAATACTTAAAATACTTGAAAAGTAACTGCCTCTAGTGAGTGGTATTAAAGGGTGTGTAGGGGCAGGAAGAACTGCTGTTTTATGTTATACCTTTCAGCGCTATTTCCCTTTTTAAATTACTTGCATGTAATATGATGATAGAAGTATTACCCTAAGAAGTATGGTAAAGGCTATGATGAGACCAAGACTTCATGAGAAGGAAATCTGAATAAGTTTACCAAACCAATGACACTTACTAAGTCTTGAAGGGAGGAAGAGAAAGATCATGAGGGCCTGGTAGTTCACCTACCAGGGGTTTTGGTAGGGATTTTAGTTCACCTACCTAGGGGTCTTGACTTATTTAGACTTACTCCTAGACTTAAAAGAAACCACTGCAGTCTCAACCCCCTGGGCTCAAGTGAGCCTCCTACCTCAGCCTCCCAAGTAGCTGAACACTACAGGCAAGCGCCACCAGAGGGGGTTTCCCTGCATTACACCAGGCTGGTCTCGATCCTCCCATCTCAGCCTCCCAAAGTGCTGGGATTACAGGTGTGAGTCATTGCACCTGGCATACCTCCCTTAATTCTTTCAAATGCTCAGAAACACAGGTACAATATTTTATAGCTGAAGATCAAACAGCTAATATTAACATTACAGCTTTTTTTTCAACTACTATACTAATGGGGATACAACTTCTAAGTACCTTTCTATTGACAAAGCTAATGTTCCCCTTTAAAAAATAATTTATTTTGATAAATTTGATCGAGAAAATTATTTAGTGAATCTGAATTCTAAAAAAAATTATGAAATTCACATAAGACTATTTATTAAGAATTACAGAGATGGGGCCGGGCGCAGTGGCTCAAGATTATAATCCCAGCACTTTGGGAGGCCGAGGCGGGCGGATCACAAGGTCAGGAGATGGAGACCATCCTGGCAAACACGGTGAAATCCCGTCTCTACTAAAAATATAAAAAAATTAGCTGGGCTTGGTGGCGGGTGCCTCTAGTTCCAGCTCCTCGGGAGGCTGAGGCAGGAGAATGGCGTGAACCTGGGAGGCGGAGCTTGCAGTGAGCCGAGATTGCGCCACTGCACTCCAGCCTGGGCGACAGAGCGAGACTCTGTCTCAAAAAAAAAAAAAAAAAAAGAATTACAGGGATGAGTGTTTTATTATTTTTTTCTGACACCTGGATGTAGAAAGTAGTACAGTGAATAAATATATCTAATTGACCACAAAGCCAGGATTTAAGCATAATAATCCTATAAAAATATAAGAAAAGAACAGAACAGTGAAGGTAGGAAAGTAGAAAGTGACAAAGGAAAAGAGAAAAAAAAAAAACCTGAGTGTATCCTAAAAGAAACACATTTAGAAGGCAGACATGAAAGGAAACGGGGAGCAAGACTGTCAGAAGATGGAAAACCAAAAAATTTTTGCCTACAATAAGTTGTTTTCCCCATATACAAGATAAAGAAACTACATAGTCATAGTTATTACCAATGCCACATTTCCTTAAGTCCAAATTTTAAATACTGTTTAAATAAGCCATTTTTTCCTTTTCATGAAAGTCAGTCTAGGTTTCTTTTTTTTTTTTCCATCTCCTTTTTCTGCTATAAGTTTAACAAAAAACATTTAGCACTCTGAAAAAATGTAGACCAGGTGCGGTAGCTCACGCCTGTAATCCTAGCACGTCGGGAGGCTGAAGCAGGCAGATCACCTGAGGTCAGCAGTTCAAGACCGGCCTGGCCAATATGGTGAAACCCTGTCTCTACTAAAAATACAAAAATTAGCTGGGTGTGGTGGCGGGCGCCTGTAATCCCAGCTACTCGGGAGGCTGAGGCAGGAGATTTGCTTGAACCCAGAAGGCAGAGGTTTCAGTGAGCTGAGATCACACCATTGCATTCCAGCCTGGGCAACAGAGCAAGGCTCCATCTAAAAAAAAAGTAGAAAACTGGCAAATTATTTAAAAATCTTGTTTTATCAAAGCATCTATTTACCTAGTATAGAAGTTCTGCCAATTGCTGGTGACTCTACTTCTTGTATAGCACTAAGTTCATGCTGGTTTAAGTCCAAACCACATTTGACTTTTGCTACAGGTGGCTTTGAGGATCTTCTCCCCAGATCTTTCTCCAGATGCTCACCTATTAAGTCAATGACAAAGTTGGATACAATACAAAATCTATTAACATACTTCTAACTTTTCTTCAACTAGCAAGCTACAGGGGACGAAAACAAGGAATAATCAGTGAAATAATTACAATCAAACACAATTATCTTACCACTTTGCTTGGCACTAGTATCTTCTGAAGCCAAATGATTATCATCAGAGTTGTTCCTATCTGCATGCCTAATATTTTCTTGATCATTTCCTGCTAGGTCTTGTGTATTAGGAAACCAGTCTCTGAGCTGCCCCATCTTCTGGGTTTTTAAATCATTTTCAACTGTGGGCTTACTTATCTGAAAAAGTGGAGATGAGGGTGGGGAAGCACAAGTTGGGGGATCATGTGAAGCATTATTCATTAGATTTATATCTCCCTTCTTAAATTAGAACGTAAACCAAATAAATAGTTCCATCAATCACAAAATTTTATCTATATATAAAAAATAAGATATGCTTCTAATGCCAAAAGGATATTTCCATTGAAAATACAACCATTCGGCCAGGCGCGGTGGCTCACGCCTGCAATCCCAGCACTTTGGGAAGCCAAGGTGGGCAGGACACCTGAAGTCAGGAGTTCAAGACCAGCCTGGCCAACATGGTGAAATCCCGTCTCTACTAAAAATACAAAAATTGGCTGGGCGTGATTGTGCATGCCTGTAATCCTGGCTACTTAGGAGGCTGAGGCAGGAGAATCACTTGAACCTGGAAGGCAGAGGTTGCAGTGAGCCAAGATCGTGCCACTGCACTCCAGCCTGCAGCCTGGGCAGCAGAGCAAGATTTCGTCTCAAACAACAACAACAACAACAACAAAAACAACAACCATTCACAGCCTTGGACTTAAAAACTTAGCCTACAGCCAGGTGCAGTGGCTCACGCCTGTAATCCTAGCACTTTGGGAGGCCGAGTTGGGCAGATCATGATGTCAGGAGATTGAAACCAGCCTGGGCAACATGGCAAAACCCTGTCTCTACAAAAAATACAAAAGTTAGCTGGGCATGGTGGTGCATGCCTGTAATCCCAGCTACCCGGGAGGCTGAGGCAGGAGAATCGCTTGAACCAGGGAATCAGAGGTTGCAGTGAGCCAAGATGACGTCACGGCACTCCAGCCTGGTGACAGAGCAAGACTCCGTCTCAAAAACAAACAAACAAACAAACAAAAAACAAACAAAAAAAAACTTAGCCTCCATTTCATCTTTCCATAAGAGATTATATTTGAGTATTTCCCTCTGCTTTTCTTTTGCCATTACTTTTCCTTTAAATGACCAGTAAATCTCTTGACGTTAACTCTTCCTGAACCCAACTCAAGCTTCTTCTCGACATCAAAGGATTTGTAGAATTCTATTTAGACTAAATAATAAATTTAGGAAGTGGCCTTTCATTTATTTATTTTTTTGAGATAGGGTCTCCCTCATCGCCCAGGCTGGAGTACAGTGGCATAATATGGCTCACTGCAGCCTCAACCTCCTGGGCTCAAGTCATCCTCCCACCTAAGCCTCCAGAGTTGCTAGGACTAGAGGTACATGCTACCATGCCTGGCTAATTTTTGTATTTTTTGTAGAGACAGGGTTTTGCCATGTTGCCCAGGCTGATCTTGAACTCCTGGGCTCAGGAGATCCACCTGCCACGGCCTCTCAAAGTGCTGGGATTATAAGGCCTGAGTCACCATGTCCAGCAGAACTGGCCTTTTAAAATAAAACAGATACATTCAAATTTAGAACATACCCTTGTCTCCCAGATAGGGCAACTATGAATGAGTCACTGGGCCGAGTCTTATGAACAATTCAGATAAAAGCAGCAGGTCCAGCTCTACATCAGCCTAAAATCATGCCCGTTTTACAACAAACCATAATAGTGTCACTTGAGAAAAAAGATGGTATTGATTTTGATTTGTATATAAATGTCAACAAAGAGCACAATGTCTGTTGCTGCATAAGAGAAATTCTGCTAACCAGTTATTTTTACAATTTAAATCTTATGGTAAGCTTAAAATACATTAAAACAAAACTCTAAAATAAGAATCTACATTGTTTTGTGGTGTGTTTGCAGGTGAAATTAATTGAGCTTTGGGTCAGGTGTGGTGGCTCACACCTGTAATCCCCGCACTTTGTAATCCCAGCAACATGGGGAAACCCTGTCTCTATTAAAAAAAAAAAAATACAAAATTTAGCCAGGCATGGTGGTACATGTCTGTAATCCCAGCTACTTGGGAGACTGAGGCACAAGAACCACTTAAACCCAGGAGGTAGGGGTTGCAGTGAGCCGACATGGTGCCACTCTACTCCAGCCTGGACAACAGAGCGAGACCTTGTCTCAAAAAAAAAAAAAAAAAGCAAAAACAAAAGAAAATTTAAAAAAATTAATTGGACTTCACGTAACTATTAACCTCATAAACACCATGTGGGTGGATCGATTTTTGTTTTAACTTCCACATCATTTAGGGTGAAAAATCAAAGCACAGTTAAGGTCAAACTACTTTTTCTCAATAACTGAAAACTTGTAATCCTAGTATTAAAAACTGATTTGGGTTTAAACTTCTAGTGTTTCATTATTATTCAGGTTTAAAACATACCTGACTGTCTTTAAAGAAATCCTTCAAAGTCTCTTCATGTTTCTGTATCTGCTGCTGCAATGCTGTTTGTCTCTGTACAAGCAATTTTTCCTGGGCTTTCTGGCTATAATGCAGAACTTCTCTTTGTAGATCCAACTGTTTCTGAAGTCCCAAGTTATCTTGCTGAGTTAAGACAGACTGTGAAAAACTCAAAAGTCTATCTTGAAACCCTGGGATCACAGGATTACTTGGGGGGGCTGCATGTTCATTCTGGGATGAATACAATTCACAAGTGCTTTTAGGTTTAGCTTCTGCAAAAGGTAGTGGAATAAACGAATGCTCTGTTTCCTTGGGTAGAAACAAAGAGGGGATAGTATGCTCAGCAGATTCACTTTTGTTCAACTTTCTTTGTTTGTTTAAAGACAGTTCTTCCTGGGGTTTCTCATAAGAATACATCACTTCCCTTTGTGCATCCAATTGTGCTGTCATATTATCTTGCTGAGGCAGAATAGGCTTTGATAAACTCAAAAGTCTATCCTGTAATCTTGGAATCTCACGATGACTTGAGGGAAGAGTATCATTACTTTTGGTTGGGAAAGACTTCTGGGTTCTTTCAGAGTCAGCAACAGGCACCTGGGATACAAATGAAGAGGAGCAAACTTGTTCAGATGATACCCTTTTCTCCAATTCACTTAATCTTTGCAAAAGCAATTCTTCTTGGACTTCCTGTATAGATCGAATGGCTTTCTTCTGTGTATCTAACTGCTGTTGAAGTGCCTGCAAATCACCATGGTGAGACTGGATAAAATGCTCAGAAGATACCTTTTCCTCAAATTTACATGGTTTTGACAAAACCAATTCTTTCTGGGTTTTCTCAATAGAAGGAAGGAAATCTGTCTGTGCATGCAAGTGTTCTTCAAGTGCAATCAAATTATCTTGTTGAGGTAAAACAAGATGTGATAAACCCAACAGCCCATCAGGCAATGTTGGTATCTCTGAGTGACCTGAGGATACTATATTATCACTGTTAATTGAACATGGTTCTTGGTTTCTTTCAGATTCATTAAGAGGTAATGAGGCGAATGAATGCTGTGGTACTAGGGGTAAGGAAGAGGTGTCAACCTGCTCGGGAGATATTCTTCCCTCCCATTCACTCTGATGTAAAAGTAATTCTTCCCGAGCTTCTTGTCTAGCTAGAATGATGGCTTCTCTCTGTGTAGCTAACTGTTCTTGAAGTGCCTTCAAATTATCTTGTTGAGGCTGGATAAGTTGCGATATCCTCAAAAGCCTATCCTGCAATTGTGGGATCTGAAGGTGGCTTGAAAAAATTTTACTTTCACTCTCTGTAAAAAGAGGTTCCAGGATTGTGCCAGACTCAGCTGAAGCTAACGAAGTAAATGAAAGCTGTACCAACTGGGGTATGAATGAAGATGAACCAGTTTGTTCAGAAGATGTATTTTCTTGGGTTTTCTGGCTGAAATGAAAGGCTTCTTTCTCAGTGTCTAGCCATGCTTGGTGTTCCTCCAAATTATCTTGTAGAGGTAGCATATGTTGTGAAACTCTCAAAAGTCTTTCCTGACATCTTGGGATCTTAGGATGGCTTAAGGGAATGGTACTGTCACTCTTGATTGATATACATTCCTGGAATCTCTCAGATTCATCCACCTGGGAAAGGGATGAGGAGGTGCCAGTCTGTTCAGAAGAAATTCTTTTCTCCAATTCACTTTCTGTGTGTACAAATTCCTGAGTTCCTTCTTTAGCACCAAGTATTACCCTTTGTATTTGTGACTGTTCTTGGAGTATTGTCAAATTTTCTTGCTGTGCCAGGCTATGCTGTGGAAAACTAAGAGACTTATCCTGAAATGTTGGGATTATCAAATGACAGGAGGGACCTACATTCTCCTTCTCAGATAAATAAAGCTCCTGAATTCTCCTAGGCTCAGCTTTAGCAGAAGCTTGTGAAGCAACTGAATGCTGAACAACCACTGGTGAGGATGAAGAGCTCACCAGCCCAGACTTACTGTCCCCCAAATCTCTTTGTCTATGTAAAAGTAATTCCACCTGAGCTTCATGCCTAGCCTGAAGAGTATCCCTCTGTTTAGTCAACTGTTCTTGGAGCAACTTCAAACTATCATGTAGAGGTAGGAACTGCTGTAGGAAACTCAAAGACCCATCCTGAGATATGGGGATGTCAGATTGGCATGAAACAAGTCCTTTCTCGCTCTTAGATGAATGTTGCTCCTGTATTTTTCCAGATTTTGTATCAGCAGATGGTAGTGAAGTAAATGTATGCTGAGCTACCTGAAATGGGAAAGAGGGCTCAGCCTGTTCGGAACATACTCTTCTATCCAATTCACTCTGTTTATGTACATACAATACTTCCTGGGCTTCTCGCCTAGCCTGAAGGCTATCCTTCTGAATATTCAACTGCTCTTGGAGAAATTTAAAATTATTTTGCTGTGATAGGATAGGCTGTGAAAGACTCAAACGCTTATCCTGAAGTTGTGAGATCACATGATGGTCTGAGGAAACTGCAATATTATTCTTGGTTGGTGAAGATTCCTGGATTCTCCCCAAATCTGCTTTGGCAGAAGGCAATAAAGCAGATGAATCTGGAGTTACCAAGGGAAGGAATACCGAGAGGCCCGTTTGCTGTTCCACTTCTTTCTGTTTGCACAAAAGCAACTGTTCCTGAGCTTCCTGAGTTGCCTGAAGAACTTTCTTCTGTAGGTCTAACTGTTCTTGGAGGGCCTTCATATTACCTTGCTGGGCTGTGATATTCTCTGACGGCAGCAAAGGCCTATCATGCATTTGGCTGATTATAGAATGGCTTGTGGAAACTGTACTTTTGCTCATGGCTGAAAAGGGTTCTTGAATTTTTCCTGACTCAACTTTAACAGGCAGAGAACTAAAAGAATGCTGAGGTACCAGTGGTACAAATGAAGAAGGTTCAGTTAAATGGTAAGATATATTTTCACTATTCTCTGAGAACAATTGTTGGGATTCTAAACTTTGAAAAGTTGTTGCCCCAAATGTTTCAGATATTTTTCTAGCATCCTGTGATATTAGCTGCCTGTCATGTGACAAAGCCCTTGAAAGTGTCTCAGAATCTTTGGGGACCAATTTATAGTCTCTCTGTTGTGTTTCAGTCTGAGAGAATTGCCTTAGATGTTCTTGTGATTCTAAAGCTTGATTGGTTAAAATATCTGAAGCGCGTAATGTTTCTGTTGTTTCCACCTGTCTTTGTGGAAAGTGATTTTGTCTCGCTACCTGAAAATGATCTTGTTCTAATTTGGAGGTCTGTATAGGTTGTATGGGTTGGTATTTGTTAGGACTCAACTTGAGTCTCTGACCTTGATCCCAATGCTCTGATATAGCAGTCGGTCTCTCAGATTTCCATGATGGCACTGATATAACAGAATCAGTTATCAATGATGGAGCTGACACCGATGGGCACCTTCCTTTTAACATAGTTTGATATTCAAGTAATTGTTTCCTGGCTGTTTCAACAGACTGCCTGTGTAACCTACCAAAAACAAAAGCAAACAATTATTGTTTTTTAATGAAAAATAAAAAGCCCCATGTCTATACATTAAATTTAACAAACAGCAATCTAGGGTTGGCAATACTCATGGTGAAAAGAAATTACACTCACATTGTCCTTTAAGAATGGCAGTTCTAAATGCCATAATTCTAAGGAAATCCAAATTAGATCCTCATATAAATGAAACAATAAATCCTAAAAATGTAGCCACATACGATCACATATAAATTATACCCTAGCTAATACCTGTTTTGTTGTAAAAGCTGATGTTGATAGTTACGAATCATCTGCCTATGACTATCTTCATCAGAAATTACAGGGCATGATGCTGGAGCAATGCCAACCTAATAAAAGACAAAGTTACTAATTAAAAAGCAAATTTAGAAGTAAGTATTGAAGTATTTTTACATACAGTTCTATAATTGTAAACTTCCATACAGCTTTATTTTTTATAAAATGACTGGCATTTCCATTAGTAAGAAATGAACTAATCTGTCATTCTCCTTCAGTGCAGGTCCAAAAGCTCAACATACGCATTACCTACAAACCATGGTCGTATCTATTAGTATCCTATAGAAACTGAAAGATGAAAGCCGTAACTGATGCAAATTTATTCATATATACATACATTATATCAAAAAAAGACCAAATAAGAATTACAAAGGCATTTTACTTTTATTATTATTATTTTTTTGAGATGGAATCTCACTCTGCAACCTCCACCTCCCAGGTTCAAGCGATTCTCCTGCCTCAACCTCTGGAGTAGCTGGGATTACAGGCACGTGCCACCATGCCCAGCTAATTTTTGTATTTTTAGTAGAGATGGGGTTTCACCACATTGGCCAGGCTGGTCTCGAACTCCTGACCTGAAGTGATCTGCCTGTCTCGGCCACCCAAAGTGCTGAGATTACAGGCATGAGCCACCGCGCCCAGCCATCCATTTTACTTTTCTAAACGCTACAAGTGCTCATATTTTCTTGCCCCCCTTACCAAATGATTTATGTAGTGATGAGATTTTCTGCATCCTACCCCAGTCGGTTGAGTTTTTTTTCTTTTTTCTTCTTCCAGCTGAGCCCTGAAGCAGTCAGTTTCTAATCTTAATTTCTGCTGTTCAATTTGTTCAAGTAATTCCAATTGCTTTTGCTTCTGCTCTTCTATTTCCATTATCTAGGTAACAAAATACTATTGATCTATTAACAACAAACTCATACAAAGGCAAAGATAACACACGTTCCATTTAAAAGAAATTAGGTTTCTTCACCAAGGGTACCAATTTTCAAAGAAGTAAGTGTTGATGCTTTATCTCTGTTGTTATCACTGACAGACTGAGGATGGGAGTAAAAGATGGGAAATGGGAAAAAGAGAAAAAGGGATAGAAGTAAAAAAAGGCAGAAGGAAAAGAAAGAATAAATACATTAACTATTTCTACTTTCTGAGAGCACAGTGAAACCCTGATCACCACTGAAGAACTACCTTGAAGTAGCAAATGATGTACAGCCAAATTCTATGTTCACACATTTAATAGTATAAATAATGACTAAAGAAATTAAATATCAAGGCCTCCTAAAATACTTTGACTTCTTAACCATGCTCATTAAGAGGGATAGTTATCTAGAAGCAATGAACAACATTCTGTGTCTTTTTTGTCAGGCATGGAACAGAAGAAAATGGCAGAAAGATAACACATAAACTCTAATACTATACAAGCACACTCACACTCTAAGTAATATGAACATGTTTGAGTAACTATGAGTTTCATGAGGACAAAACTAGCCTGCCAAATCCAGCACCTTAGTCCCCTCCTATCTGCAATTTAGCTTTTGTGGTTTAATTACTCAGGGTCAACAGCAGCCAGAAAATCTTAAATAGAAAATTCCAGAAATAATTCATAAGTTTTAAATTATGCACTATTCTAAGTAGTGTGATGAAATCTTGCACTGTCCTACTCTGTACTGCTGAAAACATCAATAATCTCTTTGTCCAGCATATCCATGCTGTAAACTGGACCAGGCCATTTGTTACTTAGTAGCCATCTTGGTTACAAAAACTTGCCTGTTGCAGCATCACAGTGCTTGTGTTCAAATAACCCTTATTTTACTTCACAGTGGCTCCACAGCATAAGAGTAGTAATGCTGGCAATTTTGATATGTCAAAGAGAGGCTGTAAAGTGCTTCCTTTTAGTGAAAAGCTGAAAGTTCTCAATAAGGAAAGAAAAAAAATTATACGCTGATTGCTAAGATCTATGGTAAAAGTAAATCTTCTATCAGTGGAATTATAAAGAAGGAAAAATAAATTCACCCATAGTATATACAGGAATCAATATTATCCACAGTTTGGTACTATTAAGCATCCACTAGGGGTCCTGGAACATATACACTGTGGATAAGCAGGGACTACTCTACAGTCCCTGATAAACAGACAAGTATTTACTGAATAAGTAAAAAAAGGAATGCACGTTGTTTTCTTATATAAAGAGCAGCACTTCTACTAGAGATAATGAACAATGATCTTGTTTTCAAAATAAAAAATGTTTTGACCTGATTCTTTACCTATTCCTAGTTAGGCAACAGTGGCTTCAACTGAGTTCCCAGACAGTTCCTCTTCCTTACTTTCCCTTACTCATAGGAGCCCCTGAATTTAGACTGTTTACAGTTCTGTAGTACATCTACAACTGTACTGTCCATAGAGTGGTTACTAGCTTTATGTGACTACTTAAATTTAATTAAAATTAAATAAAACTTAAAATTTAGTTCCTCAGTTACACTATTTTATTCAACAGCCCATGTGGCTAACAGGTACATACTGTACATAGATATAAAACATTTCCATCATCACAGAAAGTGCTACTGAACAATACTGTTCTAGACTATTGATGAGAAATTTTTCTTTTTTTCTTTTTTTCTTTTTTTTTGAGATAGTTTCGCTCTTGTCGCCCAGGCGAATGCAGTGGCACAATCTTGGCTGACTGCAACCTCCACCTCTTGGGTTCAAGCGATTCTCCTGTCTCAGCCTTCTGAGTAGCTGGAATTGTGGGTGCGTACCACCACGCCCAGATACTTTTTGTATTTTTAGTAGAGATGGGATTTCACCATGTTGGCCAGGCTGGTCTCAAACTCCTGACCTCAGGTGATCCGCCCGCCTAAGCCTCCCAAAGTACTGGGATGACAGATATGAGCCACTGCACCTGGCCTGAGAAAGTATTTATCTGAGAAGAAATACTGGCTCACGGAATTATTCCCCAGCTGTATTTTTGAAAAAACTAACTAGGACTATAAACTGGCCTGCTTAGTAATAATTAGCCTCCTTCGAGGTAAGTTGGGTTAAAAAAATATTTTATTAAAAGTAGATGAGACCAAAGTCATAAGTTAAGGAGGATTTTTTTTTTTTGAGACAGAGTCTGGCTCTGTCGCCCAGGCTGGAGTGCAGTGGCGCAATCTCGGCTCACTGCAAGCTCTGTCTCCCGGGTTCACACCATTCTCCTGCCTCAGCCTCCTGAGTAGCTGGGACTACAGGCGCCCGCCACCATGCCCAGCTAATTTTTTGTATTTTTAGTAGAGACGGGGTTTCACCGTGTTAGCCAGGATGGTCTCTATCTCCTGACCTCGTGATCCACCCGCCTCAGCCTCCCAAAGTGCTGGGATTACAGGCGTGAGCCACCGGGCCCGGCCTTTTGTTTTTTTTTTTTTTTTTTGAGATAGAGTCTCACTCTGTCATCCAGGCTGGAGTGCAGTGGTGTGATCTTGACTCATTGCAGCCTCCGCCTCCTGGGTTCAAGCAATCCTCCCACCTTAGCATCCTGGGTAGGTGGGACTACAGATTTGTGTCACCACACCCAGCTGATTTTTGTATTTTTAGTAGAGACAGGGTTTCACCAGGTTGGCCAGGTGGGTCTCAAACTCCTGGGCTCAAGTGATCTGCCCACCTCAGCCTCCCAAAGTGCTGGGATTTCAGGCATGAGTCACTATGCCCAGCCTAAAGAAGTTAAAGTTTAGCTTGGGCAACATAGCAAGACGTCATCTCTACTAGGAAAAAAAAAAAATTAGCTGGGCATGGTGGCCTATACCTGTAGTCCTAGCTACTCAGGAAGCTGAGGTCAGAGGATTGAACTGAGGAGGTCAAGGCTGCAGTGAGCGATGATCGTGTCACTGTACTCCAGCCTGGGCGACGGAGCAAAAAAAGGGCGCTGTATATTAAAAGTTTTTCCTCTGAAGTATTATTTTTCAAAAAACTTGTGGGATTACAAAGCCCATCTGAGTGTCTAATATTATGACAAGGACTTGTTAATTCAACAATTATTTATTGTATACTTGCTATGTACAAAGCATTGTATCAGAAACTGTGTAGGATAAATTGAATTTTTTAAAGAAGATAGTCTCTGCTTTTTAAAAGCTAATAAATTTTATAGGGAAGATCTATACAAATATATAAAATATAAAGCAGACACAATAAGGGTTGAATGAGCAGTATGGGCAAAGACAACACGCATTTTATCAGCTGAATGTTTGTGTAAGACAATGTCAAAAACATGATATCAAAATTAGCCAGACATTAAGACAAATTTCATTGGCCAAACAAAATTATATAATAGTACCTAGGGGAAAAATAAACCTTTAAAAATAAAATTTCAAATTACCTGTTTCTGCCTTGCTGACATTCTAATCCTGGCTGCTGCTTCTTGAGGATGAAGTAGAACTGAACTCTGAGCTACAGTTGTGATAGGCAGAGTCTCATTTATTTCTAGGGGAATGCCCCAAACAAAAATTAGTTTCAATAATTTAGAATTTTGACACCACTATAATGCCCTTTCTTAATATATCACATGTAATTTTATTTAAAAAAAAGATGCAAGGAGTCAAATTTAATTTGAGGATGTGATAAAAAGAAATACCTTGTTCTTTTCCAGAGTTTGTACCACACGAAAGTGGTTTATCTTCACTAGCAAGTGGTCCAGACTCAATTGTTAGTGTATCACTTTCAACAACTGTAATAGATAATACCACTGTTATTTTGAATATATAATCATTGTCAAACTTAAAGCAAAATAACAAAATTCTGGTATTAACACATTCAATCTAGGGCCATCTGAATGTCTCATCTAGTTAAGATCCAGTAACCTTCCTGATGATCAGATATATTTCTCATTAAACCCAAGCCTAATAATAACAACAGAGATGAAAGACTGAAATTGTGAAAACGTGAAGAACTGATTTAATAGATACGCTGATAGGATTTCAAACATAGGAGAAAGGCATAAAAAGAGCGGAAACAACAAGGTATCAAAGTTAAAAAGGAGAAGCTAACAAAATGTCAATGTATCTTTGATATATTTGGATACTAGGTTTTTAAAAAATAATTTGTGAAACCAGAGCAGAGAAGGAAGTTAAAGCAATTTGTTCTGATCATATTTGGGTAGCCAGATAGTCTGCATGGAGCTATCCGTTCATTCACTCATTAATTCATTTGGTACCTACTTATGTGGCAGATGCTGGGGATACCACAGTAAATGAGAAAATGCCTCAAGGAGGCTTTACAGAGTAGGTGGCAGAACCATCTTATAATTATCCCAGAAAAAAATTATAAAATTAGAAATTGTAATAAGTACTATATAAGAAAAGTGAAGGGTTATACAATAGAGTATAATAAATCTGGGCAAGATGAAATTTCTCTGAGGAAACGACATTTAAGCAGACACTTGAAAGGTAAGGAAGAACCAGCCAGGTAAACAACATGAAGATGTATAGGAGACCTTTCCAGACAGACCAATGGGTATAAAAGGCCCCGTGAGGATAAAGAAACAAACCTTGGCCCATTCAAGAAACTGAGAGATCAGTGTGCATGGTTTTAGTCAGGCAAGGGGGAGAATAAAGCAAGATGAGAATGGTGAAAGCCTGCTCATATTGGCCCTTTATCTTTTTTTTTTTTTTTTTTTTTTTTGAGACGGAGTCTCATTTTGTCGCCCAGGCTGGAATGCAGTGGTGCGATCTCAGCTCACTGCAAGCTCTGCCTCTGGTTTACACCATTCTCCTGCCTCATGCTCCCGAGTAGCTGGGACTACAGGTGCCCGCCACCACGCCTGGCTCACTTTTTTTTTTTTTTTTTTTTTGTGAGACAGAGTCTCGCTCTGTCACCCAGGCTGGAATGCAGTGGCCCGATCTCGGCTCACTGCAAGCTCCACCTCCCAGGTTCACGCCATTCTCCTGCCTCAGCCTCCCAAGTAGCTGGGACTACAGGCACCCACAACCACCATGCCCAGCTACTTTTTAGTATTTTTAGTAGAGACAGGGTTTCACCATGTTAGCCAGGATGGTCTCAATCTCCTGACCTCGTGATCTGCCTGCCCCGGCCTCCCAAAGTGTTGGGATTAGAGGCATGAGCCACCGCACCCAGCCCATGCACGGCTAATCTTTTGTATTTTTAGTGGAGACGGGGTTTCACCGTGTTAGCCAGGATGGTCTCGACCTCCTGACCTCGTCATCTGCCCGCCTGGGCCTCCCAAAGTGCTGGGATTACAGGTGTGAGCCACTGCGCCCAGCCAGGCCCTTTATCAAAAGAACTTGGTCACGGATTGACTATGAGAGTTCCCTTTTTTGGACTTCAACACCATATTCTCCCTTACTTCTCTGGCCACTCCTTTTACTGACTTTGCTATCTGCCCTTTCTCTAGCCATCTTCTAGATGTTGGAATCCCTCAGATGGTCTTACAAGCCCTCTTTTCACTAAATTATTTCCCCTCCAAGTGGTTTTCTATGCCCATGGCTTTAAATATCATATATATGTCTAGATTCCAAATTTACCTCTCTTGCTTTAAATTATTCAATTAATTCAACGAATGTTAACTGAGCACCTGTTTTGTACAAGGCAGTAGTCTAGACTCTGGGGACATAGCAATGTACAAAATCAAAGCTCCTGTCCTTATGGATGGGTGGGGTAGGCATTAAGATAATAAGCAAAATAAGCACCAGTCACTTTACTGGGCCCATCAGATATTGATAAGAGCTATGGGGGGAAAGCAGGGTAAAGGGGATAGGAAGTAAAAGGTGTGGAGGTTGGGGTAGAGGTGGGGAGTGGTAGAAGTGTGCCATTTTATATAGTCAGAAAAGGCCTTACTGAGAAAGGGATAGTTGAGTAAACATGTGAAGGAAGTGAGGGAGTGAGTCAAGGAAATACCCAAGAAAAAGAGAAGTCTAGTCAAAAAGATTAGCAATTGCTAAGACCACGAGTCCTATGTTTGCTGTCTGAGAAACAGCGAGCAAGCTGGCATCTACAGTGCAGAAGATGGGTAGGGAGGTGTGGCAGGCAAATGAAGTCAGAGAGGTAGTGAGTATGGGAGTAGTGGTGGTGGGGGTGTATGTGTGCAGGTCACATAAGGCTTTGAAACCACTATAAACTCTCTGGTTTTTACTGAGTGAAACTGACAGTTACTGGAGGGCTTCATCCAAAGAAATGACATGAGATTACTTGTTTTTAAGAGGACCACTATGTTAATAGACAATAACAGGGAGGTGCAAAGGCTGATGATAGCAGGCTACTACAAGAATCTACCCTAGGAAATGAACATGGCTTAAGCTAGGATGTAGGTGGAAAGAAATGGTTGGACTATGGATATATTTTGAGGGTAGGACCAACTGGATCAGCTAATAGTTTGGACATAAGATACATAAGATATGAAAAGAGGGAACCAGAATGACTATAAGCTTTTTGGCTTGAGCAAGGGAATTAACATATTGCCAGATACTGAAATGTGGAATACTGTAGGAAAAGCAGGTATGTGGTGGGAGGGGATATCAACAGGTCACTTCTGAAGAAATTTAAGATATTATTAGATATACAAGAGAAGGAAACAGTTAAATAAGTAAGGTGAGTTCAAACAGGAGGCCAAAAATAGAAATGCATACTTGGGAGACATCAGTTTACAGATGATAATGTAAAGTGTGACATTTGAGATCAACTAGGGAGTTTTGATATAAAGAGAAGGGACTTGCGGAATGAGCTGTAGACTAACCAACGACTAACAATGGTTAGTCATTATGGAGATGTGGATAAACAGCGAAGAAAATGCAAGAGAAAATAGTAAAGTACGAAAACCAAGTGAAGGTGCTGTCAAGGGGCCAAGGGAAGAAAATACTTCAAGAAGGCTTCCTGTGGGACTCAGGATAAAATCCAAAACCCAAATATAGACCACAAGTCACTCTTATCAAAAGCATAGAAGCAAAACATTTCTATACAAATCCAATCACATTTTTAAAATCATCCCAATCAAGGAGATACTTGAATTGTGTGTGAAAAGATACTTTGTAACTTCTGGAAATATAGTTAATAGCCTATTTTTCCAATCAGAAAAGTATTTAAAATTAGCAAATAAGAAACTAAATACCTAGTGGGAATACAACACGCTCAAAAGCCATTAACATGCTCATATATCCTTTGATCAGGAGTTATTCTTTAAAGAGTCCTTCCTAAGGAAATAAAGATGTGGGCAAAGACTTCACTAAAAGGATGCCCACTGTAGCACAAAAATGCCAAGAAAAATTAGAAAACAGCCTGAACATCTCAATAAGGAACTGGTTAATTTTGATTCATTGATTACTTTGCAATTAATATATATAAATAACTATACTAGATTAAAAGTGGTCCGGAAGAAGATTCACTAAGGCTTTTATAATGTTTCTTTGTTGCTTTTAATTAGCAGGATTATGTTTTGTTCCTTTTAACCTCTATTCTTTGATTTTTCAGAAACGAACCTACTTTTGAACAACTTAAAAGGGTTTATAGAAAATGAGACTCTTGGAGAGAAATACCTTGTTCCTGCCCAGAGGATAACGTTCTCTCTTTGCTGGCAATTGTTCCTGACTCAACCGTTGGTGCTTTACTCTCAATTTCACTAACAGTCGTAATCATTTCACTTTCATCCTCAGACATAGATTTAATTGTCCAGAGAGATTTTTGGCTTCGGATCTTATTTAATAATTTTTTAAAAAGAACTTTTGAAGGAATCTGTTGGGTCTTCATTACCAAGGGAACTAAAAGAAAGAAAAAGGGAAAAAACTTATTTAGCATCTATTGTATTACCAGGCAAATTGTTCCATCTTATATTCGGTTACTGCTATAACCACTAGTTAAAAGCACAGTTTTATTTTCCTCATATTTACGATTTAACAGTATATACAACAATGCTATCTGACTCCAATCATTATAACTAGAAATAATTTTTTCAACTGAAAATAGTAAAAGTGCCAAAATTCAAGTATTTTCCAAAAACATGTATGCAACACAAATATCAAGCCTAAAAAACTTATCAGGAAGATGTTTATTTTGCTTGCTAAATGATAAATGAATGTGTAACTTCTAATTAATTTGCTGGTAAGATTAGTATTGAAAATATATGCTGTGAGGTTCTATAGTCTACACTAGAGAATGGTCCCAAATATGGCTCTGTATTTCTTAGTGAGCTACAGAGGAAAACATCATAGCCATAAAAGCAAATCAACTGCTCCCAAATTATTCTTGGCACTATCTGGGAAAAATGTCTCCCACCCATCTTCACACAGAGATCCCTTCAGTTAAAAACAAAAACAAAAAAACAACACAAGTATTTCTTCAAACATTTTCCCATGTGGGCTGATAGTTTAATGCCAAAACTCAGTATAATACGAACAGTTCTCTAAGAGGACAAAAGTGTGATGCAAGTACATATTTCTCTGGCTTAGTCAAGGAATAAAATTTAAGAATATCTTTAAGAGGTTGAAAATAGGCAGATTGTAGTTTTGTCTAACTTATATTAAAAAAAATTCCAATTGAGTTATAATTCACAAAGAACAAGGTGCACAAAAACCTAAGTGTATAGCTTACTGAATTTCACATATGTCAATGTACCACCTTTCAGATCATGTGGAACATTACCAGGACTAAGGTTCCTTCATGTCCCTTCCCAGTCAATACACCCCTAAAAACAGCCCCTACTTTAACCCCAAGATCACAGATTAGTTTTGCCTGTTTTTTTAAAACCTTCATATAAACATGGAATCACACATTTAGGTATTATTTTCTGCCTGGCTTCTTTCATTTACCATTAGTCCACAACCCACTCATTTTTAAGAAGTAAATTCATTGCCAATATTTAAAAGTAAGGATTTTTAAAAACAATGAGATTTCTAGCTTCAAACAAACAAACAAACAACTTGGCAACACCAAGCCAATAAGACCAAATGAGATCAGCAGGAGCTAAAGTGTAACTGTCCCTTTAGATTGGGCAAGACTTCCATTGTGACAAACTAGATATTGATACTCCCAATGAAAATAACTGAAAAAGCTGCATGAAAGAGTAAAAATATCTTTTTTTTTTTTAAGATGGAGTTTCACTCTTGTTGCCCAGGCTGGAGTGCAGTGGTGTGGTTTCGGCTCACTGCAGCCTTTGTCTCCCAGGTTCAAGCGATTATCCTGCCTCAGCCTCCCATGTAGCTGGGATTACAGGTGAGCGCCACTACACCCGGCTAATTTTTGTATTTTTGGTAGAGACAGGGTTTCACCATGTTGGCCAGGGTGGTCTTGAATTCCTGAACTCAAATGATCCTCCCACCTTGGCCTCCCAAAGTGCTGGGATTACAGGCATGAGTCACCGCACCTGGCTGTAAGAATATCTTTTTAAAGACACTGCTGGCCGGGCATGGTGGCTCATGCCTGTAATCCCAGCACTTTGGGAGGCAGAGGTGGGCGGGTCACAAGGTCAGGAGTTCGAGACCAGCCTGGCCAACATAGTGAAACCCCGTCTCTGCTAAAAATACAAAAATTAGCCAGGCATGGTGGTGTGTGGCTGTAGTCCCAGCTACTTGGGAGGCTGAGACAGGAGAATCACTTGAACCCGGGAGGTGGAGGTTGTGGTGAGCCAAGATCGTGCCACTGCACTCCAGCCTGGGCAACAGAGCAAGACTCCATCTCAAAACAAACAAACAAACAAACAAACAAAGACACAGCTGACCTGGCATGAAAAGAAAAGGTTCTGCAGAGGACAGAAATGAAATTTAAGTGGAAAGCTTGGAGGGAAGGCAAGTCAGCCCTGAAACCATCTTCTGCTAAGCTTATGCCAAAGTCAAAACACAGTAACCTTAAGCTGCTGCTGCTTTTTTTTCCCCAGTTGCTGGTAGTAACCTTAGGCTTCCGTTTGGACAACAATGTAGGCATAGGAGACATGAATAAGGCCTAGAGCCCTCACTTGAGGAGTCTAATAGGAGGCCTACATAAAGTTGGAATCCCAAAAGGCTACGTTCACGGTGTAGGGTGAAGATGATAAGAAAGCCTGGGTGGTTTTAAACAAAGGAAATACCAGTAGATATGGGAGGCCTACATAATAGGAGGCCTACATAAAGTTGGAATCCCAAAAGGCTATGTTCACAGTGTAGGGTGAAGACGATAAGAAAGCCTCAGTGGTTTTAAACAAAGGAAATACCAGTAGATACGGGGCAAAAATAGCTGAATTCCATGAAGAGGACTTGGTCTTTAAGGAGACATGCAGGTAAAAGGAAAGTATTAAAGGTAACTCCCAGTGGTCTGGCTTGGGTAACTGCAGACTGTGATACCATTCACTAAGATAGAAAAGACAGGTAGAGACAGTTTTAGTAGGCAAGAGAAGATCATAAATTTATTGCTAGACATGCAGTTTTAACTATGGGACAGCCAAGTAAAAAAGTTCAGAATGTTGGAGATAGAGATGTTTGAGAGATCAAAATTTGTGCTATCCATCATTACACACGAAGTACCTAGAAATAACTGAATACCAGTAGGATCTCTGATGATCTGACAAGTCTATGCTGATCTTTGTCGTGCTGAACCTCTACTCACTCAAATGGGGATGGCACCAGGTTCAAGATGCCAAATAAGAGATCCAGAGCTAGCCAATGAGATTTGGGGTTTCACTGAGGGCATACACATAAGGGAGAGTCCAGTGGCAGCAGGCTGGACAGAAGAACTGCAACCGCTTGCAAAAAGCATGCAGTTTAAATAGTACTGTCACTTAGTACCCTTTTCCTAACGATCTCCACCTGACAACTTTCATTCAACCCAAAACTTGACACCTTGATCCTCTGTATGGCTCATGTTCCACGGGATGGGACAGGGGCTCAGATGTTCCTCATAGACAAGAAATGAACCTCCAGGTTGGCTACTCCCAGATTCCCTAGCTCAGAACACACATTCAGGTGTGTATGCCACACAGGGTCATTCTCAGGGTATGCTTAAGTTATTGCTATCAGATATGTTTACCATGCAACCTTTCTAATGAATTCAGAATTGAGCACCCAACTCAAATAACCTGAAAATCTTCAGATCATCTGTACGTCTGAATAAACTTTCCTCCTACACATATGAAAAAGGATCGTCAATGATGGAAATATAAAAACGTTGTATCCTTTAGCTACTGCTCCCATCAGTATTACTCATTGCTTGCACTTATATCAGACCAGATTTTCCTAACTGCTGGCTAATGGTTAGCATTTTTTTTTTCTGTGAAATACTGTAATATTTAGCTCAGAAGGGTTTTTACCATCTGTTTCACTAGAACATATTTCAGCTTCTGTCACTGGAAGGTCTTCAGCTGCACCCAAATTTTCTTGTTCCATTGAAAGGTCCAGCTCTTCATCTTGGATCTGATTAGTCACAGTGGGCAAGGGCTCTGGTTCAAGGTGCAGAATCAGATTCCCTTTCACCTCTTAAAAAAGAAAAATAGAGACACGTTTCCATTCCAAAATGATTAAAAATAACTGGATCACAAAAATGCAAAGGCCACGGTAATGTCTCAATCTAAAATATGGGGGGCCTCCTTCAAACAGAGAACTCATTTCAAGATAAAAACTGCTTTATCATTACAAACATATTTTCCCACCAAAACGTATAAAATCACTATTGAAAGCCCTACTGAAAATATCTTACTCCTGTCTGCATTGTACATATCTTCAAAGGCAAATTCCAATTCTCTCTGCCAGTCTTCTTTCATTTCACTGCGTTTGTATGGAAGTTCAACTAGTTGTGGTGGCATTTGTGCTACAGTCTGTCTCCTACGTGCCAGGTCCTCTTGCTGTAGCTGTTTGAGTTCTTTCATTAGTTTCTCCTGATTCTTCAAGAATAAAGAGAATTAACAAAAACTGAGTCACAAACTTTGTATGGTAATATTAACAATGTTGCAGGTAGGGGAAATGAGGATCAGGGTCTAAGCTTCTCTCCTCTCCTCTATTATTTGTTCAGCCAAAAGACAGACATTTATTCATTCAACAATTATTTGCTGAATACCAGATACCACATTAAGTGCTAGGGACACAATCTCAACCCTACCCTAGTAGTAAGACCAACAAATAAGTAGTGTTATGTTAGTAAGTACAATGAAAGAGTGGTACTGGTTAGGCCATAAAGCTGCAAAAAGTGTCTGCCAGCTACAGTTTTCCTTTCTGAGGAAAGTCATGAAGTTAATGTCTATATAAGTTGCCATGGCTCCTGTGATGTACTTTGTTCCAGTTCTCCATATACCTATCTCAGGTAAGCACCAAGACCCAGGGTGACTGTGGCTTAACATAGAATATTTCTTGTTACCTCACACTCTTATGAATTTCCATTATTAAAGGAGATCTGAATGTATTTCTTTAAGCTTAAAGAGTATGGCTAATATGAAAGTTTAATCAGTGTTTTAATGAGGTTATCTAATGGAATTTTGGTGGTAGAAGGTAAGGAGGGAGAACAAGGCAAGACTTCTTGTTCCTTGGGATGGGATAAGGATTTAGCCAGACAAAAGTGGCTGAAAGAGAATGAGTACATGTAAGAAAAAAACTGCAGCACAACAGTATGGAGATGAAGGCACGGGATATTCAGAAAATAGCACACTGTTCATTATAGCTAGGGCATGGAGGGCAAGGATGATTAGGGAAGGAAGATAAAACTGGAGAAGCAGGTAGAAGTCAAATATTAGTTAATATAGACACTAGAAGGAAATAAGGTCCCAGGCCACAATACAGTATGCAGCAAAAAGGTTCAGACAGGAAAAATGAAATCCTCTATTAGCAGTGAGATTGCACGGTTTTTTTTTTTAACAACCTTCTTATATAAGGAACATTAAGTCTACTATAACGTAGAGAAATCCTGCATTAAAAAAATGGTAATGGGCCAGGCACAGTGGCTCACACCTGTAATCCCAGCACTTTGGGAGGCCAAGGCAGGCAGATCACCTGAGGTCAGGAGTTCGAGGCCAGCCTGGCCAATATGGCGAAATCCCGTCTCTACTAAAAATACAAAGAGTAGCAGGGCGTGACGGCATGCGCCTGAAATGCCAGCTACTCGGGAGGCTGGGGCGGGAGAATTGCTTGAACCCAGGAGGCAGAGGTTGCAGTGAGCCAAGATCACGCCACTGAACTCTACCCTGGGCAACAGAGTGAGACACTGTCTCAAAAAATAAAAAATAAATAAAAATAAATTAAAAAGTGATAACATATATACATTACTTATTCTTTTGTAAAGTTTTAACTATTTTGTCTTTTGAGGATGAATTTTTTTTGCCATGTCCTGAAAAGGAAAATTATAAATGAACTTATTTCATTTATACTAAGATTCTAATTATCTAAAGTTGTTTGAGTAAGTGTACTATTCTAGCTCACTGCAAGCTAGTATATTATTCCTTTTGGATTATTTATAACAATGACCACTACCACTAACATTTACTGAGCTTATGAAATTCCAGGCACATTTCCAAGGGCTTTGGAAAACTCATTGAATCCTCACAAAACAGATGATCAGGAGAGGTGTGGCAGGGGAGGTTAAAAAAAAAAAACAAAAACAAAAAACAGCCAGGCTTGGTGGCCCACACCTGTAATCCCAGCACTTTGGGAGGTCGAGGCAGGCAGATTGTTTGAGGTCAGGAGTTCCAGCCTGGCCAACATGGTGAAACCCCGTCTCTACTAAAAATACAAAAAACTTGGGCTGGGCATGGTGGCTCACGCCTGTAATCCCAGCAATTTGGGAGGCTGAGGCAGGCGGATCATGAGGTCAGGAGATCGAGACTATCCTGGCTAACGTGGTGAAACCCTGTCTCTACTAAAAATATAAAAATTAGCCAAGCGTGGTGGTATGTGCCTGTAGTCCCAGCTACTTGGGAGGCCAAGGCAGGAGAGTCATTTGAACCCAGGAGGTGGAGGTTGCAGTGAGCCAAGATCACGCCATTGCACTCCCGCCTGAGTGATAGAGCAAGACTCTGTCACAAAAAAAAAAAAAAAAAAAAAAAAAAAAAATTAGCTGGGTGTGGTGACGCGAGCCTGTAGTCCCAGCTACTTAGGAGGCTGAGGCAGGAGAATTGCTAGAATCCGGGAGGTGAAGGTTGCAGTGAGCCAAGATCCCAGCACTGCACTCCAGCCTGGGCGACAGAGTGAGACTCCGTCTCAAAAAAAAAAAAAAAAACAACACATGAAACAGAACTTAGAGAGGTTAACTAATCTGCCTGAGATCAAACAGCTGAGTGGTGAAGAAGACAGATAAATCCTGGCAGAATGACTGTGAAGCCCACTTGCTTAACTACTAAACATTACTGCTTTTATGGAAGAATCTGTTCAATTTATGACTGCTTTTTGTGTCTGTTTTACTATAGGTTTAAACCTTAGATGGGGAGAATTACTGATAATAATTCAGACATTCAGTTATTTTAGTCATAATTCACTCCTAGTTTATGAAAGCTAAAAATTTAAGGGAGAAGCTCATGATTTAGTTCAAACTATAAAAATAACCTTTCATAAGAAAATTTAATTTCCAATGCATTTTTAAGAAGTACTTAAAAACTCATTCCTAAGATGGGTATTTAAAAAATCCAAATGCATTAGTCAAATTCAGAAAATAAAATCAGACTTCTAATAAGATGAATCATTTTTATGCTATATTTTAAGACTAAGCACTAAATGAACAATAAGCATGACAGAAGTTAAGCTAAAACTATAAAGCCAGCTTTCATTACAATATTTTACATATTGATGACAGTCACTATTTATTGATTGATTGACAGAATCTCACTCTGTCACCAGGGTGGAGTGCAATAGTGCAATCTCGGCTCATGACAGCTTCTGCCTGCCAGGCTCAAGCAATCCTCCTACCTCAGCCTTCTCGGGAAATGAGGTCCCAGGCCACAACACAGTCCCAAACTGGGACTGACTGTATTGACTCTGTAGTCCCAGGCCACCACGCCTGGCTAATTTTTGGAATTTTGGTAAAGACAGGGTTTCACCATGTTGCCCAGCCTGGTCTTGAACTCTTGGGCTCAAGCCATCTGCTCACTTTGGCCTCCCAAAGTGTTGGGATGACAGGCCTGAGACAGGCCTGAGCTACCTCGACTGGACTTGACAGTCACTTTTTATTTAATTTTTTTTGAGACAGGGTCTCGCTCTGTGGCCCAGGCTGGCGTGCAGTGGTATGGTGTGATTTCAGCTCAACGCAACCTCCTTGTCCCGGGCTCAGGTGATCCTCCCACCTTGGCCTCCTGAGTAGCTGGGACTACAGCCGCACACCACCATGCCTGGCTAATTTTTCTGTTTTAAGTAGAGACGTGGTTTCTCCATGTTTTCCAAGCTGGTCTTAAACTCCCGGGCCTATGCGATCTGCTCGCCTTGGCCTCCCAGAGTGCTGGGATTACAGGCATGAGCCACCATGCCTGGCCTATTGACTGTCACTTTTTAAAAGCTCCGGTAGCAAGGATCATGACTTTATTTTTGAAACAACATTCTGCAAAGCCAACAAGTGCTTTGCTCAATACAAATTTAATGAACTGAATCCTCAAATTTATAGAGCACATATGCTATTGAAATAATCAGGAAAGTGATTTTTTTCCTCAGGCTGTTTTTGGACATATTAAAATATTAAACTTTTAATAAATTCATTAGTAAAATTTTTAGAATAGCAATACACTGGGAGAATAGCTTAACCCAATCAGAACTTGAAATTGGAGGGCAAAGAAAGTTGGGAAACTTGAAATCATATGAATCAGAGACTATATTGAACACCCACCCTTCCTACCTTTCTTTGAGCTCATTCACTAATCAGTCCTGCAATGCTATTAGTAAGTCCATGAGTAATGGTCATGGGTAGAATATAAGTCTTACTTGAGCCAAATGGATCTTCTTCATTGCTTGGAATCCCCGTACATGTGCCTTTTCAAACCGTTCCATTCTCTCTTGTGCTGCCTGTTTTTGTAGTTCTTCCAATCGTTTAGCTTCCTCTTCAGCAGCCAAACGAGCATCTGGCTAGCAGTCAATCAAAAATTGTAGGCAAAATTTTTAAAGTGTGAGACAAGCAGTAACTAAAAAACAAAACAACCTTAAAATCATGTTTTCTACATATATAAAATATAAGAAGAGTTATATTTTAAAATGTCCACAATTATCAACGGCATGTACCTATGAAAGGGATCAAATTGTTAGTATAAAGCTTTACGAGTTACTCATTTTAAACCAGATGAGGTTATACTCCTCCAAACACATTTATCCATCACTTTGTAAGCAAAGAAATCTCTTGCTGGGCGTGGTGGCGCATGCCTGTAATTCCAGCACTTTGGGAGGCCGAGGTGGGTGGATCACCTGAGGTCAGCCTGTCCAACACGGTGAAACTCTGTCTTTACTAAAAATATAAAAATTAGCCAGGCATGGTGGCGGGCACCTATAATCCCAGCTACTCGTGAGGCTGAGACAGGAAAATCACTTGAGCCCGGGAGGCGGAAGTTCCAGTAAACTAAGACTGTGCCACTGCACTCCAGCCTGGGTGACAGAACAAGACTCCATCTCAAAAATAAAAAAAAGGAAACTTCATTAAAATGACAGTATTGAAAGGTAAATACCCACAAATCTCATTAACATAAATAACACAAAAAAGAGAAAGAGGCACAGAGTCTGGATTTACTTTTTTTTTTAAAGAGATGGGTCTTGCTATGTTGACCAGGCTGGTCTCAAGCAATCCTCCCATCTCGGCCTCCCAAAGCGCTGAGATTACAGGCGTAAGCTACCACATCCAGCCTGGATTTACTTTTATTATCTGAACATTCACTTTCAAGTATAGGTAAATATTCTAAATGTAACCAGCAGTAAAAGTCTTTTTCTGTCTTTTGTATGTTGAAATTCTGCCAGCCAGTTGAAACAATTAATGATGACCAAAAAAGCTGTTAACTTCAAGTGTAAGATTATTAAAAATTCTCACATGGTGAGATAAATAGGTAGAGAGATTGACAGTTATTAAATTAACAAAGAGTACACTGGCCAAACAAATTTATCAAGAATATAACCGCTTTGAGCCACTAAATATTCATGCAAAACTAAATAACATCAGGTAAGACAAAAAAAGTTAGATTAAATCAAAATTATAATCTGTAGGAGTATTTAGTATATCAATATGTATGATATTAAATAATATAACCTCTGAGAACAATATTTCAATCCATTTCAGCCATGAGGTTTTCAAGAAAAAAGTTGTTTATGAATTCTTCACATCTCTTGAAGATAAATTAAAAGCAGTATGTCAATTTTGGTAAACCAAAATTTTAAAGAAAGGAAAAATTTCAAAATAGCATACAACATGAATGATAAATATCAGTCCAGATATAAAAAAGCATATAAAGGATATGAATAAAGGGTTAGAGAAAAAGTTAGGGACCACAAACAAATTTTGTTCTTATTGATCATACTTCAAAACAAGATTTATAATACAGCTTTAGGAAGACAATCCCCTATAGATTTGTGTCAATGCAATTAAAAACATAACCATAAATCTGGTTGAAATAATGTTAGATTCTATTTTCAGTATGTGAAGATCAAAGATATATGAATGATAAATGCTATTATTAAATACATTTCTGAATCTTGTACATCAGATATTTGGACAGAAATCTTTTTAGATATAATAGAGCATGGAAAATTGATGATGAATTTAACTGATTCAGCTTCACTTTTCTGCAGACATTTCTGGGTCTCACCACAAACAATACAGTTAATCTGACTGAATATTTTCAGAATGCAAAGTTCATTTGAAAAAAATGCTACGTAACTGTCACTGACAAAGAATAGACATGATGAAGCCCATGAATATGTAATGTAGGACTTTTAAGCGTATGATGTTTTGTTCAGTTGTGTGTAGAGGTAGCGAATGTAGCAAAACAAAATGTAGAGAATTACTGGCTGTAAGTAGGACTACAGCAGGCCACTTTCATAAATCTTCTTCAGCCAAAGATATATATTATGACATATAAAAGATTTTGGAATTACTTTATCAGGATATTAAAAACACACACACACACAATAGCAGCTCTTATGTGCTAAAAAGGCTGACTGAACAAATGAAAGTTTATTTGCAGAAAGCTGCTAAAGAAAAATACCCAAACATATATGCCAAGCGTGCAAATATTTTTTATATGATACCTGCTGTAAAGATCATATCGTACTCCTCCAGGGAAGATGCTAAAATTATTGTGCATGTGATATAAGTTGAGTGCAGATGAAAATTCAGAGGTAATTTTATCTTGAAAGCCAAGCACATTGGTCATCACATTTTAAATCCAAAGTTTAAGGACAGACTTTTCCTAAGTGATACAGTAAAGCAGCAAATAAAAGAAAATATTCGAATAAAAATGTGTTCAGTAATAAACCCATTTCTGAAAATATTCAGAAATCATATCTTCATTCAGTACACAAAGCTTTAGTTTGTGGGAATACTTTCATAAAACTGTTAGAAACAAAATTTGTTTGTGGTCCCGAACTTTTTTCTAACCCTTTATCATTATAACTACTGATCTAATTTTTAAGTCCAAAAATTGAAAAGGAGGTAGGCCTTCTGGTTACTATCAAAAAAGAAAGCTTATGGATATTAATTTAATACCATCAGCAGCACCCTATGCTGACAGAGTTAGGTAAAAAAAAATTCATCATCAATCTTAGTTAAAAGGTAGCATCTTTTCAAATCACAAAAATGCAGTAAACAGTAAAGCAGTTAGCAACAAATTGAAGTTATTGTTCCTACATCATAATATCGAAACTGTAATAATACTTTACAATTTTAAATAAATCTCAGATTTACTCTTGCATCTTAGAAGTTCATTCTGTGATGATATTCATTTTAGTTCTTAACTGAATATTTTAATACCTGCTATTAAGCAGTCAACCAAAATGTGTATTTGTTGCATTCTAAATGCCACAGGAATGCTATAAAATTTATTTTCCTAGTAGAGAAATATATTCAACATGAAAAAAATTAAAACCCCCACTGACACAGAGAAATAGCAATTATAATAACAATATATCATTTGTTACTCTTAAGACTGGCAATAATTTTTAAAACATAATATTCAGTGCAGAAAAGGCTATGGTAAGGTGGTCATTCTCCTATGTTGCTGATGCTTTTAAAAAGCAATTTAATGATCTGTATCAAATGTTACACAGTTTGGAGCCAATACTTTCTCTTTCAGGAATTTATATATAATCAGAGATGTGGATAAAAACGTGCAAGATAATGCTTACATTACTTACAGAAGCAAAAAATAAAATAATGGTTAAATAAATGCTACCATGAAATATTAAGTGGCCACTAAAAATCATGTTTTGAAAAGTGTGTGTATATGTTTATATTTAAATAAAGGTTATAATGAATTTATTAAAACATTAACTATATTCCACTTTGGTGACAGAATTGGTGTTTTCCCAATAGTTTACACTTATATGTACAGTTCCAAATTTTCCACAAATAGCATGTAATATTTTATGATAAAAAAAGCTTTAAAATCTGCTATTTTAAAATAACCATTTAAATAGCCAACTAGTTTCTTTAATTCATATTAAACCATCATATGCCTGACATGAAAATTCAAAGCATTTAAAAGGTTTTGATTATTATTATCAATTGTCCAAATTTTGAAATCTGGGAACACCATACATATAACTAAGATATAATTCAATTCAATGCACACAGAAATAATAAAGCGAGGGCATGAAGAAACAATAAGTCAATCACCCGTTTTGTGTCTGTCTCTCTATTCACAAAAGTGTGAAGATGATGGTAGGTAGAACTATTGGTTTTGACTGCAGAAATTCTTTTTACTTCGATGTTCTGGAAAAGAGAACATAAAAAAATAGGTTAAAAGCATTAATTTTCACTTAAAGCTGAATCCAATGCAAAAAAAGTAATTTTGTATTTTAATGAGTTCTCCGCATCCAAAACATGCTAAATATCTGCTCATAATGAAATCAAATTTTTTGAGTTAAATTACTTCAAATTTTAATAAAAGTACCAGATTCATCAGTATTTCAAATCATCTTCAAGGTGTCGCTAACTAAATGTGTTTTATTCATCTCAATTTTTAAGTTATTTATAGAGAAATTTCATCTTTAAATCTCCTGAATATAGAAGGGCTTACAGGCCATATCAAATGAAATGAAAAGCACTTCATTATATTTATAAGACAACAACATGCACTACTATGTCCTCTTCCATATCTAATCACAAAAATTCTACTGTAGTTCACATTAGTCTTATTTTCTCAATGTTTAATGACGTATTTTGAATTTTGGTCCTGAAACACTTGCCAATATATTTAAATTACACTTACTCCAGAACAAAACAACTCTCAGAAGAATGAAAGTAAACTACCTTCCCCCTTCCCTTTCCTGTATTTTGTAGTAAAGGCAGATTCAGTCCATCACAACCTATCACATACTGATGTTAAATTAATTAACTAAACTGACAAAGAATATTAAGTGCCTACTATGTGTTAAACATTACACAAGGCACTGTGAACGACAACGAGAAGTAAAATAAAATAATGGCCCCTGGCTTCAAGGAGCTCACAGTAACAGTTCTAACTAGAAGTTCTAACGATTACACATAAATTAAATAATAAACCATGCATTTTACAGATAATTTGATGAAAAAAATATCCACAAAGAAATGCTAACACTTCTGCTGGATGTCTTCTGTATTATATCCCAGTAGTGAAAACTTAGCAAAGTCCCTCAACTTTTCTGTCCCTCGGCTTTCTCAAGAAAAGTGGGTTTATAGCTATCGCTATACCATATGATCATTGTGACAATTACTGTAAGAATCAATTAATGTATAAAAAGCACTTTTAATTTTTTTAAGGCCTGTTGACAAGGCCAGAGTACAGTGGCATTGTACTCTGCACTGTAACTCCTGAGCTCAAGCGATCCTTACGCTTCGGCCTACCATAGCTAGGACTACAAGCATGTACCACCATGCCTGGCTAATTCAATGACATCACAAATGCAACACAGGTTGGGAGGGAGAAAAGTTTAAATAAGAATAGGTTGAGAATTAACCAAAGTTTTAGCTATAACATATATGAGTGTGGAATGATGAGGAGGACTCAAGTGAACAGAAACAATATAAAGGACAAGAAGGGGCTGGGCGCGGTGGCTCATGCCTGTAATCTCAGCACTTTGGGAGGCCAAGGCAGGTGGATCACTTGAGGTCAGGAGTTTGAGACCAGCCTAGCCAACATGGTAAAACTCCATTTCTACTAAAAATACAAAAATTAGATGGGCATGGTAGCACACACCTGTAATCCCTGCTGCTAGGGAGGCTGAGGCAAGATAACTGCTTGAACCTAGGGGTCGGAGGTTGCAATGATGCAAAATGAGCCAAGATTGTGCCACTGCACTCCAACCTGGGCGACAGAGCAAGAATCTGTCTCAAAAAGAAAAAAAAAAAAGAAGGGGGGATTAAGAAAATCCAAGTAAAAATGTACAGTCTGATGTGAGCAGAATTATCTGAGTAGTTTTTAAGAACTTCTCGTGTCTTGGCCCCACACCAAACGAATTAAATCAGAATCCATGGAACAGAGCCCAGTATTAGCATTGTTAAAAAGCTGCGGCCAGGCGTTGTGGCTCACACCTGTAATCCTAGCACTTTGGGAGGCCAAGGCAGGCAGATCACTTGATGTCAGGAGTTTGAGACCAGCCTGACCAACATGGAGAAACCCCTTCTCTACTAAAAATCAAAAATTAGCCAGGCATGGTGGCACACACTTGTAATCCCAGCTACTTGGGAGGCTGAGGCAGGAGAATCGCTTGAACCCAGGAGGCAGAGGTTGCAGGGAGCCGAGACTGCACCACTGCCCTCCAGCCTGGGCGACAGAATAAGATTCTGTCTCAAAAAATAAAAAATAAAAAAAAAGCTGCACAGGTGATAAATGTACAGCCAAAGTTGAGAATTACCTAGACCAGTCAGAAGATAACTAATTGGCAAATACCTGGATATACATCCAGATATGTACAATAGAGGACCTTATTCAGGGTCTTATCATTTAGGTAAAGGATTAAACTGACCACTAATGAAAACATTAACTAGCATACATATACACATATACATATATATATTTGAGACAGGGTCTTGCTATGTTGCCCAGGCTGGTCTTGAACTCCTGGGCTCAAGGAATCCTCCCAACTCAGCCTCCTGAGTAGCTAGGATCAAAGGCAGGTGCCACCACACTCAGCTTTAACTAGTTAATATTAAAGTTCAGTAAGAAACTGAAGTCACAAAACAAAAATTCAGAGATGGTAGTACACATTAGAATGCTTCACTCTACGAAGAATCTTAGTAGACTTTAAATCAATGCCTTGAAAAAATAAACCATAGGCTTCTTGACAAGGAAGAACTCTGAAGAAAACAAGTCTCTAAAATGATGTAATTTGATATACAAATGGGATTCAGTTTACACATTTTAAAGTACCAGTACTTCCAGAGTAAAGGCAATTATGTATAGATTGAATTTGGAATCCTCCCAAAATTGGGATTTGAGATTTTGATTACTATGAATCCTTATTGATTATAACAGGATTTCCAGTGAATTGCACCTAAGTTTTTAGTGAAATCAGTCCTTAGCCTGGCAGAATTAGGATGATCTGTTAATAATTTAAAATCACTTAATTTACTTCCTGTGTTCTATCTTCCAGCCTTAGTTTTGCTCCACAGTAACTATTTCTAGCCTTATCTACCCAAGTACAGGACAAAACCAGCTTTCTACTCTGGAGTACCTGACACTGGCTCATGCAGCAATGGAAAAGAAGAAAAAAAATGCCAGGCACTGTGGCACATTCTTGTAGTCACAGCTACTCAGGAAGCGGAAGCAGGAGGATTGCTTTAGCCTGGGAGTTCAAGGCTGCAGTGAGCTATCATGGGGCTGGTGAAGAGCCACTGCACTCTAGCCTGGGCAACATAGTGAGATCCCGTCTCAAAAAAAAAAAAAGGTATAAGCAAGGGAAGAAGTAAAACAAAGCTCATTTTTCTCTTGCATCTGGTATAGATACATGAGAAGTCTTCATAGCATCTCAGGGTTTTCAATACAAACTTCATTCTTTAACAGACCTATGAAAAGATTATGGTTGTTTACATTCCTAGACTTTAATATATAAGTAGTTAACTTGAACAGTTAGCATGAACTCTGAAGTATATTCACGGGAAGCTAAGTGTCACAGTAAAAAGATCATGAGCTTTATAGAAATAGACCTTGACATAAACTCTGGTTATCGCACTTACCTATTAAAGGACTTTGGTTACGTTACTTAACTTCTGACCTTCAATTTTCTTCATTTGTTAAATGGAAATATCTAACATGCAGGGCTAATGTGATTAAATTAGATATGAATAAAAAAACCTGACATAAATAAAATCTTAGGTACACAAGAAGTATCAATTCTCTTCACCATGTAAATAGCTCTCTCAAAAAATAATATTTTCTTAAATTAAGGAAAGACCTTGGTTTGAGAAGACTAAACAGTCTAGGTTTATTTCCCCAGGATTTTCAGCATTTATATTTTTATCTGCTTGGAGAAACAGTGATACAGATGCATCTATATCCTGTGTATGTGACACAATATTCTTATATGGTGCATTTCCCTGGCCCCCAAATACCCCACAACCTAGCTTTTCCCAAACTAAAATCCTATCCCTCCCTTCTATGCCATAAATTCACAACCATCTCAAGACATTCAGAAACACTGCCTTATCCCAAACACCTTTATTGGCTTGGGTAATGTATTTTTCTAAAATAATGCCTTTTAGTGAAACAAGAATATAATCACCCAGATCTTAGTTTATAAGTACCACTTCTCCACTAAAAAGAATCAGGGGTCTTTGGAGATACCAGATACGGGACAGAGTAAATTAAGCCTAGGTCATTTGCTGGGGCACAGAGCAAGGAAATGCTCATGGAGTCACGGGGACGCAAGAAACAACTTCAAGTCTCCTGCTGACCAAATTTCAGATATTACGAACATCAGTGAGAAGAAAAAGAATGACTATAATTGACTATGTAATATTGAGTAAAAAACCCCCACAAGTTAACAGTGATAGTAACAAAAGAGAAAGGAAAAAAAAACCCATTTACCACCAATGGCATTGATTATTACCCCAACCCTTTACTCTGAAAACTGGCAGAGAGGAAAAACAAGGAATATATCCTGTTTTCCTAAAAGGAACGAGGCTGGGTGCAGTGGCTCACATCTGTAATCCTAGCACTTTGGGAGGCAGAGGTGGGTGGATCATCTGAGGTCAGGAGTTCGAGACCAGCCTGGCCAACATGGTGAAACCCCGTCTCTACTAAAAACAGAAAAATTAGCGGGGCATGGTGGCAGATGCCTATAATCCCAGCTACCTAGGAGGCTGAGGTGGGAGGATCGCTGGAACCCAGGAGGTAGAGGCTGCAGTGAGCCAAGATTGCACCACTGCACTCCAGCCTGGGTGACAGAGCAAGACTCTGCCTCAAAAGAAAAAAAGAACTAAATAGTTCATGCCCACTGATTAATTCATGCTTGTCAAAGCACTTACAGAGTTTTGTTTACTTTTTATAAATTTTTGACTTTGGCTTGTTATAAATACTAAGAATTAAGACAAAAATAATCAAAAGGCATCATGGATAATACATTGCCTGGCTTTTATCATGTCACTTTGTACCGAAGGAGTGACTGAAATACAACTTTTCCGTCTGAATTTTGTTGGATCAAATGTTACATGGTAGATGGCTCAACGTACAAGCAGGAAGGCTGACAAACTGAAAGGCCTAAGAAGTGAGTATCTGGTACTTATGCTTATACAGAATATACTTGTATGTACAACTATGTATTTCTGGGTTTACTTCTACTTCATTCTTCAGATAAAAATAACTAGGTAATTTTGACAATCATCCAAATAGCCATTTCAATAACTATAACAAGCTAATGTGGAGAACAAGTATTTTAAAAAATTTCTGCTTTAATTACATTTTTTTAAAAAAAATAAGCTTCAAATCACAAAAGCACACATTTTACTCCCATAAAAAATAGATCCTTATTATTTTATAATATTTTTTTCCTCTTTTCTTTTTTAAAATCACACCTGGATACTTTATAATCTTATGTAAATTTATTAACTTAACTGAAACTTATCTGTAAAATATTGACCATTTAAAATAAGCCAAATTCAGAGTGTGGGAAAGCCTAATGGACGAATAGTTTAGTTTTTTCCCCCAATAAATAAATAAAGGGTATTTTTTCAAAAGGCAGAATTATTAAAAGATTTTTCAAAACCAAAACCATTATAGTTTTCCAAACAACAAAATTTTTTTGACATCATTGAGGAAGGCTGAACAAATACTGGGTATTAAATAATATTGGAAACAATATTAGTATTATACTAAGAAAAAAGTCCTTATACATCAGAGATACATACTAAAGTATTTACAGGTGAAATGATATCTAGAATTATTTTAACATACTCCAGATATACTCCTGTACAAGTTTTTAATTGTACAAGAAAACTTGTACAATTAAGTTTAAGTGATAGTCATTCTGACCTCCACTGAATTATAATAGTAAAGAAGAATTATGACCTAGTTCCTCTTAATACTCAAACTCACCTCAAAAAGAGTTGGAGGAGGAGGTGGCAGACTTGTAATTTTGGCTGATCTCTCTTTTTCCACAAGCAGTGCTTCCTTTCGAGCTTTTATATGCCTTAAGAAACAAGAGATGTCATCAATTAATCTCTCAGTGATAATATTATAGTACAACAGGGTTAAAAATATGTAAGTCATAGGCTCAAGAAATCCTCTAGTCTGATTCCACAGGCTCAGTAAGCTTTACATGTGTAAAGAGTCTATACATATGTTAAGAAAATGTTTACAAATTGAGAGAGGCCTATCTAAAGACAGAAAGCTCTATGGTGGGGACCAACCCAAGAAACTTATAATGTTCTTTAGAGTGAAAAAAAAAAAAACAGAAATGTTGTTAAAAATGGCTGTTGCTAACTAGTAACAGGGCCCTTAATTTTTTACTTTGCTTCACTCACGTTTCCTGTGAATGGCCCTTTAATTTTTACAACATGCAAAAAATACTAATGACTTCCAGAGTCTACAACCTCTTTTAATGTTCTTAATCACATCAATTTTTATTTCATGTTTACATCGGAAACAGACATTGGTTGACATGCATTCTGAAGTAGCCATATATTTTTTCAGAAACTTAGTAACTGCTGCTAAACTCAACTCAAACTACAACTAGAAAAGAAAGCTCATTAGTTACTATGTTCACCTAAGCAAATCATTCCCTGTCCCCAACATTATTTTTAAATCAAGTTTAACAAATGCAATGAATATGCTACTATGTTTATTTAATATTTGCTTACACAGTATCCTATGTATCCTCTACTTTCAACCATGTTAGTTTCAGTTGAGATTATAGTAAAAATTATTACTTTACCAGGTTTTTTGTTTCAGTAATATTTCTTTTTGATTTTTCTGTACTTTCAAGGCTTCTTTATGCCTCAAATCTGCTTTTCTTTTCCTTTCTGCTGCCCGCTGTGCCAAAGCATCCAAATCAGGTTCCTAAAAATATATATTACTTAAAATGTCATGTTAAACAAGAATAATAGAAATGTGTCTCATATGATATCAGAAGTGATTTATCAATTTTGTCATCTTCTTTCTACATACTATAGCAGTGTTTCCCAGAGCATGACAACAGTACCACTGATGATATGCCATATTAGGGGGGACAAACACAAACATTTTAATGTAAAGTTAATGCAATCAATTAACATTATTACAAAAATATAAATAGGATATCGAACTACTTAGGACATGGTTAAAGTACGTAAAATATATAGTGATATGGGTAGTTTCCCAGTCAGGGCAAAAATTGTGAACATGGTATTCAAATAACAGAGGTTTGGGAAACATTGCATTAGGCACAAACTTAATGTGGCATGCATAAAACCACAAAAACCTGAGTCAGAACTTACGGCTATTACTAAAAACACAGACTAAAACCAAGGACCATGAAACAGATTGCCACAGTCTTAAGATATTTTCTTTCTCACTAGTTGTTATCAAAGATTTACCTTCTTTGTAACTAGCTTGTTTACTGTATGTGACTGATTCTGGGACTGTAGTATTTCCACATCATAAATCACAATAAATCAAAATAATGGGGCAGACTTACTGTGACTTTCTGAAAGTCATCAAAAAATGTTTGTTGGGGGGTTGAATTCACCCCACCAAATCTGTCAAAAAATGCCTGAGATGGACAACAACTTCTGATTCAGAAGATTATTATTTCCCCAGATAGAGGAGTACTGGAAGAGAATAATGCTAACTTGAACATCATAGGAAGACCAATTTTATTTGACATGGATTTTACTTGAAATAACTCTTAGTAAGAAATGAGCCTATTATTCACAAATTACATTAAATTTATAAAAAAGTTCAAGCTGCCCCAAAGAAATTCAATGCATGAAAATGTTATCAGAAAAGCATTCAACAACTATAATTTACTTTTTACTAATATTACTGCCACAACAGGGTAGTCAAATAAGATCTCACTCACATTTTCTTTGGCCTGTCGATGTCCCTCTCCCATACTTCTTAAACTTGCCAAATACAGTTTTTCCAAGTTCTGTATTTTCTGAGTTTGTGATTCTTCCCATTCTGCCCTTAGCTCCTCTGCCAAACGTGTAAATTGTTGATTTCTCCTCTGTTTTATGTCTTCTCTTATCTGTAAGGCGATATCTCTTTCTTGTTCTCGAACCTAAAGAATGCATATTTAACAGGTTATATGAAAGGAGGTTTACTTAAACTTTTTTGAAAAGCTATTTGGAAAGAGGAACTCAAATGAATTCTCTTAAGTCTGTCAACTCTCTTTGATACTCATCTTGTATTAGATAAAGACTATTTAAAGCAGAAAATCTGAGTGAATGTACAAAAAGTAAAAATCTCAAGACTATATCTAATGTCTCCAAACTGATAGCTTTTATTCAGCGCCCACTCCCAAAAGGACTGCCATTATCACTCTAATAACCTATAAAAGCTAAAGCGATAAATATGATTCAACAAAATCTATAGCCCAGAGTACAGACAGAGCCAGATGAGAACTCCATTTCTGTTGTACATCATTTCTGATTCTAGACAGAATGGTGCCTGAAACATACTTCACAAAAACTTACTTTAAAAACACTTCTAGAAAAGGGTTATCTGCAATTTCCTGATAAATTTGTTTCAGCAGCTAATAATCTTTCCAATTAGCATTCTTCAAAGTCATCTAAGCTTCCTGTTACCAATTACAGACCATTTTTAAAAAAGATAAAGAGCTATTTTCAATATTCGAGTCAAATAATACCTATCTTCCAACTCTTCTACAATGTACTTAACCATCTCAGCCTATTTTTCAAGTGTTCCAAAACTAGTTAATACCAAATAACCAGGGCTCTCGTATACCCAGAAGAGGTTTTTAAATACAACATTTAGAACACTCTAATGTAAAAGAATACAAGTAATTTGAGGAAGAAAGGAATTTAAAACTTTATTACAAATAAGTCATACCTGTAGCAATCTTAGTTTTCGCCTTCTTTCATAATCTTCCTTCAAAATGAAGGCTTCCTCATTAGGACTCAATCTCAGCTTGTGAGTATTCACGACTTTTCTCTTCATTTCTGTGTACTTTATGTATGACAGTTCTGAATTCAAAAAGGAAAATGTCTATAAAAATAATGTAACATTAAAATAGGGCAGCAAAGATTAGAATAATTTTGTTTGTTTTTTTTTGAGACAGAGTCTTGCTCTGTCACCCAGGCTGGAGGGCAGTGGTGCGATCTCAGCTTACTGTAACCTCTGCTTCCCGTGTTCAAGCGATTCTCATGCCTCAGCCTCCAGGGTAGCTGGGATTACAGGTGCATGCCACCACGCCCAGCTAACTTATGTATTTTTAGTAGAGATGGGGTTTCACCATGTTGGCCAGGCTGGTCTCGAACTCTTGGCCTCAAGTGATCCACCTACCTCAGCTTTCCAAAGTGCTGGGATTACAGGCATGAGCCACCATGCCTGCTCAGAAAATTTTTAAAATTCGTGTTAATACTTTTGATATTTAAAGGGTTATATACATGCAAGGAAAATTTGAGTAAACGAAGTCCAACTTATTTACAAATAGCAATTATAAATTCACACTTAGATCAGTGATACTCAGAAGGGTGGGAAAGTGGAAATGAAGACTGAATCAGAATTACTCAGAAAAGTTTTCTCCTGTTTATAGCAGATTGTCTACCTCGAGTATCTGGACCTGACTTATTCCTGGTTAGCATTTCCAGAGTTTACTGAGCTTAAATGTGAAAAAGCACAAAGACCTAAAAAGATGTTAGCATAGAATAAATGTTTTCAAAACTATAATCTGACACTTTAGAACCTTCATAACTTGTTCATAACTAGCAAGGTTGCTGTAATTTCAAGGGTTCTTTGTTCCTAGATTCAACTCCCAGTCTACTGCATATAACTTGATCACCAAGTGTCATTGTTACCTCATGAAATCACATCAATCCCATGTTCTATAATCTACAGTAAACAATTCTTCAATAATTATAGTGACGTAATTTTTATATGAATGACTTGCTCGGCTGTATCAAGCGTTTAGTTTTCCAGATCTATTCTTCTTTTTTTTGAGATGGAGTCTCGTTCTGTCGCCCAGGTTGGAGTGCAATGACACAATCTTGGCTTACCACAACCTCCGTCTCCTGAGTTCAAGTGATTCTCCTGCCTCAGCCTCCTGAGTAGCTGGGATTACAGGCATGCGCCATCACACCCAGCTAATTTTTGCATTTTTAGTAGAGACAGGGGTTCACCATGTTGGCCAGACTGGCCTCGAACTCCTGACCTCAAGTGATCCACCTGCCTCAGCCTCCCCAGTTGCTGGGATTAAAGGTGTGAGCCACCACGCCCGGCCCAGATCTATTCTTCTGTTGCTACCGTTCACACTGTGTTCTCTCTCTCCTCCCTAGATTATAACATGCTCCTATTTGGGGGAACGAGGCAAAAAGAAATGGAATAAATATAAGAATCTATAGTTCTATAATTTGAATACCCTCCTCAGGTAATTCTGATATTAACTGGCTCCTATTACTGCCATTTCCAAAAAATTAGACACTTTACATGAGTACATGAGCATTTTATCTGAGACAATCAACATTTCTCAGGTCTCCCTCACAATGACCAGGCAGACAATCTCAGTTACTGAATATTTACATCTTTCTAAAGCTGGCTTAAGCCCTCCTTCCTCTACGAAGCTGTCCTCTGATAATTCCTGTTGCAATTTCCCACTCCTGATTTGCCCAACTCTAATACATTATTACCTATACATTCAGATGGGGACTAATTTTATGTTGTCTTGGTATTACCTCCTGTAGTTTTTCATCAATTACAGTTTGCTCTTTCTAGTTAGATTCCTAACAATTGAAGGACAATGGCTATGGGTTTTTTAATAAAAATTTTAATATTCAATTAAATTTAATAAATAACTACCAGGTAATATTTCACATACTATGGATGCACAATGTTTTCAACCAGGTGTAAACAGAATAGGGGCTAGGAGACTGTGGGATTACCTAACAGGGACTAATACCTTTCCAGTGACTTCTCCATCAGAATGTAAGCTCATCAGGGCAGAATGGACTTATTCACCATTTTATGTCCATAGCCTGAAAACAGTGTCTCGCCCATAGGTAGTTACTTCAGTAAGTGTGTTGACTGAATGAATGACTCAATGAGTTAATTTATGTGAAGTGCTACAGAGCTATACACAATCATCACAACCTTCAATAAGACTCTAACACCAAAAAGGACTAACTGCTGGCATTAAAAAAATCTTTTAATGCATCCTACTCATCTAATATTCACACGGCTTTGGTAATGGTAACTAAAGTACTGATTATATTTTTCATGCTATACATGAAGAAACAAGGCCTCTTGGGTTAAAGGACTTTCCCTGAGTGACAACATCTAGTGGCGGAGCCAAGGGAAGAATCTGGTTTCCTTATTCCAAATGGCTCCTAACTTTCCAACACACAAAAATATGTGGAGTGGCGAAAATTTTATTTAAGCTGTTGTTTTTTGAGAGTGAGAATTTAAAAAACAGAAAATTTAACAAAGAAGAAAAAAGAACAAGATTAATCTTCACAATGTATCTTTATTATTTTGTCTGAAGGTCTAAGAAATTCCCTCATATTTAAATAATTAAGACTAATTCCTGATGAATCTCATAGACATAATATTGCTGAATTTTTAAAAAGCCAGACACAAAAAAGTACAACAAAATTGATTTATATAAAGTTCAAGAACAAGCAGAACTAATCCATGAGAGGTAAAAATAAAGTTACCTTACTGGAAGTTACTGACTCGGAGATGGCACAAAGAAGCTTGCTGGGGTACTGAAAATTTATATATTTTGATCTGTATGATGGTTTAGACAAGTGTATACATATGTAAAAATTCCTCAAATGGTATACCTAGATTTGTGTTTTATTCTTATACTTTAAGAGGAAAAAAATCCTAATATTTCAAATTTTAGGTATCCATTACTTCATCTCAGAGGATTATTGAAAAACATATAAACATTTATTATTTTTAAGCTCCTAAAATGCGATAGAATAACTGTTTCTTCTTGTGTATAATTTTTAAATTTTTTAAACTTTTTATTTGGAAATTTCAGGCTTAGAATTCCCATTTGCCCTTTCCCCAGCTTCTCCAAATGTCAACGTCTTGTACATAACCATGGTACAATGATCAAAATCTGAATATTAACACTGACACAATATTTTTTACTAATCTACAGGCAGTATTCAATTTTTGTCAATTATCACACTAATGTCTATTTTCTGGACCAGAAGCCAATCCAAGGATATAACACATTGCATTTGTTGCTGTGTAACTGTGTGTCATCTAAAAAGCAGACGCTAAGATGGGAGTAAACCTGCAAATATTTTATTAGGAGAAATGCGTGTGTGAGGGAAAATGGGAGGGAGCTGATAAAAGTTACAAGCGCCTCAGACTTCAGTGTAAGTCTAACACTGAATGGAGGGAAGTAACAATGGGTAGACCCCTCTTAGACAGCCATGCAGTATAAGAAATGTTCAGCAAGAACCCGTGGGGAGATTCTCAGGAACAGGCCTGCCACTGTCAGTGGCTAGGAGCAGCCCATGGGAAGCATGGCCTCAGTGCAAATGGAGATTTCAGAATGCAGGAGATTAAGATATGTGAGTTACATTCTCATGTCAAAGTTGTCATGTCCCCCTTAATCTGGGACAGTTTCTCAGTCTGTCTTTTCAAGACCCTGTCATTTTTGAAAATACTGGCCAAGTACTTTGTTGAATGTCCCTCCATTTAGATTTGTCTAATCTTATGTGATTAAACTGAGGTTATGTATTTTTGGCAAGAACACCACAGAATTGATTAGGCACCTTTTCAGTGCATTGTTATCAAGAGGTAAATGATGCTGAATTTTGGTCACTTGGTTAAGATGATGTCCACCAGGTTTCTCCTCTGTAGTTACTACTTTTCCTTTATAAATATCTCATGAAGACAGAGTAGAGGCTACAGAAATATGCTTTTCATCATACTTTTGCCCATTGACGTTAGTATCCATTGATGACTGTTGTCTGAAACAACTACTGTGGTGTTTACCAAATAGTATTTTCTATTTCCATTATTCCTTCTACAATTATCAATCGGAATCCTGCTGTAAGGAAGTTTTCCCTGCTGCCCCATTTACTTGTTTATTAATTATTTATTCTTAGTAATATGGATTTTTAAATTCTACATTTTATTACTATCCAATATTGAAGATTATACTACTTATCTTGCAAGATTTCGTCCTGAGGATTAAATGGCTCCTGGTACATAGTAATCACAAAATTAACACTAAACTTGGAAGATCTGGGTTCAAGACCCAACACTGCCACTTATTAGCAGGAAGATACTGGCCAAGTCACTGAAGTCACTTTGGTTTCGTTTTCTTAAACTGTATAAAGGGAATAATAATATCTACCCCAAAAGGTTTGTTCTGACGTCTATGTGACTTAGCGTGAAGTCTTCAAATACACTCTAAGTATTAAGGACTCAAAAGTTCACCATTGTTTTAAAAGTTGAGTTTGTGACAGGATTGAATAACTGTGAGATTAAGGTGGCAGACACCAAAAGAGAGCGTGCTCTTTGCATGAAACGATCCAGGCAAGGCTCTTTTAACAGCTACCAGGTGGCAGGCCATGTCCGCGGGTGATCTGGGGGAAGCGCCCCTCCCCCGACACGGAAGCTCCGCGACAGGGGAGGCTGCGTGGGAAGCTCGCGCGACCCGACCCCAGGAGAGCGCGCAAAGCCTCTCGCACTGAGTTACCGGGTCTGGTCCGGACACTCCTTACAGCCGCCAGCCCGACCGCGGGCAGGGCCCACGGCCTGCGGAGCCTGAGAAACGCGAGCCGTACCTGCGTTCGCAACAAGGCGCCTTCCTGGGATCCCATTCCTCCGGAATACAATCCCAGCTCTTGGGCCTCGGGGAGTCATGCTCCTACGGGGCGACTGGGAAGCCAGTGCATCCCTGACTCACCTGAGAACCCGGGGCCTGGACACAGTAACCGCAGCTCAGAGCAAGCCAGCCTGGTAAGCTCCTGCCCATCAGCTGCCCAGCAGCCGTTTCTGCGCCTGCGGGAGAGCCATCGCCGAGCCGCCGTCACTTCCGTCATTCAAACCGCCCGCCAATGGCCGGACCAAACCGCGGGAATAGGCCCTGTCCCGCCTTCCTCGGGGGCCGCCGGGAAGGCTGCGCGGTGTTAAAAACCCCGCGCCCCGCGCACGCGCACAGGCACGCGCCAGCCCCAGCCTGCCTAGGGGCCCATTATTTGTCACACCTGTCAGGCTTTGACGTTTTCCCGTATGGGCCGCGCTCGGTGGCTCGCGCCTGTAATCCCAGCACTTTGGGAGGCCAAGGCGGGAGGATCACTTGAGCCCAAGAGTTCGAGGTTATGTATTTTTGGTTATGAGTTCAAGACCAAGTCCTTTTAAAAACATGGTGAAACCTCATCTTTACAAAAAATACGACAACAGCAAAAATTAGCCGTGCGTGGTGGTGGGCGCCTGTAATCCCAGCTACTCGGGAGGCTGAGGCAGGAGAATCGCTTGAACCCAGGAGGTGGAGGTTGCAGTGAGCCGAGATCCCGCCAGTACTGCACTCCAGCCTGGGCGACAGAGCCAAAGCCTGTCTAAAAAAAAAAAAAAAAAGTGCAGAGCCATGAGGGTGACTTTTGTTTTAAGGCCCCATCATGAAGATATCTTGGGATATGCATCCTTTTCTGTACTGACTACGGAATTCATTGGTACTATTATGCGCAGTTAACGTCTTATAGCTTTCATTTAAGGCCTCCAGCTCATAACAACAATGAGCCGTATGTTACCCTGTGCCTCCAGAGGTACAGCGCACGGAGAGCACCTCACGGATTTATCTGCTGTAAATAACCAATAATCAGGCGGTGAGCACAGGTTAATACCTATTGAGTATCTGTTATGTGCCGAGTACATTATGTTACTCTGGATGGATTATGATGCCTATACTAGATTTTGCAGTCTGGGTCATGGGGGTTAAACATCAGGAATCAAAGGATTAAAAATGGGGGGTGGGGATGGGAAGTTGCTGACACGATCAGATCTGGCTGCACAGTGGGGAAAAGGTCAGAGAGAGTGAAGACAGAAGGCCGTATACTACTACAGAAAGTGAAAGATAATAGCAATGAGAATGGAGAGAGGTGAGTAGATTGAATAGGAAGCCAAACATCAGGAATTGGTGGTTACCTGGTTATGGGAGGCACAAGAGGAGAAAACAAGGGTGATGCCCAAGTCCCAGATACCTAGCACCTGGGTAGATAGTGATAACATCCTCCTGGAACACACATGAAGAGAACCAGGAGGGAGAAGTAATAAGTTAAGCTTTGAATATTTTGAATTTGAGCTGTTTATGAGATATCTAGACAAAGGGATGCATTTCAGAAACTTAGGACACAAAATTAGCAGTACTTGACAAACAATTGCATGTGAGATTGAGAGAAAAGGGAAAGTGAAGTTGATTTCATAGGCCACTAGCTTGGGTAGCAGTGTTGATTCTTGATTGTAAAGGGAGAAATCAGAAATGGCAGTTAAGTGGGTAGGGTGATGAGCCAAGCTCTGTGTATATTGAACTTCATGTGCCTGTAGAACATCCAGTGATGTACTGTAAGCAGATGAATACATCGGTAGATAGCCCACAGAAAGAACTAGGCTAAGCATAAAGGGATTTCCTTGTTACATGAGTAATAACAAACGCTAGCGGAATGGATGAGATCACTTAGGGAGAATTTGCAGAGTGAGAAGAGCAATGAGCAAAGAACCAAACTCCGAGGAACACCAAAACTTAAAGGGATGGAGTAGGAGGAAGGAAGGTACAGGAAGAAATAGTGTGATTCCACCTCAGATTTACAGATCAGGATACTGAGTTACAGAGAGATTCAGCAACTTGGCCAAGGGCACATTTCAGTCAAGGGTGAACCAGGACTAGAATTCACGTTTCCTTCCCAAATATTAGGGTTCTTCTCAGCCTCTCTCCCCATTTCCTGTCACATTTATCTTGAAGAATATTTGTATTCATTTTAAACATTTTTTCAGCATCCTCCATACAGGCACGGAGATACTCTTCCATACCCGATAAAACATGTGCATATTATTTCATCCCTTGGGCTAGGTTTAGTGCCTGGACATGGGTTCCTGCACATGCTGCCCCATGGCACTTAGGAGTTCTTATTGAAATGAGCTGTTTAGAGGGCTCTCTATTGATTACACTCTAAGTTTCTTGAGAACCAGGAGTGCACTTTGTTCAGTTGCCTGGCATAAATGAACAAAGCTGAATAAATGACCAAATTACATGCTTCACTTCCTCAACCTGCATCCTTGGCAGAAATTCTACACTTGGAGATTTTGAATCGAGACTTGTTCTGTTTTTAATAGAAGGCAGTGAGGAATCAAAGCCCAAGTGGGCTTAGAGTCAGAGCATCTGGCTTAGCATTACCACAGATACTTTCTAGCCGTGGGACCTCAAATCAATGAGTCTTCATTTCTGTTTTGGCGATCAATTGCTGCCAACCGAACCACCCTGGAATGTCCAACATGGGTCACTTACTATGGCTGGCAGCTGACGTTGGCTGGCAGCTGAGAGCTCAGCTGGAACTGTTGACTGGAGTGTCCACTCATGACCAGTCCATGTAGATTGGACATCTCACTCTATTGTGGCTAGTTTGGAGAGGGAGCATCTTAAGAGTGAGCATTCGCAGAGGAATAAAGTGGAAGCTGCAAGTCCTTTAAAAGGTGAGGCAGAGAACGAGTTGTAGTAAGTTGTATCACATTTTATTGGTTAAGTAACATGGAGCCAGGCCAGATTCAAGTGAAAGGGAAATGAACTCCATCTCTCAATGGAGGCAGTGACAAAGAATTTGTAGCCATCTTAATCCACCACGTTTCTTAGTAATACTTCATGTCGCCTCTCTATAGGATGGTTGTGAGACTCAAAAGGCATGAATCATATGAGAGCACTTTGTAAACTCTAGAGGGGTATACACATACTAGGTAGTTTAGCAGTTATTTATTTTATTTTTCTGTCGAACACCTTTCTCTCCTCCTCTGGTACAGACCCAGACCTCTAGGCTACCGGGGTAGGCATGTGACCCAGACTGGACAAATCGCAGTTCTTGTTTCCATTGCCATTGTGACCAACCGAGGTACAGGTATGTTACCTAATTGGGGCAATCAGAGTCTTTCACAGGAATTGGCACTGGAGACAGCAGAGACAAATATTTTCCTCTCTGGGCTCATGTTAGGATGTAAACCTGGAGCTTTCCCAGGTGGTCCCCCACAAGCTGGTCTGAAAGAATGAGTGTGACAGCAAGGAGCGCAGAGAGAGAATTTGGATAGTGTTCAAGTCCCTGGATCTAGCCATACCTGAGGTCAATATGCCTGCCTATTCTGCAGCAAACTGGTAGCAGCCATTCAGTCTTCTACTGAAGCTGCTTTGAATGGGAATTTCTATTTTTTTGCAAATTAAAAAGGGCTGTAGATTTTTATTTAAATTCTCATAGACAAACACATCTGGACATCTTGGGAGATAGTATAGAATAATGTTTAAGATCTTGGCTGAGCACAGTGGCTCACACCTATAATCCCAGCACTTTGGAAGGCCGAGGCAGGAGGATTGCTTGAGCCCAGGAGTTTGAGACCAACCTGGGAAACATAGGGAGACTTAATCTCTACAAAAATATTTAAAAATTAGCCAGGTATGGTGGTGTGCACCTGTAGTCCTAGCTACTTGGGAGACTGAGGTGGGAGGATAGCTTGAGCCCAGGAGGTCAAGGCTGCAGTGAGCTATGATTGTGCCACTGCAGTAAGTAAACTTTGGGCAACTGAGTGAGACCCTGTCTGAAAAATAAAAATGTTACATAGATTTCTTCCAAATGGATTTAAATTTCTGGCTAACTCTGTGACTTTGAGCTAGTTACTGGACTTCTTTAAAAGTCTGTTTCCTCATCTCTTAAAGAGATGTAGTGAAAGTACTCAGGTTCTTGTGAGGTTTAAAGCTCTTGAAACAATGTCTGGCACAACATGTGCAATAAATGTTACCTTTTTTGGCTTTAATTTTAATACATTCATTTTAGAATACAAGAGAGGGAAAAAAACCCAAACTCTTAAATGTGTTTATTGGTGTTTTGGATTTGATTTTTTTTTTTCTTTTTTAGTAGAGATGGGCTATTGCTTTGTTGCCCATGTTGGTTTCAACTCCTGGACTCAAGTGATCCTCCCACCTTGGCCTCCCAAAGTGCTGTGATTACAGGCATGAGCCACCACACCCGGCCTGGTTTGATTTTTAATTCAGTCTTTTTGTAGAGTTTAGGCCTAGGGAGAAGTATGTGTATTTAGTTTCTAGTATTGTTAACCTATTGAGAATGAACCTCAGTAACCAGTGATCAAGAGGAAGAATTGTCCTCAGCAGTAATGACATTAGTGTCACTGGTTTATAATGCTGCCACTCTTCAAAATGCAACTGAAGCCATTTAAGATTTGAACAGTTTAAGATGTTTCTCTGATGGCAACGGTTTCACTGTTTCATCTTTATCCACATCCAATATAAGCAAATGATATTTAAGTGGGGAGGAACCCTCAATAATTCTTATGTATAAACACCAGAAAAAAGGGGGATCTCTGCAAGAACAAAAGTAATCAAAGAACTTCCATCTGACCATATGCTAACTGCCCTCTTTCTCCCTAATATACACACCACAGGAGCTTAACAAGTGACGGTGTCTCGGTAGAATAATTTAGAGCTACTACCAGGAGTGAAATTAAGAGTGCCAGGCAGGAGAGGAAGGATAGGCTGAGAAAAACTTTTAAAAGCTGTAAATATTTTTTAGAGGTATAGGGTAGGAGTTGAGCCAAGGAATTGAGCCACTTGCTTAAAGACAGTAAGAAGCAAGAGGAGATAATAGGGAAATTCACTGGCTCTGTTCCATCTTTTAAATCTTTCCCAGCACATTGCTAATATGATGTGTATCAAAAATACGAATACCTGTTAAGACATAAGTGGGTAGAGTTTGAGTTTCATGCTTAAAGAGAGAGAGAGAAGTCTAGTTAAAAAGAAAAAAAAAGGAAATCATATACAACCCAAAAAAGTACATAGCCATTGAGGGGGCTTGGGTAGGGTGGGGAAGAGTTTTGAAGATGTGTGTTTGAACATCTACTTGACCAACAGTTAACCTCCAAAGCTCAATCTCTATTTATAAAATAGGGATAAAAATACCAAACATTTATTATGCACCATGTGTGCCAGAAATATTAATACCTACCCTATCTCATAGAGCAGTTGTAAAGATTACATTTTAAAATTTTGCGTCGTAAAGATCAAATAGAAAATTTCTAAATATCTTACATAGAAGCATATAAATAACTATAAAAGATCCTCCTATGATTTAGCCACCAGTCCAGACTCAGGGCAGGTGACTGCCGTACCACCATTTCTTTGTTACTGCCATTTGACTCACTTGAACTGATCCAGCTTACAGAGAACAAGAACATCAATCAGTTCTGTTTACTTAGCATTCCCTTTGTCCAAAATTATTTTCATTTACCTGTGAACATAACTGTAACCTACACCCTTGCTACCCAAAGGGTGGTCCAAGGACCAGCAGTGTTGGCATCACCTGGGAGCTTGTTAGGAATGCAGACTCTGAGGCTTCTCCCCAAACCTGCTGAACCAGAATCTGTGTTTTAACTAGATCTGCAGGCAATGTGTATACACATGAAAGTTTGAGAAACACTGTTCTACACAAAGCCCTATATGAGGTAAATAAGCTCGATGCTATACTGGACATTTTGGAATCAACAGGTGAATTGGTGATATTTCCTAACCACAAGCTTAGTTTTCTCATTGCATTATAGCAGACCCTTCAGTATAAGTCTCCTATGTACAGATCTTATCTCTTAGAGTCATTATGATGTATTGTTGTTCAAAGGAAATTTTGTCTCTTCAACTTCCTCCCTCTCAGTATTATCTACACATCTGATCCAGCCTCAGACACTCATCTCTGGGGGTCGTTTTCTTCAGCTGTCTCCTTGCATTTTTGCTTTTCCCTCCTTGGGCAGGGTATCTTGTTTCTACCCCAAACATTCTCTCTCTCCTTTCTTAAAAACTGTAAAGACTTCCTTTAATAGTTTGCTATGGCTGCCATAACAAAGTCCTGCAAACTGAGTAACTTAAACAACAGATGTTAATTATCTCACAATTCTTGAGGCTAGAAGTATGAGATCAAAGTATCTGTTGGCAGGGCCATATTCCCTCTGAAGATTCTAGGGAAGGGTCTGTTCTAAACCTCCTAGCTTCTGGTAGTTCCTTGACTTGCAGATGCGTCATCCCAATATCTGCCTTCAGCTTCAGATGGCGTTCTCCCTGTGTGTGGGTGTGTTTGTGTGTGTTTGTGTGTGTGTGTGTATGTGTGTGTGTGTGTATGTGTCCAAATTTCCCCTTTTTCCAAGGACACCAGTCATACTAGGTTTGGGGCCCACTCTACTCTAGTATAATCTCATCTTTAATTACATCTGCAATGATCCTATTTCCAAACAAAGTCACATGCAGAGGTGTTGGGGCTTGAGATTTCAACATATGGTTTCCTGAGGAACACAGTTAAGTCCTAACACTTCCTCTTGAAGCTAGTGCAAGGATTGTGAAGTACTTGAAACAACCCCGTTTGTTCATATGACTCCCAACTCAGGATTTCGCAGTATAAAATCATAATATTTTGCATGGGCAAAGTAGGTGGAATAGTTGCTTCTTATTAGTGTGGAATTACTGTTGTGTGACTCCAAGTGTTGCCCACATCTTCCTAGTATGCCTGCTGTGCTGCTGGCTTAAAATGTGAGCTTGTCTATGGAAAGGATGATTCCTGAGAGCATCAAGCTAAGTATGCACTGATAAGTAGTGAGATAAAAATGCCCTTCCCTTCATAGCCACAAATCTAAAAGCTACCCATCTTTCAAGGCAAATGTTGTCTTACAAATTCTAATGTCTACCATTTTATTGAGTCCTTAAGTAGCCTGGTATTACATGGCTCAAGTGACAGAGCTGGGGTTTTTACCCAGACATTTCTAACAGTAAAGTCCATACCCTTCCCATTCCTTTCTGCTCACCCCATTGTATTTGACTCCACCCCAATCACTCAATGTATTATTCCTTTTTTTGCACTGCTCTTAAGAAATACCCAAGATGGGGTAATTTATAAGGAAAAGAGGTTTAATTGATTCACAGTCTGCATGGCTGGGGAGACCTCAGGAAACTTATAATCATGGTGGAAGGGGAAGCAGGCAAGTCTTACATGGGTAGCAGAAGAGAGAGAGAAGCACGAAGGAGGAACTTCCAAACATTTATAAAACCATAACTCACTCACTATCATGAGCACAGCATGGGAAAAACCACCCCCATGATCCAGTCACGTCCCTCCTTCGACACATGGGAATTGCAGGTCCCTCCCTCAACATGTGGGGATTACAATTCGAGGTGAGATTTGGGTGGGGATGCAGAGCCAAAACATATCACTCAATAAATATTTACTGAGTTCTTGTGTGAACAATGGTCTATGCTATATGTGTTTCTCTTCTAGCCAGCTGTGATCTGTAGGTATCCTGAACTTTCTCTGCTAAACTTTAATCACACCTTCTACCTTGAAGGAAACCGCATCTCTACGGGGCTAGAACAATAGGTAATCCTCAATAAATATCTGATGAACAAATGAAAGAATGTATGTACTCACAAATAATAGACTGTTTTTCAGATCCATGTCCTGATTATTGTAGTATGATCTAGCTTAAAAAATAATTCTGGGCTTTAATTCATTGGCTAGTAGGGAGGCCTTTTCCACTATATGTCTGGTGTGATTAAACTTTGTGCCTGGTGTACCCTCTTTTACTTGACTTGTTCCTATTGAGTGGCACCTGATGACCCAATTCTGAAGTCAGATCTGTTGCATATGGTCTTATCACCATTTCAGTCATGCACCACCCATTACAGAATCACCTTTTCTGGAGCTCCCGGAGGCCCCTCCAGCATGTTCCATCTCCCTCACACCATGTCTGTGGGTTCCACATTTGGGCTCATGTTGACCTTTCTCCGTTAGATAAAGCCCTTATCCTACTTCTTTGAAATCTCATCTCCAGTAATACTTAGCAAGTTTCAAGCTTCTATTCTGCCCCTGCCTTTTCCCCCACTTTCTTTTTCTCTACCCTCCCATCTTTGCTCCTAAGACTTCACTATTGGGATTTCACTTTTGGGATTTTCCCCAAGCTCTCTGATAGGGATCTATGCATCCTGCACATTCTCTCCTCAGCTTTATTAAAGAGCTAAGGGCTTCACAATCTAATGTCATCAAGCCGCCAGGCCCAGGTCAGAAGAGGTGTGTACCTTTTCAGTAAATGTCCCTCTTTCACCTTCAACCCTAGTCACGGCACGCCAATCTCAGGAAGACCTAAATAACAAACAAAACCATACACATTTCACTGAGAGCAGAATTACCACCATCATGCCCATTCTACAGATGACAAAATTCACGCTCAGAAAGGCTAAATAGCTTGCCTGTTATTACTCATCTTGTCAACCACAAGAGGAGCACTCAATCCCTGGTCTTTTGACTCAAAATCTAAGGGTCTTTTTGCCAGCACAAATGCATACTAACATGTTAAAAAGAGTCACCTTTTGGGCTAGGAAATTTTGCATTCCTTTCCTTCAAGAACGGTAGGTTCCAGGCCAGGCATAGTGGCTCACATCTGTAATCCCAGCACTTTGGGAAGCCAAGGCAGGCAGATCACTTGAGCTCAGGAGTTTGAGACCCGCCTGGGCAACATAGTGAAACCTTATCTCTACTAACAATAAAAAAAAAATTAGCTGGGTGTGGTGGCATGTGCCTGTGGTCCCAATTACTCAAGAGGCTGAGACGGGAGGATCACTGGAGCCCAGGAGATAGATGCTGAAGTGAGCCATGATCACGCCACTGCACGGCAACTTTTTGAGACCCTGTCTCAAAAAAAAAAAAAAAAAAAGCTATGTTCTAGTTTTATGACATCCATCTCTGTTCTAAGGTATGACTCCTAGATAAACATTTATGATTTTTGAGGGAGCAGGGAAAGCATTTTTGGCACCTGTGCCTTCTGCTCCTCACCCCTGAGATAGCCACAGGCCCCCTTGATGACTCACCTTTATGGCTAGCCTCTCATGGCCTCTCCTGACCCTCATCTACTCTGCATCTCGTCCTTCAGGCTAGCTAGTTCAGGCTGAAGGATTCAGTTAGACTACTCTTCCTAGGCGCATGTTTGCATTTTAAGAAAGACATTCAAAGCCTTAACATAAGGAAGCAAGCAATGGGCCAGTTTAGGCACTGTCCTGCCTTTACATGGTAGTGACAAGGCCGGTAGTAGGAGATGCGGCAAATATCTCAAATGAATCCTTTATGGGTATTTTCTTGCAATTCCAGTTGGAAAAAAAGTGACAGAAATTATAATGTCTGCCACTAGGGGGCGGATTAGCCAAATTTTGGAATATTTGTGGGCGAGTGAGAAGACTCAGAAATTTTTTCTTTTCCTATTCTCACAAATTCCCCTGCATCAGACAAGAGGAGAACAGCATCACCAGAAATAGGAAAAAGCAAAGGCAGCAGCATTGCTACTGGCAAGAGCAGGGTCCCCCATTGTCATCCTCTCGAAATGTGTTAGTGCACGAGGGTAGCACACCCAGGTAACAACAGCCTGGTATTCAGTACCTGTTACGTGCCAGGCACTGTGCTAGGCACTTTACCTACATTGTCTTCCTTGACCCACACAGCAATCTTCTGAGGCAGATTTTTCAAATCATTATTTTACGGGTGAAGGAATAGGCTTGTGAAGGTTAAATACATTGCTCGAAAGCAAGCAGCTAATACGTGGCAGAGTTGGGATTTGTATTGCTGTTTGTGGGGAGTGGTAGATAGGTTAAGGAGGAAGTCTTGAAAGGACTTGATATTAAGTCACCATTCAAAGCCTCTAACAGAGCTTCAGCGAGAGGCACTGCCTGCCTTAGGCAGTGGCTCTAAGGAGAGAAAAGAGTTTTAAGCATATTATATGTGTCTATTGTAAAAAATAATATGGAATATCATAAAGAAGAAAGCAGAAACTATCTTCGAATCTTATGTAGATAAAGCACTTTTAATCATTTTTAGTCAGGACTTGACTATGCTGGTTTTTGTTTTGTTTCGTTTTGCTTTTTATTGTGCATGCATTACCATGTAAATAAATATAGAATCTTCACTAACAGTTTTAATGATTATGTTTTGTTGTTTTGTACTTAAACCCCTTAAATTGCTTACCCAGTACCTGCTGATAAACTTTTTATTAATTTTCAGGTTTTTTACCACTATAAACAATTGTGTAATAAATTCTTTGTGTTTGCTTCTTTCCAAGGTATCTTCTCTTTTATTTATTAGATCTCATCCTATCTCCCTTAATCAAACAGTTGTCCCTGTTTTTCCTTTGCCATTTTTCCTCTCTGTGCTATACTGTTTCTTTAGCAAACAGATATGAGATAATAACGCCCATCTCGTTAAAAAAAATCTTCTTTGGGCCGGGCATAGTAGCTCACACCTGTAATCCCAACACTTTGGGAGGCTGAGGCGAGCAGATCATTTGAGGCCAGGAGTTTGAGACCAGCCTGGCCAACATGGTGAAATCCCATCCCTACTAAAAAAAACACAAAAATTAGCTGTGTGGTTGTGCATGCCTGTAATTCCAGCTACCTGGGAGGCTGAGGCAGGAGAATTGCTTGACCCCAGGAGGCAGAGATTGCAGTGAGCCGAGACTGCGCCACTGCACTCCAGCCTGGGCAACAGAATGAGACTACATCTTTTAAAAAAAATTTTTTTCTTTGATATCACTCCACCTCCAACTCCAGCCCATTTTCTTGTTTCCTTAGACACCTGGAATGCTTGACAGAGTTGTTTATTCTTATCAGCCTTGCATCATCTTTTCTTGCTTCTCCTAAACCCACTCCATCAGGTTTTGTCCACATTCCTCCACACATAGTTCTTGCCAAGGTCACCATGACCTCCATGTTGTCAAGCCCTTGGTTTGTCCTCCAACTTCATCTTCCTTGACCTCTGAACCGCACTTGACACCTGATCATTACTTGTTGGAATTCGTTTGCCTTCCAGGACACCACCTTCTAGGAGGCTCTCCTATTTTATTGGCCACTGCTCTTCAGTCCCTTTTGTCTGTTTCTCCTCATCTTCCTGACCTCCAAATCTTGGACTATCGTGGGGTTCCATTCTCAGAACTTTTCTGTTCCTTACCTACATTTGTTCCTTAGGTGATCTCATCTGGACTCAGGACTAAATCCCAGCATTCTACTCCCACATATATATCTCCAACCTAGACCTTTCCCTGAACTCCAGATTCATAACCCAACTGCTTGCCTAACATCTCTACTTAGATGTCTAAGACACATCTCAAACTTGACAAGTGGAAAGCCCTTGATTTTTCTGAGTCTACCTCACCCAAATTTTCTTCCTCGGGCTTCCCCATCTCAATAAATATAATACTAACAAGTGCAAATCTCAGAATCATCCTTGACTCCTTTCTTTTACAACTCACATCTGTATCGTGAGGAAATCCTGATGGCTCTATCTTCAAAACGTATCTGGAACTCAACCACTTTCAGCCACCTCTGCTGTCCTCTCCCCCATCATATCTTATCTGGATTATCATGGCTTCCAAGTGGCTTTTCTGCTTACCAAGAAGTCAGAGGGTCTTTACAAATTCAAGTCATTGCTCATCACTGCTCTGCATAGGGCTCTCCGGTTCTGCCTGTCTCATTGAAAGTAAACCTCACGGTCTTACTATGGCTGACAATGTCCTGCATTATCTCAGAGCACTATCCCTCGGCCCCATCCAACCTGCTTCAGTTTCCATCCTCCCTCACTGTGCTCCAGTTTCACCGGCCTCCTTGCTGATCCTTAGACACACCAACATGCTCCCATCTCCACACCTGTTGTTCCCTCACTTGGAATCATCTCTTCATGGGTATCTCTATGTCTTGTTTCCCTGGTTCCTTAAAGTCTCTTCTCAAATGTGTCCTTAACAGAGAGCCCTTTCCTAATCACCCTGTAGGAGCAGGACATTCCATCTTCTCTTGCCCTGACCATTCTCACCACCAGCACTACCACCACTACCCACCCACCCACCCACACATACACCTCCCCACCACACACACACAGTTTTTGTCATTTGTCTCCTTTGACTATAATGAATGCTTCTTTGCTTATTTTGTTCTTGGCCCAGTAAAGAATATCCCTAACTCCTAATCTAATGCCTTGCACATATAAGAGCTCAGCAAATATCTGTTGGATGAAATAATGAATATTCATCTTCTAGTGTAGTTATCTTTTTATGATAGGTTTTTAGGAGTGGGATTACTGACACCAAGGGTATGAATATTAAAGACATATTTGACACATTCAACCATTTATGTTCCCATCAACAGAGTACTATTGACCCAACTGAAAATATTTGCCTATCAGATTACTAAAGATGAAAAAGTATTGACAAAACCTATCAACTTTGTCAATACTTTTCATCTTTAGTAGTCTGATAGGCAAATATTTACATTTTAGGATTATTTGAATGTTTTTCTGTATATATTTCTTGACCGTTTATATATATCATTTGTGTGAATTCCTAGATTTTATTCTTTGTCCACTTTTCTATTGCAATTATTTCCTGTACTGACTTGTTCTTTCTGCATTAAATCTTTGTTTAAATTGCCATTTTTTTTTCAGTTTAGCATTTGTCTTTTCATCTTATTTTTGGTGTTTTTGCCAAAAAGAAGGTAAATTTTTAATGCAAAATCATTCATTTTTCCCTTGTAGTTTTTGATTTCTCCAATAAGAACATAGTTATGTGAATGAATATTTGAATATTGAGCCTTCTTAGGCTTTCTTGGTAATGTTTATTAAGCATATTCTTTCCTTGGAGGTAAATGTCTTGATAAAGTTTTATATCATGAGTAGGTAGAAGGAGGTGGTACAGCACTACGTGACCCATCAAACATATAGTACCATGAATCTGGGGAGTAGGAATGCTATACCAAGGCAAAGTGACATGAAGCCAATTACTTGGGGAGTTCAGGGAAGGGTGAGCTGGCACAGTTGTTAAACATCTATACGTAAAGCAGGTGTCAGAGGGAGAACATCGTATAGTTCCTGGAAACTGTGCACTCACAAGGTTCTGCTCCGAGGAGAGACACATAAATGAACACAACTCCACAGGTTCTGGAGAAACAGAAAAGTTTACACTGACAGGCTTCTCAGGCAGTAGAATCATATATCCAACAGCAATTTCCCTTGTTTCCTCAGCAGTATTGGCTGACATATATCACCACTAAGTGGTGCTATACATAAGCATAGCTAAGGCAGCTGTCTCCCTCTCATCCCCCTGTGTATCAGGCACTAAAGATGTCCTCAGGTGCAGAAACAATACTTTCTCGTCCCAGTATAAATGGGATGAGTTAGGGTAGCGCTTTCCATCCATTGTCCCACAGATGGGTTAAAGTGTACTGACATATTTATTCCTGGTAAACATGGCTGCTGGTAGAGGCCCTGGGTGGCCTGAATCCCCAACCCTTACTCCTCAAAGTACTGTTTGTGGACTAGCAGCATGGACATTTTCTGGGAGTTTCAGAATCTGCATTGTCACAGATGTCCAGGTGATTTGCCAGGAAGTTCAGAAGCTGTGCCCAAAACAATTGACTCTGGTTTTGAACAACATCATCCTTTAATTCCACTTCAATGTATTATCATTCTTTGTTTCTTGATTGCGAGAACATTTGGAGAGCACTGATTATTATAATCAGACCTAGGAAGATGATCAAACAATGTGGTTGCTGCTATTGTTTTTTAAATTGCTCTGTTTTCTGGAAAAGTATGGACACTATTTATCATTTGATTTTGTGGGCTTTGTAGCCCTCTCTAATTGTTCACATATAATATAAAGCTTGCCCCTTCTTAATGAGACTGTGAGATCTTAAAGAATAAGGACTATTTTATCTTATAACTCTTCCTCATAATTTTTTAATACTATAAAGTGGTGTTTTGCAAACTTTGCATAGGGATCACTGTGGGGAAGGTATCTTGTTAAAATGCAGATTCTTATTTAGTAGATCTGAGATTTGGCATATCAAGCAAGCTCTCAGGTGATGCTGATACTGATGGTCCACGGACCACATTTTGAGCAGCAAGGTTATAGGGTATTCATTTTATTCTCACAATGTGTTTATGAGGTAGGTGAGTTTGATATTATCCACATTTTATAGATGAGGTACCTGAGGAACAGGAAATTAAAGTCATGCCCAAGATCCCATAGCTAGTAAGTGATGGAGTTGGATTTCCCATGGTGTTTGCCTCTTATAACCCATTCTTCCTTTGCACAGTAAAGGATAGAAGGGCAATGGAGACTGGCTCTAGAATTGCTAGAGGCTCTAGAGCAGCCTAGGGTCTAAGGCAAAAATTTTTTATCTCCTCTTTGGATGGCCATGACTCAGATAGTGTGTTTTAGACTGGCATTATGGTGAATAAGAGTTTTGTACCAGGGGGACATTTGGACACTTTCTCAGTGGCTACAAAATAAGTTTTACCCAAGATACTTATTACTTTACATCTATCTATTCTGGATCACTTGTAGCACTTTAAAAACATAGATTCCTGGGCTCCACCGAGAAGATACCAAATCAGCATCTTCAGAGACAGGAGTTCAGGCATCTGCATTTTTTTCATTTAAAATTTTTTAAGGGACCGGGGTCTTGCTGTGTTGCCCAGGCTGGTCTTGAGCTTCCTGGTTTAAGTGATCCTCCCACCTCAGATGTGCCACCACACCTGGCTTGGCATCTGCATTTTTCAAAGCACCACATGTGATTCCAATGGATGATGAAGGTTTCGTAAAAATCACTGCACACTCTCTCTTTCCATCTTCACCAAGCTGAATAATGGAAGAGCTAATGATTATTAAAACTTACTGTAGGCCTGCTAATTGCCCAACGTGTGGATAGAGGACCAGCAGCACTGGCTTTACTAGGAAGCTTGCTACAAGAAGTAAGAATCTCAGGCCCCAACTCACATCCACTGCATCAGAATGTGCATTTTAACAAAATCCCCAGGTGATTTCTATGCACACAGAGTTTGAGAAGCACTGCTTTACATGCATAATCTCGTTTCACTTTATCTTTCCAACAAATTACAAGGTAATTTTTCAGATGTGTGGGTGTTGAGGTCTAGGGAAGTTAAGTAATCTGCTAGTAAGAATTCAAACTTGGCTCCACCTGAGTCTAGAACCCACATTCATAACAAATATATCAGTGATTCTCGCAATTTAGTATATAGAAGATTTACCTAGGGAGCTTATTAACAATATTGATTCCTGAGCTTTCTCCCTGAAATTCTGATCCAACCCATCTGAAGCAGAGCCCAGAAATCAGCATTTTAACCCTTCCATCCCAGGAACTTCGAGGGAGGTGACTGCAGAACACAATTTGCAAAGCACTGGCACTTTATTATATTTACCAAAAGTACTTTTGGGGAGAGAACTACCCTATATTTTCAAAGCACCTCAAAATGAGAGCTTGACTGATAGTAATAAAGTTTTTTTTTTTTTTTTTTTTTTACCAAGTGCTGGATTGAGATCCCCTAGGCACCTCTGGATCTAATCCCAAGCTTTGGGAGAAAGCATGAAGGAGGCCAGATAAAGACCCAGATCTATTCGAGAATAAACCAAAAAGCTTATTTTTCACACTTTCCAAAACTTAACACAGACAGGGATGTTGGTTACCTTTTAAAAATTTTATTAGATTTCATGTATAATTTAAATCACTGGGTGGCTGTAACTCCTGCTAATAAATTGTGTACACCCTGAACACAATAAAAATCAGCCGGTACAGCAGAATGGGTCTGTTCAGTGCTGAACCTCTAAGGGCATGGCAAAGTTAAAAAGGGATGAACGATGACTAGCCACAGAGGTGCAGGATCTCTCCTCTTGAATTTTATTTCAACAAAATACATTTTTAAAACATGTTTTGTTTGACACAATACTCCTCTCCTGAAGACCTCAGGGTGCTCTGTGTACACACACACATAGACGCATGCATGCACGCACACACTCACATTCCTATTGCCTTCATCTGATGCTTACCACAAGGATGTACAAACAGGAAGAGAACTAAAGTGAAAGTAGAATGAAGGCTGGGCACGGCGGCTCATGCCTGTAATCCCAGCACTTTGGGAGGCCGCAGTGGGCAGATCACTTGAGATCAGGAGTTCGAGACCAGCCTGGCCAACATGGTGAAATCCCATCTGTGCTGAAAATACAAAAATTAGCCAAGCATTGTGGCACATGCCTGTAATCCCAGCTACTTGGGGGGCTGAAGCATGAGAATCACTTGAACCCGGGAGGCAAAGGTTGCAGTGAGCTGAGATTGTGCCACTGCACTCCAGCCTGGGGGAAACAGAGTGAGACTCTGTCTCCAAAAAAAAAAAAAAAAAAAAAGAAAAGTGGAAAGGATCAGTAGTGGTAAATTACTTGCTAAGACTCACCATTTTGAGTCCACTCAGTCATTTTATATATATATATATATTGAACATTTGTTACACTCTAGGCCATTTGGTAGCTACTTAAGTGGCAAATGAGAGTATATCACAATCTCCACCCTCAAGATACCATGCTCATCCTGGAGTAGTAGGGTAGGGACAGGAGGAAAAACACACATGTACACAATTTTAACACGTTAGCTTAATGGGGGCAATGCCTCCTGAAAATAGATCTCCCTGGAATTTATCTGTTATCAATAAGGAGGAAATCTGGGCTTGGAAAATGCAATACAGTGAGAAGCCAGCAGTTCTGGAATGCCTACTTACTCTGTGCCAGACACGCCCCACAGCAACTGGCAGTCTCTGAGTAGTTATCCCAAACTTGCAGATGAGGAGGGGAAGCCCCAAGAGAGTTAAAAACATGCCCATGGGTACAATGGGGGAATGTGGCATAATTAAACCTACGTTGTCAAACTCTAGAGCAGCGTTCTTCTGACCTTACAATCTTATTTACATTGTTGAGAAGGCGATAAAGAGAAGAAATGAAATCCATACATGAAGAAAATTTGACATAGAAAAATAACACCTCTAATGATTATGGCTGGGTTTTTGGAAATTCAATTTTGTAGTATTGTATCGAGTTTGGTAATTTACTAAACGAGTAGAAGGATGGCCTGGGAAGGCTACGTGGTTGATTTCGTTTTATAAGGTCTAAAAGAGATCCATGTAATGAGAGTCCACCCCGGCCTTCCCATATGATAATGCTTAGTTTATTCAAAGGTGACCCTAGTATCAAGTAGGATTATATGTTCTGAGATGAGATTTTGTTAAAGGTTTTAACTTAGAAAGATGAAATCAGAGGTCTCAGGACATGACATACCACTACCCAGGTGCTGAAATCATCAAAAATCACAATGCTTTTCCCTGGGCCTATCTTTCCTCTCTGAAGATCAAGGTGTGTTGGGGCTGGAGTCAAACCTGGCAGTCTGTCTGTATGAAGTTGCTGTATGTGGTAGGAATTCAAGGATGTGTGAATCAGTTATGCTGTAGTAACGAATGAGACTCCCAAATATCAATATTTATAACAATAAAAGTTTATTTCTCACTCCTATTTCCAGCATGGGCCAGTTGCAGCTGTGTTCCACATCTCTGTGCTGAGTCCAGGCTGATAGGCCAGTCTCTTCCTGAAGCATTCCCTGTTGTTGAGACCTGGGGAAAAGAGATGGCAAGCCATGCTCTGGTTCCTAGTGGCACTTCTCACTTTTCACTGGCCATGTCAGCCTTAGCTACTCTGGAGTTCAACAGGGAAGGCTTCTATAATCCTCACAGAAAGGAGAATCAGAATATTTGGTGGCAAGTAAATCTAGTCTACTGCAATGAGTCGAGGGTTTTGAGGAACACATTTGGGATCAAAATTCAGGGGTCAAGTACAATGCATGACAGCAGGGCCATAAATGAAAGGGAAGACCAGTAAGGCTACAATCCACCAGAACTGAGGAGCACAGGGATTCGGAGCAAGGGTGGGATCAAGTGGGACTGTATGGACACCCTGGGCAGTTTGTGTTCCCTGATAGGTGCTAGCTGGGACATGGATGAGCTGGCTGGCTTAAAGGTTCACAAATGTGCAGACTTTGGGAACACAGCTTGTTAGGGTCCATCTGAGTAGTGTGAGCTGTCCATCTGGTGTTTGCTGACCCTCATTGCCTTGTTTTCTGCTCTCCACACTGATCACCCTGGGGAAACTGAGGCAGCATGTTATACCAGTGAGGGTTCTAGAACATTTCCCAGGTCTATGGCCTTAAGAGGATCATTTTTGGACATCGAGTACTTCTTTCTTAAAATAGATAATTTATATTGGACTTATATAATAAGTCCAATTTATATTGGACTTATTATATGAGTCCAATAATTTATATTGAAGGCTTTTAATTTATATTAAAAGCCTTCCAACCCACTTTAAAGAACTTTTGATTTAAAAAACCCATTAGGAGAGCCTTGCAGATAGCTACTTGTCTGGGATAAATGGTGATATATGAGGAGAAATAATCAAGAATGTTAAATTAGCTTTGTTTTTCTATTACTTGGAGCAATATCAAGGTAAACTCTGCTACCTAGAGGAAAAGACAAAGAATCAGTGCAAACAGGAACTTGGATTAGGCAAAGAAGCACAGGATCCAATTCTTCCCCTTTTAGACCTTGAGAAAAAGTGTAAGTGAGTTTGGTTCAGCAGTCTTTACCGCTCCTTTATTTAGTGTTCATCTCACGAGTTTGGAAACTGTGCCTCCTCTGCCGTCTTGCATCCCACTCAATACATGTACTACCCAGATTTGCCTCTCAAGGCCTGTCTCAGTGTCCCAAATCTTTTTCCCACTATTGAAATTACCGTTTAATTTCCTTGTTTAAGAGCACTACCTGAGGAATCTGTGAATAGACTAACTCAGAATAAATGACTGGTAACCAGTCAATATGTTACTCTTCCTAGGAAAATTTGCATTTAAAATCTTCCCAAGGACAATGCTTCAACTAAGAAAAGACTGCCGTAATGGTGCAATATGAGGCAATGCAGCTTGCCAGTAGGGGAGTTGTTTTGTTAGGGGCCCTTCCCTGGTTTATTTCTAGTCTCTTCTAAATAACCTGTATTTATGAGCACCCAGCTTGACAAACAATTCAAGCAGCCCAGCTGCTGGTGGCTTCTGCATAGTACTGTACCACTTTTCTTTTCTTTTTCTTTTTCTTTTTTTTTCTTCTCTTTTTTTTTTTTTTTTTTTTTTTTTTTGAGACAGAGTCTTGATCTATCCCCCAGGCTGGAGTGCAGTGGCATAATCTCGGCTCACTGCAACCTCTGCCTCCTGGGTTCAAGCTATTCTTACACCTCAGCCTCCTGAGTAGCTGGGATTACAGGCGCCTGCCACCATACCCGGCTAATTTTTGTATTTAGTAGAGATGGGGTTTTGCCATGTTGACCAGGCTGGTCTCGAACTCCTGACCTTAGGTGATCTGCCTGCCTCAGCCTTCCAAAGTGCTGGGATTATTGGTGTGGGGCACCGCACCTGGCCCCTGTACCACTTTTCTTCAAGATAGTTGTGAATCTGGGTCTCAGGTGTCTATGCCTGCATGGTCAGGAAAAAACTAGTCATTGTAACACTAGTTATAATTTATCATCAGCCTTCATGATTTCCCAAGCACTTTCACGTGGATTAACTTTGTTGATACTCAAAAAGCCTATGATGGAGGCAGTGCAGGTTTATTATCCCCCATTTTATGGATGTGGAAACTGACAGAGGGATTAAGTGACTTACCTAATTAGTTTCTCTATACCCAATCCAGTGATCTTTCTTCATGTAGTGCTGCTCCTTCAGCCTCTGGCACGGCCTGGACTGCTGGTGCTTAGAGTTTGGATCAGGCGGGTGAAAGTGCAAGATGGCAGGGCCACATCATCTGTCAAAGCCACTGATGTTTGGTATACCTAGGACATGGCCACAGTGTTTTGCCACGGGGCATCACCTGGTGGGGGAAGGTTCCTATATTGGTATTCTGCATCTGTATGGGTATTGATTTATTTCTCAAAGGGCTCTGTCTGCCATCTATCTAATGATGTTACTAATCTTCATCCCAGTCCTTTGAGGATTTTTATCCCAGTGCTTCAGAGGTGCCGGTTTCCAGGGTTACCAGAAATCCATAGATTAAAGCCTTTCTCCAGCTTTCTTGTCAAGGTCCTTATCAGTAGAATTTTTTTCATCATCTTCATTTTCTGGATGGTGTGTCTCTTACAACTTTTCTCTTTTACTTCTATCTGCAGTTAGTCTGTGAAGAATAATCCCCGAGAAGCTGCTTTGTGCAGAAGATGTAAAATAAATTATAGACACTGTGTCCTCAATGATTGTTTAAACAAAACCCAAACAACCCTACATCAGGGCCAATGTTGTGAGGTGGAAAGTGCTCTGCTTTTGAAACCAGCAGATCTGGGGCCTGTGGGACCCATCTCAGCTTGTCAGTAACTAACTGTGTGGTCCTGACCTAGTCCCGTAATGGCTCCTGGCTGAGTTTGTTTTAATAACTGCCATATTGGTTTGGGAGGCTTTGATGAGATGATTCTGTCAGACAGGGCTTCTCAAACTTTAATGGGCTTTGGAGTCACCTCTGAGAAATCCAGGTTAAAATTCAGATTCTAGGCTGGCTCATGCCTGTAATGGGCTTTGGAATCACCTCTGAGAAATCCAGGTTAAAATTCAGATTCTAGGCTGTGGCTCATGCCTGTAATCTCAGCACTTTGGGAGGCCAAGGCGGGTGGATCACTTGAAGTCAGGGGTTCCAGACCTCCCTGGCCAACATAGCGAAACACTGTCTCTACTAAAAATACAAAAATAATTAGCAGGGTGTGGTGGTGTATGCCTGTAATCCTAGCTACTTGGGAGGCTGAGGCATGAGAATTGCTTGAATCTAGGAGGTGGAGGTTGCAGTGAGCCGAGATCACGCCATTTTACTCTAGCCTGGGCAACAGAGAGAGATTCCATCTCAAAAAAAAAAAAAGGAAAAAAAAGAAAAAAATGCAGATTCTAAATCAGCAAGTCTGAGGTGGGGCCTGAGATTCTGATTTCTCCTAGATTCCCAAATGACACGACCAAGGTTGAGAACCACTGTTTAAAGAAATCTCGGAATGACACATGGCTACAGCCTGCAATGAGGGTCTGAAAACTGAGGGGGAGGGGGAAATCATAGCAGCTTTTAGGAAACTTCCCCAATTCATCTTTCTTGATTTTTAAGACCTGCCACAAGTAGGGTTTAAATGGAACATTTATTTTTTTTTCTCCTTCTTACAGAAATAATGAGCGGTATTTGTAGACACAAGGCTAACTCACATCTCAATACTTTTCTTGGCTGACATTCACACTGATTTATGGTGCCGGAGGCTAAAGATTTGAAAATACCCCAGCATCCTACTGCACAGGTAGCTAAATTAAACCCGATACCCAGGACCTGTGTGATTGGAATGATTTACTATTCCAGTCTACCTCAAAAACCTGTCAGTGGGGGAGTATTGGAGGATCAGGAGGAAGCCAAATTTGGGAAGTAGAAACTGTATTGCAAAAATACAGTCTCAGCAACTAATTACCCATCAGATAAATTGTTTGGGATGGTAAGAAATTTTCTGTTTCAATTTGCCTTGAAGTTCAATGGATTCTTGACCCAGAGGAAATCTTTCTCTTTTGCCATTTGGAGAAAGTCATCAAAGTCTTGTGACAGTTATCAATCCTTATGTATTCCCATATCCAAACCCTCCTTCTTAGACCCAGGTACTGGACAATCTCGAAAGGATTGTAGACTAATCATGCAGCTAACCCAAGACATCATCATCTCCAGAATGATAAGAGCTAAAATTGTGCAGTGCTTTGTGGTTTAAAATGCACTTTCACTTACATTATATCATTTCATTCTTATGACTATTCTTTAAGCCACACACTATTATCTCCATTTTCAATTCTGGAGAATTTATGTGATGTATCTAAGGTCATACTGTCAGTGGCAGAGCTGGAGGCAAACCCATCTTTTGACCACTTATTTATTGTTTTTTTTCACAATAGTACGTGTATCCTTGTTCTAGAATACTATCTTTTCAATCCTGAACTCACATTAGAAGCTTTTAAAAATACTGATGCCTGCCCTATTTGAGGTCAATTAAATTAAATCAGAATCTTTGGGGTGGAGCCAATATCCATCTGCATTGTTTCTTTTTCTTTTCCTTTCTTTTTTCTTTTCTTTTCTTTCTTTTCTTTTTTTTAACTCTGAGACTCTGAGAGTGCTTCTGATGTGTATCCAGAGGTGAGAAATCACTACTCTGGAAGAAGTTTTAGGGAACTTTTTTTTCTTTAAAAGGAAAGTATCTGTTCATAGAGCCAGATATGGACATGATACTTGTTTTTTTGTGTGAGTAATTTCTAGCACCTAGCTTAAATGTCTGACAGACTGGGGTAAAGGAAGCAAAATTAGTGAGCCTCTGCTATGAGAAAGGTGCCCTGCTGATCATTTTACTGCTTTATAATGCAGTGTGATTAGTATTAGTATCACGGCCTTGTTTGTGCCATTCGTAAATATCAGAGCTGAGATTTGAACCCACATCTGCTAATGCCAATGCCCAGATATGTTCCATTGTGCCAGTAGTTCTAAACATTGGCTGAGAGTCTGGTTACCTGGGCTGGAGTAAGGCCCAGGCATTGGTGTGTTTCAAAAGCCTCTCCAGTAATCCTAATATGTAGTAAAGGTTGAGGGTCACTGCCCTACACTGTTTTATCTTTGCAAAGTGCTTAGAATACACTTGTTGAGCTTGAAGGGTATGGGGCAAGGGCTTCCTTAGCCATGTAGACATATATATATACATGTACACACATCGACCTACACACATCTCTCTCCATCCCTCCACCCCAAGTTAGAGAGAACAAAGACTTTCATTCTGCAAGAACACATTTTAGAACAGAAAATTCAATCACATGAATTCACATGTCAATCTTTTCCTGAAAGCAGAGATTGGGGAAGAACTTTCTTCTGTAGGCCTGGGGTTTCTGAAGGGTCATCAGCCTTGGGACATGGCACAGAGTGGGTAGGGGAAGATGCAGAACATTGAATTGGGCCACAAACACAAATGCGGACATCTTTCCAGTTCCACCTCGAGCCAGTCTGCACTAGGAACCAGCCACATCTTGGCAAGACGATGTGATAATTTAGACCAAACAGTGTAGAGAATGGCCTTGTGACTGGGAGATCATTAAGAAGTTTAGAAAATGCCTTATTAACTCCCTAGGAGTTATGCATTAGTACAACTCTGGGAGAATGCATTAGTATTTTGAGGAAAATAGAACAGATTTCCCATTGGATTGGGTCCTGGCTCCACTAATCTTCAGTAGGTCCCATGTGCCTATTCAAAACTGTCTGGGTTAGTAGACATGTGAATGCATTTCAGGTTCAGGCGAAGCAATTCTTAGGCACTGTCTCTGCTCCAAAAGCCATTTCCAAGTCATCACTGTTATTCAAGATTCCAATTAAGTGCTTCAGAATTACGAGAGAGAGAGAGAGAGAGAGAGAGATGCTTGCACCTTCTTTTCCATTAGTATTCCTGCCGTGTGTGAAGAAAACACCATATAATTTTTACATGAATGTTTGAAATTTGTCCAAATGAAAAATTATTAGTCAATTTCATTCACTGGATTGCTCTGAACCTTAGTTGAACCTGAGGCTCCAACTTCAAAATGCCAGACTAATCTCTGAAGGTCACAGTTCAATGACATCAACCTTAAGAAAGGAATCCTTACAATCTAGATTAGGTTGGATCTGAATTAATTATTTTTTTTTTTTTTTGCCAAAGATTATGTGCTGCCTAAATAGAAGGAGACTTGGTACTTTAATTAAAAATTTTGGGTCTCCTAAGCCAACATTTCAGAAAGGGCCCCCTAATCTCTATTAATAACTGAATTCAATTCAAGAAGTATTAACTGAAAGAATATTTAATTGGTAGATTCAAAACAGAGTGAAACACAGGCCTATTAATTTGTTCACTAAGCACTAATCATGCTGTCACTATGTGCCAGACACTGACCTAAGCATAGGGGTATAGAGATAAGCAAGTTGCTGCCTCCATCCTAGGGACTTCTAGTACAGTGGGGAGACCCACAATATTTCCTCAGCACCCCATTGCAAAGTGGAAGAAGTATTTTCAAATCTGATGTACAGATCAGGAGAAAGAAAGAGAAGGCAGATGGCATGGCTGTCCCCTTGGTGAGCTCTCCCTTGCTCCTTCCTCATGTGGACTTGAGCCACACAAGGAACCAGACCTTAATATACCCAGTCCGTCACCACCTCCTGAACAATTAAAAGGTTTAGCTGCAGTACTTTTTGGCACTCTTGAAGGTAGTGATAATACTTGCTGACTTCCTCTGTGGGGTTAATTCATTTTATAACTAAGAGGAGGAAGAGGATCACTCTAATATGGTGGTGACCTCTTGGTTGGTCTCTTAAAGCTATGGAGACCTCTTTCTGGATTCCAAACCTTACAAACCATTTTCACGCTGCTGATAAAGACATACTAAAGACTGGGTAATTTATAAATAAAAAGAGGTTTAATGGACTCACAGTTCCACGTGGCTGGGGCGGCCTCACAATCATGGTGGAAGGCAAAAGGCATGTCTTACATGGCAGCAGGCAAGAGAGAATGAGAGCCAAAAGAAAGGGAAAACCCCTTATAAAATCATCAGATCTTGTGAGACTTATTCACTACCATGATGAGAACACTATGGGGGAAACTGCCCCCGTGATTCGGTTATCTCCCACTGGGTCCCTCCCACAGCACATAGGAATCATGGGATTCCTGATTCCATGATGAGATTTGGGTGGGGACACAGAGCTAAACCATATCACAGGGACTGATTGGGTAATTTCACCTAGACAAGGATGACAAGTCATAACAAGAGGAAATTCTACCATTTTCCATTCTTTTATTATTATAATGTAACTCACTTAACTGGGGCAAGAATACTGGGTCTTCACCTTCCACCCAATCAGACATAGATTAGGACTCCACCAGGCCAAGGAGAGGGATGGGAAAGTAGGAAGCATTGGGGTCTGGGCATGAGGCAAATTACCAGGTGTGGGTATGCCAAAGACCTGTGAGAGTGGGATATCAGTGGACAGGAACAGACAGAAGTCAGGTGTCCAAAATTCTAGGTAGGGGCTAAGGCATGAATGGTCATTTCTGGTCTGAAATACGCTAAAAGTGAGGAGCATGGAGAACCACAAAGGGCTACTGGCTACCAGGGTCAACGGCAGACTGGGAGTTCTCAGAGATGAAGAATCTTTGTTATAAAGCTGTCTTGGCAGGAGTCATGTCAGCATTTGGGTGGGCCCAGGGCCACAGACAGGAACCAAAAGGTGAGAAGAGAATGCAGCTGGTTAGGGCAGAAGAAAGTGGAGGCTACAGGTTGCTAGCTTTCTGGGTTTCTGCTCATCAAAGAGGGGTGTATTCTTCCATACATATTCTCAACCTTATTGTTGCATTTATACCAGTATATTATTTTTTCTTTACTTTTTATCTCATCAGCCGACTTCAGCGCTTCCAGGGCAGAATCTGCAAGCTTCCTCAGCACATGTGTGGCACACAGTACTTGTTATTTGCTTTGCCTGATTCCTAATTTAGGGCTCTTTACCATCCCCCTGGGATTTCCATGTGGATGCTCAAATTCTTAGAAAGGACATCTCTAAAAATTATTCAGGTGCTTGTTGCTACCATTGTCTCTGACAAAAGGGTTCACGGTGGCTTGCAAGCCAGTGGCATAATGTTTCAGACCTTGCTTTTATGTTCTGCCAAAATATGCTAATGAGGTAATATTTATTGGGAACTGCTATAGGGTTGGCCCCATGCTTATGGTGCAAACATCGGTAAAAAGATTTGAATACCTGTTACCATCAACCCAGCTAATTAAGTAAAATCATCCCCTGAAGAGGCAGCTCTTCTCATCTCCCTGATTATGAGCTGAGAGCTCCCTGAGAGCTCCAAATATTCTGCTCCCATGACTCTTACTTGGATTTTTTTTCCCAGGCTGACAGTCTTCTAATGAGGTATGGCATTTATTTTTTTCTAATTCCCCAAACACTGTGATACAGTCAGAACAACATGATTGCCTGTCCTGTCTAATCGCATTGGTGAAGAAGGAAAAAAGGAGGAGTGGAAAAAAGAGATGACTGGAGTGTGTAGCAAGGGAGAAAAAAGAGAAATAGAAAGAAGGCTGAGGGAAAATAAGGAAAGTAATGCGAATCTTCTTGACAGTTTGAGTTTTGCCTTGTTCAGAAAACTGTTTAAATCCTTCAAAGTTTCTCTTTCAAACCAGTCCCGTCAGAACTTGAAACATCTTTTCTGCCTGGGACACAGGCTGTAGGAAACTTAAAAGATTCAAAGATGTCTACTTATCTAGATAATTGTCCTATTTGTGTGTGTGTGTGTGTGTGTGTGTGCGCGCATGTGTATGTGTGTGTGTGTGTCTGTGTGTGTGCGCATGTGTATGTGTGTGTGTGTGTCTGTGTGTGTGAGCGCTCGCCCATGTCCCTTAGTAAGGCTATGGCAAGCACTTTTGAGTTCAAAAACCAAACACGAACTCTCTACTTATTTGTTCCTAGTACACAAACTGGCTGTAGTTTTTGTTTTGTTTTGTTTTTCACTGTAGGATGGCTTATTGGGATGGCTGAGAGGAGGACAATAATTGTTATTTACTTTCAGGCCATCAATTAGCCAGGGAGTAGGGGGAGAGAGATGATATGCTTTTTTATTTCTAGAATTGCTTTGTAAATTTTGAATTAAAAAAAAAGTCCTGGCTGGGCATGGTGGCTCACACCTGTAATCCCAGTACTTTGGGAGGCCGAGGCGGGCAGATAACTTGAGGTCAGGAGTTCAAGACCAGCCTGTCCAACATGATGACCCCCATCTCTACTAAAATATAAAAATTAGCCAGGTGTGGTGGTGCATGCCTATAATCCCAGCTACTCTGGAGGCTGAGGCAGGAGAATTGCTTGAACCCAGGAGGCAGAGGTTGCAGTGAGCCTAGATTGTGCCACTGCACTCCAGCCTGGGTGACAAAGTGAGACTCTGTCTCAGGGAAAAAAAATAAAAAAGTCCTGCTATGGCCTGAATGTTTGTGTCTCCCCTCTCTCCTCCAAATGTGTATGATGAAATCCTAACCCCCAATGTGATAGTATTGGAAGATAGGGCCTTTGGGCATTAATTAGGGTTAGATGAGATCATGAGGGTAGAGTCTTCATGAATGAGGTCAATGCCCTTATAAGAAGAAATGCAAGGAAACTTCCTTTCTCTCTCTGCTCTCTGCCACGTGAACACAGAGTGAGAAGGCAGCCATCAACAAACCGAGAAGCAGGTCCTCACCAGACATCCAATCTGCTGGTGCCTTGATCTTAGACTTCCCAGCCTTCGGGACTGTGAGAAATGAATGTGTATTGCTTAAGCCACCCAGTCTATGGCAATTTTTTATGGCAGCCCAAGAAGACTAAGACATGTCTCTTTCTCTCTCTGTCCTCCTGAGCTTCCCTGATCCCAGTGAAACTGCCTTTGCAAAAATATAACAGACAGTGAAAGAGATTTAACTTAACCGACTCCATCTTGCTTTTAACCTTCAAGCTGTCCTTGTTTATTCCTGGGCGTAAGCTGAACTAACTTAGACAGAAACAATTTATAGTTTATAGTTTAAACAAAGACGGTAACAGCCCTTTCCCAAAGCAGACCTCCTTCTTGCCTAAGGACTAGATTGCCTTTGTAGGATTAACATTAGCCACAGGATTAGAAACTATGGTTTAGGAGACCAGCCAACATGGTGGAACCCGGTCTCTACTAAAAATACAAAAATTAACTGGGCATGGTGGCACTTGCCTGTAATCCCAGCTACTAGGGAGGCTGAGGCAGGAGAACTGCTTGAACTTGGGAGGTGGAGGTTGCAGTGAGCTGAGATTGTGCCACTGCACTCCAGCCTAGGCGACAGAGGGAGACTCCATCTCAAAAAAAAATAAAAATAAAAATAAATAAAAATAAAACACCATGAAATGAAAAGCCAAAGCACAAGGTCCTAGGAAGAAGAGAAGCAGAATCCTCGACAATGGAATCTACATTTGTCTGTGCTTTACTCTGTGTGTGTGTGTGTGTGTGTGTGTGTGTGTGTGTGTGTATGTGTTGGGGGAGGAGGTGGTGATAGAGAGTGAGAAAGAGGTAATGTCTGGATATTCCCGATGGTTACTTTTTTCCTAATGGTTTTAATTATGCTTCCTCTACTTTTCCTACCTGGCCTTCTTTACCATCCTCCCAGGGTTTCCATGTGAATTCTTAAACTCATAGAAAGAACATCTCTAAAAATTATCCAGGTGCTTGTTGCATTACTTTTCTTATTTTCCCTCAGCCTTCTTTCTATCTCTCTTTTTTCTCCCTTACTACACACTCCTATCATCTCCTTTTTCCACTCTTCCTTTTTTCCTTCTCTTCCTTATTCACAAAAACCATTAGACAGGACAGCCTAATCACTTTCCTAACGGCAGGGTGACAGTGAGGTAAGGAGAAGATAGAAATTCCATGTCACATGGAAAACTCTTCAGTGGATGTGGGGGTGACAGGAGGTAATAGAAGCAAGCAACAGAGAGTGGAAGGAAAGCTAGTATTGTGCTGGAATTGAGAGTGTAGGTTTTGGATACACCTAGATTTGAATCTTAGGGTTAGCACACAGCAGCCATGGAATCACTTAACTTCTCTTAGTGTCAGCTTTCACATCTATGAATGGGAAGAAATTAGATTATGTATTTAGAGCATTTAGCAATGCTATATATTTAGTTAAAACTCAATAAATGTAGACATTATTAAGTGTGGAATACTGGAGGGCAAAAGCATTGAAGGAGTAGTTTTTAGATGAAGATGCATGAGAAATGAGTTGAGCACAGTATGAAGAGTACGAGTCCCACCTGCTGCCCATCCTTGTGTCAATTCTCTGGGCAAACATGGGGACTGGGTAAATGGGTTGCCTCCATCTGAGAGGACTTCAGGGAGATCTGGCGAAAGGCAGATGAGCAGTTATCAGGGGTTCTGTTTCTTAAAAAATAATGCCTTACATCTCAGCTTCAACTAGATGACCCCCAATGTCCATTAAAGCCTGATTTAAAAAAATACACATGATACAACATCCAAAACCTGCAAAAGGATTAAGTACAATTAAAAGGAAGTCATCCTTCCACTTTGTCCCAGTCTTCAGGTCCCTCTCCCCAGAAGCAACCACTGTAACTAGTTTCTTATATTTTTAACTGTATTTTAAATGTTCTAGTCTCCAAAACCCCTTTTCAGAATATCCCATTCTCCTTTACGCATGCCTTAAAATCTAACTTTTAATTTTCCCTTTTATACTACTTGAGAACTTCCATGACTGTCATAGCTGCTCCGATGATGACCCTGCCAGCTGTTCACAAAAGGGGTATGCAGAGCTCTGGTGAGCACCCAGAATGGGAATATGGATAGGCAGGAACACACAGCATGTGCAGGTGGGGCCTGGCATCAGTCAAGAGAGCCCTGCCCACCTGCTCTCCTGCCAGAGACATTGGCTTTCTGTCCTTGTGGCCCAGATCATAGCGAAGCAAGATAATGCTGAAACAGACAGATGCAGTGTGGTGAGGAGAAAGGGGAGGGAGAGAAGTGCATACATGCCCAGAGGTTAGTGGGCAGAGGAATAGAAGGGATGTTTTATTCTGTTCAAAGAGCCTGGAGAAAAGTCCTCTAGGGCCAAGAGGAGGAAAAGTTAAACTAGAAAGAAAAAGGAATGCAGAGGACAGAGTGTCACCCACAATGGTGACTGCAAAACAGAAAATGTAAATGCTTTCTCCTTTCCTGTTGTTCCAAAACTACCTAATTTTATATTCTTGCCAATGGTGACTTCATTCGTTCTGCCATTCTACATGGCACTGTCCCTTTCCAATAACACGGTATATGTCCATTGTTGATTTTGCTGAGAAACCCCCACAGGGCTGCTCAGCTCTGGCTTTTACAGCATGGTCTGATTTCAGTAATGTTATAAGGCAAACTCATTAGAGCCAAGTTAGGGGCCCACAGAACAGATAAATGAATAGTCTGCTAAGCTATCCATTTAAAATGGCCATAATAAAAATGTTAATAAACATCAATATTTGTACCATGGTTTATGATCACTTTTAACGAGCAATTCTGTGTGCTCTTTGAGTGATTTTCTTTAATAGATGACTTCCCTGTTGTCAAATTTGATCTTGACTCAATGCAATTATGCCATCCCACTGTGTCTGTGCTTGAGTTAAAAAGCCTCTTGGCTGAGTTCCACAACTGAACTCAAAAGTTGAGAAGTTGGACATCTTAGTGACTTTTATAAGTGGTTGTCACCTTAATGTATGATTTGGGGTGGAGGTTGTTGCTAATTTAAATTGTAGATTCCGTAGAGACACCCGCAGTTCTAAAAATTGCAGAATTAACACCTGCTTGGATGAATGACTAATTTGGACCCTCCAAAATCCATTTCTGAGCCAGAACTATCTGGGTTGGGTGTCTGGACAACTACTGAATGTTAGTTTATTTTCAACTTTATATTTGGCTCTTTAGACATTGACTTATTAGGCCACCAAAAATTCTTTAAAAATAGATAGTGTCATGTAAACCAAAGGTTTTCTTCACTCATTAACTCTGTTTCCTCATCTGTAAAGTGGGAGTGATGATAATCTCTACCTTTCAGAATTATATACAAGACACATACATATATATGTATATGTATGTGTATATATGTATATGTATGTGTATATATGTATATGCATATATATATGTATCTTATTTAAATAAGTTACTATATACTAAGTGCCTAACAGTGGTGCCTGCTGTGTTAACTATCATAATTACTCTGCGGTGGCCCCTGTAGGATTTTCCTGAAGTTCCTCCCTCAGATGTGTAAAAATAGTAGGCTTAGTTTTGTGTTTCCCTTAGTTTTGTGTTTGTCGTATCTTTTGCATAGTTTTGCAGGTACATGCAGATCATGCAAGCCAGAAATAATCTGATCATCTACCACCAAATGATACTTCTCCAGGGTTGTTTGTTTTCTCTCTGATCTCTTTTTACTTATCAACTCTCGCCGACACAAATTTTTTACAGTGAGGGCTTTGATGGGGAATGGAGTGTTCTGTTTACTGAAAGATAAAGATTAACTTAAAATTAGCTATGAGGGCTCTTTTGTCCATATCTTGTTGAAAATATTTCCAAATGAGCAAGTCTATTTTCTTGTCCTCAGACAGTTCCAGGAACATGTTAGTTCATCTTTCAGTGGTGATGGAAGCTCTTGGAGTGTCTGGGTCATTGCTCTGAACACTGGCTTTCATCACACAGGCCTGAGAATCTAAAAGCTGAAGAGCAGGTGTTGGCAACTGGAGCCAAAGTTGACACTGAGGCTAAAGTTTCTTTGGGCTTACTGTATTATAATCGTGTCTTACATAGTTTTGTGTTGTAGGTACTCGAGAAATGTTTGTTTGATAATTGCATCCTTGCTCCCTGAGATCCCTAGCCTCTCCTGCCATCTCCCTCTCTCCCATCTTTTTCCAAAAAACACTGAAGACAGCTTACAAGAACTCCTAAAATATAAAGAATGTGGGAGACATTACTTAAGGATAAACCAGCATCAGTCATGTCTCCCCTTTCTCCCTGCTGTGTGGCCATGTTTCCACTGTGGTGAGGCCAGTTCTGCTGTCACTATAGATTGCACCAGGAATTGGGGGCATGGGGTGGGCAAAGCAGTGGCTGAACATAGCAAATCAGATTCTCTCTCCCGAAAGAGAGACAGTTCTCAGTGTTGGGTGATGATATTTCTTCCAGAAACTTCCCTTCTTGATGTGGTTAGAAGTAAATCTTGTTATGTCCATTTTAGGGTACTGGGGCTCAGAGAAGTAAGGTCACACAGATTTGGGATTTGAATTCAAGTTTGCCTGACTTGATTGTCTAGAATCCTGTGCTGAACCAATATGGCAGCCACTAGCCACATGTGGTTATTTAAATTTAAATTTAAAGTAATAAACATTAATTTGAAAAATTTGGTTTCTCAGTCACACTAGCCACATGTTAAGTGCTCTATATCCACATGTGGCTAGTGGCTACTTCTAATAGGAAACACACTCAAACTCAAAGTGTTTTCCTCTGCTTTCACACTACCAACAACAATCAATACAGAAGACCTCTATGACCAAATGTATGGGGGTTTTTCCTCACATACTTAAGCAAGCAATTAATTTTGCAGTGGACACCAGCTGGGTATCCTCCAGTTCAATCCTGATGCGTTCTACCTGGGAGATAGCCTCAAAAACCATATATTGAGGGCTTAGTCCCACAGGACGGCGCCCCACTTCCCACAGATCACAACTCCAGGCCTCAGGAACTTCTGACCAATGGTCTTCAAGTTGGGGTTCCCAGGACACCCTCTTTGGGTTACATTAATTTGCTAGAGTGGCTCATAGAACTCAGGGAATCACTTATGTTTACTGGTTTATTATAAAGGATATTACAGAAGATACAGATGAAGAGATGCATAGGATGAGGTATGGGGGAAGGGGCAAGGAGGTTTCATGCTCTCCACAGGCACACCACCCTCCAGGAAACTCCATGTGTTCAGCTATCCAAAAGCTCCTTGAACCCTCTTCTTTTGGGGTTTTATGGAGGCTTTATTACATAAACATAATTTAATAAACCATTGGCCATTGGTAATTAACTTAACCTTCAGCTCCTCTTCAGAGGTTGTGGGATGGACTGAAAGTCCCAACCCTCCAATCATGCCTTGGTCTTTCCAGGATCAGCCTCTATCCTGAAGCTACCTAGGGGCTGACAGCCATCAATCAATTATTAGCATACAAAAAGGCGTAACTTTGGAGTTTCTAAGAATTTTAGGAGTTGCATGCCAGGAAACAGGTTCAAAGACCAAAAATATTTTTCAAATATCATATTATTGTTCTGGACAGTGCAAATATAGGACATTTCCATCATTCCAGAGAGTTCTACTGGCTTGGGCTCTTAAAATGGAGGACTGAATTGTAAACTAAGAGGTATCTGAGACAGGTCACAATTGATTTAGAAAGTTTATTTTGCCAAAGTTAAGAACTCGCCCATGACACAGCCTTGGGAGGTCCTGATGACATGTGCCCAAGGTGGTTGGCACACAGCTTGGTTTTATACATTTCAGGGAGACATGAGACATCAGTCAATATATGTAAGATGTACATTGGTTCGGTCTGGAAAGGAGGGACAACTCGAAGAGGGGAAGGAGCTTCCAGGTCATAGTTAGATAAGAGACGAACGATTGCATTCTTTTGAGTTTCTTATTAGCTTTTCACCCAATGTCCAATTTACAGGAATCATCACTTATGCATTAGTCTGGCTTAGTGAAATAGGGCAAAGGAAGAAATCAGAGATGCATTTGTCTCACGTGAGCACAAGAATGACTTTGAGTTCTGCCTGTCCTTTGTCCACAAGTAATTTCTTTGTAGGTAAATTGTGATGGAGGTATGTAGCTTTTTAATCTTTGTACCTATCTTATTTGGGAATAGAATGAGAGGCAGGTTTGCCTGCAGTTCCCAGCTTGACTTTTCCCTTTGGCTGAATGATTTTGGGGTCCCAAGATTTATTTTCCTTTCACAGACTCAAGCTCAACTTCAATATCCTATGCATAGCACAGATTTCCAAAACCCAGGAGTCACTAATAGTCAGCATTATTTCTTTTTCCTATGCCATCAACACATTTTCAATGTAGATGAAACACCCTTCCATTGGAAGAAGATACCATCTAGAATTTTCTTAGCTAGAGAGGATGTCAAGGCCTGACTCTCAAAGGACAGGCTGACTCTCTTGTTAGGGACTAGTGCACCTACTCTAAGTTGAAGCCAGTGCTTATTTAGCATTCTAAAAATCCTAGGGCCCTTAAGAATTATGCTAAATCTACTGCCTGTGCTCTATAAATGGAACAACAAAGCCTGATGATGACACATTTGTGTACAGCATGGTTTACTGAATATTTTAAGTCCACCGTTGATGATACTTACTGCTCAGAGAAAAAGATTCCTTTCAAAATGTTAGTGCTTATTGACAATGCACCTAGTCACCCAAGAGCTCTGATGGAGATGTACAAGGAGATTAATGTTGTTTTCATGCCTGATAACACAATATCCATGGATCAAAGAATAATTTTAACATTTAAGTTTTATCATTTCAGAAATACATTTTGTAAGGCTATATACTTGCCATAGATAGTGATTACTCTGATGGATTGGGGCAAAATAGATTGAAAACTTTCTGGAAAGGATTCACCATTCAGAACATTCATGATTCATAGGAGGAGGTTGAAATATTAACACTAATAGGAGTTAGGAAGAAGTTGATTCCAATCTTCATGGATGACTTTTTACAAGTTATTTTACTAGCGAGGCATGGTGGCTCATTCCTGTAATCCGCACACTTTTGGAGGCTGAGGCAGGAGGATTGCTTCAGCTCAGGAGCTCAAGACCAGCCTGGGCAACATGGTGAGATCCTGTCTCTAGAAAAAATACAGAAATTAGCCAGGTGTGGTGATGTTGCACCTGTAGTCCCAACTACTCAGGAGGCTGAGGTGGGAGGATCACTTGAGTTTGGAAGGTCAGGACTGCAGTGAGCCATCATTGCACCACTGTACTCCAGCCTGGGCAACAGAATGAGACCCTGTCCCTAAAAAAGAATACAATAAATGAATAAATAAATAAAATTATTTTACTGATAACCCAGATCCTCATGAGTGACTTGGAGGGGCTCAAGACTTTAGTGGAGGAAATAACTGCAGATGTGATGGAAATAGCAAGAAAACTAGAATTAGAAGTGGAGCCTGAAAAATGTGACTGGATTGCTGCACTCTCATGATGAAAGTTGAATTGATGAGGAATTGCTTTTTATAGATTAAACAAAGAAAGTGGTTTACTGAGATAGAATGTACCCCTGGTGAAGATGCTGTGAACACTATTGAAAGGACAGCAAAGGGTTTAGAATATTACATAAACTTAGTTGCTAAAGCAGTGGCAGGATTTGAGAGGACTGAGTGAAATTTTGAAAGCAGTGCCACTGTGGGTACAATGCTACCTAATAGCATCACATGTTACAGAGAAATCTTTCATGAAAGGAAGAGTCAATTGATGTGGCAAATATCATTGTTATGTTAAGAAATTGCCACAACCTCCCCAACCTTCAGCAACTACCACCCTGATCAGTCAGCAGCCATCAACATCCAGGCAAGACTCTCCACCAGCAAAAAGATTATGACTCACTGAAGGCTCAGATGATCCTTTGCACTTTTTAGTAAGAAAGCATTTTAAAATTAAGGTATGTATATTGTTTTTATAGACATAATGATACACACAATTGCGCAATTAATAGAGTACAGCATAGTATAAACATATCTTCTATATATACTGGAACACCAAAAAATTCATGTTACTCACTTTATTATGATAATTGCTTTTTTTGCAGTGATCTGGATCTGTACATGCAATATTTATGAGGTATGCCTGTATATACACTAGTCCAGATTTTAGCAGAATAGTTTAGGATGGGCTTTAACTATTTCCTCCATGATCTTTTAGCTGGGATAAAGTGCATATAGGGCTCCTCATCCTTCTTGGTGATCCTCTATATAGCTATTAGTTCACTTGGACACCCTCACAATACACACACACACACACACACACACACACACACTACAGTCTAAATCCATACTGATGAAATGAAACATATTTATAATTAAAATATGGTCCACTAAAATGCTCTTGCCCGTGATAGAAGTAGAATATTATATTGCTATGCAGAGTTTTGTCAATCTCTTTAAAACGTTTCTTTTCCTGTGCCACCTTAGTGAAAAAAAAAAAAAGGTGTCAATTTTGGCCATCTATAAATTAAAGGCCACCAGTTGGATACTTGGAATACCTTGCCAAAGCTTGAAAATTAAAGTTATTTGTTTAGTTTTTACTTTGGGGGACAAGATTAAATCCTTCGGCTGGGTATTCTTCCAGATATTCTGAAATTGTACTCTTAGGAAAGGCAGCAGGAGACGCTATTGTCCTCTGCTCCCAGTGACCCCATGGGCCACAGAAGGATTGGAAAGGGGGCAGAATTACTCTAGTATTTACAAACAACTAATACATTCTACACAGCGCTGCAGCACTCACCCTCGTACTCAACCAGCAACATATCACTCAATGCCTTTTCTTGGAGAATGCCAGGAGATTCTCCCTGACCTCTAACATCAATTTAAACTTGGATAATGAGTTTTCTTCTCTCTCTCTTTTTTTTTTTTTTTTTTTTTTTTTTTTTTTTTTTTTTTTGCTGAAACAGTGCTCTGAATACTATGTCTACTTAATAAAAAGTCTTCAATAGAAACTTTTGTGATAAGGCTTTGGAGCCAAATAGACCTAAACGGAAGCGGAAGCTAACTGTATCCCTATGAGCAGTTTACTCAGTTCATTCTACAAATTTTAACGGAGCACAGATCACATGCCAGGCACTGTGCTAAGTTTGAGAGACACGAAAATGAGTAAGATGAAATTTCTCCCTCTTGGAGTCTAGTGGAGGCTGTCAGAAAAGTAAACAACTAATTACCGCATAGCATAGCATACCAGCTGTCATCGCAGGCGGCTGTGGGAGCTGAGGCCCAGGGGAGGGTAAGGGAAACGTTCTCAGAGGAACTGGGTAATAACTGAATGAGTCCTAATGAGTGTGAACCTGAAATGTCTGCGACAGGTCTCAGTTAATTCAGAAAGTTTAATTTGCCAAGGTTGAGGACACACGCCAGTGACATTGCCTCAGGAGGTCCTGACGACATGTGCCCAAGGTGGTTAGTGCACAGTTTAGTTTTATATGTTTTAGGGAGACATGAGACATCAATCAACACATGTACGATAAGCATTGGTTTGGTTCGGAAAAGGTGGGACAACTCGAAGCAAAGGCGGGATTGAAGCAGGGGAGGGGGCTTCCAGGTCATAAATAGATAAGAGACAAATGGTTACATTCTTTTGAGTTTCTGATTAGCCTCTCCAAAGGAGGCAATCAGATATGCATTTATCTTCATGAGCAGAGGGGTAACTTTGAATAGAATGGGAGGCAGGTTTGCCCTAAGCAGTTCCCAGCTTGACTTTTCCCTTTCACTTAGTGATTTTGGAGCCCCAGGATTTATTTTCCTTTCACAAGGGTTAGTAGGAGGTAACTAGGAGAGAGCTAGGGCTGGTTAGAGAGGAGACTGTTTGAGGTGGAGGAGAAGTAACCATCAATAACAGAGTGATAGGAATACTTAACACACGGAGCTTGTGGGAGAATTAATGGAGAAAATGTAGATGTATAAAGTTCTAGCCCAGTCCATAACAGGTGCTGAACCAATGTAGTTCAGGAGGCCCATCCTCTCCCTCTCAACCATGGTATTCTCTCCTCCAGTTTCCTCTTTGTGGCAAAGCTGAACTCTGGACTTAGCAGGCTTCCCTATGGTCAGTGTGCATTTAGAGTCTGCCGAAGATCATGTACTCTCCACTATGTCAAAACTGCCCATATTTTGTACAAGTTAATTGCAGAGGTTACAAGGGGATTTGGCCACCTCCTTAACTTTTTCCCACAGCACATGGCAAGCACAAGTGAGTCCAGGAATGCAAATAAAAGCACAATGCAAAGGTCTGAGTGTGCTGGTACATACACTGAATTATTCTCTGCATGATCATTTCAATCACTGTTATTAGGCCCTGTAATTAAATATCACTAATGTTTCATGACAGCCCCCCAGCTGGATTCAGGGCACAAAGGAAAAGATTGGGGTGAGTTGGTGGGGGTGGGCACACCAAACACAGAGATGTCTGTGCTTGGGAAATGGTGTCGTCCTTCAGGACCATTCACTAATACAAAATCTTCTCATTTATATGCAGAAATAATGAGGCAAAGGAGCAGCTTAAGAAAAAAGAGAGAAGATAAGCAAAAATACTACAGATCACTTAAAAAGCCACAGTAATTTACCTGTCTGCTTTTCTTTTCTGGGAAGATTTCTATCTGTCCACATTGTCATAAATTACTTAGGAACAGTGGAGTAAAATTGGTTTTCAGTTTGTTCCACCTCTATTTGACCCCTGTGTAAACAAGAAGCCACACTGGATTTCCTCATACTCTTAGCTGTAGAACAGCCCCAAGAAACCAGGTTTTCACTTTCCAATTGACCACAATTCTGGGGCTAACAGATCAGCCATGGCAGAGAATTGCAAGCAAGTTCCTGGCCCTGCTGCTGAGGGATTCACAACACTTTCTGCCTCCAGGCTGCCTGCTGGGTTAAGCAGAGCCTGTCCTTGGTGCCCCTGACACGTGCAAAGTAGCCAGAGGGAAGGAAACCTTGGAGGAAATGTGAGTTCCATTCTCACCCTTGTCAGAAAGGAATTTTTCCTCCGGCCTCTGAGAAGGTCTGTGAAAGTAAATTAGGTAGAAAATTACTTTTTGACAAACTTGACTGAAGCTGTGAAAGTCGTTCTGCTTAAGTTTGAAAAGTGATTGGAACTGAAGGGTTTTTTTTCTTTTTAAAAATGATACTTTCTCTCTTTTCTTTAAAAAAAAACAAAACAAAAAACCAGATTGTCCCAGGGTAAAGAATAAGAATTCAGGTAGACTGTGAGCACTTTTCTAGTTTGTCTGATTCTGATGAGGAATTCTTGTCTTCATTTGCATGTCATTACCCAGGCCCTCTTGGATTTTCTAGGCATTCTGCATCAGTATGTAGAATTTTCTATTATTTCTCATTGCAAATGTATCATGTTTATGGATTAAACAGCCATTCCTGCTAGTATTAGAACAATACAACCATCATATTTGAGCTGTCGTATCTATGATTATTTCTGTTATCTACTTTTGGGTAACAAAGCACCCCAAAATTTAGTGTCTTGAAACAACAGCAATTCATTATCTTCCTAAATTTTGTGGGTTGGCCAGGCAGTTCTTCAGCCAGATGTGGTGCTGTTTGGGCTCTCTTACAGCTTCATTCAGCTGGCAGATGGACTGGGCTAGAGGGTCCCTGAAGGTCTCTCTCACATATCTGGGACCTGGTGCTGACTGTCCACTGGGCACCTCTGTTTTCCTCCATGTATCTGCCTCTCCACATAGGTCTCATCCTCCAGGTCCTCTCATCTCCAGAGGATAGCCTGCACTTCCTTACAGTGTGGTTGCTGGGCTCTAAGAGGAAAAATAAATGCCAGGCTTCTTAAACTCTTAAGGGGTGGTCCAGGACTAGCATAGGGTCACTTTGTCCATATTTTGTTGGCCAATGCAAGTGACAAATCCAGCCCAGATTCAAAGGAAAGAGGAACCAACTTCACCTCTTGGTGGCAGAAGCAGCATGCACAATGAGGTGGGGGAGGAATTGATGGCAGCCTGATATGGTTTAGCTCTGTGTCTCCACCCAAATTGTTACAGGAAAGTGGTCCCAATCCAGATCCCAAGATAGGGTTCTTGGATCTTGCACAAGAAAGGATTCAGGGTGAGTCCATACAGTAAAGTGAAATCAAGTTTATTAGGAAAGTATAGGAATAAAATTATGGCTATTCCATAGAGCAGCTTCTAGGGCTGCTGGTTGCCCATTTTTATGGTTATTTCTTGATGATATGCTAAACAAGGGATAGATTATTCATGCCTCCCCCTTTTAGACCATATAGGATAATTTCCTGACTTTGCCATGGCATCTGTAAACTGTTGTGGTGCTGGTGGGATAGCAGTGAGAAAGGATGACCAGGGGTCACTCTTGTCGCCATCTTGGTTTTGGTGGGTTTTGGCCTGCTTCTTTACTGCAACCTGTTTTATCAGCAAGGTCTTTATGACCTGTATCTTGTGCCAACCTCTATCTAGTGCCAACCTCCTGTCTCATCCTGTGACTTAGAATGCCTTAACCATCTGGGAATGCAGCCCAGTAAATCTCAGCCTCCATCCTATTCAAGATGGAATTGCTCTGGTTCACACGCCTCTGACAAAATCTCAGCTGGAATTGTAATCCCCATGTGTCAAGGGAGGGACTTGCAGTGAGTGAGATCTGGTTGTTTGATAAGTGCGTGGCACTTCCCCACTCTCTCCCTCTCTTTTCTGCTGCCATATAAGACATGCCTTGTGCCTCCTTCACCTTCTGCCATGATTGTAAGTTTCCTGAGGCCTCCCCAGCCATGCAGAACTGTGAATCAATTAAACCTTTTTCCTTTCTAAATTACCCAGTCTCAGTTATTTCTTTATAGCAGTGTGAAAACGGACTAATACACAGCCCTTTTTGGAGACATCCAACACAATGGTAAAATGCATTTGAACTGATGCTTAAAAGTTTGTTCCAGGAAATTGAGGATTGCCAGTATTATTGAATGAATCTGGATAAACCAATGATAATTGATAGTGATAACAAGTATAGCTACTCTTCATTAAGTGCTCCCTTAGTGTGTGTTAGGTGTGATGTTAGGTGCATCATTTCTATCTTCTAGAAAACAGCATGGGAAGGATGGTATTGTTATACCCATTTTACATATTAGGAATCTGAGGCTTAGAGACCCAGTAGTGCAGGGGTTCCCTGCAGCAAGCCGTGAAAGGTGCAGAATGGGGCATCCTGCCTCCACTTTCCTCAAGTATCTAGCCCTCCAGAATGTCCCACCTCAGGTCTTCCCTGACCTGGGCCACACCAGTCAAGACTCACTGCTTCCTTTCCCTATCTGAAGGTCTCTTATGTTCAGACTCTTTCTAAGCCTGCCTTCTGCTCACTAACAAAAGGTACTAACAGGTTTTTAGTTAAACTTCTTCCATCAAATATGTTGCTCCTTTAAGTTGACAGCTTTGACTCACCCAGTTAAAATTTTTCCTTAAGAAAGTACTTAGCCAAGAACAGGCAGGAGAGAATTTTGAAGAATTTAGAAAGTACAAAGAGCTGACGATTAGCCTCCACCATTTGGAGGAATGGCTATACCAGCAGGATGGGTTATGAATAAATGCAGAAGGAATGGACCCTTTGAAGAATGGTTCTGGACAACCAGCCATACATATGAAAAAGCACAAAATTAGATTCCTACTTCATACCATACACAAAAATTAATTTCAGGTGAATTAAAGGCTTAAATGTAAACAAGTGAAGAGGATATGATATTATTTCTAGGACCTTAAGTGGAGACGAGTATTTCCTAAATTAGACACCAAAGCTCAAAACATATTGAATAAACTGATTAACTCCAATTATATTAAAGCTTAAAACTTATGTGAAGTTGAAGATGTGAATACCCTACAGCCCAGTACTTGTATGGTTATTGGTTATGGATAGATCTAGAGAAACTCTCATACACAGGCATGAAGAGGAATGCAAAAGTTTGTTCACTGAAGCATTGGTTATAATATTAAAGAAATTAGAAACAGTCTAATTGTTCCACAGTAGGGGAATAGAAAAATGAACTGTGGTTTATTCATATAATGTAATAACATTTAGTAGTTAAAATGAATAAACTAGATTTATATGTAGCAACAGGGATAAATCTCAAAGTCATGCTGAGTAAAAAAAGCAAGTGCAGTGTATATACAGAATGATGCTTTTATGAAAATTTTAAAATGCAGGGAATGACATTAAATATTTTTAATATGGCTACCTGCATATGCAGAAACGTATCAAAACCACAGGAGGATACACACCAACTTCAAAACAATGGGAATGGGGGAGGGAACTGGCATCACAAAGCGAAGACTTCATTGTATTTTATGCTTTGTTTCTTAAAAAGGATTTGGGTTCAATGTGGCAAAATATTATCCTATGTTAAATCTGAGTAGGAATAACAAGTGCTTTTATTACATTGCTTACTGTATTTTTCTTACGTTTTAAACAGTTTGTGTTTTTAGAACCCCTAAAGAATGATAGCAAGGCTGTGAGGTCCAGGTAAATACGAAAGATAAAATTTGGAGAACGTAGATTGTATTTGAAGTTGCAGCTTGTGAAGTGCCTGGTGGCTTGCCTGGTGGCCCATCAGCCTGCCATCTCAGGACCATTTCCTTTGAGCCCAGCCCTGGTCCAATTGATAATGCTCCAGCCCCTCTCCTGCTTCCCCCTGACCTGTCTTTGGGGTACCCTCTGCAAGCAGAAAATAGGTTGAATGCTCACTTGTCTCTACTTACTGTTCCCAGCTACCCAAGCTCATTCCTATTTTCCTTTTCATGGTTAAAAATTCAAAAATCCGAGGTGAATAATGAGGATGCTGTTGAAGAAGGAGAGGAATTCCAAAAGGTCTCACTTCTTAAAAAAGCTTTATGTTTTTCAAGGCTGTGTCATCTACATTATTTCAGTGGCATTGCATGTTAACCTTGTAGACAAAGCAAGTATTTTTATTTCCATATAACTGATGAAGAAACTGAGTTATTGCAGAGCTAAAAATCATTAAAATAATTAGTGAGATGGCTGAAACAAGAAGCCAGTCTGAAGTCCCATTATATAGGCTCTTCATAGTGTAATGAATTGAGTGTGGTGTGTGACTAACATGGTAAGTACAGGTCTCCAAGGGGGCGTTGGGTTGAATTGTGTCCCTACAAATGACATGTTTAAGTCCTAACCCCAGTACCGTGAATGTGACCTTATTTGGAAATAGGGTCTTTGCAGATGTAATCAAGTTAAGATGAGGTCATACTGGGTTAGGGAGGGCCCTAAATCAAATGACTGGTGTCCTTTTAAGGGAAACACACAAACACATACACACACACACACACACACACACACACACACACACAGAGGGAAGAAGGGCATATGAAGACTGACGCAGATTGGAGTAATGTAGCTATAGCCAAGGAACACCAAGAATTGCTGGGATCTGCTAGAAGCCAGGAGAGCAGCTGGGAGATGATTTCTCTTTCAGAGCCTCCAGAAGGAACTAACCCTATGGCCACCTTGATTTAGGACTTCTGGCCTCTTGGACTATGAGGTAATAAATTTACGTTGTTTTAAGGCACTGAATTTGTGGCAATTTGTTACGGTAGCTTTAGGAAGCTAATACAGTCACCCAGGCTTGGGGTGATCTCAGACAAGGTAATGCCTCAGCTGAGAACTGAAGGGCTAGTATAGGGATGGTTTGGGGAATGTGTTCAGCCACAAAATATGGAAAACCCATCCAAAGTAGCTTAGACAAATAGGGTTTGTTTCTTTCCCATAACAAGAAGTCCAGAGATAAGCAGTGCAGGACCCTTGCTTAATGCCATGGAGGACCGGGTCCTTCCTGTATTTCCACGTTACTATCTCTAGGTTGTTGGTGTCTTTTTTTTCTTCTTCTTCTTTGAGACAGGGTCTCACTGTTGCCCAGGCTAGAGCACAGTGGTAAGATCATGGCTCACTGCAGCCCTGAACTTCTGGGCTCAAGCAATCTTCCTGCCTTAGCCTCCCAAGTAGTTGGCACTACAGGCATGCACCACCATACACAGCTAATTTTTAAACTTTTTGTAGAGATGGGGTCTCAGTATGTTGCTCAGGCCGGTCTCAAACTCCTGGGCTAACGTGATCCTCCTGCCTTGGCCCTCCAAAGTTCTGGGATTACAGGCATGAGCCTGGTGCTTGGCTGTTTGTTGGTGTCTTTGTCCTCATGCTTGTTGCCTCATGATCGAAAGTGGCCATGGAGCCACCCAGCCATGCATCTGCATTCCAGGTGGAAAGAAGAAAGAAAATGAAAGAGTCTTTTTCAGAAATCATCAGCAGACTTCTGCTTGCATTCAATGGCAGAACTGGCTTACATTTCATATGGCTGCCCCAGCTGCAAGGAAGGGAACCAGGAATTTGTATTTTTAGCTTTCCAGCCTCTATAATAGAGGAATACAGCAAGAAGTTGATCACTGGTGTTGAGTAAGCCATTTTGCAATAATTGTCATAGGTGCTGTATCAATAAATTTTAGGTCTGGCAGCATATAACAAGAAAACCCAAATAATAATAGTTCAAACACATGGGTCTGGCTGTAGGCAATCTAGGGCTGGTATGCAGGCTCCACAATCATCAAGAAAGCATATTTCTTCTACCTTTCTTTTACTTCATCCTCAGTGTTAGCTTCCATCCTCATCATGGACTCATAATCCAAAATGGCTGCTGAAGTTCCAGTCATCACTGTTTCATCCCAGAAAGTAGAATGGATGAATAGGAAACATAAGATTGCATACAATTGTCACTTGTCCTTTTGAGGAGACTTCCCGTCAGTATCTTCCATTGTATTTCACTGAACAGTATTAAAGAAAAGGTGAGAAATGCTGCTTTTACTTGAATAAAAACAGGCTGTCTCAGTAAGGAAGAAGAAAACAGATATTAGGAAAGCAATAAGGAGCTTCTCCCTCATAGGGCACATACGTTTCATGTCAAGTGGGAATCTGGCCTTATTTGTAGTGATTCATAGAGCTCTGTGTTAGAAAGGATTCTGAGGCAGTGATCCAGGCTCAGTGGGTAGGGTTCAGTGGTTGATTTGGATCTTGATCCTGGTTATGAGTGTGCGGGTAACTTTGTACATACATGTGCCTTGAATTTGCTATTCCTGGATATGGCTATGTTAGCCAATGAATGTGGAGGTTAAAAAAAATAAAAGGAACACATGCTCCTGACAGTCCTTCCTTACTCACCTTGTAGCTCCTGTGCATAAGCACAATGCCGGACACCTTACTGGTCACTGTGGAGCAAGTGGTTGTTGATGGATTTCTCTTCCTTTGGAAAGAGTTGTGGAAGCTCATTTGCTGGTGATGGGGGTGACTGTGGGAAGATGTATTGATTTGCTAGGACTACTGTAACAAAGTCCCACAGAGTGAGTGGATGAATAGAAATGTATTTTCTCATGGTTCTGGAGACTAGAAGTGTAAGATAGATCAAGGTGTCAGCAGAGTTGGTTTCTTTCAAGGGTCATGAGAAAAGAATTTATTCCAGACCTTTCTCCTTAGCTTACAGATGGCCATCTTATCCCTGTGCCTTCACATCATCTTCCTTCTGTCCAGGTCTGTTTCCAAATCTTCTTCTTCTTTTTTATTTTTATTTTTTTTGAGACAGGGTCTTACTCTATCTCAAAAAATGTTGGAGTGCAGTGACACAATCATGGCTTATTGTAGCCTTGACCTCCCCAGGCCTAGGTTATGTTCCCACCTCAGACTCCTTAGTAGCTGGGACTACGGGCATGCACCACCACACCCAGCTGATTTTTGTACTTTTTTTTTGTAGAGACAGGGTCTTGCTATGTTGCCCGGGGTGGCCTCAAACTCTTATGCTCGAGGAATCCACCTGCCTCAGCCTCCCAAAGTGTTGGGATTACAGGTCTGAGCCACTGTGCTTGGTCTCCGAATCTTCTTCTTATAAGAACACCAGTCATATTGGATTAGGATCCACCACAATGACTTCATTTTAATTTACTTACTTCCGCAAAGACTTTATCTCTTTTTTTTAAGATGGAGTCTCGCTTTGTCACCCAGGCTGGAGTGCAGTGGCACTATCTCGGCTCACTATAACCTCTGCCTCCCAGGCTCAAGCAATTCTCCTGCCTCAGCCTCCCAAGTAGCAGGGATTACAGGCTTCCACCACCATGCCTGGCTAATTTTTTGTATTTTTTTAGTAAAGACGGGGTTTCACCATGTTGGCCACACTGGCCTCAAACTCTTGACCTCAAGTGATCCGCCTGCCTCAGCCTCCCAAAGTGCTGGGATTACAGGCATAAGCCACAGCACCCTGCTACAAAGACTTAATCTCTAAACACAATCACATTCTGAGGCACCGGGAGTTAGGGCTTCAACATATGAATTCAGAGGAGGGACAGACAAGAGTTAGCCCATAAGAGAAGATGTTGTTTTCCTTTCTGTCCAAACAAAAATGCTTTCCTCAGATGGAGAGAGAAGCTTGAGCTATTCAGTGACTATCCCCAAAGAAGTTTCCTTTATACTAAAAAAACTGATTTGAAGACTGGAAAAATTCAGTCTCATCTGTTAGGTGATGTTGGGTGGCAGGAAACACTGTCAGCTTCTTAAGTTCATGCAGCATTATGGGTGGTAGCAGAGTTGTGCTGTGGGGACCAGGACTGGGAGTTGTGTCAGGTGAGAAAGGACTGCAGCGGTAAGCCCAGGGGGCAGAGAGCAGGTCCTGGGAAGTGAGCTATCGCCAAGAGGAGTGGCCAGACACCCCAGGCTGAAATAGGGAAAGTTTGGAGGCTGTGAGGCTAGGCTGTGAGTGTTTGAGGGAGTGGGCTCTAGAATCAGACAGATCTGGGTTTGAACTCTGACTCCACTTCCTGCTGCTTACGTTAACTGGTCAAATCACATGATTTCTCTTAGCTTCCATTTTCTCATCTCTAAAATGGGGGCAACCTTCTAGAGTTGTGGGGAGGAAGATAATGTATATAAAGTATTATCATAGTAACCTTTGGTGCATAGTAGCTGTTCACTAAGTGGTGGGAGGTCAGAGACCTGGAGAGAGGAGCAGAGAGAATACCCTAGACCAAAGCCTGGGCAGCCAAGGCTAGGATCCAGTCCAGGGGTGTGGCTAAGGTCCAAACGAGTCACATGGAATTTGAAATTACAAGAAGGTTTTGAGGGTCCATAGCTATCTAAGGTCTTGCTGTCCCAAACCAGAAGTGGTTTAGATTAGGTTCCTTGAGGGCAGGAATAGTGTCTGGGTCTTTTGAGGTGTGTGTTCATGTGTGTGTGTGTGTGTGTGTGTGTGTGTGTGTGTGAATGCCATTAACTCCTAGTGCCTGGTCCTGGTCTGACACTCATTTAGTCAACAAATAGCCCCCTTTACCTACCTTATTTAATTTAATCACCACATGCTATACATCAGGTATTATAATCCCCATTTTTAATATGAGAAAACTAAGGGTTAGAATGGTTTAGTAATCTGCCTAAGGTAATGCAACAAGTTAGGGTCAGAGGCATGATTCAAACTCTGTTCTATCTGACATCAAAGACCACGCACTTTGCACCGCTAACTAGGGATGTCTGCCTCAAGTGGCCATTCTGTGTGTGCACAGAGAATGCAGTAGATACCAGCTGGGGGTGGAAGGGGGGTGACAGAACACTTTCCTTAGTGGCGGAGGCTATCCCCTCACTTTTCTTAGTAACTGTGCTGTCCCTCTGCTATGGTCTGAATGTTCATGTTCCTCCAAAATTCATGTTGAAATCTAATCCCCATTGTGATGACATTAAGCAGTAGGGCCTTTAGGCTTTGCCCTCATGAGTGAGATTAGTGCTCTTATAAAAGAGGCTTGAGGGAACCATTTGCCCCTTTCACCATGTGCAGTCACAGTGAGAAAGTGCCATTTTTTAAGGAGAGTATGAGCCTTCACCAGGCACCAAATCTGCTGGTGCCTTGATCTTGGAATTCCTAGCCTCCAGAGCTGTAAACAATACATTTCTGTTGTTTATAAATTACCTGGTCTAAGGTATTTTGTTCTAGCAGCCCAAATGAACGAATACACCTTCTTATTATTCATTTGTCAATCATTAATAAATTTATTAATAAATTAAAAATTAATTTATTAATAAATTTCTTAATAAATTTAAAAATCAGTTTCTTAATAAATTTATTAATAAATTTAAAAATTAATTTATTAATAGATTTAAAAATTAATTTATTAATAATTTAAAAATTAATTTATTAATAAATTTAAAAATTAATTAATTTAGCAATAAAGTTATTAATAAATTTAAAAATTAATTGATTTATTAATGAATTTATTAATAAATTTAAAAATTAATTTATCAATAAATTAAAAATAATGAATTTATTAATAAATTCATCAATAAATTAAAAATAATGAATTTATTAATAAATTCATCAATAAATTCATTAATTTATTAATCAATAAACTCATTAATGAATTTATTTATCAATAAATTCATTAATTTATTAATCAATAAATTCATTAATTTATTAATCAATAAATTCATAGATGAATTTATTTATTTATTTATTAATAAACAGCCCTTGCCCTACTAATCAGGGGGGCATTATAGGCACATTACTCAGGCTAGGTCAGTTATATTATATTATTGATAATATACCATCTCTCTGTCCTCAGTGATTGATCTATGTATAATCATGTGGTTCAAGTAAGCCAAGAGCCCTTCCCTGGAATTTTTCAAATACACCTGGAAGAGAGAAGTTCTCTTTCCTTTAGGATCATTAAGCTAGGAGGCTGCAAGCCCAGAGTGGCCTGTGCCATATACCTTGCTATGTGAAGAAATTCTACTTGTAACAAAGTGAATGAAGCCAGAATGCAGAAAGGACCAGAAACAAGTTGGACAAAGTCCCCAAAGCATTTGAGTCCCTAGATATACATATCCCTAAGACCAGCTCCTTCCTTTCTCTTTCCATGGCTATACAAGTTATGGGGAGGAAGATAATGTATATAAAGTATACAAAGTATACATAATGTATACTTTATATATATTATGGTATACAATGGTAATGTATTACATTACCTAGTTTACCATGGCAGAGTTGGATGTCTGTCACTCGCAAGCAAAGAATCTAGATAGTTTCCAAACAGATGGAATATATATGAAAACACTTTCAGTAAAATTTTTATCCGACTAGTGGGATAACTAATCACAGACCCAAAACTTGATTTCTAGGTTTATTTCTTGAGGACGCTTTTCAATCTATGGCTTCCCCATTTTTAAAGAGGCTTTTCAGAGTAGTAGCTAGCGTATAGCTATAGGCTGGTGATTCCCAAAGAAAGACATCAGACTTCTCACTTAGAAAATATTTTAGGACCAGAAAACAGTATAGTATCAGTATTAATTCATATACGGAAGATTATTTTGTAAGTGCCATTTAAATATTTCTTTTTAAAGCAATCTTATAGCTTTGAACCTTTTTTTCTATATAGATGTGGAGTTCCTTTGATGGGTTTCTAACAATGTCAAATTCATGACTTCTACTTTTACGTCTATGATATTTAAGATACTTAAAAAGCATTTACATTTGAATCCAGTTATTAGACATGATGGCCAAATTATATTTTAGATGAAACATTCCCTAAATTAGTGCTCCCAACTATATTTATAAGAAAACTTTATATTGTGACACTATATGCAAATTCTATTCCTGGTGAGGAGATGACGTTGCTAATAGCAGAGAACAGTGGCCTGACAAGTCTATTTTCTCACAGGAAATATGAAGAAACACTTGCAGTTGAGGTTTTGTTTGCCCTTAAAGTTAATAAATTGCATGGTCTAATAATAATTAATTGTGCCTTCCCTCCGTCATAAAGCTCTTAAAGCATTTCTCAATCAATTAGCAGCTCAGGGACATTATTATTACTGGACATTTTGCAAAATGAATGGGTTCAGAGTGAATACAGAGTAGACTTTACTGCTGAGCAGCTCAGGGTGGGCCTAGGTCACAAGCTGAGCAAGCAGGCTTTGAGGTTTATAAGGAAAGCTTTCAATGTCTCACCAGCTTACTGGCAAGGTTTCTTGGTCCCTTGCTTTTATTTTTCACGTATTGCTCTTCTCATTACTTATGCATTGCCCATTAAATCCAGCGCTGCAGCTGAGGTCTGGTTTTTCTACATTTCCAAGTTGCATTGCTGTATTGCTGTCTTTGATAAGATAAGCTAAAAGGTGTGTGCCCAACCAGTGCAAAGTCCAATACTGCATAATTATCCAGTATATTTGGTTGGCATAGGCTAGCAAAGCCAGGTGATTTAGGTCAGAATGTATTTTAGATTAAGGTCATGCTGGAAACCCACCAAGACTTATGGGCCAGATTTAAACATTCAAATGCCACCAACTTCTGCTCTCGCCCACTGAGAGGTTGTTGAAGTCCTATACAATTAACTATTTGCTCATAGCAATGGGTGACCAAAAAGGTGGTAAAATGATGTGGTGCAGTTTCCCTGGCACCTTTACATGTAGACTCTGCCTGTGACTTCTTTGGTTTACATGGTATTTAATTTACATGGTATGTTGAATCAAACACAGGTCTTTTTGTGGATCCTCCAAAAGGGAGTTTTAAGGTTGCTTGAAAGGCCTTCCATAACTTACTCGATTATCTGGAGGCTCTCAACCTGACTGGAATTCTGTTTTATATTTGGTAGTTTAAATAAAGGAAGGCCCTGGGAGCCTAGGATGCCCTATGATGCCAAACTGAGATATACTCCTTGGCTCTCTTCTCTTAGCCTCTACCTTAAGGTGACAGAAAGGCCATGTCTTAGCATTCAGGAACAGTATGATAGGCTGAACCATGTGCCCCCTCCCCAAAGATGTCCATGTCCTAATGCTCGGAGCCGTTGCATGGTACCTTACACGGCACAAAAGTACTTTGCAGATGAAATTAAGTTACAGGTCTTGAGATGGGGAGATTATCCTGGATCATCCAAGTGGACACTAACTGCAATCACCAGTGTCCTTTTAAGAGGGAAGCAGAGGGAGATGTGACACTGACAAAAAAGAAGGCAAGGTGGCCACAGAGGCAGAGACTAGAGTCACGCAGCTGCAAGTCAAGGAATGCCAGCAGCCACCAGGGCTGAAGCGGCAAGGAACGGGTTCTCCCCTGGAGCCTCTGGAGGGAGGCTGGCCCTGCCAACACCTTGATCTGCAACTTCTTTCCAGCTTCCAGAACTGTGAGAGAAGAAGTTCTGTTGTTCTAAGCCATCAACTTGTGGTAATTTGGTATAGCAGCCATAGGAAACCCTATGCAAACAGTGAACTGTAAGCAGGGAGAGAGGAAGATCCTCGGTCATGCCAGGACCTGCCTCAAGTTAGGAAGTGTAGAGAATATACTGTGGTCCAGAACTGGCCTCCAAAAGAGCCTCAGACTGACTGTTTGGGTCCAACATACAAAAAAAAATTTTAGTGGATTAAAAAAAAAAATGACTGTGAGCCTGAGACTGATGGTAGGAGTTTGCGGACTTCACAAACCTTGGGTTATACCTCAAACTACAGACTGTCCATTCACTCAAATCTGGAGTTGCAGGTGTATAAATTGCTAAATGCTAATGGTCTGTGGAGGGATGTATTTATCTGGCTTTCCTTTATCTCAGCTTTGCTTTTATCTGACAGAATTTCACTGTCAGAGTTATTTTATCTATTTCCCCTACTCTGTTTTTGGTGGGAGACTTTTTTATAGCATGGCTCTTGAAATTGCATAAGTGAATACTGAAAATCTTCACAAAACCCAGCATCTCTCTAGGCCTTTTGGGCAAAAAGAAAAGCCTGGCATTGGCAGTGAAGGAAGATGGCAGCCCAGAGCTTCCCCACGCCATTGCAAGGGCATGTGGGCTGAGGCATGTTCAGTGATGTGTATGAGCCTGTGGAGGACACGTTTCTGCTTCTGGACGTACTCCAGGTAGCGGCTGCCGAGCTGGCGGGAGTGGAAATATGCCTGGAAATAGGGGCAGGGTCTGGTGTAGTATCTGCATTCCTAGCCTCTGTGATAGGTCCTCAGGCTTTGTACATGTGCACTGATATCAACCCTGAGGCAGCAGCTTGTACCCTAAAGACAGCACGGTGTAACAAAGTCCACATTCAACCAGTTATTACAGATGTGGTCAAATGTTTGCTACCAATATTGAAGGAAAAGTTGATCTTCTGGTGTTTAATCCCCTCTATGTAGTGACTCCACCTGAAGAGGTAGGAAGTCATGGAATAGAGGCAGCTTGGGCTGCTGGCAGAAATGGTCAGGAAGTCATGCACAGGTTTTTCCCCCTTGTTCCAGATCTCCTTTCACCAAAAGGATTATTCTATTTAGTTACCATTAAAGAAAACAACCCAGAAGACATTTGGAAAATAATGAAGACAAAAGGTCTGCAAGGAACCACTGCACTTTCCAGACAAGCAGGCCAAGAAACTTTCAGTCCTCAAGTTCACCAAGTTCTAGCATACAATGTGTGCCCAGTGCTACTGGAAACTGAATGCATTTAGCATATCTTGAAACTGAAGTCATTCATTAGGTAAAAAGGAATTTTATCAGAAATTTGTCATTAAAAAAAAGGTAGAAAGGTGGAACATTCCCTTTCACTCAGGCCTATAGAATTATTTGCACAAGTATAAGTAAATATGTATCTTATATTTATAATTTGCATTTTAAATATAAAAGTTATGTATGAAATATTTATTTCAGCATTATTTAGTAAGGCAACAGAATTGATCTGGCAAATGTCTTTTTTTTCATACCAGTCCATAAAGGCAGTTTGCTTTCAGATGGCAGGGCCAGCAATACACCTTCATTGTTGTATCTCCGGTGTATATCAACTCTCCAACTCTATGTCATAATTTAGTTCATAGAGATCTTGATTGCCTTTCCCTTCCACAAAATATTACACTGATTGGTTATATTAATGACATTATGTTGATTTGACCTAGTGAGCAAGAAGTAGAAACTACACTAGACTTAGTGGAAAGACATTTGCATCAGAGGGAAGGAAATAAATATGACTACAATTCAAGGACCTTCTACCTTAGTGAAATTGGTAGAGATCCAGTGACATGGGGCATGTTGGAATATTTCTTCTAAGGTGAAGGATAAGTAGTTGCATCTTGCTGCTCTTACAACCAAGAAAGAGGCACAATACTTAGTGGGCCTGTTTGGGTTTTGGAGGCAACATTTCCCAATTTCATTATGTTACTCCAGCCCATTTACCAATTGACTCAAAAAGCTGCTAGTTTTGAGTAGGGCCCAGAACAAGAAAAGTCTCTGCAATAGGTCCAGGCTGCTGTGCAACCTGCTCTGCCACTTGGTCATATGATCCAGCAGATCCAGTGGTGTTTAAGTGGCAGTGGCAGATAGGGATGCTGTTTAAAGCTTCTGGGAGGTCCCTATAGGTGAATCTTGGTTTAGGATTTTAGAGCGAAACCCTGCCATTACCAACAAATAACTAGTCTCTTTTTGAGAAATAGCTCTTGGCCTGCTACTGGGCCTTAGTAGAGACTGATACTTAATGAGTCACCAAGTTACCATGCAACCTGAGCTGCCCATCATGAACTGGTTGTTATCTGAGCCACCAACACACAAAGTTGGATATGCACAGCAACACTCCTTCATCAGATGGAAATGGTATACACATGATTGGGCCTGAGCAGGCCCTGAAGGCACAAGGAAGTTACATGAAGAAGTAAGCCAAATTTCCATAGTTCCCACTTCTGCTATCTGCCTTCTCTCTTCCAGCCTGCATCTATGACTTCATGGGAACTTCCCTGCGATCAGCTGACAGAGAAAGAGAAGACTTAGGCCTGGTTTACAGAGGATTCTGTATGATATGCAGGTACCACCCAAAAGTGGACAGCTGCAGCACTACAGCTCATCTCTGGGCTACCTTGAAGGACAGTGGTGAAGGGAAATCCTCCCAGTGGACAGAATTTTGAGCAGTCCCCCTGGTTGACTTTGCTTAGAAGGAAAAATGGCTAGATATTCAATTATATGCCAATTCATAGGCTGTGGCCAGTGATTTGGCTGGATGGTCAGGGAGTTGAACGTAACTGGAAAATTGGTGACAAAGAAATTTGGAGATGAGGTGTGTGGATAGATACTGAATGGGCAAAAAGGGTGAAGATATTTGTGCCCTATGTGAATGCTCACCAAAGGGTTAGCAAAGAAGGATTTTAATAAAGTGGACAAGATAACCTGTTCTGTGGATACCAGTAGGCCTCTTTCTCCAGCCACCCCATCATCACTCAGTTGTCTCATGAACAAAGTAGCCATGGTGACAAGGATAGAGGTTGTGCATGGGCTCAGCAATGTGGACTTCTACTCACTGAGGCTGACCTGGCCAAGGCTACCTATGAGTCCCCCGTCTGCCAGCAGCAGAGACCAACACTGAGCCCCTGATTATGACACCATTCCCTAGAGTCATCAGTCAGCTGCCTAGTGGCAGGTTAATTACATTGATCCACCTCCATCGTTGAAGGGATAGTGTTTTTTCCTTACTGAAATAGCGCTTACTCTGGATACAGATTTGCTTTCCCTTCGCGCCATGCTTCTACTAAAACTACCATCCGTGGACTTACAGAATGTCTCATCTACGACCATGGTATTCCACACAGCATTACAAGGAACTCAGTTCACAGCAAAAGTGTGGCAGTGGGCCCATGCTCATGGAATTAACTGGTCTTACCATGTTCCCTACTATCCTGAATCAACTGGCTACATAGAGCAGTGGAATGACATTTTGAAGACAGTAATCGCACCAGCTATATAGCAGTGCCTTGTAGGGCTGGGACAAGGTTCTCTAGAAGGCTGTCTATGCTCTGAATCAGCATCCAGTATATGGTGCATTTCTCTTAAGACTGGGATTCACAGGTTCAGGAATCAAGGGGTCAAAGTAGGTGGGACACCATTCGCTATTAGCCCTAGTGACCCACTAGTACAATTTTTGCTTCCTGTTCCCATGACTTATGCTCTGCTGGCCTAGAGGTCTTACATAGGGTGGAAAGTTTTCCTCTGAGAGACACAATAATGATTTAATTGAACTGCAAGTTTAAGACTGCTCCTCAGCCATTTTGTGCTTCTCATGTCTCTAACTCAATAGACAAATGAATTACAGTGCTGGCTGGGTGATTGTTCCTGACTACCAAGTAGAAACTGGACTACCCCCAGATGGTGGTAAGGAAAACTATGTCAGAAAGACACGAGATTCCTTAGGGCATCTCTTAATGTTACCATGCCCTGTGATTAAGGTCAGTGGAAAACTACAACCTAATTCAGACAGGACCACTAATGACTCAGACCTTTCAGGAATAAAGGTTTGGGTCACCACTGGGTAAATACCATGACCAGATGAGGTGCTTGCTGAAGGCAAAGGGAATACAGAATAAGTGGTGGAAGAAATACTAGCTTTGATCGTATGACCAGTTACAGAAACAGACTGTGATTGTCGTCCTCCATATTTTGCTATGACTCCATTTTGTGTGTGTGTAGCTTTGTTTTCTTTCTTCTCATTTCCTTATTCTGTAACATAAGATGCATTGATTTTATAGCATAGTGTTTAAATATTGTTAATTTTTAAAACTAGCTCCAATGTTCAACCTTGATTAATTTTACATCATATTATTTAAGTTATGGGATATCAAGGAGAGAGTAAATATCACATGAAGACTTTACCTTCCCTTCTGGGAAATGGGTTCGTGTGTTTCTGGTAGAATGCTGGATTGTTAATCATGTTAGATGGAATTATGACCTTGTTATTGTCTTTATGTGGCAGTTACGTATGGTTTAAGGAGATGTGTATGGGTGCCAAGTTGACAAGGGTAAACTTGTGATGGTTAATTTTATATGTCAATTTGAATAGGCCACAGGGTGCCAGATATGTGTTTAAACATTACTCTGGAGTGTCTTGACTGTGTTTACAGAGGACATTTGCATTTGAATTGGGGGACTCAGTAAAGGAGATTGCCATCCCCAAGGTGGGTGGGCATCATCCAATTTGTTGAGGGCGTACATAAAATAAAAGGCAGAGGAAGGAAGAATTCATCCCTTAAAAGAAAAGAAAAGCCTGGCATCCTGGTTACCTGCCTGGTTGGAGTGGACCTCCTCCCTGAGCCGTGCTGGGAAGTTGCGTGCACCTGGGGCAGCAGGGCAAGTGATCCTGGAGCACCGTGGAGAAGAACTACCTGGCTATCCCTGGGCTACACGGAGTCTGGATATTAAATAACATGTCTACTATGCAGAGGCTCTAACTTCTGACATGAAGCCACTGGGGAAGCATCGATGTGCTGCTCACAATTAGGGGCTGGTGGAAATCCAGCCAAAAGGAACAAAGTGATTCTGAGGACAAAATAGCTCAATCAAGTGAAAAGTGATTTCAGACCTGACATCAGCCTGACAGTAGCAACTGGGTTCTTATTATTATCTGCTTTTGAACCTCAGTAAGAGAACTTGCCTACCTTTGATACTGTAAGCAGGATCCTTCATGTTTAAAGATTAAAGCAGCTTTCTGGCTTGTTAGAAAGAAATCACATGGGAATGGGTTTCACAGCCAGAAGCTGAGCTCTCTCAAAAGGATGTCACTCTGCAGAAAGATTATCTCCCCCTTCCATGAATACCAAAAAAAGCCCCTGATTAATTCTTTCCATTAGGAGCCCCATGTCCTCCTACTGTTAGATTTAGGATTGAAACAATATAGTCTGATTACCACTGTGTCCCGTGCAGTTTAGATTGTAAGTGTGAGATGTGAAATGTAAGAATTTTTTTTTTTTACATGTTGTCACTCCAGATGAGAATATACTTTGGAAGTGAAATTAGAAACAATGCAATGTTGATTAAGGACTAGGACTCTCACACGGCCCACCGTGACAAGATTTTGATTGGCATTATGTAATTAAAGGGTATTTTAAATGGTTGCTAAACATAACCAGCTACAAAAAGGTGACAGAAGAATAAGAATAATTTTAATATAGGAATTTTTAAAAAGTTATACTCATTCATAACATGTATAAAACACCTGATCGAACATTTAAAATTAAATCTGTAGGATGTGCTGAAAGGGTTATATTCCACAGTTTCTGCTTTTTTGTTTACATAAAGCAATATTTTTTTTTTTTTTTGAGATGGAGTCTTGTTCTTGTTGCCCAGGCTGGAGTGCAATGGTGCAGCCTCAGCTCACTGCAACCTCCACCTCCCGGGTTCAAGCAATTTCCTTGCCTAAGCCTTCTGAGTAGATGGGATTACAGGTAGCTGCCACCACACCCTGCTAATTTTTTGTATTTTTAGTAGAGACAGGGTTTCACCATGTTGGCCAGGATGGTCTCGAACTCCTGACCTCAGGTGATCCACCCGCCTCGGCCTCCCAAATTGCTGGGATTACAGGTGTGAGCCACCGTGCCTAGCCTTACATAAAACAATAATTTAAGGCACACTGTATTTGCAAGAAATTGCTAGTTAATGTGTATAAATCATTAGGGAAAAGGGGAAGTTTTGAGATATAAAACAATGGTATTTTAGAGGATAAATACCAATATGCCTTGATTTATCCCTCCTGTGATAGTATTTACTGAATATAATTAAAATAATTAAAATTTTTAATTGTTTTACTATCCATAAATTATCCTCAATCAAAATTTTTAATTGTTGGCTAATTTGAACATACTTCTATGGTTGGGGGGAGGTTTAGTCTGAGAGAGGGGAACAGAAACAGCCCTAAATGCTTCCTCCTGCTCCCTAAGCAATACTTACAAACCCGAAGGCCCTATTGCAAAAGCACCTCATTTGCAATGTCACTAGGGAGTTACCAAAATGCAGAGAAAAATATGTTCTAAAGATTGAAAAAAGTTAAGTTGATTTTAAATTTTTCTCTTTTTCTTCCTAATCCCCAATGTGATAGTATGATTTAATATCTATATTTATGAGTTAACAATAGTGGACACACAATTTGTTAGTGTGAGTTCTATGTGTTTTTGCCAGAAAGGCCACCCTTGATGGTCAAGCCCAAGGCTACTACTCGTTGTCCATGCTTAGGCCCACAAGCTGGGAGAAAGCTGCTAGAATCAGTGGGCATGCATCCTCCTAGGCGGCTCCTCCCAGGCACTCTTAGGTGACTGGTGGTTCCCTTGCAAATGCACTTACAGAGCAGCAGATCTTGTTAATTATTCGTGTAACCAACCCTGAACTTTCTCCTTTGCATCTTTTTGAACTTAAGGAATAGAGGGAACTGAACTGATCTGACTACAAGTAAACAGGCATAGAAATTCCTGATTGGCATTATTAGTCTTCCCTAAAGAGAAACACAGCAGGGCCCTCTTAAATGTCAGGTTGAGAGCATTTGACAAACCTGGACAGCCTAAGAAAAAAATGTTGCTAAATGGTTCACAGCAAGCCCTTCACATCACATTCCTACTTTCTCCTATAAATTGCTTTGCGACAACGGGATAGGTGGAGAAGACCTTTATTCCCATCAGATCACTGGACTCTTTGTCAGGACTTGGTTCCATCCTGACTCTCTGATTAATTATGGTGACAATTCAGATTATTGTCCCCAAGGGGCTCACTGGTTTTTCAGCATTAGCAGTAAACTCTGTTGTCTCATTCAGCAACCCAATTACCCATGTAAAAGGCTGATACTGCAGGTAGGTGTAGTGGGAGACAAAAGAAGTGTAAGTCTCAGGGAGTTCTGAATCTGCTTGAGATGATTAAGCATACACACAGTGCTTATTCACCACAGGAAGGAAGGAGGGAAGGAAGGAAGGAAGAAGGAAGGAAGGAAACAAGGACGGAGGGAGGGAGGGAGGGAAGGAAGGAAGGAAAAAAGGAAAAAAGGAAGGAAGGAAGGAAGAAAAAATTTTGGAAAAATTCCTGCTCTCCTTTTTATTTCTGTTCATTAAATTGAATTGTTTAAGAATTTATTAGAGGCTCAACTTTTAATTTTTAAACTAGTGAATTATTAGCATTTTAATAAATAATATTTAATATCTAGTAATGAAGGTTGAGAATATTACACTACCGTATCTTAGTATCTATTAAGCCAAACCAGACCAAACCAAAAGGAAACAGCAAAGTATTTTTTATTTATTTATTTATTTATTTATTTAAATTGTACTTTAAGTTCTAGAGTACATGTGCACAACGTGCAGGTTTGTTACATATGTATACATGTGCCATATTGGTGTGCTTGCACCCATTAACTCGTCATTTACCTTAGGTGTTTCTCCTAATGCTATCCCTCCCACGTCCTCCCACCCCACGACAGGCCCCAGTTTGTGATGTTCCCCACCCTGTGTCCAAGTGTTCTCATTGTTCAGTTCCCACCTATGAGTGAGAACATGTGGTGTTTGGTTTTCTGTCCTTGTGATAGTTTGCTCAGAATGATGGTTTCCAGCTTCATCCATGTCCCTACAAAAGACATGAACTCATCATTTTTATGACTATATAGTATTCCATGGTGTATATGTGCCACATTTTCTTAATCCAGTCTATCATTGTTGGACATTTGGGTTGGTTCCAAGTCTTTGCTATTGTGAATAGTGCCACAATAAACATATGTGTGCATGTGTCTTTATAGCAGCACGATTTATAATCCTTTGGGTATATAACAAGTAATGGGATGGCTGGGTCAAATGGTATTTCTAGTTCTAGATCCTTGACGAATTGCCACACTGTCTTCCACAATGGTTGAACTAGTTTACAGTCCCACCAACAGTGTAAAAGCATTCCTATTCCTCCACATCCTCTCCAGCACCTGTTGTTTCCTAACTTTTTAATGATCACCATTCTAACTGGCGTGAGATGGTATCTCCCTCATTGTGGTTTTGATTTGCATTTCTCTGATGGCCAGTGATGATGAGCATTTTTTCATGTGTCTGTTGGCTGCATAAATGTCTTCTTTTGAGAAGTGTCTGTTCATATCTTTCACCCAGTTTTTGATGGGGTTGTTTGATTTTTTTCTTGTAAATTTGTTTAAGTTCTTTGTAGATTCTGGATATTAGCCCTTTGTCAGATGGGTAGATTGTAAAAATTTTCTCCCATTCTGTCGGTTGCCTGTTCACTCTGATGGTAGTTTCTTTTGCTGTGCAGAAGCTCTTTAGTTTAATTAGATCCCATTTGCCAATTTTGGCTTTTATTGCCATTGCTTTGGTGTTTTAGCCATGAAGTCCTTACCCATGTCTATGTCCTGAATGGTATACAGCAAAATATTTCTAAAGAGGAGGACAACAGCCCAGCAGAGATAGCATTTAGTTACACAGTACTGCAAATGAGCACTTCCTAAAGTCACTGTTTCCTCCTTTGGCATTTCTCTAACTTTGTTGAATGAGAAAGGGGTTGAGCTTCCAGCAGAAAAGGAAGAGAGCCATAGACTGGCACTTGATCGAAATATAATTCCTTAATAATTTTTTGAAATAATTTTAAATTCATAGAAAAGATACACTAATAGTAAAATGAACTCTCATATACCCTTTATTTCTTTCCTAATCCCTAATTTCCTAATTTGATATTAATATTTTACCACCTTTGCCTTTCATGCTTTCTCTAAATGTATTTATATATTTAGGGTTTTTTTTTTTTTTTTTAGTTTTAAGAGGCAAGGGCCTTGCTATGTTGCCCCTGCCTCTTAAAACAAAAAGAGGGACCTTGCCATGTTGAGGCTGGACTCAAACTCGTGCGCTATAGGGAAACTTTCACCTCAGCCTCTCAAGTAGCTGGGACTACAGGTACGCACCACTGCACCTAGATAGTTTTTTTTAAACCTTTGAGAATAAGTTGCAGATATATCTCTTACTCCTTAACACATCAATGTATATGTCCTAAAGACAAGGACACCCTCTTATATAACCAGAGTACAGTCATCAAAATCAGGAAAGTAACATTAATACAATACTACCATGTAATCGATACTATTGTATTAATTGGTATGCATGTAAATACTACCTCAGAGCCCAATCATATTTCTCTGATAATCCCAATAATGTCCTTTATAGTTCCAGGATCACGTGTTGCATTTAGCTGTCTGAGTCCTTAGTCTCTTCAGCTGGGAACCCTTCCTGTGGTGTGCTGCTAAACTGCTTATGTGGTGGGGTAGGGGGTCTGATTTGTAGTGGCTGCCAATGATTATGGTGTGAATATTCCCATTCTGGCTGATTTCAGGTTACCAGCTTTGTGGCACTGAACTGCACAGTTGGGATCAGCATCAGTTTTCTAGAGTGGGGCAGAGCCAGTACCAGCTGGCTCCAATGTACCACTGACCGTTCCTCATTCCTCGGTCTTTCCTTGTGTTTCATGACTATGTTTGTTTTGTTTGTTTGTTTGTTTTACAAGTACAGAGCAGGTACTTTGTAGCATGGCCTTCAGTTTGGGTTTGTCTGCTACTTCTTCACATTTATATTCAGTGTATGCCCTCTGTGGCAGGAATTTCACAGAAGTGACACTGTGCTCTTTGCAGTGCCTCATCTCAGGAGCGTGTGATGATGACTTGCCCCATTACTAGAGACGTTCACCTTCTTTCTTTCTTTTTTGAATTTCACTTAGGTGTTAATTTTTATCACTTGATAAGACGGTGTCTAGCCATGTTTCTCTGCTGTCAAGATAAAGAATATATTATACCTTATTTAATAAGTAATTAATAGGCATTTTATGGAGAGACTACATTGAGACTATTTAAATACCCAATCCTCCTTAAACTTTTACCTACTGGTTTTAGTATCTTTTGGTGATTCTTGTCTGAATCGATTATTTCTATTATGGTTGCCAAAGAGTGATTTTTAAAATTTCACTAACCCTTCTAATATTACTAGTTGTCATTCTACTGTAAGGTAGATACTTCCCTTCTCCCCAATTTCTTCATTTATATTAATATGGTCTCATGGATTTCTATTTTATGCAGTGGGTTATAATATACTATCATTATTTGTTTTGATGGCAAAACATTGTGGATTTGGCTAAGTTGAGCCTCTTTGGGATGGTGTCCTTTTGACAGGTCCTTATCACTCGTGGATCAATTCCTTGCTTTCTGGCAGAAGATATTCCAGTCATCTTCTTCTTTCCCTGTGTCAGCCTTGGAATGAGCTATTTTCCAAGGATCCTTGGTTTCTTTGAGTGGAGAATGTTATTTAGCAACCAGGATCTGGGCAGTAGATATGCTCATTCTACTGTAGTTTCATTGCTTCTAGGCCTTCTCAGAGCTAGGAAATATAGGTATACACACACACACACACACACACACACACACACTGTGGTGGACACAATCATGTATCTCTCAGAGACTCCTTTAAGAGAGGACTTGTTGCAAAGAATTGCCTTGCCTAGTGTCACACCTTGCCTGGGGTAGTGCACATCTTATACTGATTAGGAAAAGATTATAAAGGCTGGTCATTTTGGTCCAATGAGGAACAACTCTGACAGGCCACACATGCTCAAGAATGGGGTTGGCCAAAGCTCTCTTGAGCCTGCATTGCAGTTCAATTTCTTCTGCCTAATACGTTTGCTTCCACATATTTCGATCCCTAATAATACCCTACACACCTAAGTTCATCTCAGCATTTGCTTCTAGAGAGCCCAATCTGCAACACACACACACACGCACACATACACATCTATTTCTGTATTTACAAATATGTGAGTTCATACCAACACCTCTAATTCTAACCAATCACTGTAAGTTTGTTCTAGTCTTCCCCTCTCCAATCATCATCAACACATTTACTTATTTTCTCCATCCCTCTGTATGTAGGCGACCTCCTGACCGTGCAGGATGTCTCTTCATTCCCACCTCCACCAGTCTGACCCCACACATCCTTGGCCCTGGCCCTTCTGACCTCACTGGCTGTGTTAGCTGAATCTTCAGCACTGATCAAAAGGGAGGAGAGTTCAGTTCATGTTAGAAGACAGAGGGTTATAACATTTCATATAAGTAATATGTTTTATTCTGTTTGAAAATATATTTCAACATTAAATAGTGCTTGTTTCCTTTTTAGTGGTGACTGAGGTCTACTAAAATTGAAATTCTGTATTATAGTTTCATCTTGTGTCAAATGGAAAAGTGTTTTTAGAATCAGCATTTTGGCACATATAATAGAAAAGACATGTCAAGAGAAGGCTCTAATTACTTTAGGAAGTTGCTCCATAAACAGCAATCAGTTCTAGCTGAGACAGAAAAGTCTTTGCAGAGGAGGAGGGGGTTTGAACTGGCATCTCCAGGATGTATTGGCTTTGAACAAATGAATCAGAAGTATACCGTGGAAGGAAAGATGGTAAGTGAAGTCAAGGAATAGGTAGAGTGGGTAAGAACAAGGAGTATCAGGTGACAGTGATTAGATCAATTTGGCAGAAAATATTCATGTAAGAATGTGGGAGATAAACCTGGAAAGTTAGGATCCTGACCACGCTTCAGATTGTATTTTGCAGGCAATGGGTAGATACCCTTCATCCTTTGAATATCATGATAAAGATGAGGCTGGCAGCATTGGTCAAGATGCACTGATGGGAGAGGAAGCAGTTAGGCCATTACTACGAGGGTTTGAGTGCTGAAGATAAAGGCACTGGAAAGGAGGGGAGGGGGCAGGTGTAGCAGACAGGGTCCAGTCAGGGAAGCTGACCCACTGTGAATACTATGGAATAAGGATTTATTTTAGGCATGGACCTTATACTATTGTGAAAGGACAAATGAAAGATTTTCAAGCTGAGGCAGATTTGAGCAGAATTATAGGCTGAGGGGGAGGAGCCAGTAGAAAAAAGAGAGACTGACGATATATTAAAAAAGAACTAAATCCTGAAAAAGCCTGGAAAAGGTAAAAACCAAGAGCTCAGGAGGAGTGGTTACTCTCAGAAAGGAAGCACGTATATTCTGTTCATACATACACTGTCCCCCCACCAACCCCCAGCAGAGGAAATCCCGGCCCCCTCTATAGAATTGCTGCTCATTATCTTCAGACTAATAAGCACCGTGCATTTTTACTTCTAACAATACTTCATAAGGCAATCATATATTCTCAGATTAAAAATATAAGTCACTTGGCTTTTTACACAGCTTTTGCTTATTAAACTTAACTGAACTGGAGCAATTAAATAAAGAGAACTATCTTACAACTCACTGGAAAAGGATCATCCCTACATGTCAGGGTTCTGGTATTTTTATTCCCACTTTAAATTTAAAGACATGGGAGCTTGTTAAGCTGGCTTTTTTATTTGGGGATTTGTGGAGTTAGCAAATTCTGAATGTCTTCAGTAAGATAATTTAGTGAGAAAGTTTGTGTATATCTTTCAGTGCAGGTGACATTCCAGTGAAGTATTTCACAGCATGCAGAACACGGTCATTAATAAAGCAACATCCTCAACAGTCATGCATATTTCTTTTTTATAACAAGCATCTTGTTTGGTAATGGCAGAACAGCAGAGTGAATATCCTGCCACATTGAAATTCATGAAGTTCAATCCATTTTATGAAATGCACTTTTTGCTATACTCTTTATAAATTGCTATCTCTATCCTTATGACTTAGGGATTTGGGAAATACTCATCTGGTAATAACACTTTAAAATGTGTCTCCCCTGCAGTATACCCATTATGCTGATTGAACTCAGAAATTCTTAAAATATAGCCTGCCTTATCTATATAAGAATAATTGTCTGTGGAGGATGCCATGCTTAAAAGGTGTAGGGGGAAAGGCATAATGGCTCCAGTGGAAGATCGTCCTGGGATTCAGCATCTTTGTAAGAGCAGCTAGGATCATGCTGTCAAAATACATTAGGCAAATCCAAAGATTAGAGTCCCTCTTCTTTGTAAAATGAAAGGTGAAAATGAGTAAAGTGCATACCTGGCTTTGCTTTGGTTCAATTCCTTTCTCTGGGCTGCTCTGCCAAACCTTGCTTATTGAAACTAACCTGGGAGAAGAAACGTCTGACTTACGGAATGTTTTCAAAGAAATGCAATTTTTATACTCTTCAATACAAATAGTAACTCAAGCCAGGTGAAAATTTAGCTAGGTGGGTGTTCTGGGAGGGCCAGTTTTGTGACTAGAGCTGACAAGGGCTTATAATTAGCATAGTGACTATGTGTGCAGTAGGTTGATCCTTCTAAAGTGATGTCTTTTAAGCACATTTTAGTTTTCAGCATTCAATGTTCTTGCAACTTTCTTTACCTTAGTAATCTTTCAGAAATAAACTTCAGTCCTGTTTATGTTTCATGAATTTATAGTTAATGGGACTTCAATTAAGGAGGATGTGTGTGTGTGTGTGTGTGTGTGTGTGTGTGTGTGTGTGTGTGAAGCCATTTTATTTTTAAACAAAGGAAAGAGAAGAGGAAGATCCAAGTTATAGGCCAAGATGTCATATAAGTTCCGAAGATGGGGATAAGGGCACAGTCTTAGGGGACATGAATTGATATTTTTCTAGTATATAGCATGTTTCAGACTCTGAATTAGGGGATTTTGTATTAGAAGCCAGGAATTCTGAATACAGAGATTCTTATAATTAAATCTACTCAACTAATTCTTGAAATGCCAAATATTCTCCCTCAAAGGTGTGTAGGGGCCAAGAGTTCCCCTTGGCCCTCTGAAGTTTCGCTGAAAAATCAACTTGCAAAAGGCAGGTTAGTTGGAGATAAGAAATACAAATTTATTTAATATGTATACATAGGGGCCTTCAGAATGAAGACCCAAAGATACAGGGGAAATTGTCCATTTTTATGCTTAGGTTCAACAAACTATGGATAGCCATACATAAATATGATTAGACAGAAAGAGTATGATCTAATGTTAGCAGAGTGAGTAGGGGAAACACAGCAAGGCCTGTGTGTCCAGATTCTTCTTGGCCTTTCTAAGCATGCATTCCTTCCTTCTGAGTATGGGGCAGAACCCTCTCTGGAATGGAGGTCTTATACCTACAGTCAAACAAAGTAGTCAGATAATTTATTTGTGGCAACTTTTTACATAGAAAGGTGGAAGGAGGCCAGGCGCAGTGGCTCACGCCTGTAATTCCAGCACTTTGGGAGGCCAAGGCAGAAGGATCACTTGAAGCCAGAAGTTTGAGACCAGCCTGGGCAACATGGTGAAACTCTGTCTCCACTAAAAATACAAAAATTAGCCAGGCCTGGAGGTGTGTGCCTGTAGCCCCAGCTACTCGGGAGGTTGAGGCACGAGAATCGCTTGAACCGGGGAGGCGGAGTTTTCAGTGAGCCGAGATCACACCACTGTACTCCAGCCAGGGCAACAGAGCAAGACTCTATCTCAAAAAAAAAAAAAGAAAAAAGTGGAGAGATGGAGAGAAAGTTAGTTTATGGCTGGCTGTGAGAAAAAGAGGTTCTGGTTTTGATGACCTGGGGAAGAGCGGTTTTAGTTTCTATGGCTACCCCAGGGGAGAATTGGAGACAGGAGGGCAAAAGGTCAGAGAAAAACTTCTGTTTCCTAGACCTTCATTTTGGGGTATTGTTTTCTGAGTCCCAACAAAAGACACAAAGAGCCTTGGGACTAGCTCTTGAGATCAAAGAGTAATCAGGAATCATTTAGGTAGCAGCCTTAACTAGCGGAAACAAAATAGATAACCTAGAAGATAGCCAAAAAATAAAATAAAATCTGTCCCACCCCACCAAAAAATACCATCAACAAAAAGCCTCTGAAGGAAAATCAAGTACTGAGCAAATAAAACAGATGGCCTCACATCACATGCACTGTTCCTTATACTAGAGCTTCATGAGTTTTCACTTAGAATGGATTTACTCTTATTTTAGACATAATTTTAACTGGACTGAATGGCTGATTTCTTAGCCAACTGACGATTAGAAGCAACCTGTGCTGGCAGTGGCAGCTGTGATTGCCAATAATTTAATACTGAAGGAGAAGACATAATCTAATACATCTAGAAGACATCCAAACTCAATGCCTGTCAATCCAGAGTCTTTAACGTAGGGAATAAACTGCTTCAAAAACCTCTAAACATATTTTTATTTTATGGTGCAGAAAAATATGACTGAGTAATCAAGCAAAGATTAAGTTATGTAAAATGGACTCCCATTAAAGTGGGAAAATATTTAAAATATTAAAATGTTTTAGGGCCGGGCACGGTGGCTCACACCTGTAATCCCAGCACTTTGGGAGGCCAAGGCGGGCGGATCACCTGAGGTCGGAAGTTCGAGACCAGCCTGACCAACATGGAGAAACCCTGCCTCTACTAAAAATACAAAATTAGGGCCAGGCGCAGTGGCTCACATCTGTAATCCCAGCACTTTGGGAGGCCGAAGCGGGCGGATCACGAGGTCAGGAGATTGAGACTATCCTGGCTAACATGGTGAAACCCTGTCTCTACTAAAAATACAAAAAAATTAGCCAGGCATGTTGGCGGGCGCTTGTAGTACCAGCTACTCAGGAGGCTGAGGCAGAAGAATCCCTTAAACCCAGGATGTGGAGGTTGCAATGAGCTGAGGGTGCGCCACTGCACTCCATCCTGGCTGACAGAGTGAGACTCTGTCTCAAAAATAAAATAAAATAAAAATACAAAATTAGCCAGGCATGGTGGCGCATGCCTGTAATCCCAGCTACTTGGGAGGCTGAGGCAGGAGAATCGCTTGAACTCACAAGGCAGAGGTTGCAGTCAGCCAAGATCGTGTCATTGCATTCCAGCCTGGGCAACAAGAGTGAAACTCCATCTCAAAAAAAAAATTTAGGAGCAGAGTTTCCACTACATTTAAATTTCAATGATAAGAAATATTTTATTTGTGGCAATGCCAGCAAAACACTTCTCTTTTACCCACCATTTTCCTTAATTATTTACTTGCTCATTATTTTTACCCATCCTCCAACATTTGATGTGGCTGAGGTGTTACTATATTGAGACATTAAGGAAATATTGCAGTTTTATTTTTATTTTTTATTTTATTTTTTAATTTTTCTTCTGGTTCACAACATTCCTTTGGAACCAATAGGAAATATTGCAGTTTTAGATGCCTAATTTCCAACTTGATCTCAAATCACTTATACAGGTCTAGCAATTCTCAGGATCAGAAATGCGACCTGGGGAAATGCTTCTCTGATAAAAGAAAATTGAACAACCTTGGAGCGTCCATGAGAAATGAACCATAACCAAAGATAGTTCCTTTGAGAAAAGTTTCGTTGTTAAGTGAATGCTCCTTGTCATTAATACACATCTTGTGCATATAAACAGAAAAATCATTGTGGCAGTGTTATAGATTCAAAAGAATAAAAGGAAAAGGAAACACGGGAGAAACAAGGAAGATAACGGTTAAAACAAGGGATGAGGGCCCCAAATAGAGCAATGCAAGTACTTATCAATCTGCTTCTCAGCTCGGACTAAAGTAAATTCTTCAACTGCACCAAAATAATGCACCAACCCAAAGGTGGATGACCAGCCTGACCTATGTCCTAAGGCAAACTTTGCTTGAAAATTCTCTTTTAAAGTTCAGTTTCTTACATAGGTATATATATACACACACACACACACACACACACACACACACACACACACACACACATATATACACACACATATATATATACACACACACACACATATATATACACACACATCAAATATATATGTATATACATATATATTTGATGTGTGTATATATATACACCTATAGGTATATAGGTATATAGGTGTGTATATATACACACATGTATACATGTGTATATATGTATATATACCTATATGTTTATATATGTGTGTATATATGTATAAATATACATGTATACACACATATATACATATAGGTATATATACACATATATACGTGTGTGTATATATACACATATATATACACACATGTATATACATATATATTTGATGTATGTATGTATATACATATATTTATTCAGAACTGTTCAGTTAACATATCAGTTATATTAACTGTTCAGTTAATATATATATACTGAACAGTTATATATATTAACTGTTCAGTTAATATATATATACTGAACAGTTATATATATTAACTGTTCAGTTAATATATATATGCATATACTTATATATTTATTTAAAACTGTTCAGTTTATATATCAGACATTTATTAAGCCCCACAATATGCCAGGCCTATTTGATCTATATAATCTATTAAAACTGTTCTTTATTAATTAGTTCTGGAAATCTTTGGTGATACACTCACATACACACACCTGCTAACACACATGCCCATGCCTATGTTTTCATTTCTTTTTTTTTTTTTTTTTTTTTTGAGACAGGATCTTACTCTGTTGCCCAGGCTGGAGTGCAGTGGCACAATCACGTCTCATTGCAACCTCAACCTCTAGGGCTCAAGCGATCCTCCTGCCTCAGCCTCCCAAGTAGTAGCTGGGATTACAGGTGTGTGCCACCATACCCAGCTAGTGTTTTCATTCCTTTTAAATAGTTTTAATCAAGTGTACCATTTCCTTCTGATCACTCTTTTTTCTTTTCCTACAAAATTGCAAACCAGAGATATCAAGTCTTACACAAACAGTAAAGAGCAATTATAATAAAACTGGTTCAACAAAATTGCAAAATTGGCTGATTTGATCTCCTTTGCCTTCACAAGGTGCTCTTTCTGTAACAATATCATTTAATTTCCACATTTATTGAACACTTAGTGTCAGACACTAGAAAACCTGTTCTCAGGCTGGGCGAGATGGCTCATGCCTGTAATCCCAGCATCTTGGGAGGCTGAGGTGGGTGGATCACTTGAGGTCAGGAGTTTGAGACCAGTCTGGCCAACATGGCGAAATCTTGTCTACTAAAAATACAGAAACTAGCCAGGCATGGTGGTGGGTGCCTATAAACCCAGCTACTCGGGAGGCTGAGGGAGGAAAATCTTTTGAACCTGGGAGGCAGAGGCTGCAGTGAGCCAAGATTGTGCCACTGCACTCCAGCCTGGGTGACAGAGTGAGACTGTCTCAAAAAAAAAGAAAAATAAATAAAATAGAAAATCTGTTCTCAGACAATAGTTTGGTATCCATTAATTATATGTTTACTTATGTCTACATATATATACACACAGAGTCTTTTTTTTTTTGAGACGAAGTCTTTCTCTGTCACCCAGGCTGGAGTACAATGGCATGATCTCTGCTAACTGCAACCTCTGCCTCCCAGGTTCAAGCGACTCTCCTGCCTCAGCCTCCCGAGTAGCTGGGATTACAGATGCACGCCACCATGCACGGCTAATTTTTGTATTTTTAGTAGACACTGGGTTTCGCCATGTTGGCCAGTCTGGTCTTGAACTCCTGACCTCAGGTGATCCACCTGCCTTGGCCTCCCAAAGTGCTGGCATTACAGGCATGAGCCACTGCACCTGGCCTACACACAGTCTTTTTTAAGGGTAAATCTAGGGGCTGGTGTTTCACCAATAAACACCTATGTACTTAGAGTCTAATAGTATAGTATTCGAACTACTTTCCATGGTGGCTGAACTGATTTACATTCCTACGAACAGTATATAAATGTTCCCTTGTCTCTGCAGTCTTGTCAGCTTCTGTTATTTTCTGACTTCTTAGTAATAGCCATTCTGACTAGTGTGAAATGGTCTCATTGTGGTTTTGATTTGCATTTCTCTGATGATTAGTGATGATGAGCATTTTTTCATGTTCGTTGATCACTTGTATGCCTTCTTTTGAGAAGTGTCTGCTCATTTCCTTTGCCTGTTTTTTTGTTTTTTTTTTTTTTTTTTTTTTTTTTGAGACAGGGTCTCACTCCATTTCCCAGGCTGGAGTGCAGTGGTGCAATCATGACTCACTTACAGCCTTGACCTCCTGAGCTTAACTGTTCCTCCCACCTCAGCTTCCTGAGTAGCAGGGACCACAGGCATGCGCCACCATGCCCCAGTGTTTTGTAGAGACAAGGTCTCCTTATGTTGCCCAGGTTTGTCTCAAACTTCTCGCCTGAATCGATCCTCCTGCCTTGGCCTCCCAAAGTGTTGGGATTAAAGGCATGAGTCATTGCACCCAGCCCTTTGCCCATTTCCCAGTGGGGTTATTTGTTTTTTGCTTGCTTATTTGTTTAAGTTCCTTATAAATTCTGGATATTACACCTTTGTCAGATGTATAGTTTGCGAATATTTTCTTCCATTCTGTAAATTATCTGTTTATTCAGTTGATAGTTCCTTTTTCTGTGCTGAAGCTCTTTCATTTAATTAAATCCCATATATCAATTTTTGTTGTTGCAATTGCTTTTGGGGACTTCACCAAAAATTCTTTGCCAAGGCTAATGTCAATAAGGGTATTTCCTAGATTTTCTTTTAGGATTTTTCTAGTTTTAGGTCCTACATTTAAATCTTTAATCCATCTTGAGATAATTTTTGTATATGGTGAAAAGTAGGAGTCTAGTTTCATTCTTCTGTATATGAGTAGCACCACTTAAAGAACCTGAAACAGAGCTACCATTTGATCCAGCAATCCCATCACTGGGTATATACCCAAAGGAAAATAAATTATCCTACCAAAAAGACGCACACACTCATATGTTTATTGAAGCATTATTCACAATAGGAAACACATGGGCTCAACCTAGGTGCCCATCAACAGTGGATTGGATAAAGAAAATATGGTACATATATACCATGGAATACTATGTTGCCATAAAAAAAATCATGTCCTTTGCAGCAAAATGGATGGAGCTGGAGGGCATAATCCTAAGTGAATTAATGCAGAAAACCAAATACAGCATGTTCTCACTTATAAGTGGGAGCTAAACATTGAACATATAAACATTGAACATAAACATAACCACTGTTTGCTGAGCACCTGCCAACCATGGGCACTAGTCAAGGTGCTGTACCCACAGTCATATCATTTAACCCTCTCTCCAGCCCAGATGTCCTGATCCTAAGGGCCAGGCAGTTAGATGGGTATACCCCTAAAGTCCTATACAACTCAGGGCCCCTGAAAATGCCCCCTCATCCAGCATTTTCCCTGCATATGGAAACAAACACCATTGTTTGAAAAAAGTAAAAAACCTTCTTTACACTGAGCTGAAATTTGCCTCCAGTGATTTCTTCTTGGACTACACCGAATAAGTTTCGGTGTTCCCATATAAAGATGGGAACAACAGACACTGGGGGCTACTAGAGCAGGGAGGGAGGGAGGTGTGGGCTGGAAAAGCTACCTGTTTGGTACTATGCTCACCACCTGGGTGACAGAGTCATTCTTACCCTAAACCCCAGCATCATGCAATGTATCTGTGCAGACCTGCATATGTACCCCTTGGATCTAAGATAAAAGTTGAAATTTTTTAAGAAAGAGCACAGTCTTAAAGTCAGTGTGTTGCTTTCCCCAGAGTGTCTGCTTTTTAAGCAGATCTGCTTTACAGTTTTCTCAGATAGCAGAATAAAAGTTTCTTTACCTTATTAAAGGACTCTTGGGCAACAGGTACTATAGATGAGGGTTGTGGGTATTTTGGGGATGGAGACTGAATTGATGTGGACCACTTCCCTGCCTGGATTAAGGAGTTAGGAAGGTTGAGGCTTTGGAGGGCTTTCTTCCTGGAACAAGCTATGGGCTATCTGCACAGCATACTGTGCAAGTAACCTTTTTTGATGGTTCCAACCAGTCCAATGAACTTGACACCTTCTCCCCACCTCCCACTCCCTGGCCTGCACAGAGTTCTTTTAATCATGCTTTATTCTGGTCTCCTATTCATTGCCTGTCCTGGTTCCACCCTAGTGCTATGCTGTTTCCTGTTTATCTCTCCTGTCTTTTCCACACCCTCACCTCTGTACCAGGTGGGGCTGATTTCCCTGGGCTGTGAGCTTTCTTGTTTGTTACTGGAGTGGGTGAAAAGAGGACCTCAGATACATCAAATTTTCATTCCTCGGTCTATAACTTGGTGACCTTGGGCAAGTGAGTTAATTTTCTAAACCTCAGTTTCTTCATTTATAAAATGAGATTACAGCCAGGTGCAGTGGGACACTCCTTTAATAATCCCAGCACTTTAGGAGGCCAACAAGACAGGAGGATTGCTTGAGGCTAGGAGTTCAAGATCAGCCTGGGCAACACAGTGAGACCCTGTCTATACGAGAAATTATCTAAAAATTAGCTGGGCATGGTGTGCCTGCCTGTAGTCCTAGCTTCTTGGGAGGCTGAGGCAGGAGGATTACTTGAGTCCAGGAGTTAGAGGCTACAGTCAGCTATGATCACACCACTGCACTTCAACCTGGGCAACATAGTGAGACCTTTACTCTTAAGAAAAAAGGGCTGGGCTCTGTGGCTCACATCTGTAATCCCAGCACTTTGGGAGGTCCAAGGCAGGTGGATTGCTTGAGGCCAGTTGAGACCAGCCTGGGCAACATGGTGAAACCTCATCTCTACAACAAATTAGCCAGATGTGGTGGCATGTGCCTGTAGCCGCAGCTACTTGGGAGGCTGAGGTGGGAGGATCGCTTGAGCCCAGGAGGTTGAGGCTGCAGTGAGCTGTGATCACACCACTCACTCCAGACTGGGCAACAAAGCAAGACTCTATTAAAGAAAAACAGAAGAGTAGGAGAGTAGGATTAGTAACGACTGCTCCAAATGTATCTGTAAGGATTGTATATGGGAAATTTTCAAATAATAACAACTAATATACCTGACATTTGTTCATTTTGGTAAATCATTAAAAACAACTCCACAGAGTAGATATTATCATCCTCCTTATATAGAGGAAGAAAAGGTGTGGAAGAGGGGAGGTAGGAGCATTAAGTAGTTTGTCCCAAGTCATCTGGTTTATTCAAGTGCCAGAGCTGAGTTTGGGACCCCGCCTGTCAGTCTCCAGATCTCCGGTTTGTAAATACTGTCTTATCGGAAGGGAACACAGGTTCATTTTCTCTTTTCTCTTTGCATGTTGGCTGGTGCTTGCATCTTGGCTGCTGCCTCACTCACAGTTAGCAGTTCTTTCTGTTGACCCCATTGGACACCAACATCACAGCACCTGTAGTCCCTGGTGCAGCCTGAGGGCTCGCTTTAATTAAAGTTTGTGGCACTGGCAGAAAGAAATCTGGCAGGAACCATCTTCTTAAGGATTCTTTCCCAGCCCCACTTGCTTCATTGCACCACAGCAACAATTGCCCGTCCCTGCAAATAGGTCTGCTTGCCTGCAGAATGGCTCCCGAGCATCTGGAAAGCAAAAACCAAAGGGCACTGTGGCCTGGCAGCAGATCTTCTCTTCCAGTTTTGACCCAACCCACATATTTGTCACTTAAAAGGAAGAAAACTGGTTTGATGAGTGATTTCCAGGCTTCGGGTTTGTTATCTCTCCTGACAGCTGTTCTCCAGTATTTTGTAGGCTTATGGAGTGGAAGAGCAAGAAACTTATTCGGTGTAGTCCAAGAAGAAATCACTGGAGGCAAATTTCAGCTCAGTGTAAAGAAGGTTTTTTACTTTTTTCAAACAATGGTGTTTGTTTCCATATGTAGGGAAAATGCTGGATGAGGGGGCATTTTCAGGGGCCCTGAGTTGTATAGGACTTTAGGGGTATACCCATCTAACTGCCTGGCCCTTAGGATCAGGACATCTGGGCTGGAGAGAGGGTTAAATGATATGACTGTGGGTACAGCACCTTGACTAGTGCCCATGGTTGGCAGGTGCTCAGCAAACAGTGTTTATTTAACTGACCTCACAAAGGTCTTATTATGCATCAGACACTATTGTAAGTATTCAGCAAATATTAACCCATTTCATTCTCATGACAGCCTTATGAGGTAGTACTGTTACTGTGTCTGGGTGGAAGAGTGGTTGCAGTGGTTTCTAGCGCTCTGTCCAACTTTGAGATTCTATGACCAGGTTCTTGTGATTGGCACTGCTGATAACAGACCCAGCCAGTCAGCTGGACTGAACTGATGTTTGATGGACTGTTGGATTATATTAGCCACCAGCTATCTCGACCCTAAGGGCCAGGCATTTAGATAAGTGCACCCCTAAAGTCCTGTACAGTTCAGGGCCCATGAAAATGCCCCTTCATCAAGCATTTCCCCCCATACAGACAAGTCCATTAACACATTTTTCCATTATCCTTGAAAGCATGCTCTGGCTGCTTGGAAAATCATCTCTTCTTCCCCTCCTTCTCATAATCAATTGCTACCAATTGCTATGCCAAAATCCATGTTAAGCTATACATGTATGTGTGTATCTATACACATATATGTGTACATACACACATATTTGAGCAGGAGAGCAACAGAATCCGTTTATGTCTTGGTAAGTTATTAAAACATAAGTCCAGTCTGATCTCATTCAGACCCTTCCTTATTTACATAGCTATTTTAATGTGCCTGAGATCTATTCATGTCCCCAAAGATCCTTTACTCCCTCTCTGTGAGCCCCTGGTACAGCTACGTAAATAGCTGAACTGAGGTTTTCCATGACAACTCATTATTTTTTTTTTAAATTGCTTTAAAATAAAAGGTGATAAAAACAAGATTGAGCTAAAAGACAACATAATCAGAAGACAGAAAATGAACACAATATCTAAAGAACCAGATAAGACTGTGAGAGACCAGGTCAGTACAAGCTGGTAATTACATTAAAATTGACACAATCTATCTGTTTTTCTCATAAGCTAACATTTTGCCCGACTGATTTTCTATGAGTAAAGTCAGGAGTTTTTTTTTGTTGTTACATATATGTATTTTAAAACCACAGAAACTCATAGCCTAGAAGGAAGGAGAGAACAAAAGGAGAACCATTCCTTCTTTTATTCATGTAATTATTCAATAATAATGTATTAAATGTAAATTATGGCTAGTTTGGGGTTCCATAATGTGGAACTCATTTGAAAAACTATGAAAACAACAAAATTGATAAAAGGGTCAAGAAATGGGTGTTGCTAAAAGGCTGCAGAAAGTGGTTGTCTGCTCAAGGAAAAAATTGAATTTTTATCAGTCAATACCTTTAATTATATGAAGAGTTATTATTGACCACATTAGTCGTCAATTATTTTTCTTTCCCAGTCAGAGAAAATAAGAAGAAATAGGCTTCCCCTACAGCAAGCAGAGTTTAGAAGCTGTAATGCGACCTCATTATGGAATTGTTGAGTCCATGAGCCGGGCTGTGTTAGCAAAGGGCATAGCCTCAGCGTCGTTGAGTGATCAGAAGCTCCGTGCCCTACTTTCTGTAGATCTCCATTACCCACCATGCCCACACACCCTCAATCTCAGTTCCAGTGAGAGAGTTTACTGGAGCTACTACAGCCAATTGCCTAATCAGCATTGCTGGGCAGTCTCTGCTGTGAGTCCAGCTCTGACTCAACAGCATGCTTCCCAGGCCTGCTGGGGCAGCTGGGGCAGTGGGAAGAGCAGCAAGCTCTGTGTTAGGAAGCTTGGCTTGCAGGTCCTACTCCACATATTGTTTTCCTTCTTTTGGCCCCAGTTTTCTCATCTGTAAAATGAACAATATTTCCTTCCTTCTTTCTTTCCTTCCTTCCTTCCTTCCTTTCTTCCTCCCTCTCTCCCCTCCTTTCTCTCTTCTCCTTCCTTCCTTTCTTCCTTCCTTCCTTCCTTCTTGCCTGCCTGCCTGCCTGCCAGCCTGCCTGCCTGCCTGCCTACCTGCCTGCCTTCCTGTCTTTCTCTCTCTCTCTCTTCTTTTTTTGAGACAGGGTGTCACTCTGTTGCCCAGGCTGGAGTGCAGTGGCACAATCTCGGTTCACTGCAACCTCTGCTCCCACCAGCCTCCCGAGTAGCTGGGACTACAGGCGCACCACTATGCCCTGATGATTTTTGTATTTTTTTTTTTTTTTTTTTTTTGAGACAGAGTCTCACTCTGTCACCCAGGCTGGAGTGCAGTGGCACAATCTTGGCTCACTGCAACCTCCGTCTCCTGGATTCAAGTGATTCTGGTGCCTCAGCTTCCCGAGTAGCTGGGATTACAGGCATGCACCACCACACCTGATTAATTTTTGTGATTTCAGTAAAGACGGGATTTCACTATGTTGGCCCGGCTGGTCTTGAACTCCTGACCTCAAGTGATCTACCCACCTCAGCCTCCCAAAGTGCTGGGATTACAGGCATGAGTCACCTCACCCGGCCTAATTTTTGTATTTTTAGTAGAGATGGGTTTTTGCCATGTTGCCCAGGCTGGTCTTGAACTCCTGGGCTCAAGCAATCCACCCACCTTGGCCTCCCAAAGTGCTAGGATTACAGGGGTGAGCCACTATGTCTGGCCCAAGTTGGTCTTAATTCTAGTAGCTCTCAAACTGCTAAAATTAAAGTGTGATGAGAATCTAAACTTATTTTATTTGGAGGAGGTGCTTATTGAAAATCCAGATTTCTATCACTTTTCCCACACAAATTTTTGTTTATTTAGCCTGGATGGGGCACAGAACATGAGATTCTGCATATTAAAAAGTATCTGATAGTGTAAGTTGGTTGAAGGTAAAAATTAAAATAAAAAAAGAATAAAAAAGTATTTGATACAAGTGATCCTGGGCTAGTACATTAGTTTGCTAGGGCTGCCATAACACAATACCATAATAGGCTGGGTGGTTTAAGCAACAGAAATTAATTTTTCTACAGTTCTGGAGGCTGGAACTCCAAGATCAAGGTGTCAGAGGATTTAGTTTCTTCTGAGGCCTCTCTCCTTGGCTTATAGATGGGCATCTTCTCACTATGTCCTCACATGGTCAACTCTCTGTGCATGGGTACTCCTGGTGTCTGTTTGTGTGTCTTAATCTCTTCTTATAAGGACACAAGTCAGATTAGATTAAGGCCTATCTTAATGGCCTCATTTTAACTTAACCAGCTCTTTGAAGGCCCAATCTCAAATTCTGAGTTACCAGTGTTAGTAACATATGAATTTGGGGGGACAAAATTTAGCCCCTAACAGCTAAATAATCTCTACAATTGTGTGCCCAGTGAAAGCTAGATCAAACCTCTCTGCAGACTCAGACTTGTTTTTGGGTCTTGTTATAGGACCCTTGTGTTATAGCTAAACTCTTATTTTTATACTTTTTCCATTTCTCTAGCTAAAGCTCCCAGCCCTAATTTGGTGACATCTGGCATTAGTCTCCTGGTTCTAATTAGCATTGCCACCCTATCTGAAGTGCCTACCACCTCAATGCCCACACCATCCTACCCCTCTACCTTCTCATTTCTGCATTGATTCAGATCTGTTATTGTCTCGTTTATTGGTTTACTTGTTTCCTGTCTTTCTCCCCTACTAGACTATAAATTCCATAGATCAGCCATGGAATGTTTTGTTCCTAGCACCATGAACAGTGCCTGGCATACAGTAGGCACTCATTAAATATTGATGCATGAATAAATCAATGAATGAGTGATGAGTTGAGATGACCTTTAAGGTCTGTATCTGTTCCAACCTAGGATTCAATTGCCTTTTCCTTCTTTACTCTTCCACAGGGATGGTATTTAAGAGACATCCCCCCAGCCAGAGGGAATAAGATATGTAGAATACTGAACCACACTGATATCTATCTAGAGACCTGGGAGAGGTGAAAATTCTGCTCATTTATTGTCCTACCAATGTCTTAATCACCAATGCATTAACAGTGCCCTGGACCTAGAGTGTCTGGACTGTACTGCAGAGATAGGTTGATTACAAAGAAAGGCAGTAAATCAGCCAAGGCCAAGTGTCACACACCACAATGACATTGACAGTCCAGCAGATGATCTGCTTTAGCCCACAGCTGAAGTCTGGGTGTGATCATCAGTCTTCTTGCAGATGGTCAGAAACTCCTATTTATGAACTTTGGCCTGAGACATTTGCTAGCACAGCATAAGCAGTTAGGCTTTTTCAGCTATGAAATTCCTTTAGGTTGATGAAAGATGCTAGCACATGTCAATAAAGGTGACAATAATAGTGCAATATAAGTAATAATAATAAATAAAAAAATGTTAATAATAGTTTAAACAGGTAAAGTCTGAGGTGCACTAAAAATAGGTTAATTATAATCTTTGATTGGGTTGGCTCTACATACATGAATAAAATATCTTGGAAGTCCTAACCAGAGAAATCAAGAGAAAGAAATAAAAGGCATCAAATAGGAAAAGAAGAACTCAAAATATCTCTTCACTGATGATATGATTGGCTACCTAGAAAACCCTGAAGACTCTGACAGAAGGCTTCTGGAACTGACTTCAGTAAAGTTTCAGGATACAAAAATCAATGTACAAAACTCAGTAGCATTTCTATACAGAAATGATGTTCAAGCCGAGAGCCAAATCAAGAACACGATCCCATTTACAATAGCCACACACACATGCACAAATACCTGGGAGTACATCTAACCAAGGAGGTGAAAGGTTTCTACAAAAGTTACAAAACACTGCTGAAAGAAATTGTAGATGACATAAACAAATGAAAAAACATTTCATGCTCATGGATTGGAAGAATTGATATCATTAAAATGGCCATACTGCCCAAAGCAATCTATAGATTCAATGTCATTCCTATCAAACTATCAATGCCATTTTTGACAGAACTAGAAAAAACTATTCTAAAACTCATATGGAACCAGAAAAATAGCCCAAATAGCCAAAGCAATCTTAAGCAAAAGGAACAAAGCCAGAAGCATCACACTGCCTAACTTCAAACTATACTATAAGGCTACAGTAACTGAAACAGCTTGGTACTGTTACAAAAACAGACACATAGGTCACTGGAACAGGATAGAGAACCCAGAAATAAAGCCATATACCTACAGCCACGTGATCATCATTAAAGATGACAAAAATAGGCAATGTGGAAGGGACTCCCCATTCAATAAATAATGCTGGTATAGCTGGCTGGATGTATGTAGAAGAATGAAACTGAACCCCTAGCTTTCATCATATACAAAAGATGAATTGGCCGGGCGTGGTGGCTCATGCCTGTAATCCCAGCGCTTTGGGAGGCCGAGGCAGGCGGATCACGAGGTGAGGAGATTGAGACCAACCTGGCTAACACGGTGAAACCCTGTCTCTACTAAAAGTATAAAAAATTAGCCAGGCGTGGTGGCGGGTGCCTGTAGTCCCAACTACTTGGGAGGCTGAGCCAGGAGAATGGCATGAACCCAGGAGGCGGAGCTTGCAGTGAGCCGAGATCAGCCGCTGCACTCCAGCCTGGGAAACAGTGCAAGACTCTGTCTCAAAAAAAAAAAAAAAAAGAAAAGATGAATTAAAGATTTAAATGTAAGACCTCAAACTTCAAGAATCTAGAAGAAAACCTCAGAAAGACCCTGTGGACATTGGCCTTGGGAAAGAACTTACGACGAAATCCTCAAAAGTAATTGCAACAGAAGCAAAAATTCACAAGTGGGATTTAATGAAACTAAAGAGTTTCTGCACAGCAAAAGAAACTATCATCAGAGGAAACAGAAACCCTACAGAATGGGAGAAAATATTCACAAACTACACATCTGTCAAAGATCTAATACCCATAATCTATACAGAACTTAAGCAATTCAACAAGCGAAAAACAAATAACCCCGTTAAAGAGTGGGCAAAAGACGGGAACTTCTCAAAGAAGACATGCAGGCAGCTAACAAACATGAAAAAATGCTCAACATCACTGATCATCAGAGAAATGCAAATCAAAACCAAAATGAGATACCATCTCACACCAGTCAGAATGGCCATTATTAAAACGTCATAAACGACAGAAGCTGGTGAAGCTGCAGGTAAAAGAGAACACTTATACACTGTGAAGGAATGTAAATTAATCCAGCCAATGTGGAAAGCAGTTTGGAGATTTCTCAAAGAACTTAAAACAGAACTACCATTCAACTCAGAAATCCCATTACTAGATATATACTCTAAGGAAAATAAGTCATTCTACCAAAAGACGCATGTACTTGTATGTTCATTGCAGTACTATTCACAATAGTAAACACATGGAATGAACCCAGGTGTCCATCCAAGATGGACTGGATAAAGAAAATGTGGTACATATACACCATAGAATACTATGCAGCCATAAAAAGAAAGAACAAACTAATGCCTTTGGCAGCAACATGGATGCATCTGGATGCCATAATCCAAAGGAACAGAAAACCAAATACTGTGTGTTCTCACTTATAAGTGGGTGCTAAACATTGGGTACTCATAGACATAAAGAGGGCAATAATAGACACTGGAGGCTAAAAGAGGGGAGAGGTTGAAGAGGGCAAGGGTTGCAAAACTACCTATTGGGTACTATGCTCACTACATGGGTGATGGGATCATTCATACCCCAAACCTCAGCATCACACAATATATCTATGTAACAATTCTGCACATTTGCCCCTGAATCTAAAATAAAAGTTGAAATTATATGAAATGAAAAATAAATAAATATGCTTAAGTGGAAAAAATCAAATATTTTATAGCTACATGAGGTAGTATTTTTAGATAGCTCTCATGTATATCCTCACTGAAGGCCTTGATTCCAGGCTGAGTTGATTGCTTTTTCCTTATATTTATTAAATTTGAGAGGAAAGATTTGTTTCTACATCTGTTTCCTCTGCTAGAGCAGTGGTTCCTTGAGAGCAATGATCTTATTTATTTCTGTATCTTCTGCACCCGCTATATGGCCCTCAAAATTTGTTTATTGGATGAACGACTATCAAGGAGATTTAAATGTTATTGACTAGTAAACATTGCCCAAATGTTTTAAGGCAGATTAGACTGAGACTCATTAATTACTGCTACCATCATTCTAATATATCTTGCTCTCAATTATATTATTTATAGAATTTTTAAAAGCTGGTTTTTAGTTTAAGGTCAACATTTATTAGAATGGGGAGAGCTAAGCATGTTTGCAGGAAGGAAAGAAACCAGGAGAGTGATACTTGCATGGCCCTCCTCTGGGAATGCAAAGTGACTTTCAAATTATCCCAAGTCAGACATAATCAAGAAAGTAAATATATTGAAGGACAGCCAAATACCCGTGACACAATGCAAAGCATTTAAAAAGTCATCTTGTGCTGCAGATTACACACATTGTTGCTCCCCTCAATAGTGTATGTAATAGTAAATTGGCTCTAATTATTAATACCAATAATACTATTCACTGAGAAATCAATTTATAATAGAGGATTATTCAGCTACCAAGCTCCTGGGGCTATAGCTAAGCACCTGCCAGAGAGGCAGTCATGAGGTATTATTATTATTAATTATCTGTCCAATTATTTCTCCCTTAGGAACAGCAACAGTATACATGCCACATCTAAGGAGGGGAGGAGGGGCCCATCTGTGTTCACCCCACTGCTTCAGGGTCCTTCTAACAAAGAGATTGTGCTGCGGTGGCCCCAAGAACCTTCCAGCAGGTAACACAGGTCCTTAAGAAGCCTTCAGAGCTGCATCAAAGTGCAGCAGGGGAGACTACAGTGTGTTGTTCCCCTCTTCCTCTGTCACTTTCCATTCCCCCGGCTCCCTTCCTTCCAAACCTGCTCTTTTCTGCCCATTCTCAGGAAAACCTTCCCTCAGCTCTACCACTCTCTCGAGCTAATCTTTTCCATTGTGCTCCCAAGCAAACTCTTTTCTTTGAGATAGCTTGGGAAAATGATGAAAGGGCAGTGGTGAAGCATCCTTAAGTTGAATGGGGCTTTTAAAAAAAGTTGTAAAATACACATACAATTTACCACTTAAACCAGTTAAAAGTGTGCAATTTAGTGGCATTTAGTACATTCACAGTGTTGTAAAACCATCACCACTATGCAGCTTCAGAACATTTCCATCTACCCGTAAAGAAACCCGCATCAGTTAAGCAGCCACTCCCCTTCCCTCCTCCCACTCAGCCCCTAGCAATGACTAATCCACTTGTTGTCTCTATGGATTTGCATATTCTGAATATTTTATATTCAGTATGTGACCTTTTGTGACTAGCTTCTTTCACTTAGGTTTATCCACTTTGTAACACACATCAGTTCTCCATTCTTTTTTATGACTGGATAGTATTCCATTATATGGATATACCATATTTTGTTGATCAGTTAATGGATATTTAGGTTGTTTCCACCAAATTTAGATTGTTTTAAGGATAGATTCTATGCAATATCTCCATATCCTTAATCTATTGAGATTTGGCATCTTCTCTAACAAGGGTAACAATCAGTAATGATGACAGCCCATGGTTATGGGAGAGCTTGCCCTGTTCTGGACATCATACAGAATATTTTGCAAGCATAATCCCATTTAACCCTGATAAGAGCAGAAGCTTGTGTAGTTTGCTTTCACACTAGCATCCCAGCAGAGGGGCCAGGGCTAAAATCTAATCCAGACTTCATTGGTTCAGCTGAGCCCCTTGCTCAGGTTGTATCTGTCCTGAGAGGGAGGCACTGGGCTCCAGTGTGCCCAAAAGCAGCTCTGTTAACGGCTCTTCGAGGTAAACATTATCATTATTCCCAACTTGTATTTAAGAAAAGTGAAAGTGAGAATTAGAGAGTTTCCGTAACTTATTCAAGATCACACATCTAACAAAGGGGAGGAAGCCTGGGCTTGAAGCCAGATCTGGGTCCAAATTATTAGCCACTGCCCTATTCTAGGATAATGTTGGGATGGACATCAGTAGCCTCCTTTCTTCTTCCAAGATTTTCTTTTACCATAACCCAAAGTTAAAGATATATCTTACTCTGTGACCCAGAACACAATACACATATATAACAGAGAAAAATTTCATGGAACTACACTTAACCTTAGTACCTGCAATACACTTTTCTATTCTATTTAATTTTTTTAAAAGAAATACTGGTCAGACTCTACTAAATTGGTTTCTAACAGGCTGTTGCCCACAGTTTAAAAACCACTGTTGAAGTCCACTTTTTTTGTCTTTATTTTACTCGACCTTTTTGTGGCAGTTGACACTTAGATAAGATTCTGTTATCTTGAAACTCAGTCTCTTTGCAGATCACCCTTTCATGGGCTTCAGAACACATTTCCAGCTTTCTTCCTGCACCTCGACCAACATGTCTTGTATGGCCTGGTGCGGTGGCTCATGCCTGTAATCCCAGCATTTTGGGAGGCCGAGGCGGGTGGTTCACTTGGAGTCAAGAGTTCGAGACCAACCTGGCCAACATGGCGAAACCCCATGTCTACTAAAAGTACAAAAATTAGCCGGGTATGGTGGTGGGCACCTGTAATCCCAGCTACTTGGGAGGCTGAGGCGGGAGAATTGCTTGAGCTCAGGAGGCGGAAGTTGCAGTAAGCTGAGATCGTGCCATTGCATTCCAGCCTGGGCGACAAGAGTGAAACTCTATCTCAAAAAAAAAAAAAAAAAAAAAGTCTTGTATGTACTTCCTGCCTCCTTCTCCAACCTTTTAAAGCTGCTCTTTCTCCACTGCTCCCCAGCTCACTTTGATGTGTTCTCTACCTTCCCAGTCTCCTGAAATATATAAAGAACTCTTCCAACCAAGAGTTGAATAGAGTTCAACCAAGATTAAATAGACATTTTTTTTCTTTTTTAGAGACAGGGTCTCACTTTGTCACCCAGGCTGGAGTGCAGTGGCATGATCATAGCACATTGCAGCCTCAAACTCTTAGGATCAAGTGATCTTCCCTCCTCAGCCTCCCAAAAACAAAGCTGGGACTACAGGCATATGCCATCACATTAAGATAATTTTTTTTTTTCCTAGAGACAGGGTGTTGTTATGTTACCGGGCTGGTCTCAAACTTCTGGTTGCAAGCTGTCTTCCCACATTAGCCTCCCAAAACTCTGGAATTACAGGCATGAGCCACTGCACCCAGCCTGAATAGACAATTTTTAAAAGAATATGTACAAATGGACAAGCACATGAATAGATGCTCAACACCATTAGTCATCAGACAAATAAAAATTAAATTCACAATGAGACACCATTATACACCCACAAGAATGTCTAAAATTTAAAAGACTGACAAGCAAGTGTTGGCAATGATATGGAGCAACTGGAGCTTGCCTGTATTGCTGATGGGAATATAAAATGGTACAGCCACTTTGGAGACTGATTGACGGTTTCTTGTACAGTTCACTTCACACTTACCATGTGCTTTAGCAATTTCACTCCTAGCTATTTCCCTCATGAGAAATAAAAACATATGTCCACGCAAAGACTTGTACATAAATGTTCATAGCAGCTTCATTTATTTATTTATTTTGAGGCAAGGTCTTGCTCTGTCTCCCATGCTGGAGTGCAGTGGTGTGATCTCAGCTTACTGCAACCTCCGCCTCCTGGGTTCAAGCGACTCTTATGACTCAGCCTCCAGAGTAGCTGGGATTACAGGCATGCAGCACTATGTCTGGCTAATTTTTCTATTTTTAGTAGAGATGTGATTTCACCATGTTGGCCAGGCTGGTCTCCAACTCCTGGCCTCAATTGATCTGCCTGACTCGGCCTCGCAAAGTGCTGGGATTACAGGCATGAGCCACCACACCCAGCTTCATAGCAGCTTTATTTGTAATAGCCCCATATTGGAACCAACTCAAACATCCATCAGCAGGTGAATAAATAAATTAAACATGGTATATCCACAAAAGGGAACATTACTTGGCAATACAAAGGCACAAACTACTTATAAAGACCAAAAAATTGATGAATTTCAAAAATATTATGCAGACACAATATTTTAACATGAAGGCAGACAAAAGGGTTCACACTGTACAATTCTACTTTTATGAAATTTTTATGAAATTTCAGAAAAGAAAAAAACTAAGTTATAATGACAGAAAACACATTCGTGGCTATCTGGATTTGGCAGAGTCAGAGAGTGGTTTACTCACTATAGAAGTCCTAGGATAACTTTTTGGATGATGGAAATATTCTATATCTTGGTTGTGCTTACATGAATATATGCATTTGCCCAATCTTACTGAACTGTATACTTAAAATAGGTGCATTTTTATTTTATGTAAAGTATATCTTTATAAAATTGATTTATCTGGCCAACTGGGATTTTAAAATGTTTTCCACTTCCTCCTTTTTGTTACTCCCTACAACTAATGAATTATGAAATCTGCTCACTCGACTTCAAACATTTATCTCCAGTGAGTTTCTCTTGTCACCCTCTCAACTGCTCAGTATTAGTTTAGGTCCCCAGCTCCTCTCCACTGTACCAGTCTGAGAACCTCTGGTCTTGCTCCCCTCCCCTACTCAATCCAGCCAACATCTTCCTTCTCACCACTTCTATTCATACTCCCTTAATGAAATTCTTCCATTGGCTGCCTTTTGTCCATAGGTTGAGATACAGATTCCTTCCTTCAACAAATACTTGTTGGAAAGAGGCAGGCATTTGGCACATCGAGAAGAACCATTTCATAAATTTGTCCCTTTTCAGGCTCATCGTTAGTTACATTGAATTTTCACGACTCCTCATCTCTTATATGCTGACCCTGTCACTGGTTTTACCTTTCTGTCTCTCTCTTCCCATTTATTTCTGAAGGTCTAGCTGAGATATTTCCTTGTCTGTGAAGATTTTACCCAGGCAGACATAGGGATCTCAGAACCTTTTATGTAATCCTAACACAACATTGGTTGGTTATTGCTTCATTGTGTCTGTGAAGTCTGTTTCCTTTGTAGACTGTGTATGATTTGATGTTACAGACTCTGCCATGGTCATACCTGTGCCTCTAACAACTAATATGTTGGGGCTTAAAAAATCTTTATTGAATTACAAGAATCAGACACATACATTGGCCATATTTCTATTGACGATGAAGTTAGCAATATAAATTCTCCTATTAAAATTGTTTTCCTCTCCTATTCTCCCATATCTTTTATCAATGCCTCTCTTGTATCACTTATTATTCTTCCACTAGATTGTGAACTTAAATTTTTTTTGAAATATTTTAAGCACCTAGAAAAGTACTGTATAGGGAATAGTAAAAAAAACCTCCTAGGTACTCTCATTTTGTCAAATCTTAGCATTTTTGCTTTGTTTCAGATGTTTTCAAAAAGTAAATGTAACATTTGTTTATACAGTGGAAGCCTCCTGGCACCCTTTCCCAATGCCATTCCCGTCCTCCCTTTTGAAGGCAATCACTCTCCTAAGTTTGGTGTTTTTCATTTATTTGCATATTTTTATACCACGTATGTATGAATTCATAAACAATTCATGGTATTGCTTTACATATTTTAAAACTTTATACAAATAATATAATGCTGCAGATATTCTGCAATTTGATTTTTGTTTTGGCTCAACATTATATTTTTAGATTTATCCATGTTGATAGTTGTAACTATAATTTTTTTTAAATTTCAAGTTCCGGGGTATATATGCAGGATGTGCAAGTTTGTTATATAGGTAAATATGTGCCATGGTGGTTTGCTTCACCTATCAATCGATCACCTAGGTATTAAGCCCAGCATGCACTAGCTATTTTACCTGATGTTCTTCCTCCCCCATCCCTCCACCACCAGGCCCCTGTGTGTGTTGTTCCCCTCCCTGTGTCCATGTGTTTACATTGACTTGTAACTATAATTTAATGAGTAAGTTACAGCATGTATGCATGCATGAATATTCAACTAGATGTAGTCTGACTCTGTAAGCAGAGAATATGTTATGTAATGCAGTCAGGATTATTATAATTTGCCTGTCATAATACATGACATTCCTTTTTTTGGCTACTGTGCAGAAGACCATGCCACAATACAGTACAGACATCCCTGAAGTGACAATTCACTAAGAATCAGGGCTGGAAAACATTTTTAATAAGCTAGAGAGATGGACCAAATCTATGAATTTGAAATTTTACACTGACAAACGTAAAACATGGCATTTGGGTACAAAAAAAGTTCAATGGTACAAATATAGGATGGGGGAGATGTGGCTTGGAAGCAGAACATGGGCCAGCCTCAGTGGCTCATGCCTGGAATCTCAGCACTTTGGGAGACTGAGGCAGGAGTCTTGTTTGAGGCCAGAAATTCGAGCCTGCAGTGAGCCATGATTGCCCCACTGCAATCTGGCCTGGGTGACAGAGTGACACTCTGTCTCTAAAATAAAATAAAATAAAAAAGAAGCAGAACATGAACAGAAAGTGGACAAGTTGGCAAGGATGGGAAAGGAAGCGCCCGTGGAGAGCCACTGGGATGGCGTCTCTAGAACCAAGATGTTGGGCTGTAGAGTGTGCTCCTCCAGGCTGCTTGGACTACATCTGGGAGAGAGCCTTCAGTTTCTGAGTGTGGAGCTTGTTCAGAGGAAAGTAATGAGAATGGTAGAAGAAAAAGGTAATGGTTCACTTCAAGAAGGGAGTTTGAGGCCAGCGGGATAGTGATAGTTGATTTCCGTGACTGGAAGGGAATTCTCTGTGGCCCCAAGACATATTGGACCAATCTTGCTCCTCTTCCTGAATTCCTTCCTCAGCAGCACATCTACTCTGTCCCACAAGCTGGAAGCCTGGGAGGGGTCCTCAACTCTCACTCATGTTCTTTTCTCCTACCTACCTGATGGTTTTTGAGTCCTGTGAGATCCACATTCTAAACATCATCTTACTTCACTCAGCAGCCTTTCTGCAGTTCCTCCTACCATGAAAACTCTCTTCTGTTGATTTTGTGTGTTGCACGTTTCCCTAAGTTTTCCCCTACATCTAAGAATGCCAGGGCATGAGCAGATTTTTGGACTTGAAGCGTTTTTATTTTGGGGGGCTATCTTTAAAGGAATACAAAATTATAAATAAAAGGCCTTGGATGGGACTCATACAAGGTAGAGAATTATTTCGCAGCAAATCCACCTCAGGCTTTCTTTCTTTTCTTTCTTTCTTTTTTTTTTTAATGCCCATCTTCTTTTCCAATGCCATGGGGTGGAATTCCTAAAGACACATAAAAGCCCTTTTCTCTTTAATGCTATATACTCCCCTGGCTTTGAAGACTTCCTTCCCATCTTACATGGCCACAACTGACTGATGACTCCTGAGTCTGTATCTCAAGCTCTGGCCTCTCTGTCTGGTGCTTAGACAGTCATCTCCACTTGGGTATTGCAAAGGCACTGCAAACTTCCTGTGGCTTAGGCTGAATCATTATCTTTTCCCTCACCTTCCGGTCCCTTTGTAGGACTCCCATCTCACCAAATGACATCAGCATCTACCCAGTTCCAAAAGCTGGGTACCTGGGCACCATCCTTAACACCTCATCCTCCCCCATGCTTATATCAAACTTATCTTCAGCCTGTCACATTTACCTTAAATACCCCTTCTCATCATCTTCATTGTCACCATCCCTAGCCAAGGTAATGCCACATCTTGGCTGGACCACCACAATAGTCTTCTTCCTTTTTTTTTTCCTTAAAGGTGTTGCTGTTAAAGTCTTAATCTTTTAGTGACATTTTGGGTTCACAGCAAAATTGAGAGGAAGGTACAGGGAGTTCCCATATACCCCTAGTCCTTATACATGCACATCCTCCCCATTATCAACATCCCCCACCGGAGTGCTACATTCGTTATAACTGATAAACCTACAATTGACTCATAATCTCCCAAGGTACATATTTACATTAGGATTCATCCTTGCTGTGGTACATTCTACGGTTTGAGTGATTTGTATCCACTTTATAGTATCATACTGGGTATTTTTACTGCCCTAAAAATCTTTTATGCTCTGCCTATTCATCCCTTCCCTCTGACCTCAACCCTGATCTTTTTACTTTCTCTATACTTGTGCTTTTTTCAGAATGTCATATAGCTGTAATCATCTAGTATACAGCCCTTCTAGATTGGTTTCTTTTTCTTAGTAATATGCATTTAAGTTCTCTCCATGTCTTTTTTTTTGGCTCGATAGCTTATTTTGATTTAGTGCTGAATAATGTTCCCTTGTGCAGATGCACCATAATTTGTTTATCCATTTACCTACTGAAAGACAATTTGGTTACTTCCAAGTTTTGGCAATTATGAATAAAGCTGCTATAGATATCTGCAGACTGGTTTTTGTGTGGACATACAAATTCAACTCCTTCAGGTAGATACTAAGGCAGATACTCAGGTAGATACTTATCTCCTAGGTAGATAGTATCTTAGGTAGATAGTATCTCTTAGGTAGTAAGTAAGTAGATAGTATCTCTTATCTCTTAGGTAGATAGTATCACCTTACCTTAGGTAGATACTAAGGCCAGGAGTACAATTGCTGCATCATGTGATAAGAGTGTTTTAGTTTTATAAAGAACTACCAAACCGTAGTGGCTGCACCATTTTGCATTCCCACCAGCAATGAATGAGTTCTTGTTTTTCCACATCCTCTCCAGCCTTTCGTGTGGTCAGTCCCAATAATCTCCTAATTGGTCTTCCTACCAATATTATCTGACAGCCTCCCCTACCAATTCTCTTCTCTACGTTGCTGTCAGACCATCTTCCCAAAAGGCATATCTGGTCACATCACCCCCTGCTTAGGACCCTCCAAAGCCTCCTATCATTCTTAAGACAAGGATCAAATCCTTAACTAGGCCTTTAAGGTCCTGCCTGATGTGGCTTGCCTGGCTCTCAACTGCCCTTTTACCATGCTGCCTCTGCTCTCCAGCCACACCACCTCCTCTCTGTCTCTTCTGCAGCCCAGCCTTTGCCTGGAAATCTCTTCCTCAGCTGCCTCACTCCTGAGTCCTCGGTCTAGGTCAGGTTCCTTTATTATTCACTTTTTTTTTTTTTTTTTAAAGACGGAGTCTTGCTGTGTCTCCCAGGCTGGAGTGCAATGGCGCGATCTCGGCTCACTGCAACCTCTGCCTCCTGGGTTTGAGCGATTCTCCTGCCTCAGCCTCCCCCCACCACACTCGGATAATTTTTTGTATTTTTTTTTTTTTAGTAGAGACGGGGTTTCACTGTGTTAGCCAGGATGGAGTCGATCTCCTGGCCTCGTGATCCACCTGCCTCAGCCTCCCAAAGTGCTGGGATTACAAGCATGAGCCACCGTGCCCGGCCTATTCGCTCTTAAAGAACCTTATTTCCCTCGTAAGTCTATTTATCCCTATTCAGTATGACACATTCACTAGTGTCATTGATTTGATGGATTAATGGCTGGCTCTTAACTTGACTCTGAGTTTCATACAGGCTTGAACCATACATACCTGTCTCTGCTTGCTTTTCCATGTATCTGGACCTTGCTTATAGCAAGTCCTCAATAAATATTTGTTAAAGAGTAAATGGACCCTTAGGAAATGGATTAATAAAAAAAAATCTATAGAACGATGCAAGCCTAGCCTCTAAGTCTTCTTGGGTCAGAGAATCATTTACTTTGAGTGAATGAGATTCAAGGACACTATAAATTGCGGAGGCATTTGCCCTATTAGGCCAGGAAACATATCTCTCTCCAAAGATTTTGACTTGCCAATTCCCAATACCCTATGTCGAAAGCCAGTTGGCTGCCCACACTTTTGAAAACACAGTGAGACATTAACCCTCAAAGGCAAAGTCCAAGGGCACAATTTTGCTGCAAGAGCTGCCTGCCTGACTGCAGCTTTAATAGCTGATTCTCCAAATATGCACTGACGTCAGTGAGAGTTCCCTGTGCTCAGCGTGTCTGACTCAGCCTCCACAGTGCAATTTGGAGGGAAGAGTTTGACCTGAAGACATTTCACCTGCTGTTTGTTTTAGGGTTTAAAGTGAAATGCAGCCTTTATGCCACCCCTCCAGCCTGCCCTGGTATGATTTAACTTTCATTTGCTAGTGCATTTGTATTTCCTTGTATTTTATTATTTAAGAACTATTAGATAAAAATCAGAATGCAGAGCTGAGGCTCGATCAGCTGAAAAATCAAGCTGAATCAAGTTCTCTTCAGTCTTTAGCCATAGTTAAAGACACAAGGAGAAATGTTTTGTTACTTTGGGATACAACAGAAGCTGGAGGATTTAGTGTTTTATGTTTTTTTGTGTATGTGTTTGTTATTAAAAATCCTTTCTAACTTTAAAAATAAAATATGGGGCTGGGTGTGATTGCTCATGCTTCTAATGCCAGCACTTTGACAGGCTGAGGTGGGAGGATCACTTGAGGCTAGGAGTTCGAGACCAACCTGGGCAATGTAGCAAGACCCTGTCGCTACTAAAAAATAATGTGTTAGTCTACAAGATGCCAGAAAATTCTCACCAAGTTAACTAATCAGGGCATCATATAATGCAAAAACATGTTAATGGAAAAGATTTTCCTGCCAAATGTTCATAAAAAGCAGTCACATGAAATCCAAAGTTTCACATGGGATTCTTTAAATATGATATAGCAAGATATTATGATGTTGTCAGAAATGTTTGCAAAAGCCTCAGAATTAATTTTTCCCTTCTTAGTGCTCTTAAAGTGCCTTAGACACACCTCACTATAGTGCTTATTTGGGCATGATAATAAATTGTTGACAGTCTCTGCTGAGACTGTGAGCCTTTGAGGACAGAGCACGTTTCTTAGCTATCTGTGATAGGTCTAGCTTTTGTTATGGTGTGTGGCACATGGTAGTTGCAAAGAGAAAGGGAGCTAGAATCAGAGCTCTGTGCTCCAATCCTGCCCTCGTATTTTCAAACTGTGGAATTATGGCAAATGCTTAAACTCTGCAAGTTCCATTATTCTGTAAAAGGGAATCTCACTTCCTCACAGGGCTGCTGAGGGAGTGAAATGAGATATGTGTCCTGTATGTAGTAGGTACTAATAAATGTGATTGTCAAGGAATTAAGAACTAGATCCTGAGATTGCATCCAGGTTCTACATTTGCTGGCTGTGTGACCTTGGGCAAGTCACCTAACCTCTCTGAGCCTTGGCTTCTTATCTATATAATAGGAATAATAACATCTATATCACAGAGTTGTGGTGAGAAACAGATTTTAGACTTTTGTATTTAATGCATCCAAACCAAAGTCTAGTACTAACCTTTTATTTTTTCAAGTAAGAATGTTCCAGAAAAGAAACTATCATCTACTGTCACCATAAAAGGAAGAGTATCTAACACCAAAAAGTGAGAAAGATAAATTTCCTTAAACAGAAATATCTTTAAAAAGAAAAATACTTTCTAACATCCTTATTTTAGGCTGGTGAAAACTTTAGTCTTACACCAGCACCATCTGTGTCCAGACTCTTGAATCCATTAATAATGAAGATGAAATGAGATAATATGTATAAATAGCTGAGTGTAGAGCCTGGCACACAGAAAACACTAAATAAATATTAACTGCTACTATTTAATATTATTTTTGTCATGATTGCGTTGTTTAATTTTATGTGTCAACTTGTCTGGGCTAAGGGATGCCCAGATAGCTGGTAAAACATTATTTCTGAGTGTGTCTGATATGGTGTTTCTGGAAGAGAATAGTATTTTAATTAGTAGACTGAGTAAAGAAGATCGACCTTACCAATGCAGGAGGGCATTCTCCAATCTGTTGAGGGCCTGAAGAGAACATAAAAGTGGAGGAAGGACAGATTTGTTTTTTCTGCTTAGGTTGGGACATCCATCTTCTCCTACCCTGGACATTGGCACTTCTGGTTCTTTGGCCTTTGGGCTGGAATTGACACCATTACCCCCTTATCTCAGTCCAAAGGCTGAAGTTCCAATGTACACTAAATTACACCACTGGCTTTCTTGGTTCTCCAGCTTATAGATGTCGGGTTGTGGGACTTCTCAGCCTCCATAATCACATAAGCCAATTCCTATAAATTTCCTATATGTGTCCTATATATAGGATAGCTCTCTATATATCCTGGAGAATCCTAAATAGTACAATCATCGTAAGTTAAAATACTTAAATTTTCTATTAGAAAGTTTGATAAATGAATGAATGAAATGCCTGTTATATTTGTACTCAGTAGAGCTAAAGAATGAAAAGAGGTAACGATATATATAACTGATCAGAAGTTTTGGGAATAACAATGTTACTGGCAAATACTCAAAACCAAATACAAGTGTTCACTGAGAGCTTCCTGTATTTCAGGTGCTCCTCTTAGTATTTTACATGAATAATTTTATTTGTGCTTCATGAAAACTCCATTTATCCCATTTTTACAGATGAGGCAACTGAGGCACAGAGAGGTTATATAACTTACTCTAGGTTACCTATTAGTAAGTGTTGTGGCTGTGATTCCAACCCAGGCAATCAGACTTTATCACTTGGACTTCAATACCATGATATTCTGTCTCCTTATAGTAAAGATAAAATATACAATAAATTCTAATTTAAATGAATATGTTATGTAAATAGAAAGAAGAAACAATGGACAATTGACAGGAAGGGCAACGGGTTGCATCATTGAACTAGATTTGGGGCAACCTTAGAAAGGAGTCCCATAATCATATTCATTTTTATGTAAAAATGTCATGCTCTAGAAATGTGTCAGCATTTGAGTGCAGTTGAAGAATTTGATGTGTCAAGGGTTGAGCACCTTGGCACATCACCTTTACTTTCTGCTGGGCTTCTCTTGTTTGGTTTTCTGAAGTGCAACATACTTTTGTTAGTTTGGAAAGGGTGGGTGAGGGATGGGACTGAGGGGAAGAATGATGGTTTGGCTCTGAGCCTTGTTTTCAGCATTTTGAATTCATGGTATTGCAAAGACAGCAAGGGAAAACTACTGGGTGGGCACCATATTCCAGCTGGAGTAGGGGTGACAGGCCAGACAGGCAGCGTTAGCTTGCTTGACACTACTTGGGTGGAGCCTAGGCTAATGAATCACTCACTCCGTAAAGCAGCCACTGCTTCCTTGCTGTGCACCAGCTCCATGGTGCAGGCCAAAATCCAGCTCTGGCAATGAGCCTGTGCAGAATATAGTAAAACAAGAGGTCACATTTTCCCAGAGCTTCGCTGCCAAAACGTGGCAAGTGCCCAGCTGAAATTGGCAGTAGTGGACACCCAAACCTCCCTCCAGCCAAAAGCAGAGAAGCTGGCTTCTTGGAGATGGTTCAGCCACAGCCATGCCCTGGGTCATTCCCAAGCCAACACTTCACAGCAGGGCCCCAGGAGGACCCGCCAAGGTCCTGGTGTCACAGCAGGGGCTGCCAATGTGAGTTGCTCTTTTGACGACCGGAGACCTCCCAGCTGGGTTGAGGCTAAGCCTCCGAGATTCACAGGATGCCAAATCACACAGGCCTTCCGTCTTCTCATTATTAATCTTGTTTCTTATTAACCCAAACAAATATTCTGGCCTTGGCTCCAGTGTTATTCAGGACAAAAATGATATCCTTTTTGGGATTCAAATTGATAGCATTTTCTTTGTTTCAGGTGCTGTCCCTAAGCTCTTTTTCTGAATTATCTGTCTCTCACAAGCACCCTTTGCAGGAAAAGACATGAAAGTGAAGAGAGATGAAGTAACTCACCGAAGAGCACACAGTGAGCACACACATTGAGAGTCCAGGTTAACTCCAAAGTCTAAGAGCTTTCACCACATATTGGTATCTCTGTCTTGTGACGGTTGTGAAAAGAATTATTATTTAAGTATTCATGTCTCTATTTTCTTCCCAAATGGTTTCTATTAGGTTGGTGCAGAAGTAATGGTTTTGCCATTACTTTCAGTGGCAAAACCCACAATTACTTCAATAGTTTCTTGAGGGAAAGGACCTGGCTCTAAAATAAATTAATGCCAACCTGGCTCTAAAATAAATAAATCAATAAATAGAGTCACCCAGGCGGGAATGCAGTGGTGTGGGACCATTTCCACTGCAGTGTTTCCATAGTATTCATTCATGCATTTGGGAAATATTTATTGAGCACTTATTATGTGCCAGGGATTATGCCAAGCATTTGCCAATAAAAAGGCAAAAAGTCACTGGGCCCGCTCTTTGGGAGCTAATAATCCTATGCAGGGTAATACCCAGGGAAGTCAATGAGTTATTACAAAATAACAAGGTTGACCCCACATAGGGTATGCAATTCTAGCAGTTCTTACCAGCTATTTATAGACTATTCACATATTTTATGTATTTATCTTGTATTTTATTCTAAATGCAATTAACAAGAGTATTCTCATAAAAATAGTTAAATTAATCCAATGGTGGTGTGGCATAATAAGAAATATGTATTTGGTCTTTGCCCAGGGTTTCTGACACACAGCTCCCATATCCCTTGGAACCTCTGGAGTGATAGGAACATCTCTTGTTCTAATGAGATAACTCTTGGTAGGCTCTTGGATGGGGGTAGTCACCAGAAAGACCAAACCTTGATAAGCAGCCTGAAATTTTCAGCCCCAAACCCTAACCTCTGGGAAGGGGGAGAGAGGTTCCCTATATGATGAAACCTCCATAAAAACTCCTAAACTTTGGGATTTGGAGAGCTTCCACGTTGGTGAGCATGTTGAGGTGCTGGGAGGGTCGTGCTTCTAGAGAGAGTATGGAAACTCTACCTGCTACCCTTCCTTTTTTGCTCCTCTGCATCTCCCATTTGGCTGCTTCTGAGTTGTATCCTTTATAATAAACTGATAAATGTAAGTAAGATGCCTTCCTGAGTTCTGTGAGCCATCCTAGCAAATTATCAAACCTTAGGAGGGGTCATGGGAACTCCTGATTTATAGCCAGTCAGTCAGAAGTACAGGTGCCGTGGGACCTGTGACTGGTGTCTGCAGTGCGAGTAGTACTGTGAGACTGAGCCTTTACCTTGTGGGATCTGACACTAACTCTGAGTAGTGTTGGAATTTAGTTGAATCATAGGACGCTCAGTTGCTTCTCAGAAAATTAGTGAATTGGTCGCTGGAAGTGGAAAACACCACAGTGGGCTTCTTGAGAGACCAACATAAATATGTTCATAACTAAACATGGGCATCAGAAAATACAAACATCTTCTGTCAAAATTGTGAAAATTGTGTAGCAGACTTAAAACATATAGATTTCATCTTTATGAACAAAATAAAAGATGGATGTTTAAACATTTTGTGTTATTAAGTTCCTGTCCAGATTATTACAAAGACCTCCCAACTATCTCCCCTTTTCTTCTGTACCCTGCTTTAATCCCCCTGCACAGAGCAGCCAGGTGATCTTTTAAAACAATAAATCAGACCATGTCCCTTACCAGCTAAAAGCCCATTAATAACTCAGAATTGTTGTTAGATTAAAACCCAAATTTCTTATCATGGGCTGCAGTGATCTACATGATCTATCTCCTATCTGTCCAAACTGATATGATGATGACGATGATGATGATGATGATGAAAAATAGACTGCATTTATTGAGCATCCACTAAGCACTTTATATGCTTACTCTCATTTAATCTTTTTTTAAAAAAATACCAACCAGAATTAGCTAGAATTTCATTTAATCTTCATGACAACCTTATCTCTCCTCCTCTCTAATTTATGTGGCAGCCGTACTTTGCTCCTTTCTGTTCCAAATGCTCGCAGAGCTCTTTCCTACCCCCAGGGCCTTTGTACTCGCTGTCCCCTTGGCCTTGGAAATGCTAGCTCCAGCTCTTCTCACAGTTGGCTTGTGTGCACCCACCAGGTGTCAGCTCAAATATCACCTCTTTGGAGAGGCTGCCCTTGACTACCCAATCTAAGCAACTTTCTCCAGTTATGATGTCCTTTTCTGCTGATGGGTTCTTGCTGATAATTTACTGGAGCCTTTCACGGTCATGTTTATGTCTTTTATTGTGCTTGTCTATTTCCCCATCTGGAATGTTTTGTAAGCTTTGTGATGGCATCTTCCTCACCACTGTCTTGTTTACTACACCAGTGCATGGTATGTGCAAGGAACAGAGGCTCAATATGTATATGACAAATGAGTTGATAAATGTATCTTATGAATATTAAGTAATAAATGCTAAAAAAAAAAACAGCCCATACATTTCTTCTAAGTAATGACCATCTACTCAGGTCAATATTTAATAATTTAGCAGGCCCGGATTTCTTTTTCTATTTCTTTTTTTTTTTTTTTTGACGGAGTTTTGCTCTTGTTGCCCAGCCTGGAGCGCAATGGCGCGATCTCGGCCCACTGCAACTTACGCCTCCTGGGTTCAAGCGATTCTTCTGCCTCAGCCTCCAGAGTAGCTGGGATTACGGGCATGTGCCACCACGCCCGACTAATTTTGTATTTTTAGTAGAGATGGGGTTTCTCTATGTTGGTCAGGCTGGTCTTGAACTCGCGACCTCAGGTGATCCACCCGCCTTAGCCTCCCAAAATTCTGGGGTTATAGGCGTGAGCCACCACATCCGGCAAGCCTGGATTTTATATGGTCACTAGATGTGTGTGTATTTGTTGGCTAAGTGATCATAAGAAAAGCAGGTCCAGATGAACCTTAGGGAAACCTACCTAGGTGTTTTAGATATGGCTGGATGATAAGGTGAGTACTAGCACACTGTTAGAACAGAGAGCTGTGGAGGAAGGAGTGATGAGCTGTCTGGGGCTGTCAGAAAGGCTGATGATAATTCAGGCAGCAGGTGAATCCTCTTTGGGTGGGTGGTGGCTTGGTGTGGGTGGAGCTTGGGATAGATAGGATAAGGATGGAGGGATGAGGAGTGGCAGAAGATGAGACTGAAGGTTAGACTGCAAACAATGGAGAAAGGTGGTGAGTGCTGTGCTAAGGAGGACAGATTTTGTGCTGGAAGCAATGGCCTTGGAAATGGGGAGGGGCTTAAAAAATCATGATTAGGTTAATGTCATATAGAAGAGGGGACTTGGATGGAGAAAGCAAATACTGCAGGCAAGACACGAGGCACTCCCTCCACTAAGGTAGTGTGGTCAGAATGAAGAGGATGCTGTGCACTGAGCTAATGCTCAGCATGTTTGTTCAATAATATCAAGTATTTAAAATATGCATATTTAAATATACAACACATTATACAAACTGGTTAAAGGAAAATTGATGTAGGTGGTAGGATAGAGATAATCCCTTCTTAAACCACAGCGTGGTTAATGCATAGACAAGCATCGCATGTCCCTAAACGAAGGATTGTAGATGCAATTTTTAGGTATGTCATAGGATTGAGAACTAAAAGGAGCTTCAGAGGAGACCTGTGCCTTTATTCTTTATTTTCACCTGCTTGGTCTTGCTGTTTCCATTAGGGGCTCCTTCAATGTCCCCAACTCTGCCACATCTCCGGTTGTTTCCTCTTGCTGGTCCCTCAGTTCTTCATTTTTCTCTTCCATCCCTGCTGTGTGAAATCATTTTTCTTGGCCGAGATACAGAGTCATGTCCAGTGCCTTCCTTAACTTTGTTCAGGTAAAATTAATTGCTGTGCTGTATGCACCTGTGTTACTCACATTAAGGTCTATTATGTAAAACACATAAGGCATACTCACATGATAATTAATGGTGTGGACTTTATAAAGCTAGGCTGCCAAGGTTTGTTTTGGGCTAAGTCACTGACCTGCTTTGTGCTTTAGTTTCCTCATCTGTAAAATGAAGATAATAGTGGTATTTTTACTAATAGTGTCTTAGTCTGATCTAGCTGATACAACAAAATATTATAGACTGGTGGCTTATAAACAACAGAAATTTATTTCTCACAGTTCTGAAGGCTGGGAAATCCAAGATCAAAGTGCCAGCAGATTTGATGTTTGGTGAGGAGTTGCTTCCTCATAGATAGTCATCTCACTTTTGCCTTCTCAAAAGCAGGAGGGGTAAGGGCCTCTCCCAGACCTCTTTCATAAGGGCACTAATTTCATTCATGAGCCATCATGACCTGATCATCTTCCCAAAGCCCCATCTCCTAAAGCCATAAGCTTGCCCGGTAGGATTTCCACATATGACTCTGCGGGTGGGAGACACAAACAGTCGAATCATAGGAAATACTGTTTATTTCAGAGGGTTGTTGGAAGGATTTAATGAGCTAATACATGGAAAATGGAAGAACAATCCCTGGTACACAATAATCATTAAGTTTTTTTGCTGCTTTCTTGCTAGACTATGGGTTTCTGAGAATGGGGATGCAGGTCTTATTGATCCTGTAACTCTACAGCCTGGCCTAGCCCACTGTGGTCCTCAGGGATTGCTGCTGAATGAATGGATTGCACAGATAAGGAAACTGAGGAATATGTTCAGGGCCCCACTGGAGCATGCACCAAGGGCCTCGTGACCCCCAGGCCTGTGTTCCTGGGTCAGCTATTGAATTTTTCACCGCTGATTGTGGAGTAAGAAATTCTGCTTATGTGCCTTTAGCAAGGAAGACTGGGTGCATTTAAACTCACTTTTTATGTTGCCTTTTATGACACCTAGGAGAGGGACATTTATGGTTACAGAACATTAAAAGAAAAATGAATGCAAGTGTAAACTTCTGAAATTACTGTGATTTAGGGAATGATAGGTGTTATTTTTTCACAGGTTTTATATAATGTAAGTGCATGCTATGGAATCATCTGAACAAAAGTTGTAAATAAACCTGAAGGGTACTCATTTTTAAGATAAGATATGATAGAAGTATATGCTTATCTTTCAAATATCTGTAAAATGTGTAATATTTCTAACAGTTTAAACATGAGATATTTCCACACAATATTTATTGCCTAAGACTTTGTGAAACAGAGGCATAGCCATGTTTTAGGGTCCTGATTTAGAACCCCTAATTCCCCAAGCATGCACACTAGGAAGAGGCAAGAAGGCAAGGGAGGGTCCAGTTTCTTGCCTCAGAATTAAGACTTCTTTGTCCTCTACCTGCAGGTATCTACCCTGCCCTGGCTGTGGGTCCAGTTCTGATTTGGGAGGAATTTAAGGGGCCCTGATCTATTGCAAGTTATTGCTGCTGCTGGGCCCACTCTGATCTGAGTTCCAACTCCAGTTAAGGGAATCAATTTTTGATTGCTTGCCAATTGTCCTCTCTATGTCAGGCTTTTACATACTTCATTTCATTTAACCCTCCTAATAATTTAACATGTGATGAAACAGATGCCCAGAGAGGGTAAGTGATTTGACCAAGCCACCCTGCAATGTAAATGGGGAACCAGGATTTTAAAACCTTGGCGCATGATGAAAACAACCCAAATGCTGATCAGCTGATGAATGGATAAACAAAATGTGATATATCCATACAATGGAATATTATGCAGCCATTAAAGAAATAAAGTAATGATACATGCTATGTATTAGTGAGGATTCTCAAAAAAAAAGAACCAATAGGATATATGTATGAGTGTATGTATATATGTATACACACACACACACACACACACACACACACACACACACACACACAGAGAGATTTATCATAAAGAACTGGAGGCTGGGCGTGGTGGCTCATCCCTGTAATCCCAGCACTTTGGGAGGCCGAGGTGGGTGGATCACTTGAGGTCAGGAGTTTGACACCAGCCTGGCCAATATGGTGAAACCTCGTCTCTACAAAAAAAAATACAAAAATTAGCCAGGCATGGTGGCGGGCACCTGTAATCCCAGCTACTCAGAAGGCTGAGGCAGGAGAATCGCTTGAACCCGGAAGGCAGAGGTTGCAGTGAGCCAAGATTGTGCCACTGCACTCCAGCCTGGGCAACAGAGCCAGATCCTGTCTCAAGAAAAAAAAAAAAAAAAAGAATTGACTCATGCAATTATGGAGGCTGAGAAGTCCCAAGATCTTTGGTTGACAAGCTGGAGAACCAGGAAAGTCTATGGTATAGTTTCAGTCCTAATCCAAAGGCCTGAGAACCAGGAGAGTCAATGGTGTAAGGTCTATTCTGAGTCCAAGTCCAAAGGCAGAAGACCAATGTCTCACTGGAAGACATTCATATAGAGAGAGAACAAATCCTTTCTTACACAGCCTTTTTGTTCTATTCAAGCCTTTAATTGATTGCATGGGGCCCACCCACTCTGGGAAGGGCAACCTCCTTTCTCAGGCCATCAATTCAGATGTTAATTTCATCCAGAGACACCCTCACAGACACACCCAGAATAACGTTTAACCAAATACCTGGCACTCTATGGCCCAGTCAAATTGGCACATAAAATTGACCATTATATGCTATCACATGGATAAACCTCAGAAACATGCCATGAGAAAGACACCAGACACAAAAGGTCACATATTACATGATTCTATTTATATAAAATATCCAGGATAGGCAAATCCATAGAAACAGTGAGCAGATGAGTGGTTGCCAGGGACTGGTGGGGAGTGGGGAATGGAGAGCAACTGCTTGATGAGGGTGGAGTTTGCATTTGCGGTGGTGAAAATGTTCTGGACCTGGATAGTGGTGATAGCTGCATAGCACTGTGAGTGTACTTAATGCCACTGAATTGTACACTTTATATTGGTTAAAACGGTAAGTTTTATGTTACACATATTTTACCACAATAAAAACAGACAAATGGAAACCTATTACAGTTATCTTTGAAGACCTTGATTTTTCTCGTAAAACAGGATGTGCCTCTCCCTTGTTTCTGATTCTCAGTTCCTACCTGAGAACTGGATCTCTCAGTGGAGAAACCGTTCAGCCCCTCGGTCCCTCGGCTGCAGGGCTGCTGCTTTTTCAGAGCACTCCTCTGCTTCCTTTCCCTTCTGGCTTGGAGCTCTGTCCTGCAGGGAGAACCTGCAGTGGACGCCACTCATCCCCACTTCCTGCCCACTCGCAGCTCCTGGCTGCTCTTCCTTCATCTCTCATGTGGCTCTGCCAATACCAGTCTAAACTCTAAACTCTCACCTTTCACTTGGCATTGTAGTGGCTGGATTTCCATGGCCTGGTGCTGGGCCTCACCTGGGCTTGCCCCAACTCAGGGAGCTGGTCAGGCTGACCTTTGTCAACACGTTCATGTCCACTTCCCCACTCACCTTCAGTCTTTTCCTCCTGTAGATGCTTTCTTACTATCCTACCCTACTCCTGACTTATCTGTCCTGCCATTCTGACTCCCTGGACCTGTCAAACTGTCCACAGAGTGACAATTAGTCCTCTGCAGAAGTAGAATGAAGGCTACTCATTCAGGACTTCCTTGCCCTTCTCCAGTTGGGTCAGTCTTCCCAGAAAACATGTGGGCATTACCCATCCAACCTCTAATTAATCTTCCTAACATGTGCTTAGATTATGTTTACTCTCCTTCTCGAAAAACTTTACTGGCAATTGTAGTGACATTTTCTATGCTTTACTGCTGCTCAGCATCTTCTGAAAGCCTTTTTACATTTAGGGAAATGTGCAATTAGGAGTCCTGCCTTCCCAAGGCAGATGCTAGAAACTCTTACCCAGCATCCCTTGCAGCTGGAGCACAGGCCCAGGACCCTTGTTCTGCCCATAGACTGCTCTCGGTAGACTTAGGTTCAGAGGAGAGCACCACCAGGAAGCCACATGGAGTGGGATCCATTTTCTGGAAGTAGAGATGAGGTCTTGCGTCTAGTGCCTGGTGGTAGTAAATGTGGGCCTCCATGGAATTAGCACAGAGGGTGGATTAACTGCTTGGTTTTCAAGTTTTGTTCTTTGCCCTCCCAGAGTTCCTGTAAATTACCCAGTATCTCAATATTTTTACTCAAATTACCCCCAATTTTTCAGCTTTGTTGAGGTATAATTGACAAATAACAATAGTATATATTCTAGATATACAACATGATGTTTTGATATATGTATACATTGTGACATGATTACTGCAATCAGGTTAGTTAACCCATCTCTCACATCACATAATTACCTTTTTTTGGTGATCAGATTACTTAAGATCTACTCTCTTAGCAAATTGCAAGTACACAGTACATTATTATTAACTATAGTCACTGTGCTGTACATTGGGTCTGCAGAATTTATTCTTTGTACAAGTACACGTCTGTAATGTCTTTTAATTAATTTATTTTCTATTTAAACTCCCTGGAATGGTTGTTTGTAACTAAGAAGTCTCAAAGTGCATAGTCTTTTTTTTTTTTGTCTTCGGATTAAGAGCAAATGTCTTCCCTTGCAACTGAGGCTTTGCCTGTTGTGATGTCAGCTGTTTCTCCAGGCTTCACTCTTTTCATGTCTCTATGATACAGCCAGAGGGTGTAGCTCCATCTCTCCTGATCAAAAGGGGCTCCCCATGTCTATGCCGTGGTTCCTGCTGTCTACTCCACTTGGAACACACTCCCAGCTACACCTTTGTCCCTAATATTCTATTCATCCAGTGTTTCTTTAGAGAAACACTCTAAATTTTTTTTAAGACATATCATACTTAAGCTCCCCCACCATAAAAATGTGTCCACTTTTTCTAGAGGGCAGAGGCTCTGTCTTAGTCATCCCTCAGAATTCAGCTGTGTCTGACCAAGGAACTCACCAACTGGCTTAATAAAATAACACTCTGTGATCCCTCAAGGTGGGCAATTGTGAAAGGATCCCTGTAAAGGCCTAACACTTGTTCCTCCAACGTCACTTTCTTCTAGGGAATGTCTTCGATTGCTGCTTCCACTGCTGTCATGACCTTAGGTGGCATAAAAGTCCTTACCTTTCTACCCTAAGGATGGGCCAATTCTCTTCTTTTAGTATCTTTCAGAACAGCTGTGCTTAAGTTAAAGCTTTGTGCTAATAGCATAGAATGATTCATGAAACTCTTGGGTGAATAAATGGTTGTTCTAATCACCTGCACCTGCCCATCCTTGGGGAGCCCCTCCAGATCTGCCTCCCTATCCAGCTTCAAATGGCAAGAGTCATTTTTCATCCCCCCTACCAGGTAGGACATTCAAGCCTTGCTAAACTTGTGGGAGCTTGAGCTCAAGAGAGCCATATCAGAGAAAGGAAGACATTCTTTCCTTACCCCGGTCTAAGTCCTGTCTTCTAATCCCTCACTTCTTCCAAGTTCCACTGTTTCTCAGGACCACCAACACCAGAAGTGTCCATTACTCTAAATGTGACTCCATCTTCTGAACACAAGGATGTGGCTTTATTTTATTCCAAGACTCAAATGGGACAGATCCATTACAGTACAACTCAATTCAATATCTATGTAAGAGACACATATACACACAGCAGAGATATATAGGCAGTGCAGAGTAGATGTATGGAGAATTGAATTAACCCAAACATATCCTTCAATGTTTGTAGTTATAGGAATTTCAACTTTATACACAAATATTGTACCTTTAAAATATTTTTATAAATTAACCTAATTTTTCCCATCCCACTGGGCTTGTAGCTGGGGAAGGGCTACTTAACCTAAGCCATTCTTGGACTTTCTCTGCCCCCTCCAAGCCCAGAATTTAGATCACAGTTCCATGGTCATTCACATTCCCCAGGCATCTGATGTGGGGAGATGTCTCCCTTGTTACCAGGTCATTGGTTTACAGTTTTCTGCTGTCTACAGGGCTGTATTAGAACTACTGCCTCTCTGTATCATTTATTTATTTATTTATTTATTTATTTATTTATTTATTTATTTTTTTAGAGATAGGGTCTTTCTATGTTGTCCAGACTGGCAGTGGCTATTCACAGATGTGATCCCACTGCTGATCAGCATGGAAGTTTTGTCCTGCTCTGTTTCTGACCCGGGCTGGATCACCCCTCCATAGGCATCCTGCTGGTCCTCTGCTCCTGGGAGGTCACCATATTGATGTTGCATTTAGTGCAGACATCCCATTGGCATAGTGCACTACAGCACAGATCTCCTGGGCTCAAGCAATCCTCCTGCCCCACCTCTGGAGTAGCTTAGTCTACAGGTGCACAGCACTGTGGCTGGCTCTGCAGATTTTATTTCATGCTTGAGGCACAAAAATCTTTTACAAGGCTATCACAACTAGCTAGATTCAGAGATTGCCAGTGGGTGGAATGAAGCCCAAGATGTGTTTTTTTCACCAGCATAGTATACATTTTTTAAACAAAATTATATACTTAGGACATAAAACCCCAGGTAGACTTAATCCTTACCACTCCCGCTTGTCTCTTTACCAGCTTTACTCATTTATTTGTTCATAATACCTTCTGATTCTTTGAAGGCATTTGAACATCTGAGCTTGCAACTATTCCTCTTTGGAATCATACACCCTCTTTCTTTTCTGCCTTGGCCTGGGGTTGGCTGTATGGTCTTGGGAGGATCCTTTCTTATTCCCAATGCCTTGATTCAAATGCTCAAGTTACTCTATGAATTGCCTCTTTCTTTAACCTCCTTCGTGAACCCTCTTAGGTCTTCAAAAGATAGAGGACTTTGGAAAACAAAGTCCTAGAGATATTACTGATTAATCCCTGATTTCTTCCCTGCCACATCCCTGAAAAAATAAGGCACTTTTGGAAGTTGTGGGAGAAGACGTGGTAGAAAAAAAGAGAAGAAAACATAAATTTTGTTGCAAAATATTAGCTAACCACATCATCTAAAACAGAGAAAAACTAAAATGTGAGGAATTTTGAACACAGAAGGAAAGAAGAAAACATTATAAGTTCAAAGGGACATGGTTGGGAACCTCTGGAGTCTTACAGTATCTGTCAAATTACATGATGCAGGCAACAGTGCTTTTCATCTGTGTCCCCCATCCCAAAGCCCCTGTCCTTTCCTGTGAGCGCTTAATACCACTGAACCCCCTTCTCCTGCCAAAACAGTCCACATACTACCCTCTTGGCAGCTGTCACACACCTGGAGATAGGACACAACCTGCTCATTCTCTGAATAAGCTCCATACTTCATTGCCATGACTTTTCCCAAAGTCCCTGTCTGAAAAAAACAATGTCATTAGACATGTAAAAGGAAAAAAGAACCTTCTTCATCCTCCAGCTGGAAAGGAAGCAGGCTGCATCTAGGGGAGATGATGCAGCAGGGAAGGAGCCCTGTGCAAGGCGGGGCTCTCTTGTGCAGGGCGGCCTGGAGAGGATGACTGGGAGCCCCGTGAGACTTGTGTAGGGAATGTGGCAGGAGACAGGGGAGAAGTACAGAAACTGGGAAAAAGGATCAATGCTTTGGCCTGAAAAAAATCAATCTCTTGCTGATTGAGAGAATCAAGCGGTTTTGATCTCTCAATCCTACAGGGTACTTGTAGCAAATACAAAAGGAATAAGACACAATTCCTGTCCTCAGGGAGTTTAGTTTTTACTGGAGGAGGCCAGACACACACTCCACACCAGGCAATACCTGGATATGTTCAAGGAGTAGTGGCGTAATAAGTGGAAATTCAGAGGATGGGGAGAGAACTGGGGTCTAAGAAAGCTTTTTGGAGAAGGGGAGACTTGAGCCAAACCTTGAGGAATGGGTGGGATTTGGAATGCAGAAAGGGGAGGCCCTTAGGTGGAGGGGCCCTGTGGGCAAGGTGTGACAGTCAGGGGACAGTGAGTAGGGGGCCTGCCTGGCTGACACAAAGGAGTGAGTGGTAGAGAAAATGTTGGAAAGGAAGGAGAAATAGAAATGTGGTGAAAGCTTGACCAGTTGTGTGACTTTATATGATCTTTTGCCTTAGTGTCTTCATCCCTAAATGGCCATAATAAGCCTAGTCGTGGTTTTCATGAAGTTAAATGGGGTGCTTGATATGAAAGCTTTCTATTGTGTGGGGCTTCAAAAAAAGGTCAGTTCTTGCTTTCCCGACTGAGGCACTTGGACACTATCCTGTAGGCTATGTGGTGCCAGCAGGGTTCGTGAGCAGGAAAAGGAACTTCAAAAGCCTGGCAGAGAGAGAACGATGGAGGAGGATATGAGAGGGGCCGGTGGACAGCCAATCCAATCCTGCTGTGTTGGAGGCTGGCGAGCTCTAATGGGATATGCTGAGGTCCTGGGTGGGGTCTATTACCAGAATGGGAAGCCCTTCAGTCATCTTTCAGATCCTGGTTGAGGCCGTGAGATCGTGCTTGAAATCTTTTCCTAAAAGCTCCACAGAGCCAGCAGGCAGTAGGGGGCTGCCAACCCCCAGACCCTCAAGTGGGAGCGGACTCTGGGATAGAAAGTGAGGGACTCTACCCTCCCTTATAAATCATTATTGCCAGCCAGTCTTCAGTCTGGCTGAAATTTAGTGGGTATATTAAAAATGCATCCAGGCACAATAAAGCCTAGTTTGGGGTTTAAAATATAGCTTGTCAGATGAGTATTTAGTGGTGTGTTTTAATATGCATAAGTGCAAACCGGAATTTAATATGTAGGCTAAAGTACACATTAGCAATTTCGTAAGTGATCTCAAATTGCAGCGTACAGAAGCAACTTGATGGGAGGGTGGGTTGAGGGGGAAAAAGGGAAATAGAATACCGTTAAACTTTGGGATTATTTTTTTCTTTATTCCCCTAAGTAGGACTTTACATAATTCCCAGGTGAATTTGTTATGGAGTTGCCTTTTATTTATTTATTTCTTATTTGTTTTTGTTTTATTGAGCTAATGAATGCTAATTCGTAGAACATAAAATTAGCTTTTTTGCCATATGTAATTCATTACCATCCAGTACCATCACAGTGCTGTTCCATCATCACCTCTATCAATTTCCAACACATTTTCATCACCCCAAAAGGAAATCCTGTACCCATTATGGGGTCAATCCCCCCATTAAGCTGTCACTCCCTGTTTCCCCCTCGCTGCAGGCCCTTGCAACCACCAATCTGCTTTCTGCCTCTCTGGATCCACCTATTCTGGATCTCTCTCTCTTTCTCTCTCTTTTTGCTCTTGTTTTGTCCTATGGTTTGTATAAGTTTGTGTTTTTCTGGACTTAGGCAATGCCTGCTGCTTTGGAAGTATTCAGAAGTTGCAATGCTGGGAACCAAGATGTCAGGTTATTGAAAGGAGAGGAACTACCAGATAGAACCTGGCTTTGTAGAGCAAATAAAGGTAAGGCTAGGAGGCTTGGTCCTACCAAGATTTTCCTAAGAGGGCTAGTGACTTTTTGGTATTATAGGCTTGGCAGTCTGATGAAGCCCTTGGACTACTTAGAATAATGTTTTGAAGAAACTAAAGCATACAGATTACCAAGGAAACCAGTTATGTTAAGATGCAGCTTTAAAATATTAAAGTATCTGGTGATCAAGTAATATATATGCTTCTTTATTAACACATTGAATAACAAGATCTAGCTTGGGTCTACTAACACTGTAATTTTAAAGCAGTGAAAGGTGTAAATTATGTTTTGAGATCTGCAACACTGTAACATGATATGAAAATATCTGATTTCTACTGGTAGCAAATTCATGGGAATTGCTAATAATACTGTGGTTTGTTACCAACATTCATAAATAAGCAACCATGAATGGAAGTTAGTACAAACAAAGATATAATTTTTGCCCATCTGAGTTTATACACAGACTTATTAAGAACTCCTGCTCTGGGATCAATTGTTTCTAATCCATTTTCAGCCATAGACCCCTTTGAGAATCTGATCAAAGCTGCCTGTAGACCATCTCACTGGGAAAATAAACTCATCAGCAGATATAAAAATTATATCTTATCTGTTGAACCCTGACACCCACCCATGAACCATGTCCAAGTCTCTGGACCTCAGATTAAGAACTTCAGTTTTAGATGTACTATCAGCAAAAAGCACTGTCCCATTTAGAATTCTTTGCCTGTAAATAACAGAAATGGACTTTGGAACCATGTGGTTTTAGAGGCTTTTTGTAGCAGAAGCTCTGGACAGTCTTGTCTACATCCCATGCCTGGAATGAGTAAGCTCCATCTGTGGCCAGGCCTTTGACGTTCTGGTCACTGTTGACACATCTGAATAGTCTAGCTTGGGTAGGGTGTCCCTCAATCCCTTCACTAGGGGAAAGTTGCACACCTTGATGAAATAACCCAGCAGGCTGTATATAATAAGGAAGAATAATTTCCTAAAAGGAATTTGAGGCACTATTACAAAAAAAAAATTAAATTGATGTGGACATGAGGTAGGCAAAAGAGAAAACAAAGTCCTGTTAAAAGTAATAATGTGGGCCAGGTGCGGTGGCTCACGCCTGTAATCCCAGCACTTTGGGAGGCTGAGGCAGGTGGATCACCTGAGGTTAGGACTTTGGGACCAGCCTAAACGACATGGTGAAACCCTGTCTCTACTAAAAATACAAAAATTAGCCGGGCTTGTTAGCGGGTGCCTGTAATCCCAGCTACTCAGGAGGCTGAGGCAGGAGAATCGCTTGAACCCGGGAGACAGAGGTTGCAGTGAGCCGAGATCACGCCATTGTACTACAGCCTGGGGAACAGATCGAGACTCTGTCTCAAAAATAATAATAATAATAATAATAATAATAATAATAATAATAATAACGTGGCTGGGCACGGTGGCCTACGCCTGTAATCCCAGCACTTTGGGAGGCCGAGGTGGGTGGATCACCTGAGGCTGGGAGTTTGAAACCAGCCTGGCCAACAGGGTGAAACCCCATCTCTACTAAAAATACAAAAATTAGCTGGCTGTGGTGGTGCATGCCTGTAATCCCAATTACTTGGAAGGCTTGAACCCTGGAGGAGGAGATTGCAGTGAGCCGAGATTGTGCCACTGCACTTCAGCCTGAGCGACAGAGTGAAACTGTGTCTCAAAAAAAAAAAAAAAAAAAAAAGTAGTGATGAGTACTGACTTTTTTTTAAATTATAAAACATACTTTTTGGAAACATTTTAGTGTTTCCAAAGTCAGAATATGGCTCTATGGCTCTCAATATATGTAAACATTGAAAGCAGCCATTTTTCACCCCTCAAAAAGTAAACTGTTGTTCAATGACTGTTGCATCTTAGAGTTGAGGAGTCTCAGAACCTAGGAATTGTGTCCTTAACAAAGTCAATCAAAGCGATACCAGATGGATTCCTTCAAGTTTCAGGAAGTACTTCTACACCAATGCTCTTCATACCATTTTCTTTCCATCTCTGCACTTCTAAATCATGCTTACTTTGCCTAATTTGGCTCTTATTTCACATCAGATGTTTAGTACACTACTAAATGCTGAAAATTCAATCCCATTAAACAGGTGTTTGTTGAATGGTGGCTATGAATCAAGTTCTCTTGTAGACACTATGAGCATTAAAAAAGGAGAGTTAGATAGAGCCATCCGCTCTCCAGGCACTGACAGTTTAGGTGCAGAGACTGCATATGCACAGGAACTAGCAAAATACTCACCTGGAGTAAAATACTCACCTAAGTGCTGCAGCTGAGGGGAGTCAGGAATTCAGAGAGCAGAGTGTGGGTTGGATAGAGAAGGAAGCCCCTGTGGAAGAAGCTGGGGACTCCCTGTCTTGCCTCTGCACCTCTGGGGAGACAGGGCCCCAAGACTCCTCTCTGAAAGCAATGATGCACCGAGAAGTTGCACTTCTTGTCCTGATCATTGTCCGAGACATAGAGAAGCCTTGGGTGAGGAGGACCACGTCCCCAGGAGGTTCCTCACTGGGCCAATACCTGTTCATCTCTTTGGTCAAACTTTCAGATCACTTCCAGAAAGGTCTTCTCTGACCTTTCAATATAAAACTTGTTCTCTTTATAAAACTTTCTCATAGAACCTTGTTCTTTCTCTTCAGCACGCTTAACATCATTTGTAAAATTTGTAATTATATACATTTTTTCTCTCCACTGATCTGTGAGTTTCTCTAGGGAAGGAAAGGAGTATATGTCTTTTTTGCTTTTATATTCACACAACTCGATAAATTGCCTGCATGTACTAGGTGTTCCGTAAATACATGTGAAGTGATTGAAGAGTTAAGTATAGACTAGAAACGTTCTCATTGCTTTCTGATAAAGATGAAGCTCCCTTGGGGAAAAAGACATAGTTGATAGGAAACACCTTTGATGTTAAAAAATGTGCCAGACCAAAAGGTACAGCTGGTATATGAGTCACTAATGAAGATCTTGTGGTTATAGGTTTGAAAGTTAAGGTAATTAAGTGTTATTTTTTACTTTGGGATTTAAAAATGATAGTGGGCTATTTACAGCCTATGGAATAAAAGTGGAGCTCCCCTGCTCCCTTCTAAACACACCAACAGTTCCATTTTTGTTTTTTCTTCTCTGCCACATACTTTCCCTGAAAAAATAAAATAAAAATAAAAATAAAAAAAATTCAGGGTCTCACTGTCACCCAGGCTGGAGTGCAATGGTGCGATAACAGCTCACTGTAGCCTCAAATTCCTGAGCTCAAGTGCTCCTCCTGCCTCAGCCCCCCAAGTAGCTGGGACTACCAGGGTGTGCCACCACGCCTGGCTATTTTTATTTTTTAATTTTTTAAAATTTTTTGTAGAGATGCGGTTTCACCATGTTGCCCAGGCTGATCTCGAACTCCTGAGCTCAAGCGGTCCTCCTACCTCAGTCTCCCAAATTGTTGGGATTACAGGCATGAGGCACCATGCCTGGCCGAGTTCCACCTTTAATGATACACCCTGGGGAGTTGTGATTTTAGTGTGGTCTTACTTTCTCAAGCAAAACCCCCCAAAATTCTGAAAGGAGTTAGAAGAGCATGAAGACAGGCATGTTAATGACGCTCTTATTTCTTTTGAAATAGAAACTTGACATTTGCCAGCAGGGAGAAAGTTGTGGAGAAATTTAAAGGGTTCACTGGTGTTCTTGGCTTGAGAGCATGCTTTGGTTGCCGGCAGCAGGGGTAGAGTAGGAATTCCTTCCCATTCTTTAGCTAGAGACTTAAATTTCAGAAAACAGGGCAGTAAGCATGAAGATTTGGGTTGAACTTTTCAGTAGCGCTCTGGTGCTTTTTTCAAACGAAAGCAGAGATCTTAAAACTTTTCCTTATATGGGATTTCACAGCTTTATGAAAATGGGCATGCTTACTTAATTTCCAAGAATAGGTATAATTTTGTTTGAAGTCTTTAAAAGAATTACTACCAGTGAGAAAAAGACATTTTTATTATAACACTTGATACTTACATAAATGTACAGGACTTCAAGCTCTACGGCTTCTTAAATCCAAGAAGCTGGTAGTTTTCCCTCTTAACTTAGGGAGGGTAAGTTTTACCTCTTGGCCAAACATGATGGTTTGTGTCTGTAATCACAGCACTTCGGGAGGCTGAGGTGGAAGGATCACTTGAGCCCAGGAGTTCAAGAACAGCCTGGGCAACATAGTGAGACCTTGTCTCAACATAAAAAAAAAAAAAATAAATAAATTAGTTAAGCATGGTGGTGCATGCCTGTGGTCCAAGCTACTGGGGAGGCTGAGGCAGGAGGATCGTTTGAGCCCAGGAGGTTGAAGCTGCAGTGAGATGTGATTGTGCCACTGCACTCCAGCCTGGGCAACAGAGTGAGACCCTGACTCAAAAAAATTTTTTTTACCTCTTTCCTAGTTCTAGAAAAGTCTTTCCATAATGTTGGCTTCTGGGAATTCATATCAGATTTAACTTCAGGTAACACCAATCAAGCACCTGAACTATGACCAAAGAGGTTAAGGTTAATTAAGTATTTGAACTTTGTATTTAACCAGGCTTGGGGTGAATTGCTTAAACGTTCTAAGTCTTATTTTCCTTCTTTGTAAAACAGGGATTAAGAACAATATCTCCTCTTAGGGTTAAGTAGCTCCCCTACGGTGGAAGAGTGTTGGGGACACCCAAGGACTCTCCCTGCCATAAGTACACACACATGCATGTGAGTGTACACACACACTCATGGCCACTGACCATAAGGCAGGGGAATAGAGTCTCAGGGCAGGAAAACTAAGGACTTCCTAGAAGCAAATCAAACGGAAAAACCCCAACTTTCTACGACCAAGTAAATAACTCTGTAACTCTACTTCAGCTATGACAGGAAATAACCTCTTCATACGCATAGAGTGTACACCAAATAAATAACTTTGCAACTTCACTTCAGCCTCTTTATTTATGCAGGGTATACACCAAGTAACCAGTGGGAAACCTCTAGAGGGTATTTAAGCCCCAGAAAATTCTGTACCCAGGGCCCTTGAGCCACCTGCTTGAGGCTGTTCCCACCCTGTAGAGTTTCATTTTCAATAAATTTCTGCTTTTGTTGCTTCACTCTTTCCTTGCTTTGTTTGTGTGTTTTCTCCAGTTCTTTGTTCAAATGTTCGAAATGCCAAGAACCTGGACCCTCCACTGGTAACAACCAGACCTCAAGTCCAGGTCTTCCTTGTGGACAGGACAGAACCAAGGCCCAGCTCCCTCCTGACCCACAGCCACAGATGTGATTCTGGCAGTGAAGTCCCCTTAACCCCATGTTTTAACCACTGGAGTTAAATGACTGCCAAGTAGGTATGAGGCAGAAAAGGAAACAGGCTACATGATTAAAACATGAGAAACAACAAAACAACAACAGTTGATTTTCTGATGGGTCTGAAGCCTTTGCAGGGATTGTCCAGGTCTCTGAGATTATAAAGTGAGAATTTCTGAGGCTTTCAGATTTCATAGACCAAAACCATTACAAAAACATTTTGGGAGTGGGAATGGAAACTGAGGCTGTCAACTTTTTATTTTGCCAAAAAATGACCAAAACAAAAAACCCACATCCAAATGATTACAAATATAATAATCATTGATACAAGAATTGCATACATTTAGCTTTACATTGCTCTGATTACTCTCATTTTACCTCTGAGTTGTGAAAAACCTGTCTGTGGATTTGCAGCCATCGGCAGATAACTCTGGAACTTCTGCTACAGAGAATGCACAGCCAGGCATGAACAGGGGCCAAGGGAGTAGGTTTATGAACATACATTCCTGACCTCAGCTCCTGGCAGCTGCAGTCAGGCAGCAGTTTTGAGGGTTCCTACTTCTGCAAACATTCTGAGACATGCAGACCACCATTCTAGGCCTCCCCCTCTTACTTCATTACTTGCATAATTTATCCCTCAAGGACAGTACAGCATAGCACAACACATGGCTTATCTCTGATGCACAAGGTTGTGTTTCTTCATTTATCCTGCACACGAGTCTTTGTCCTCCCCACAGCATCACAAAGGGACCCAGCAGAGAGAATCTTCCACAGCCTACACTCATTATATTCTCTTTGTCTTTTCTCCTTCTTCCTACAAAGTTAATATCACATGGATTAAGTCAGAAGACTCACAAGGCTTATATTATTCATTCATTTGTTTGCTCATTTATTGATTGATTTAATACATATTTATTGAGTTCCTGTATGCACCAGGCTCCATGCTAGGTATTGAAGGTATAGTAGTGGGCAAGCAAACGCAGTCCCTTTTCTCGTGGAGGGAGAATTCGAGAGACACAAACACATGAGAATATGTAACTATAAAAATATGATGAGAACAGTGAAAAAAACAAGGAGTGTCATGAAAGCGTGCAACAGATGGGGTGGTTAAGAAAAGCTTCTCTGAGAAGACGACATTTAAGGCAAGGCCCGAGAGATTATGTAGTGGACATTCACTGGTTTTGTTATCCTTGATCAACTTTCCCTTCTTTGGTAACAATGCCCTGATGATTATGTTTGGAGGCTTTCATTCAAGGTGTCCTGTTCTTCTCTGGCTGAGGGTAGGCATGTGGCCAAGCTAACCAAGGCTGACGTTCTTCTAGGGTTTGGAATCTTGAGTGGAGTGATGCAAAAACAGAAAAACCAGAGTGGCTTGTTCCACTGGTTGAGCCTCAACAAGGTGTCTGTTAGGAATCAAATCTCCATAAGATTCCTGAGCTGTTTGGTCTTTGAGCTTTCCAAAACTTGGCTGAAGAGACTGAGAGCTACCTCTATGTGCACCAAATTTTTTTGTTTACATTATTTCCCAAATAATGTACCACAGAACTCTAATGGGTTCTGGAAAGCGGGATTTAGCAAAGTGAAGAGTTTGGGAAAGAGCACGTCAGTGGAAGGAACAGCATGTGGAAGGGGCTTTCTGTGAAGAAGAGAAGAGCTTGCTGGTTTGGGGAACAGAAAGAAAGCCAGTTGGGCAAAGTGTGCTGAGTGAGGGGCAGAACAGTACCAATATCTCTGTAGGGGCAAGCTGCACCAGACCTCATGGGGCCATGTATAATCGTTTAGATTTTATCACCAGCACATAGGAAAGTTACAGACATATTTTGAGCATGGGAAGAATATTTTAAATAGCAAAAATGTCACAAAGGAAAAACAGAAGAGTTCAACTAACAGCGTAAAGAACTGTGAATTGGTCATCCCAGTTCTGCTCTGAGCCAGCTCCAGGACCTTGGATATTTGTAAGGCTCTGATGATTTCTCTTAGCCCCAGTTTTCTCATCTGTAAAATGAGGTGGTGGGTTAGATGATCTCTAACTCCATCTCTGATGTTTCGTGATCTATGATAAAACCATGCCAATAAATGTAATTGTCATTAAGGAGCTTACAATCAAGTGGGAGAGATAAACACACCTAACCTCTATGATACCTGCTGTTGATGTTCCAGGGAGTTCTAACGTTTAAAGCTTTTGGTAGCTTACAAGCTGATTTTGCCAGCCCATTGTTATGTTGACTGCCAAAGGATTTTAAACAGTACTAGGCTCAGTAACCAATTCAATGAAGAACTTTCAAAGAGGGTATTTACATGAAGTGTGATGCTCTGCTAAGCTTAGATTTAGTGACTTCAACTGAATGCTTCATAACAGAAAACGCTAGCAAGAGTACTGATTCTTGGGTGAATTTCATCTAGAACTTGTAACTGCAGGAGTGCCTGTGAGTGATCTGTGTGTCAGTTATCTATTACTGTATAACAAACCACCCTAACACTTAGTGATTTGAAACAACCACCATTTTATTTCTCACAATTCCTGGGTTGGCTGGACTATTTTTGGCTGGCTTTCCCTGGAGCTCACTCATGTGGCTGAGAGCTGGTGGGCTGCATAGCTGGGACAGCAAGGCTTTCTCTTCTCAGGGTCTTTCCTCTTCAAGGAGTTGGACCAGGTTTCTTCATGGCAGTCTCAGGATAGCATTTCAAGAAAGCAAGGAGCAAGGCACAAGTGCACATCGAAAGCCCCTGCTTGTGTCATATTTGTTCATGTCCCAGTAGCTAAAGGAAGTCACAAGGCCAACTCCAGGGTCAACGTGGGAGGGAGCTACAGAAGGACAACTCAGTAGGGGTGATTCATTAGAAGCCATTAGTGTAAAATGTGTAAACTTTTCCTCTGAGACTTGCATTGCAAGATACACAACTCTAACCTATAAAGGATGACACTTTCTTTTTCTTTTCTCTCTCTCTCTCTTTTTTTTTTTTTTTTTTTTTGAGACAGAGTTTCACTCTTGTTGCCCAGGCTGGAGTGCAGTGGCATGATCTCAGCTCACTACAACCTCCGCCTTCTGGGTTCAGGTGATTCTCCTGCCTCAGGCCTCCCAAGTAGCTGGGATTATAGGTGCCTGCCACCACGCCCAGCTAGTTTTTGTATTTTCAGTAGAGACGGGGTTCATCGTGTTGGCCAGGTTGATCCCGAACTCCTGACCTCAGGTGATCCACCCACCTCGGCCTCCCAAAGTGCAGGGATTACAGGGGTAAGCCACCACGCCCAGCCAAGGATGGCACTTTCACAGACACAATATCTATGTTATTACTACTATAAGGGAGCATGTGGAGTCACCTTATTAAGGGACTGAGTCCTACATCAGTGGCTCTGCTTGCCTCATAAAATTATTCATTAATTTTTAGCAGTGGCCTTGGGAAGTTGTGTACATAATATTTAGAGGAAAATGGCATTTACAATGATAATGAATTAAAGCAATTCACACGGCAGTACCACTGCCCCAATTTAAACCTTGAGGCTTGCTAATTTCATATTTAGCTGCATCCCATATGCTCCCAATCCCTCTGCCCTAGTGTGGAGCTACAGCTCAAACTCCTTTGAAGGTAGGAAACTTACCTCACACACGCGTGTTCCCCTCATTCTTTCAGCGCATAGAACACTAAAAAGATGCTCCTTAAATACATGCTAAATAAACTGATCAATAGTTGCCTTTTATTAAATATCTTTGTGTTTCAGGTATTTCCTTATTTCCTTCACAGACCGGATCATGAATGATCTCCCAATGTGACAAGGTCTTATTCTCCACAGTTTACCGTTGAGGGGACTGAGGTGCAGAAAGCCCAAGGTGTATGCAGCCCAATCCCCTCTGATCCCACTCTACTGCATTGCTGCCTTTTGTACGCAGCAGGAAGGACACTTCCTGTAAAAATGAAAAAAAAAGCCTTAAGTTGTTTGAGAGAGGGTCAGGAAGAAAACAGGAAGAGCCAGTAGACTGCAGGTGCTTTCAAAGGGCTCCCTGTCTTTGACATCCCTAAAATAAAAACTTGTTAATTAAGAGATTGGCCACAGAAATCCAGGTGGAAAACCTGCAGAAGAGTGGGTTCCACAATTCTTCAAAACAGAACAAAAAAACCCCAAGACTTGTTATATTTTTACCGGTGGAGGGGAAGAGGTTACAGGAGTGGCCTTGCTCCCCGGGCTGGCCTTGCTGAGCAGGTGACAATACCACACATATAAAGGTTTTAAGGTGAAAAGGTAGTCAATATTTTACATTTCGAAGATAGTTTTTAAAATCACCTACTGCATCAGTAGTAATACAACAATAACTACCATTTACATACCACCGCACACATCGGGGCTGCGTAAAGAACTTTATAGTGCACCATCTCAATTAATTCTCACAACTCTGTGAAGTAGGTTTTATTATTCTTAATTTATAGACGTGTTCACTGTGGGCCAGGGAGATGAGCTTTCCCGCGATTGCCCAGCTTTTAAGAGGTAGATCTCAAACCTAAACGTGTTTGACCAAAAGCCCTGAATAACATTTAGCCGTGGGCCTCTTGCGGATTTGGCGCTGGTCCGAGGTGGGGAATTGTGAATCTCATTTATTTATGCTGAGCTGCGCACACATATGCACGTGTAAGTTACAAAAAACAAATCCAGGTCAGGATCTCTGTCCGCTTGAGGTTTCAAAGCCTACTTGGGTAGACAGCGGTAAAAGTCTCAACTCATTCATCTACTCGTTTGCTCTCTTCACAAGTATTTATTGCGCACTTCAGTATTCCAGACAGGGCGCTAACCTTGCCCTGGAGGAGAGAATGGTGAACACAACAGACATGGCGTTTGCCTCCAACTATCCCCTTTCCGATTCTGCTATCTCACGGGCGAGGCGTTCAAAGAAGCAGGAAATATATCAACAAGGGGGTGACTTAAGCACCCGCTGCGCGGGAGCCGGAGGAAGCGCGCTGAGCCTGCAGAGGTGGTCAGGGCGAACTTCCTGGAGGCAGCGGCAGCAGCAGGCCGGGCGAGAACCCAGGTCGCTCGGAAGCGACAGTCTGAGCCGGGAACGGGGAAGAGGGGGCGGGAGCCGAGGCCCGGGCGGGGGCAGCCAGCGAGTTAGGGTTAGGACGGGAGGATTCGGCTTCCCGGCGGCAGAGGGCGCCTGGCGCTGCGGTCTGGCGCGCCAGAGTCGCCCGCGCGGGCGCCGAGAGGAGAGGCGAGGCGGGGAGCGCAAGCGGCGGCGGCCACTGCCACGTATTCCCGGCAGTGGTGGCGGCGGCGGCGGCGGCGCCCGCGGGCAGGTGGGCTGGGAGCGGCGCGGCGGCGGCGGCGGCGGGGCGGGCGAGCCGGCGGGCGGGCGCGGGGCACGGGGCACCGGGCACCGGGCGGGGGTGCGGCGCCGGGACAGTACGGTTCCCGCCACGCCGGCTCCGCCTCCGCGCAGTGCTGCTGACCCAGGCCTGGGCGCCCGGCGGGTCCCGAGCGCAACTCGTGCGGGCGGGGTTGGGGGCCCGAGGGACTCGAGCTCGCCTGCCCGTCGCGGCTCGAGACGCTGCATCCCGGTTGCTGCGGGGCGGGGGCTGGGAAAAGTTGGGGCGGACCGCGAGCCCGCGGGGCCGGGCGGGAAGTGCGGGTGCGGGGCGGACTCAGGGGCCGGGGGACGCAGTGCAAAGGGCTTGGGCCGGGGCGGCCGGGAGGGCCCCGTATGGGAAGGTGGGAAACGCGGGTCCTTTGAGGACGCCGAGAAAGGGGTGCGCTCAGGGTCTCTGGGAGTGGACAAGAGTCCGGCGGCGGACCTTGCGGGTGAGAAGGGTCGGCGCCTGGGGGTCGGGGAGTAGAGGTGAGGCGGGGGCGGGATAGAGCCTTCCTCCTCCCCCGTTCTTTCGGGACCGACCCTGAGACCCGGGGCAGGCTCCGAGCTGGGTACGCCTCTGGCATCTGAAGACCCAGTGGGGAGTTCCTGTACGGGGTGGGTGGAGGAGGGAGCTGAGCGTTGCTTCCTCTGCTGCTGGGGCCGACTACCGCCCCTCCCCAGCGGCCAGATTCACCTCAGACTGCAGTGCTTTTGCCCTGAGGAAGTTGAGGAGGGACAGCTGAGCGGATGAGATGTTTGGGGTGTTCCAAGATGAGTGGGATTAGGCTGCATGATATCATAACTATCTCCGGGAGCTGTCAGAAAACACTCCCATGTCCTCATACACCCACCCATCCACTCATCCAGTCAGTACTGCCAAGCTCCAGGCTCCCTTGCTCTTTAAGTGACACCTCTAGATCCCCAGAGCCCAACAGCGCATCTGCTCACAGCCTCGAGGGTGGCAAGGGTGGAAGACATGGCCTGCTAGTGTCTGCGTAGGTTGGTGCTTTCAGAAACAAGTGGTTCTGGAGGTGCTGGATGCTTTATTAGAACAACCTGTGTGGAGCCCGTTGACAATGCAGATGACTCATGTTGGCTTTTTTTTTTTCCCCTTTACAAATAAACTTTGTATTCAAGACACCAGTATGCCTGGTCATTTGCAGCAGTGATACGGCAAGAGACCCATAGTGGGCTTCTTGAGCCCTTATTCTCGTCCTAGATGTGTTAGCAAGAAGTTTGACCTTGGATGAGTCACTTGCTCTCTCTGGACTTCTGTTTTCTTATCTGTCACATGGGGTATAAAGAGAGAGCTCGACAGTGTGATGTAGACAGGAGTAGGTTTCTGAGGGACACAGTGAAATCTTTTTTCTTGTAAGGCTGGATCAGCCACAGAAAATAAGCCTTAGCCTGTTCTTATAAAGAAATTAGCTTAGATTTAAAATAAAATATGAGAAGAAATATTGCAAAAAGCAAAACAACAAAAAACTAATAGTAGTTGGTACTCGATTTACAACATGAATACTGTTCTTATGCTTGCAGTTAGTGTACTTGGTTGTCCAGCTATCTACTATAAAGTTGCTCATTGTGCTTAGAAAGTGTGTATTTCACCTGTGGACCCGAATTTTTTCTTATTGTTTAATCTTCAAGCTTGGAGTGGACGCTCAAGCTTGGAGTTGGATTGGTCCTGCTGGGGTTTGTCTGAAGAACATCCTCAGGGTCTCTCATTGCATAATATTATAGGTTTCCTTCTGTCTGACTGATGCTGGGGTCCTTGTACAACTATGCTTCTGCCATCTTTTCCATTCTGGCTTGAGAAGTGGTGAGCTGGTTCCTCTTGCCTCTGGCATGCCCAGACTTCTCATTTCTTTTCAGATGAGTGTAGTAAAAGGCAAGCAGTGAGTTAGAGGCAGCACATTAAAAATTGCTCCAGGCAATCATCTGTGTCCCCTCCACCCCGCTCCTGTCCCCTAGACCCCCTGGGCAACTTCTCACTAGAGCTTCCTGGTCATAAGCTGGCCTTGACATTTTGGGTGCTGAGGGCCATCACAGCATTGAAGTGACTTGGCCAGGGTCACACCACACATTAATGATCAAGCCATGGTGCTGGAAGAAGAGGAATTTTTTTTGTGTGTGTATTTTGTCATAACTGAATGTTCCTGTTCTTGTCCATTAGTAGCTTTCAAAATCCATATTGGGTTTGACCACATCATTTTCAGTAATCCTTTTTTGTCAGCTTTTTGGAAGCTGCAGTTAGTGGTTCTCTCTGAGTTTGAGGTAGTGGTATTTTATTATTAAACAATTTTTTCCAAATATTTTTTAAACTACTTTCCTTTTCAGACCAGATGAGGTAGTGTTAAAAATGATATCTTCTCCAACAAGTAAAGGCTTGATTAATTAGGTTGAGTCTTTAAAATATCTAGTGTTTGTGTGTGTATAAATTTTACTTTAATTGAGAAGTATTGATAAAAATCATAATCGTCACCATTTGAGCCCCTGCCATTGAGCAGGCATTGTGAGGTAGGAGTGAGCATCATTTTACAGGAGAGAAAACAAAGCCAAGAGATGGCACGACTCTGGTACAGCTGTCGTGCATAAGTTACTGATGATCTTTCAATCCATGTACCATTTTGTTAACAGTGGAAAAGGAATTCTCAGCTATCCTACAGGGTTGTGCTAGTTAAATGAGATACTGTATGTGAAGAGCAACAAGTAAACTCTTAACGGGCTCCCTAACCCAGCACATTTTAACATAAACACTTGTAGACTCTGGAAGCAGTGTGGTGAAGTGGTTAAGTTCAAGCGTCTTGGGAGTCTGGCAGGCCTGGGTGTAAATACTGAACCTGCTGCCTGACCTCTCTGAGCCTGGTTTCCACATGTGTAAAATCAGGATAATACTGTCTGTCTTATATTCAAGAAATGTACCCACTAATTGCAGTGGGTGCTGAGTAAAGATTGGCATCCACTCCTTTCCCTTGCACACAGGTACTTGGGTCAATGGGATTGAGTAAGTCTTTCAGCAGTTGTCCTCAGGGGGAAAAGGCTTAAAGTACTTTTTGTACTTATCAATGATTCTTCTAGCCTTTTTGCCTTCCCACCCTAAGCCCCAGCACGCGCAATGAATATTCCAGGGCCTGTGATTGTCTTGTCCAAGGGAATTGAAAAAATCGTAAGCCAGAAAGGACAGGTCTTTGATAGAAAGTTGAAAATGGATGTAGCTGGTTTCCCTTTGCCCATTTTGTGGCCTTCCTCCTTTTTTTTTTTTTTAAATTAATTTTGTTGGACAGGGAAAAGATACAGAATTCAGGGGGTTCTAGCTGGAAGGGGGCCCTGGAAGAGCCTATAGTATAGGGCAGCTAGAGAGAGGAGTGGGCTGGCTGACGGTCAAAGCTAGTTTGGTGTGGGGGAAATTTCTGTTAGATGCAGGATTTGGCTTAATATGGGACCAATTTCCATCTAGTCCTTTAAGGCCCTCTTTTGGGACTCTGAAGTTTTTGTGCTCCAGGCAGATTTTGACTGGTTGTGGTGGCATCACAAATGAGTTTCCATAGTAAATTGTATGCTGAAAGGAAATTAAATTCCAAGAGGGTGTTTGTTGTGACTGATGCCAGAATTTCCTCTGAGAATTTTATTAACATTCAGTCTGTGAAAGTACTTCTTAGTTCTCTGAAGATAATAATTAGGAAATAGTTTTTAAAAAGTAGAAGTGTCGTCTTTGTGAGCTTTTGAAATGTCATCTTCCTAAATCTTTGGAGCAAATGAGGCTCAAAACATCATAGAGACTTATATTTTAAAAGCATTTCTTCCTAAATGTACTGTTTTCCTTCTCTTCCTGTTCCTTCCGTCCTCCTACATTATTTTGATAATGAGTTAATTTTGGTTTCTTTCACATTGTGGTGGCCTAATTTTTAAATTTATGACCCTTCATTTTTAGATCTTGCATGTATTTTTTTTTTTTTACCCTTGAGTCAATTCTCATTGATTATGAAGAGCTGGTATAGCAAGATGGGAAAGAGAGAGGACCCTGGAGCTAGGTTGGTGAGATCTAGGCTCTTTAGAACTTGGATTCGGTCCTCACAGTAGCTCTGGGAGGCTGATCATGCTATTCCCAACACACAGATGTGGAAATGGGTGCAGAAACACATGTGTGTTCACATAGCCAGCAAGTGGTTTATCTAAGTGTCACTGCAATGATCTGTAGGACTCCAAAGCCCATGCTTCCAGCTGGAAAGGCAGGCAGGGGCCTTGCATGCTGTGCCAGGGTTGGGACTTAGTCCTGTAGGCAGAGAGGGTCAGGCCTGTATTCTAGAAAGGTAGCTCGGTGGCTGTCTGGAGTTTTGAAGTGAAGCAAGTAGAAATTAGGTGTAGAGAAACTAGTTCATTAAAGTAATGTCTTGAGAGATGAGGGCCTGAACAGAAGACATTAAGACAGTGGCAGTGGTTGCGGAGAAGAGGGGGCTTGTTGGAATCCATAGAGCTTAGTGCCTTTGGATACTAGAATTGCATCATCCCTTCCCATTTCAGGTCTGATGCCCCAGGGATGGGTGTTGGAGATGCTGACTATGTGCAGGCTAAAAGCAATCTCTGCAGAAACCAAAAGTGCCTCCTTTGGTCTCTGCTAACAGCTAGAGAAAGGTGGCTGAGCACAGTCCGAAAGGGCCTTCCCTTCCCTGTGCCACCCCAGCCTTATCATTCCTAACTTTCCAGGAGCATCGCAGAGAATGAAGTTGGATTCCTCAGACTGCATTTTGGGAAATGCTAGTCAAGGTTAGAAGTGTGGAAGGGAAGACGCCTTCCTGGGGTATTGTCTGCACACCCCTCTTCCCTGGTGGCACAGGGGACCCACCAGGGTTTGGTCCTCAGTTTTGGCTATTCCATAAGAGTTGATCTGCCCTAGATGGGGTTAACTTGTGGTCACCAAACTTGCAGGGGTTGACTGGGAAGCAGGAGTGGCAGTGAACATAATGGCCAGCCCCAAGAGGAGTCGAGGCCAGCCTCCTCTGACGGGTGCAGTCTCTGCGGGGCGCCAAGCCATGCTCAGGGAAGCGGGCATCAGAGCCCAAGGAGATGATTGGCTGGGGTCTGCATGTCCTGTCATCGGTAGGACGCACTGTTGCCATGTCAGGAATATACTGGTTTTGTGCCCTTTCCCCTAGTCAGTGCCAGACGTGGTCATAAACTTGCTTTTGGGCTTCCGTTTTTCCAAATTGTGCAACATCCCTGCCCTTCTGAGAGTTTGTGCTGGCTCTGGTCAGGCCGGAGGTCAGGTGGTCAGATTCTGGCTTTATTTGGGCTGTGTTCTCGCTGCGAGGAGGAAGCCAGGTTACCTCTGTTGGACCTGCCTGCTCCCAGCATCTCCAGCAACAAGCTGTCTCTGCCGGTGAGTCACTCCGTGCAAGAGTCTGCTCACCCACTTTCTGCTTGATGTTTACACTTTTCCCTCAAAGAGGGAACCTCTTCTTGTTCTGAGGGCACTTCTCGGCAGTCCCCTAGAGTGTCCAGTTGTTTCTTTTGTGGGGTAAGAACCCGTGCCAGACAGGTACATGTTTTAATGGGAGAAGAGCATTTCTGCCTGTGGATATGAGCTGTCATGCCTACCTCTTGAACATTATGTCCTGAGCAAAGCCCTTTTCTCGTTCTTTTTGCTTCGTGTTTAGGTGCGTGTTTGGGTGTGTTTGCTTTAATTATTACTGGGAAGCAAAAAAGATATTTATCAAAGGTTTAAATCTATAGCAGTGCCCCTGCAAGCAGAAAGAAGAAGTATATATTTAGCCAGGATATCATTGATTTATCACCCTTTTTTCCATTTTGTTCCTGTTTTGTTGGCAGGACCATCTGATTTGTATACTGGTTCAGTTTGGATTTCAGTAGTGAGTGTGAAAAGATTCCTGGGCTGTTTGCCGAAGTGGAGGGACTCAAATGCGTGGGCTTCAGGGCTGCCAGTCTTGGCTGTCCCTGCAATCCCAGGAGCCTGGCACATGGTGCCTTTGTCAGGAAGGTGGAGTTTGGCCAGGCCGTTTCTTTGGCTTTGCCTGGGAGCAGCTCTGCTGGTGACAGTGGAGGCCTCCCTCTGCCGTGGGAAAGGGAATTCTCTCTTGATTCCGGTTTTGGCTTATTTCTCATCCTATAGGGATGAGAGGGAGGAAGGCCCCAGAACTAGTGAGTTTTGGTGATGAGCAGGTTCAGGGTAGGACTGGTTTGCAGCTTCCACAGAGCTTTTACAGATGTTTTCCTTGCATCCCACATTTTCCTTCTTCCTTGTTAGTCCCAATTCAGTCTGTCATCAGTACTGCAGAAATTGGCTTGAACTTTGTCAGTCTTGGGAAGACCTGGAAGTGCAGCATAGAAACCTGTTCAAATTGGTGCAGCAATTTCACATCAGCATAAGTAGCTTGTTTTGGTGGTGGTGGTTTTTTAATCAGTTTAGGTGCTTTTTTTCTGAAATCATATAGGTAATATGTAAATGTATTCTCCTGCAGCCTGCCCTTGCATTTAAATAGTGCAGAAGGACACAGCAGACTTGTCACATTCCCCTTCACCCAGCACCCCTCCCCAGGTGCCAGCTCCTCCAGGTCCTCAGAGATAACTGGTGTTAGCAGTTGGATCCGTGTCCTGAAACTGTCAAGCCTGTATACACAAATACACTATGGTTTTCCTTCTTTTAGAAGCATGAATCTGATTGCATCATACTGCTTTTTTCACATAGTATATTTTCGAGAGCTTTTCATGCATGTAGCTCTTCTCTGTTCTTTTAATTTGTCTTTTATTTGCCTACAAAATATTTTCCAGTGTAGTTATGTCATAATTTATGAATTGGTCCCCTACTGGTAGACATATAAACTAACTCATTAGTTTTGCTATTATATCTTCATTCATACATATTAGTATGCACATGTTTCTCTAGGAGTAGAATTGGCATGTCAAATGTTAAATTCATTTAAAATGTTGCAGCAGTACCCATACTATGCTCTCAAGAGATGTGCTAGTTCCTGTTGTCAGTGGTAATGGGCTGCCATTCCCCTGGGTGAAAGAAATGGATCATTGTTCAGTAGGCATTTCATTTATTATTGGTGAGGTTGCAAACCTCATCATTTGGCTTCTTTTTTTTTTCTTGATAAACAGACATGTTTAATGATAGCTTGCTCTTCACAGAGATGTCTACGGAGACTTTTTATCTATAATCCAGGAGTATATAACCATGCAGCACAGACCAATTAGCCAAATGCAAAATAAACTAGATTCTTACCACAACTATCCTATAAACACTGCAACTATTCTTTCCAAAAAGACCCTAATCTTATGTGAAAACACCTACTGTGGGGGAACCAGAAACCTAGCTATGTGGCCAAAAGGAAAAAATAGCAATTCAGTGGTTAATTGGTGAAAGCAGGAAATGTATGTCCTTTACTGTGCTGCTGTTGCTGCTGCTGCTGCTGCTTTGGTCTTCTTAGTTTTGTTCTTTTTGTCTCTCTTCTTCAGCCCATCCATGTTAGCTCTCAGGAGGTTTGAATAAGCCATCTGAAACTTATTCACTTCCTCGGAGCTCACCACTGTGCTGATCTTCTTTTTCCCATCGGTAGCTCTTAACAGACACTTGTTGTCTGCAGGCTCAAAGCCCTCCACAGTACCTTTCTTTGGAATGGATTTGGTTCGACTGTCATACTTCTTCAAGGTGATATGATGCTGCCTGATGTCCAGCACTTCTGGAAAAGTCTGGTCAGCTCCGTCAGGAGCTGCTCGCTCTCCAACAACACCATCGCGGCGACTCTGGCTCGACTCCCTCTGCTTAAGCCCCTAGCAGTGAGAACTGGTTATTTGGCTTCTTGATTCTTATTGCTGAGATCGTAGATGTTAAGAGTGGTGGGTCCATAGCAACTATAGAAGATGAGGGAACCAAACCCTCAAGGACCATGGCTCAGCTCAGGGTGGTGTAAGCGTCATGCCACCAGTGGTGGCATTGTGGTACCTGGAAGCAAGAGCTCCTGATTTCACATTCTCTGTTTCTCCCGGATGCTAGTTATGGTAATAGGACATTTTAATTTTGGTGTAACTTGCCAGAGTATTTCTCCAAACCTTTCATCTGAGGAATCAAGGGTCCGTAAGTATTAAGATCAGTCTGTCCTGTGCTGCTGAGGCGTGGATTGGAGACTGGGGAGGGGCACTGGGAAGACACTTAAAGATTGCGTGCTGGAAAATCAGGCACTGTTGCTTCTGGAAAAGCCTCCAGGAATGTGGTAAAGCAGATGTTTTCTTCTAGTTGCATGTGATTATTCCCCCTCTCCTGGCTTGCTATGGGAATATTGTGGTGCTTTGACCCTTAGCAGGATGCTCTGGGGAGAAGCGATGACTTCTTAGAAGGTGTTTGAGGGGTGTGACACAATGGGCTGGCAGAGAAGGCGTCTGGTGGCTTCCATGAATGGGCTGATCTCGGGGCCCTCCCTGCAGGCTGGGCTGTCCAGTGGACACAGTGGGCTTCGGAAAGCCCTGGCTTACTGGACCACAGAGTCCTTTACCTATTGCTCAAAGGGGCAGAGAGCAGGAGTGGTGGAGGGGGAACCCTTGGGAGATGAAGGGACTGCAGAGTTGAGCCACACTGGACCCAGCTCCCATTCAGCACCTTATGGGTGTGTGCCTTGAGCAGCTATTTTATCTCCCTGGGCCTCAGCTTTTCCCTGTAAGTTAGGAATAATAATTAGTACCTGCCTCACAGGGTTGTTGTGAAGATTAAAAGAATAATGTTTATAAATCTCTCAGCATATTACCTAATTAGTACTTGGTAATTGTAAGTAACTCCACCTATTTGTGTTCCCTTTTCCATATATATATGTATCTCTCTCTCTCTCTCTCTCTATATATATATATATATATGTATGTGTATATATATGTGTATATATGTATATGTGTATATATGTGTATATATGTATATATATGTGTGTGTGTATATATGTATATATATATGTGTTTGTGTGTGTGTGTGTGTGTGTGTGTGTGTGTGTGTGTGTGTGTGTGTATATATATATTTTTTTTTTTTTTTTGAGACGGAGTCTCATTTTGTCGCCCAGGCTGGAGTGCTGTGCCGCGATCTTAGCTCATTTCAACCTCTGCCTCCCAGGTTCAAGCAATTCTCCTGCCTCAGCCTCCCTAGTAGCTGGAATTACAGGTGTGCGCCACCACGCCTGGCTAATTTTTGTATTTTTAGTAGAGATGGGGTTTCACTGTGTTTGTTGGCCAGGCTGGTCTTGAACCCTGGACTTAAAGTGATCTGCCCACCTTGGCCTCCACAAGTGTTGGGATTACAGGCGTGAGCTACCACACCTGGCTAATAACTGTTTTAAAATGAGTGACTACATATCATATTTGCATATTACATAAGTAGACTTAATCTGGTAACATTAAAGAGAAGAGGTCAGGAGATTAGTAGCTGTCGGGGCAGATGAGGGTGGGGGCTATGGGAATTAAAAGGGATGAAGGTGGGAGGCTTCGGTGGAGGCCTTAGGTGGGGCAGGAGAGTTGAGTTGGGATGTTCTCTTCCAATACCATTGCTCCTGCAGAATCCCCTCCTTTGTGCACATCAGAGCCCCACACGCAGAGGCCTTTTCTCTTTTTTTAGATAGACTGAGGGTTAGGGGATTGCTAGTGCAACCTCTACCCTTTATTTCGAGGTGGCTGAGTGGGGCCCTGAAAGCCAAAGTGTCTGCCTCAAGCTACACAGATGGCCAGGACAGAGCACAAGTAGGCCCAGCTCTCTGTGCTCTGGGGAGTTGAGATTTCTTTCCCTTCTTCCCTGCACTGCCATGTGTTGCTTATAGCCAGATGCAGGAAAGAGACATGGTGTTAGGCACTTTACAAAGGTCTGCCGTTTACTCCTCCCAAGGTTCTTGTGAGATGAGGTTGAGATATGCATGTTCTTCTATTCCTACAGTGCCAGCCACAGGTTGATGTCTGCTGGTTTCATTCCCCTGGTCACCTGTAATCAAGGGGAGGGCAAAGACTGGATCCTGCTCCCTCTTTCCCACCACACCATGTATGTCGTTAGTTTTTCCTGCATGGAGCAGCTCTCCTGGGGACTGGTGTGGCAGTCAGTATTATTTATCGAATAAATGAGCAAGATCCAATTCAGTCTTTCCCTGGCTCTCGTGTCTCTGAAAAGAGAACATCTGCCTCTCCGTTTGGCCCTCTGGGATTAGTATAGCACCCCTGCCTGCCTTTAAGCTTATCCTCCTTCACTCAGAATTCATTCAGGAAATACACTGTTCTAGGTGTTGGTGATTTTGCACTGAACAGAAGGAGCCAAAATCCTGTTCTCATGGGGCCTATTTTCTAGTGAGGATGACAGACAATAGTGATTAAAATACACGACATGTTTATTAGGTTCCCAGGGCTGCTGTAACAAAGTGCCAGAAACTGAGTGGCTTAAACAGCAGGAGTATGTTTTCCCATGGATCTGGGGGCTCTGAGGGGAGTCTGTTCCATGCCTCCCTTCCAGCTTCTGGTGGTTGCTGGCCGTCCTTGGTATTCTTGGCTTGTGGGAGCATAGCTTCAGTCTCTGCCTCTGCTGTCTCATGGCATTCCCCTGTGTCTGTGTATGAGTCAGGGTGCTCCAGAGAGACAGAACCAATAGGACATAGACAGATAGATGAGAGGGGATTTATTAGGGGAATTGGCTCACATGACTTTGGAGGCTGAGAAGGCCTGTGACAGGGTGTCTGCAGGCTGGAGAACAAGGAAGGCTGGCAGCGGGACTCCGTCCAAGTCTAAAAGCCTCAGAACTAGGAAAGCTGATGGTGTAAGTCTCAGTTTGAGGTTGAAGACCTGAGAACCTGGGGGTTTGGGGGCAGGATGTGCTGGTGCAAGTCTTTCTTACTCAGTTGCCTGATTCAAATACCAGTCTGTTCTGGAAACACCCAGATGATGTAGTACTTTACTAGCTATCTGGATATCTTTTAGTTCAGTCAAGTTGACATCTAAAATTAACCATTACGGTGTGTGTCTCTGTTTTCTTATAAGGACACTAGTCATTGGATTAGGGCCCACCCTATTCTAGTATGACTGTGTGAACTCTGAATATCTGAGACAGGTCTCAATCAGTTTAGGGAGTTTATTTTGACATGCGCCTGTGACATGCACCTGTGACACAGCCTCAGAAGGTCCTGATGACATGTGCCCAAGGGGGTCTGAGCACAGCTTGGTTTTATACATTTTAGGGAGATATGAGACAATCAGTGTATGTAAGATGAACATTGATTTGGTCCAGAAAGGTGGGACAACTCGAAATGGGGCAGGGGCTTCCAGCTTATAGGTAGATAAGAGACAAATGGTTGCATTCTTCTGAGTTTCTGATTAGCCTCTCCAAAGGAAGCAAGCAGATATGCATTTATCTCAGGGAGCAGAGGGGCGACTTTGAAAAGAAAGGGAGGCAGGTTTGCCTAAGCAGTTCCCAGCTTGACTTTTCCCTTTAGCTTAGTGATTTGGGGGCCCCAAGATTTATTTTCCTTTCACAACTGCCTTTTTTTAAAACTGTGGCAAAAAACCCCATAAAATTTACCATCTTAACCATTTTTAAGTGTACAATATATTAATTAGTGTTACCTGTCTGCACATTACTATGCATCAGTATGACCTCATTGTGTTAGAGTTCTGCAGAGAAACAGAACCAATAGGGTTATGTGTATGTATATAAAGAGATTCATTATAAGGTGTTGGCTCACATGTTTATGAAGGTTAAGAAGTCCTAAGAGCTGCAGTCAGCAAGTTTGAGACCCCAGAGAGCCAATGGTGTAAGTTCCAATCCAAGTACTGAGGCCTTGAGACCCAGGAGAGCCAATGGTGTCAGTTCCAATCCAGGTACTGAGACCTTGAGTTCCAGAAGAGCCAATGGTGTAAGTTCTAGTCCAAAAGCCAGCAGGCTTGAGACCCAGGAAGAGCCAGTTTCTCAGTTCAGGTCAGTCCAAAGGCAGAAAAGACCAATGTCCCAGCTCAAGCTTACATACACTGCAAGAGGAATTCCCTCTTACTCAGGCTGTTTGTTCTGTTCAGATCTTCATTTGATTAGATGAAGTCCACCCAGATGAGGGAAGGCATTCTGCTTTATTCAGTCTACCCATTCAAATGTTAATTGTATCCAGAAAACATCCTCACAGACATACAAGGAATAATCTTTGGCCAAAAGTCTGGGCACCCATGGCCCAGTCAAGTTGACACATGAAATTAACCATCACACTCATCTTAAAATATTATATCTGCAAAGACCCTATTTCTAAATAAGCTCATATTCTGAGGTTCCAGGTGGACATGAGTTTTTTGGGACTCTGTTCTGTCCAGGTGGTATGTGAGATATTGGTGACTGCTGAAAAAGTGGAAGAGTCCCGCAGCAGAGGGGAAGGTGAGGTGGTCAAGGAGGGCTTTGCTGAGAAGGAATGTGTGCACTTGGGGCTGGAGAAGGGGGAGAGAGGGAGGAGCTGCTGTGTGGAGGAAGAGGATTCTGTGTGAAGGGGACAGCACAGGCAGAGGCCCTGAAGTGTAGGGACAGTACAATTTGAGTCCATTGTGTCAGGGGAGGAAAGGGAGAGGTTGGGAGTAAAGAAGAGGATGAGGATCAAGAGGTCCTTCTTTGCGTGGACTGTGGCCTTTGTTCTAGTAAGATGGGAGCCACTGTTGTGCCTGTGAGCATGAATGAAAGCAGGTAGTGTGGGCCAGCTCATTGAGGACTTTTCTAAGTTCAGATGGATGTAGCTGAGCTGTGTGTGTGCCTAGATATTTTGCAGCAGCTGTTTCTAGGCAGGTTTTTAAAAAATGTTAGTGCTGTACTGACCCTTGATCCACCACCCTTTCCTTTCTGTATGCTTTTCACCTACCCACCCACCCACACATAAACCACAAACACGAAGAAGAGAGAGCAAACAGACAAGGCTGTGGTGGCAGGAATTGCTAGGAAACTGTGTGCTTAGCTGCCCTGCTGTGAGCTGCAGGGCCTCACACGTGTGAACTGGTGGGCTCTTCCCCCCACGACCCCTTCAGCCTTGGGCCTGCCTGGTGAACGCCATGCCTGCCATTCAGGTGGTCTTTAACCTGGGTAGATTTAGAAAATGCCAAGGTCAGTGTGCAAGCTATGTGGATTCTTCTGGGCTTCCAGGATTCTTCTGTGTATAAAATCACTATGCTGTGAAAAGAGTTGAGTCAGCTCTCCTGGTCAGCAGGCCACATTTGGCCTTGAAAATGTGGGACAGGGAGGAACATCCAAGAGGACCTTTGGAGACAGTGAGTAGATGGCTGTGTGGTCTTGGTACGTGGGCCCAGGGCCCTCTGCTGCCAGCCTTGTTACTGGCCTACAAAGTGTTCACACATTGTTGTTCTTATTTGTCATAAAAACACTTCAGCCTGCAATCTGAGTATTGGTCATTAAAAAGAAGAAGGAACTCCAGGCGGAGGCTGGCCCTCAGCGGGCCTGGCCTGCTGGTCTGTGGCCTGTGTCGTCGGTTCAGTTTGCCCAGTTACTGGGGGAATCACTACTTCAGATTCCTTGGCCTTGGAGTTAAAGGGAAATATCCTTATTTGGTTGACATTTAATTTCCTTTTTGCCTCCAAAGGAAGGGGCCTGGCCCTTGTGTAATGAGGGCTCGGGGGAAGTGGGCTATATGGGGGCCTGATTTCAGACTCTCTCTGGGCTGTGCGGGGGCCTGATTTCAGACTCTCCTGCCTCCACTTACCAAGATAGTGCCAGAAGCAGCCTGCTTGGGGAGGTTATCTGGGAGGCCGATGTCATTGTGACCCCTCTGGGGAGCATCGCTTTAGAAGATAATTATGTGTAAGTGGAGATGAAAATAGAATTCTCCAGTGCCAGGAGCAGCTGCTCTTCCGTAGTGTTTCAGGAGTTGCCTTTGGGGCCCCTCCTTCCTCCCAAACAAAACACACCCATCCAAAATGAAAGTTGTGAAGATGATTCCTAGCTAGAAAAGTGAGTGTTACAAATGTGTTTTGTGAGTGTGTAATTCCAGAAGTTATTTTTAGGGTGTTCTTTCCTTAGCACATCAAAAGAGCTTCCTTAGAGGAACTGCCTTTTAAATTGCACAGCCTTTCTCTGCCAGAGTGCTACAGGAAGTTTTGACTCAGGTAGTGTTCCTTCAGAATCTGTGGAGGCAGGCTTTGCTTCCTTGTTATAGTTAGAACAGAAAGGCCTTGCCCACGAGTGGGAGCCAGACAGGGCTCCACGTGTTCCCCTCCCATAAGACAGCCTCCTTGTCCTATGCCCAGGGGTGGCTTTTGTCTCTGCTGACATGCCCCCAACATCTAGTAAATACGTACTTGTTGATGGACAGGATGTATTGGATGTGGGCCCTGGCATCTTTGCTGGGCTCTGAGTAGGCGGCATGCTGTGATTTCACTTAGAACCCTGAGAAGTTGGTCTTCTGGTATCCAGATTGGTACTGGAACATTAAGTTCTGATTTCATCACTGCTGCCTTCGATAAGTTACTTGCCTCCCTGGGCCTCAGTTCTCTCATCTTTAATCTAGAGGGTTGGATGAAATGATTGGCATGGGGGTCTCCCTTCACCTCTCCACCCACTCTGGGCAGCCCCTTGCACTGTCTCCCTGGTCACAGTGCGAGCTCCTGGAAGGTAGAGCCGGTTTAGGCACAGGGAACATGAACTTTTTATCCCAGCCAGCCTGATAAATACAGGGCTTCCCCAGAACTCAACATGCTTCAGCCCTGGTGCTCCCTGATGGCCTGTCTGGCCAGACCCCCAGAGTTCTTGCTTTCTGGGCCAACTTGGAGGCAGAGACGAGCAGGTGGTGGAGGATTTGGCTAAATCTCCATTCTGGCTCTGGAGGCGGGTGTCTCCAGTTGCTCAACCTGATCTCCTTGTTCTTTTCTCAAGTTTCACACAACTTTTTATCCTTTCCTTGAACAAAGGCTTTTTATTTCTGGATGATGTTGTGAGAAGTTTTTGTATTTATAAGTAAGGCAGAAAAGAATGGATCATAACTACAAAATTTTATATCAATTACATTCCAAATTTGTTAAGAAATATCTATGTGTAGGAAAAAGACCATAAAGTACTTTATTTTAGTGGTCATCTCTGGATTTTCATATTATAGGAGGGCTTTTTAAGCATTTTTTTTACAATGAGCATGTACTGTCTTTATAACTATTAAAATTATTAATGATAATTAATTATTATTTATTAGGATTTAGTATGTGCCAGACAATGTAAGAACTTGCCATTACAGTATCTTATTTAATTCTCACTGTGAACCTATGACATTCCTATTTTAAAAAAACAAAATATACTGGGTGTGGTGACTTGTACCTATAGGCCCAGCTACTCAGGAGGCTGAGTTGGGAAGATCACCTGAACCCAGGAGTTTGAGGGCTACATAGCAAAACCCATCCTGTTTCTTAAAAGCAAACAAATATTAACCTAATTTTTGTTATTGTGGTGAAATATACGTAAAAATTGCTTTTTTAGGCTGGTTGTGGTGTCTCATGCCTATAATCCCAGCCCTTTGGGAGACTGAGGCAGGAGGATCACTTGAGCCTAGGAGTTGGAGACCAGCCTGGACAATATAGTGAGACCCCATCTCTACAAAAAAATTTTTAAAAAATTAGTTATGCGTGGTGGTGTGTGCCTGTAGTCCCAGCTACTTAAGAGGCTGAGTTGGGAAGGTCGCTTGAGCCCAAGAAGCTGAAGTTGCAGTGAGCTGTGATCATGTCCCTGCACTCCAGCCTGGGTGACAGTGAGACCATGTCTCAAGGAAAAAAATTGCCTTTTCAACTATTTTTAAGTGTATAGTTTTGTGGCCTTAACCACATCCCCTGAGAGATTTTTTTTTGGAACCCCTTATGTGATAAATGAGGACGCTGAGACTTACAGAAACAAAGCTACCTGCCCAAAGTCACAGAGCTAGTCAGCTTCAGAGGCAGGATTTGAACCCAGAACTGACATACTCAGAAAGGTCCCAGGTTCCTGGGATCTGTGGTATATAACAGTTGGAGTCCATGATCACTCTTCTGCCTCTGCCCACCATTTGACAGTAGAAAGCCATTTGCTAGTGTATGTCTCTTTTTTGAAACTCTAGGGGTTGGATTGTGTTTGCCAGTGAGGTGGTGGTCAGCCCGATTTAGGGTGTGTGGCTGACGCAGGTGCTGCCTGTCAGCGGTTGCCAAGGTTGGTTTGTGAGCTCTGTTGTGTCTTGAGAAGGTTGAAGAGTGGGCTGCTGTACTGAGAGGGTTGTGTGTCGGAATTCTGTCTCTAGAAGGTCCTCAGCAGTGCAGTGGAAAGGGCAATGGCCTAGAGCTCAGATATGTGGCCTTGTCAGGTCTGGGTTATTTTGGAGAACACACATTGAACTTGGGAATTAGTCTGTACTTTAGTCCTGATTGTGCCGTGTGGTAGACATACTTAGGCTTCCATTTCCTCATTTCTCAGTGAGTGATAAAAATGCCTGTTCCACCTGCCTCCCAGGATGGTGGTGATGATTAAATGTCATGATGTAGGGAAAAAGTGCTGAGGAAACCACAGGGCTCTCAAGGAAGTTTCTCTGATGAGAATTTTGAGTGTACAATGGTGCGTGAGAACAGTGGGGCTGACCTTGGAGATGTGAGGAGGATGGATGCGGATGTGAAGAGCAGCAGGTTTGCTTTATTTCATTTTTGTTTTTGGCAGCAGCTTGTTTCCTCTACCATCGCTTCACTGGTGAAGTATAATGTTCCACTGTCTACCTGGTGTTGTACTGCCTAGTGCTGAATGCTCTAGGATTTCACTGGAATTTGTCCCTGCCAAATTCCTTGGATTCACTCTCCCCAAAACTCTCATCTCTTTGGTGAAATGAGTTGTAATTTAGGAGATCATTCTGTAACTGCGGTGGTTGAAAGTACATAGCAACTTTCCCTGGTCTTGTTTGTCTTCCTAATTTTTTTTTTTTTTTAGCAAATATTTGTCTGTTTCTGTTCTCTAATCTTGAGCAGCCAAGCGTGTGAGTGGGCTGGAACCTGGTGGTCTGCCCCTGGGGAGGGGAGGGGGTCCCCCTTGGGTGGTGCTTGCTCTTCATTGGACCCTTTCTGTGCTTGATGCTTTGTAGAACATCAAGGTACAGTAGGCAGAATCCCTTGTTTTATGGGAAGATATGTATACTCAAACCAATATGAGTGTTAGGGATAGACAGCTTGAGAAGTCCCTGTCATGAGAGGTGTAACCCTCAGTCCAAGTGGATGAAGATGGATTATTGGGGATAGTCAGAGAGGATAAACTGTTGGCAGGACTTCTGTGACTTTTTGCTTTTTCACAACTGTTTGAATCAGCTCTTTCCAAGCTGGGGTTTCTGTCCAGCTATCCTGAGATAATTTCTTGAGTCATCACTGTTGCAGTGCACGTTTCATCTGACAGGAAAGCAGGGGCCCATGCAGGGCTCTGCTGAAGTCAGTGGCCCTGTCTTGTTTTTTGGCTTTGAGAATGGTACTCGAAGACTAAGTAGGTCACAGATATCTATTTTGAATTGAGTATGACTGGGCTGCTTGGACATCTAATTTCCGGATCCAATCCTGTTGGTCGCGTTTGCCCAGGAGTTTGGCAGCAAGCACTCTCTGGTTGGTCGTAGGGTGTATTTATAAAGTGGGAAGAGTCTGGAGACACTGCAGTTCTCTATTCCTGCAGGAGAGCCAGGAGTGGGTGGGCTTCAAAACCCTTTAGGAATGGGGGGAGTGGAATTTTTCCACCTCACTTCCTTAAATTTTCTGAAAATTGCTGATCCTCACTAACTCTATGGAACTTTTTTCTTTCAAGGAATCAAATTTAATTTTTACCCAATATTAGCTGGCCTCTGCTTCAAGTTGGATAATAGCTTCAGTTGCTGTGTGCCTTGCCTTTTATGCAGATTATCTCATTTAATCCTCACAACAAGCTCAGAAAGTGGTTATTATTTTCTCCATTTTACAGAGGAAAAGACCTGAGAATCAGTGGGGCAGTAATTTGCTGACAGACCCAGTGTGTAAGTAGCAGTGCTTGAGATTCAAACGTAAGATCTTCTGATCAGAGTGTGGCCTTTTGCTGCATAGCACAGTGGTCTCAGGAGCCCTGGGAGGTGTTCTGGCCACAGCTGGAAGTGGCAGCAGGAGCCCTGGGAGAGGGTATTCTGACCACAGCTGGGAGTGGCAGTACAGTAGTGGCTCCTTGGCCCATTGTGGGTTGAGTGCAACCTTCCTCTGAGTAGAGGCCAGCTGTGGGTGTTGGGGATGTGGGCCGCCCAGCCCAGGGAAGCATCTGTCTTTGTGGAACTGGAGTTATGTTTTATGATGTCACTCTGGTGTGACTGGATCACAGAATTCTGAGTTTATACCCTTTGTTGGATTTTTTTCCTGTTTCACTATTTTTCTGTGGGTCCTTGCCCAAGACCTTGGATGAGTGCAGTGAGCAGGCGAGATCTGTGAGTTAACATAGGTGGGGAACGCATTGGATGCACCACCTCCTCTGTGTGCACTGGCTGTTGACCCACCATTCCTCATCATCAGTACTCCGTGCCTTCCCTGCATTTTGGAGGACTAAGCACTTTTGTAGCGGGGAGTGTGTGTTTTGCCTTTCTCTTCAGTTTGTCCCCATAAGCTACTTCCAGGGGCCTGGCAGTAATGCTGCTGCTCCAGGTCATTTGTGTTTGTGGAGTGTCAGAGTTTTCAGGACTTTGCCCAGAAAGTCTTGTCCAGTGCTCCCAGGGAGTGGTCGTCATCATCTCCATTTTACAGATGGGGATTCTTAAGGGAAGTCACTCTTAGGTAGCATACTTCTATACCATAGCTTCCCCTGTAAGTTTCATAAAACACAACCGAGAAGATGCCTGTTTAAAATCAGCTTGTATTCCGAAAGTGAAAGAATGCCCTCTTCAAATGCCCTGGGGATCGTGTACACAGTAGGGTTCTCTTCTCCCTCAGGAATGTGTGGTCCCATCCTAGGTTCCCTCCCGGCCGTTTCCTGGCTTTGTGAGCCTGAGCTGGTTACTGAACCTTTCTGAGTCTGTGTCCTATAAATTGGTGATGATAGTACAATCTAAAAGAGGCTGTGGTAAGATATATATGAGATAGTGTATGTGAGATCACCCAGGCTCAATGTGTTGTAATCGCTTGTTTTTATTTTTCAACCAGGATGGCTTGAAGAAAATACAGATCTCAGCTACAGAGGTTGAGGCCTGAGAAACTCCCCTCCCCTGAAGGGCATTAGTAACTGATCTTCCCTGCACACTTCCTCCCCCAAAACAAGAAGGAGAGGATGAAGCTTAAAAACCCTGTTTCAGCTAGAATCTTTCCAAGGTTTTCTCATTCTTTTGGTTTTGGAATGGGGTGCTGATATATGCTTCATTTACTGGAAACCAAAACTAAGGAAGTCCATGTTAACCACACAGCCTCTCAGAAATGCCCAGTATTTTTAAAAATGAGGAAATGCCAAAACACGATTTTAGAAAGCGGGGTATTTTAAATTTACATATTGGACGTGTCAGCACTTTTAGCACACACACTTTCACTGATTGTATAATTATCTTGAAAAGACTTAAAAAACTAAATTTGAGGTTTTCTGGTCTCATTTCTTGCGGGGTCTTGCTCTGTTGCCCAGGCTAGAGTGCGGTGGCATGATCTCAGCTCACTGCAACCTCTGCCTCCCAGGCTCAGGCGATTCTCCTGTCTCTGCCTCCGGAATAGCTGGGACTACAGGCATGTGCCACCATGTCCAGCTAATTTTTTATATTCTTGGTAGAGATAGGGTTTTGCCATGTTACCCAGGCTGGTCTTGAACTCCTGAGCTCAAGCAATCCACCTGCCTTGGCCTCCCAGAGTGCTGGGATTACAGGCGTGAGCCACTATGCCCGGCGTGGTCTCACCTCTTCAAAGACCTAATCAGCGTCTAGTGGGTAAGTCTTTTTGTTTTTTTTGAGACAGGGTCTCACTCTGTAACCCAGGCTGGAGTGCAGTGGCGTGATCACAGCTCATCTCCTGAGCTCAGGAAATTCTCCTGAGTAGCTGGGACAGGCAATCCTCCTACCTCGGCCCTCCCAAAGTGCTGGGATTACAGGCATGAGCCACCGTGCTTGGCCAGCTCTTACATTTTTGGTCACCTAGTGACAGACCTTTTTTCCCTTCTCCTCTCTCTCCTTTCCACATTAGTTTTTATGTTTGAGCCTAGACAAGTATAGGGGAAATTCCAGAGGAACCAGCAAAGTGACCTGCAATTTTTGATCTTTGGGGTTTCCAATTTTGTGTATTTGCTGTGTGATCTTGAGCAATTCTCTTACTTCAGGTCTCAAGGAACTTAGCATCTCGTAGGGGAGATAGAACTGGAGTTGATAGCCCTCTTATTGCTGTGGCTACAGACAAGGATTCTTGTCCTCAGTGTGGTGGTAGTGGTTTTTAAGTCTTTATGTGTTATAAATTAGAAGTTTGCAAGGTGTGGTTTTTGACACTAAGGGAATTGCAAATGGGATCAAGGACTAGACTTCCCTGCATGAGACACTCTCTCATCAGACACTCTCTCATCAGACTCCCAGACTTATGTTATACCACCTGGTGCGGTCAGTTACAGTTACCTGTTTACCTGGCCACCTGCCTAGATTAACAGCAAGCTCTACAATGGCGGAGACTTGGCCTATGCCCTGTTATATCTTAGGCATCTTATTTATTGTACTTCCATGTGGAATACAACGGATGCCTGCATAAAAGATTTGAAGGATTTCGAATCACTTAACATGGTAGCAGGCCGAGGGGTGGAATTGGCTACCACAGGTCTTGTGTTGCGTAAACTGGTCGTGCCACATGACCAGACTTGTCTCCCTTCCTCCCATGCCCACAGCCCCTCTGCTGAGAAAGACAGAACCAGTACCAGGTAGGTCCCTTGTAAAAAGCCAGAGGGGTGAGTGGAATTATCTTCTGTTTTATAGACCAAGATCTGGAGAAGTCACATAGCTAACATGCCAGAGAGTCAGCATTTGAATGTGGGCCTGCAGGAGTCCACTTTTTATACCCTTCACAGATCGGATATGCTGGTGCATCTGCCCCTGAGGACATATTCAGCGATACAAATCCAATTAACCCGATAGCCCAAGAAACTTAAACTAGTCTGAGGAAGAACTTCCTGACATTTTGTTTTTGTTTTGTTTTAAAGTTTGTGCCAAAAAGGGGCTAGAGTTGGGGCTTTTCAAACTGTTAATCACAATCCACAGTCAGAGAATTGATTTAGTGGGTTGATACATTTTTAAATGAAATAGAACAGTGAAAAATAACAATGTGTGACACACAGTAAGGCTGTGTGTAGGTGCATCCCTCCCAGGCCATAATAGAAATACACTTCTGACTGTGGATCAATGATCAAAATATCTGAGAGAGATTATAGCTTCGATTGGTATTGGCTAGATTGCGAAGTCCTTGGCGGCAGGGATGTTCTCTCTTTTATGTTCCCTTCATCCTTAGTCCAGTACTGAGTACTTAGCTGATTGGTTGGTCTGTCTGGGAGAATTTGTAACAGTTCACCCCTCAGACTGGAAGAATAGTCAGAATGATGTTAAGGACAATTTGCAGAATACTGTCTCTGCAAGGAAATGACAGGTATTCTTACCCTTGCTTTATGAATGAGGAAAGCAGAAAGACACCGAGTGTGATAGTTAAGAGCTTGGGGTCTAAAGTCTGAGAAACCTGTGTTTGAATTCTGTTTGTGCAGTGTCATGGTTGTGTGACTTTGGGTAACTTTTTTAAGCCTGACTTTGTCCATCTTTAGGCAGGGTATGATGAGGGTACCTACCTCAGGTATTATGACAGTTAGATGAGTTAGCTCGAGTTTAGTGGCTTTAGCACAGTGCCTGGCATCTGATAAGCAGTTAGTAAGCATTATCTGCTGCCCTTCGTTTTATGATTAAGAGAGATTAAGTGACTCATGTTGGGTCCCAGGGCACCAGCTGGAGCCAGGCCCACTGCAGGAGCCCCTTCTAGAGTTGCAGATCTGTGATGGTTATTGATCTTGATCTAAACTTGTAGCTCTAATCTGTGGTTTGGCTGTGGCAGTGAAAGGAAGTGAATGTTGCAACAGAGCAGGTGTGTGCATACAAAGAGATGTCCTGGTTTTGCCAGTTAGAGAAAACAGCATCTTCCAGAGATATGGCTGCATGTGGAATCTGAGAATATAAATGACATTTCTTAGGAAAGCCAGGTGCTTTGTATTTTCATCAAAAACAACAGTTTCCTAAAACTGAATATAGCAATGTATAGGCTTAAACTGGTGGTTTTGTGTCGACACAGTGATAATTTTAGTGGAAACTCCAAGATTTGGTAAATACTGATTTCTGAAATCACTCACTGAGCCTAGCAGCACCACTGTGCACTTAGAACGAAGTCCTTGAAAATACGTGACATGCTGAAGGTGAAAGGCACTGGACAGAAATCCCAAAGAGACTTGGTTTTGGCTTTAGCCCCTAATTTGCAAGTCTGGGTCTCTGTTCAGTTCTCTTTTCCAGGCTGGAGAGTTTTGAGCCTTCTTTCTCCTTAAAGTCAAAATAATTTTGTTCTTTATATCCCGAAGTGTTGATTGTCTTTGTATCTTGATAGGAAAAGGTAGTATATGTGAAAAATTATCTAATGGTCAAAACTTGCTGGTTTATACTTTAGTTGAAAATAGCCTTTTCTGCCTTGTTTGGAAGCAATATAGTTTAGGGATAGTTAAGTATAATGGTCAAGAGCAGAAACTTTTAGCTGGATTTAGGTTCCTGTCCTGCCTGTGCTTCCAACAAGGTGTTTGACTTTGGTGCCTTAACCTCTCTGCACCCTGTGTGTAAAGTGGGTTAATAAGAGAATTGCTACCTTGTAAGTTGTTGAGAGGATTAAACGGGGTAACATGTAAAACCCTCAATGCAATGTCTGCTCCTAAACTCTTCAGTGAATAAGAGTTGTTACCGTCATCATTATCATCATCAGTATTATTAGTGGAAGGTCTTTCCAGGAGCCCAGAATTATACACCTGGCTGTGCTGTTGCTAACAGTTGCCCTGGGTATGTTGCTGAACTCCTAAACTTCAGGATTCTTTTCTCTAAAACAAGGGAGTTGTCCAGATGCCTCTAGTACAAACGTTCTGCCCCACCTGCAGCATGCTTTGTTTCTCATCAGGCCTGAGCGATGCCATCCGGGCTGCAAGGGTTTGAGTCCCCTTTTCCAGTAAGGACCTATAGTGGCTCTGCCAGATGTTGGCCCTGCTAACCTTTGCTTTTCTTTGCTTGATTTTATGTTCGTAGTGTAGCTTTCTTTTTCTGGCTCTGCCAAATGACTCCTCATGGTTTTATATTTTTTTCTAGTGTATTCAGACTATAGGTCTGGCATTGGAGTTAAGTCTTAGCTTGGGAGAGCCTCACACATAGGGGATATTACAAGTAAGGGTGAGCCCATCACTTTGCTGTTGACTTTTTAAATATGTTTGTGTTTGCACCTGTCACACTTCTCAACCCAAGTACTGAGGACTGCCTATATCTGAGGCTGGCCATTGAGAGCCACTCATGAGAAAGGAATGGCTTTTCTGGATCCATAATAAGCCACCTTCTTGCTTTGTTTCCTTCTTTGCCTTGGTTTTAGTTCGAACTTTTAAAGAGCTCACCAGAGCTCATCTTGGTGTAGTTTTATATTTTGCACATGCATCTTTGTTAGCCCCTACTTTTGCAAAAGATGGAGCTGTGGAGTTAATCTCTGGTCTGCCATTGATGTTTTAGGTTTATCTTGTTCTCTTGGACAGGCATGCACAATGAATTAATTGAGTTGTTTTCAGCCCACTTCCTGCCTAATTGAACACCTGCCCAGTGAATGCTGCCAAGTCACTTGCCTATTACCTGATTTGCCAGCCATTCCTGTCATGTCAGTGTCTTGCTTGTATGCAAAGACTCAGTCTTGTCATTTGTAGTTCACTTTCTGTGTTCTTCAGATAACTTTTCTTTTTTTCATGTAATTTAAAGGCACTCGTGCATCCTCCTTTGTTACAGTCCCTCTGCATTCCCATCTTGCCACTGTCCTCCTGGTTAAGATCATTACTGACTAGGCCTCATAAAAATGCTGAAACACCAGATGCAGGACAAGGGCATATGTGCACCCTGGGTTGGTTCTGATGCTTTCGTATCTTTCCCTTGGTCCCAGGCTAAATTTCCAGCAAGCCATTCTTAAGTAGTGCTGACAGTTTAGAACTAATTAGAAATAGTCTTTTAAGGGTTGGGACACAAGATGGTTTTTAAAAGAGTGCTGTCATTTTTTGACATTAGAGACTTGTATCTTTCCAAAGAGAAGAGTGGTCTTACTAAAAATGAGAACCAGGGCGGGAATTCAGCCTTCTCTGATCACAGAAGGCCGCCCCTGTTAATGGCCTATGCTTGTCCTCTTGACTGTTTTCTTTGGTTGAAAAGTCTTATAGCCAGTCACATGGCTCCTACTGGAGCCCTGGCTTAGGTGTGATTTTTTTGTTAAAAATATCCTGGAGATACAGCAACCCCTTCTTAGTTATTTGGTAGAATTACATATCTTTTCTCTTAGCCTTTCAAAAACATAGAAGTGTACTGTTTGGATTTCTTCTGCCCAGATTTGAACTTATTCAAATGAGATGAGACTGGTTATCTCCTTTGATTTCATTGAGGTTTGCATTTTGTTTTCAGTTTCCTTCTGGCTTTTCTTTGCAGAATTTCAAATTTTAAAAATATTTCAAAAGGCATGGCTCCTCAAAAAGTTAAACATAGAATGATCATAAGACCCAGCAACTCCATCCTAGTTATATACTCAAAAGAATTGGATCAGGGACTTAAATCCTTGAATCCAAATCTTCATGGCAGCACTATTAGCGACAGTCAAAAGGTAGAAGTAACTCAGCCAGGTGTCCATCAGTGGATACATGGATAGACAAAATGTGGTATCTCCATATCTGTACAATGGAATGTTGTTCAGCAATAAAAAGGAATGATGTACAGATGTATGCCACAACTTGCATAAACCGCAAGAACATGTTATTTGTAAGAGAAACCAAACACCAAAGGCCACATATTATATGATTCCATTTATACAAATTATCCAGAATAGGTAAATCCATAGATAGAGAAAAAGCAAAGTAATGGTTTCCAGGGGCTGGAGGGAAGAGGTTGTGTGGATCGACTGCCAAGTGGATACTGATTTTCTTTTGGGTTGATGAAAATGTTTTGAAACTAGATAGAGGTGGCAGTTGCACAACATTGTGAATGTCTAAATGCCGTGAATTATGTACTTTAAAATGTCTGATATATGTTATATGCATTTCATTTCAATTAAAAACAATTTGGAGCGGCAGCATATGTGTTCTTGCAAAAGATGGCTTTTCCAGTGACACCATACAAGAGTTGCTGTCTAGCAGGGTACTTCAATGCGGGTAGGAGAAGGAGTGTGGAGTCAGGCTGCTGGGGCTGGGATCTTGGCTTGTCACTTGGCCTGGGGGCAAGTTGGCCTGGTGAGTTGCCTCCCCTTTCAGCCTGTTTTTTCTTCTGTAAAGAGCATAAAAGCATTACTTTCTAGGGTTGCTGTGAGAATCAGCGGAGATAATGGATATAAAATGCTTGGTACACTGTAAGTGCTTAATAAATATTAACCTTTATCTGTTCTGTGGAAGGAGAAGAACAAAGTGGACTCAAGGAGAGAAGCAAAGTGCTGGAACTAGAGAAATTGGAGTTGATTTCAGCCATCTAGGTTTGGGTTAGACCTTTGAGAAGAATTTTAAAAATCTTGTTCTCTAAATTTCTTTTTAGAAGTTGCCATAACCATGTGCAGTCAGTGATGCTATTGGGAGCTGATTTCTACCAACTAAAGCAAAGAATATTTCTAAAGCACTTAGAATAGTGCCTGCCAGACAGCAAGGGCTCAATTAAGTGCTTGATTAAATTAAAGAAGAAAAAACCAATTGGATTACGGCAGTCGTAAGGCAGCAGTAGGGTGACAGCCCCTGCCCACTTCCCTTCCTGAGCTCTCTGCTTCATGCTTGGGTGGTCTCATTCTGGAGCTGGTTTTGTGAGACAGTGTTGAGCACACATCGATGGAGATGTGCCGGCATCTTTTGTTAGCCCTCTGGCATTTGTAGGAAACTCAGCTACTGGGGTCCCCTTTGTAAATGTATTTTATGTTTCTGATTCCTGCTTTCTTCCTTGGAAGAAAGGTCTTTATCATCACCTGGGCCCAGGTGAACCTTCCAGCTGAGTAGAGGACAAAGAAACCCTGGATCTAAGGAGAGGCTCCCATCATCCAGCTTTAAGGGAAGGTGGAAGGCAGAGGGCTATGAGGCAGGGAAGGCTAGTCTGACTTTCACTGGTAAAGAAGTTTTTGTTTCTTCTTAGCACACAATTGTAGAGATTTCTAATATTAGGATACTACTCGAATGTAAATGGGTATGTAGATCTCTCTCTCTACTTTTTTTTCTTTTTTTTCTTTTTTTTGACAGAGTCTTGCTTTGTCACCCAGGCTGGAGTGCAATGGCACGATCTCGGCTCACAGCAACCTTCACCTCCTGGGTTCAGGCGATTCTCCTGCCTCAGCCTCCCGGGTAGCTGGGACTACAGGCACGCACCACCACAGCTGGCTAATTTTTGTATTTTTAGTAGAGATGGGGTTTCACCATGTTGGCTAGGCTGGTCTCGAACTCCAGGCCTCAAGTGATCCACCCGCCTTGGCCTCCCAAAGTGCTGGGATTACAGGCATGAGCCACCACGCCTAGACGATCTCTCTCTTTTCTAATTCCGTTTGCGCTAAATGTCATTATGCACAATTAGCACCTTTTATATATTGGTGGTTCTTTACTGTTGGTACTTCACAATTTAGTGCCCAAATAATGTAAACTGTGGTATAGAAAGAAGCAAGATTATTGGACTTGGGATCTGAAGAACAGAGCTTAGCAGTTATGTTTACAGGATTTCTATTTACTTTATCTGCCTGACTCCCCTTCTTTCTTTTGGGACCGGCATTCTCCCTTCTTCAGGGGTGTTACTTCTCCCTTACCCATTACCGGGACCTGCCAAGCATGGTTCTTGGTCTCCTGTGTTCTTGGTCTTGGTACAATTTTAATTATAATTAATTTTTGTAATTAAAAAATCTTTTTTAGTAAAAGGGATAATTTATTATGAGAACCGGAATGCCTCAAGAAAATCCAAGGCAGTAATTGCAGCCATGTAATAGGATGTTAAGATGGGGCCTTTCCCTGCCCCAAATGAATGTGAAGCAGCCTCCTGTGTAGAAATTACAAAGGAAAAACAGAACCAGTTTTACTGCATTTGGACCCCTTGCCAGGTCAAAGCTATTAAAAGGGGGTCAGACTGGAGAGGGGAGAGGATTTGATGGATAGGTGTCTTTGGACAGAGCTGCTGTTGTGTTGCTGCCAATCCGCCCAGCATAGATAGGGCTGGGGAGACGTACAGTGGTGTAGTGCACATTTGTTCAAGCCCATCTCCCTGGAATTTTGAACTTGAGGCCCAAGAGCCTTTTCTTCTGGGGTGGTGGAGCCAGAGAAATGGGAACGTGAAGCTGCAGTGACCCTGGTTTCCTGTCTGGAGGAGAAAGCTGGCTTGCTGCAGCTGGCTTGGAGTAGGAGGAACTTGTAGGCAGAGAGAAGCAGAGAAGGGAGTGTATTCGCCTGGAAATTCCCTCCTGTCTGGCCTCTCTTCCTTATTTCAAATTTTCTTTTGCCAAGGTGTTTTGTTTTGTTACTTATAACCAAGGGTCCTGAGTAACAGACATGACCTTCGTTAACTCATTGAACTTCCCTTACTCTAATTTTTTCCTCATGTATACAGTGATATACAAGTAATTACCTCACAGTTACAGAGATGATCCAATAAAATAATGAACATGGAAGCTTGGGGGGACTGTAGCATAGAAGAAGTGGAGGCTTTAGCATTTTGTGATTATTTTACTAACTACCTGTCACTAATGATCTGATTGTTCTGCACATCATTGGTTTTCTCGTTAAAATTCTTTCAGAAACAAATGGTGCCAATAACGCGCTCCACTTTTTAAAATCACAGAGTTGCTTGACCTGACCTGTGTATTTGTAGGAAATGAATGAATGGCTCTTGATAAATTATGGCCTTTCCAAACCTAAAAAAAAGCTTTCTCTGAGTTGAGTTTTAATTATATTTTGGGGAGCAGAGAGTATTGCCTCCAGGTCAGATGAGCTTTTCTTCGTGTTTCTGTGCCAGGGATAATGGTGCCAAAATTTTAGAGTAATGGTGCATTTATTTGGCCTTGGAGTTAAGTAGCCTTGGGTTTGAATGCCAGTGTTGAATGCCACTTATCTAACTATGTTGTCTCTTTGAGCCTCAATCTTGAAGTCTGTAAAATGGGGATAATTACCCCAACCCTGCAGATGGAGGATTATAGGAGACGATGTGTTTAAAGTCCTTAGCTATGTCTGGTATGTGGTAGATGCTGAACAAATGCAGCTGTTACTATTAAAAACGATACCTTCAGTAAACCATTTGCAACTAAAGGGAATGAGGCTAGAAAATGTGAATGCCGAAATCATTTAATCAGCTATTAATTGAATATACTATTGAGTGCCTCCTCTGTGCAAGGGGTAGCAGTGGAGTGGATAAGAAGTTATGTAACACCATTCCTGTTTGTTTATTAGGGAAATAAATCATGTACGTATGGAAAAAAGTAATACGTGAGGCAGCTGGGGTTTGGAGGGTGGCAGAGGATTGGAAATGGGGAGGCTTCTTGGAGGTGTAGAGCTGATGGAAAAATATAGCGAGGGAATTGATGTCAGGAATTACACACTTAGGGTGATCTTTGGAAGAGACCAAATTTTATATATATATATATATATATATATATATATATATATATATATATATAGCCTCATCCTGTTTTATTTTTCCTTTGTCTTCCTGATTCCTTCCCAGATCTGCTTAATGTTTCTGATCATTATATTGATGACCCATGCCAATTGCCCATTCCAGAGTTTAGCATTTTCTTTGTAGACTAATTTTTGCCATGAACCACTGGCCTATAGCCCTCAGTGATCAGAATTCTCCTAACAGATTCTGTATCCCTCCTTCCATTTTCCCCACTTTAATTTTCTGCACTGGAAATGGCCTTCTCAGGAGTTCCATCATGTGGAATCATGACCATTCATTCAGCAGATGCTTGTTGAGCACCTACGACAGGCAGCATGCAGGGCAGTATGCAAAGGAGGTCTGGGGAATAAAGAGATTGATGAAACCAGGTGGTCCCTGCCCTGAAGCAGCTTGGTTAGTAGAGGAAACAGATGGGCAAATGGACTCTAATTAAATGTGATTAGTGCTTTATGTTGGTCAGATAAGGAAAGACATTTGGCGGGAGCCCCACATCCCAGAGTCCTCCCTCAGTCACTTACTGCTGTGCTTGGTTCAGAAAGGCTGTCCCCCTCACGGAGCAGTCTGGGAAAATGCATTCCTTATTAATAACTACGATTCTGATGTGAAATCTCTCTATATAGTATCTTGGTTGGGAAAGTGTATAAGTGAAGATTCCTTTTGTCACCTCCACCCAAATCCTCTTCCACTGAGGAGTCCAGTCTTCCTTCCTCTCACAGACAAACCTGCTCTTCCTCCTGGGCCCTCCATCTCAAAATTGGCACTGTCATCAATCCAGAGGCTTGAGAGCATCTTTGATACCTCCGTCTCCCTCATCACCTCTATCTGATCATCCACCAAGTCCTGGCACCTCTATTGCCCTCTCTTCCATTGCTATCACCCAAGTCTAACCCATCTCCAGCTGCAGGTCATGACCTATGTTACCTCATTCTGAAATTAATTTAGGGGTTCCCCCCCATCATTTAACAAAATAAAAAAATAGTAGAATGGGAGACATTAGAGTAAATTACATGTAGTTTAAGTTTGAGTTTTATTTTGTCAAACTTGTGTTTGTGTATAATAGTTTCACATACAAAAAAAGGCTAACATTGCTAAGGTCTTCACATATATTGACTTATTTATCTCCCACAACAACCTGTATAGTAGGTACCATTATGCTTATCCTTATTTTACAAAAGAGGGAACTGAAACTCAGAGAATTTGAGAAGCTGGCCCAGGGTCACAGAGAATATTAGTGTTCCAGCCCCCACACTGCAGCCACAATAGGCTTATAAAATGCAAGTTGGATGATTCTTCACTATTGATGGGTCCCATGCTCTTAGGATAGTATAAAGTCTGGTCATAAGGCCCTGTGTAATCTGGTTTCCCCACACCTCTCGGGCCTGCCGACCATCCTCTTGCCCCACTGCCTTTCAGCTTCTAGATGTGCCAGGCTTTGAAACACCTCAGGGCCTTTGCCTTTGGCCTTTCAGACTTAGTTAGGCCCCTTCATGACCTGCTCCCATAGTACTCTGTATTGCCCTGTATTGTATTGTAGTACCCTTTCACAGCACTTACTGGAGCCACCAAGATATACGGTCAATGCCTCACTTAATGACAGGGACACATCCTGAGAAATGCATCATTAGGCAGTTTTGTTGTGTGAATATTGTAGAGTGTGCTTACACAAACCTAGATGGTATGGCCTACTACACACCTAGACAATGTGTCTATAGCCTATTGCTCCTAGGCTACAAACCTTTACAGCATGTTGCTATACTGGATACTGTAGGCAGTTATAACACAATGGTAAGCATTTGTGTATCTAAACATATAAAAGGTACAATAAAAATATAGTATAAAAGATTTGAAAAATATATACCTGTATAGGGTACTTGCCATGAATGGAGCTTGCAGGACTGGAAACTGCTTTGGGTGAGTCAGTGGCTGAGTGGTGAGTGAATGTGAAGGCCTGGGACATCATTGTACACTCTTTATGTGGCAGTGCAGTAGGTATGCTTATGCCAGCATCACCACAAACACGGAGTAATGCTTTGTGCTACGGTTTTATGATGGCCATGACATCATTGGACAATAGGACGTTTTCAGCTTCATTATAATCTTAGAGGACTGCTGTCATATATGCAGTCCTTTGTTCACCAGAACATCATTATGTGGTGCGTGACTGTACACTAAGTCCTCATTTAACCTCATACATGGGTTCTTGGAAACTATGACTTGAAGTGAAACCATGTATAATGAAACCAATTTTATGAAGGCTAATTGATGTAAACAAGAGTTAAATTCCTATTGCATATTTCTGGCACAGAAATATCACCAAACTTCTAAATAAAGACCCCAAACACTTCTAATACTAAACACTGAAGTAAATGGCAGCTATACCTACATTTAAGAAAAATTAATAAGAACAAGTGAGATCACTATTGACCCAGTTTTTGGTGGATCAGTGAGTGAGGGTGGTCATGTTTACAAAATGAAAATTACCAGGGTCATCTCCTCCTACCGTGCAGTTTAAAAACAATTACGAATATGGCAGCTCACTGAGCACTTTCAGACCACATTGTTAATGTCCTGCATTTGTATGATTATACTTTATGAATTTTTTTTTGACAATAATTTGTATTCATTCATTTATCCATTTTCTAACCTGCTTATTCCAGTGTAGAGTAGCATGTGGTTGGAGCCTCTCCCAGCAGCTCAGGGCACAAGGTGATAAGCACACCCTGCGTAGGACACAGTTTCATCCCAAGGTGCGCTCACATCCACTCCGATGGGGACCATTAGACACATAAGTGCCTAACTCCAACATCTTTGGGATGTTCAAGTTAGGTATTTGTAGAGGATGTAAGAGGAAACCAGAGTACCTGGAGAAAACCCACACAGACATGGAGAGAATGTGCAAACTCCACACAGACAGTGGCCCCAGCTGGGAATTGATTTTTTTTTTCTTTTTATCAACGTTATAATGCAATGATGCTATTTGAGGACCTGCTGTAGTTCCTTGCTGACTTCAGGGGCACAAAGGCTGGCCTGCATCAGTCCCTAGGGCAGCGTCTGGCATGACAGTCAGGGAAAACCTAACTGGGTGTTTGATTAGCTGTGGGAGGTGAAGGAAGGGAGGGGTCTCATTTTTGGCTGAATCGTCTATCCCTGTCAAAATAGTCCTTTCTTCTTCCTGTCTTACCTTTCTAGAAAGCATTTTTTTTTAATTGGACATGTTTATTTCTGTGGGTGGGTCAAAATCTTTTGAGTGGGCTTTTTGTTTTTGTCCCATTTTGAGACGGAGTCTTGCTCTGTCTCTCAGGCTGGAGTGCAGTGGTATAATCTTGGTTCACTGCATCCTCTGCCTCCTGGGTTTAAGTGATTCTCCTGCCTCAGTCTCCGCAGTAGCTGGGTATACAGGTGCCTGCCACCATACCTGGCTAATTTTTGTATTTTTAGTAGAGATGGGGTTTCACCATGTTGGCCAGGCTAGTCTTTAACTCCTGACCTCAAGTGATCCGCCCACCTCAGCATCCCAAAGTGCTTGGATTACAGGCATGAGCCACTGCAGTGGCCTGTTTTTGTCTTTTAATCTGTGGATCCCCAGTGTGCTGCTCTAACTAGATGAAGAGCTGCTGGCTTACATCTGTTGGGCAGGCCCTTAGTCCTTGTGGGCTGAGCAGTGTGGTAGTGAAGGAGTCCTGAGCCGCAGATCAAGAGGTGGAGGACCTGACTACACCACTTCTTTGCAATTCAGCCATGAGACAGCTTCCTGTTCCATAAAACTGTGGTGGGGTGCAGTGGGGTTGGGGGTGGGTGGTAACAGCATACAAGCCTACATCTGGGCTGCTTTCGACAATTGGGAGATTGTGTAAAAGGTCCCTGGCATGGCAGTGTTGGCTGTTCAGGAAAAGTGACTGTTTTTTAAAAATCTCTTCTTTCTTGGATCTCCTTGTGCTTGGCAGTGTGCCTTTCCACTTAGATCCAGGCCTTGGTTGGTCAAGGGCAGTTTTTTCATCAGCAGAGTGACTGTAGCCCTAAGGCCAAAGCCATTCAAATTCCTTCTTAGGTTCACACATTGGTGATTGTTGAAACCTTGACATTTGAGCTTGGAGAGCTTTCTGGCCTAGGCTAGTGCAGTGACAACTGTAGGTCCCACTTTGGCCCTGCGGTCATAACTAGGGTGATACTAATTGCAGCTTTCATTTGTTGAGCATCTGCCCTTCACCAGACCTGTACTCAGAGTCCATGATGCTCACACCAACCTTGTCAAGTAGGTGGTGGACTCCCCATTTTATGCAAGAGGAAACTGTAGTCCAGAGAGTTTGAGAAACTTGACGCGGTCTCCTGTTTGGAGTTCTCTATAGGACCTCCTTCTCTTTTAGTTATAACTAGTCTTTTAATTGCTTTTTTAGTTTTATTCCAATAGGTTTTTGGGGAAGAGGTAGTGTTTGATTATATGAATAAGTTCTCTGATGGTGATTTCTGAGATTTTGGTGCACTGATCACCTGAGCAGTGTACACTATACTCAGTGTGTATCCTTTTATCCCTCACTCTGCTCCCATCCTTTCCCCACCAAGTCCCCAAAGTCCACTCTTATGCATCATTCTTATGCCTTTGCACCCATAGCTTAGCTCCCAATTATGAGTGAGAACATAGGATGTTTGGTTTTCCATTCCTGAGTTACTTCACTTAGAATAATGATCTCCAGTTCCGTCCAGGTTGCTGTAAATGCCATTATTTCATTCTTTATTATGACGCAGTAGTCTTTCGTGGTATATGTATAGCACAGTTTCTTTATCCACTCGTTGATTGATGGGCATTTGGGCTGGTTCCATATTTTTACAAATGCGAATTGTGCTGCTGTAAACATGCATGTGCAAGTATCTTTCTCATATAATGACTTCTTTTCCTCTGGGTAGATACTGGGATTGTGGGGTTGCTGGATAAAATGGTGGTCCTACTTTTAGTTCTTTAAGGAATCTCCACACTGTTTTCCATAGTGGTTGTACCAGTTTGCATTCCCATAATTGCTTTGACTTAGAAAATGATGGCTGTTTGTAAGCCCCTTGTGAGCAACTTTTTTTTTTTTTTTCCATTTTTGAGTCAGGGTCTCATTCTGTTGCTTAGCTAAAGTACAGCAGTGCAATCATAGCTCACTGCAGCCTTGAGCTTCTGGGTGCAAGCGATCCTCCTGCTTTGGCCTCCCGAGTATCTGAGACTATAGGCATATGCAACCATGCCCAGCTAACTTTTTTTTTTTTTGGTAGAGACAGGGTTTCACCATGTTGCCCAGGCTGGTCTCAAACTCCTGGGCTGAAGTAAATTGCCTACCTCCGCCTCCCAGAGTGTTGGGATTACAGGCATGGGCCACTGCACCTGGCCGTGAGCAATTTTTAATAGTTGTCTCTTGTCTCTTCTATATGGCCTCTGTTCTTAATTGGTATAACCCAGTTTTACCTAGATGAGGTCATTGCTCAGTGGGTCTGCTCGTCCAGGCTCTGCAGAGGTCTACTTTGCTCTGGAAGTGTTTCCTGCTCCTTCTTTTCCCACCTCCAGTGGTGGAGTGTGTGCTGATTGGATAGAGTCCATGCTCTGGAAATAGGAACCAATTTTCTCTCCTCACTACTTCTTTTTATTTCTAACTGCTTCTGTTCATCTTTTCTTGGCTGCATTCATTTTCCCTCTTTACTGCTGTAGTTTATTGCTCTTTGCTGACTCCTTTATTTTTATTTTCCAGACTTGCCTGAAATGCATCTTGATTCTGGCATCTTTAGATGTTTAAAGCCCTGCACTTTGTTACTAATGATTTCCCTCATTTTGCAGAATTCCATTCAGTTGCAGTTCTATTTGGCAAGACCCTGCTTTTCTTCTTTCTTAAATCATTACATTTTAATATTCTTCTCTTCCTGCTCTTTTATAGAAATTTGTATTTCATTTTTTAGGTTGTAATAATGGACCTTCAACGCCCTACAGTTTGACTTCTTATCATACTTACTTGTTTTCAGAATCATATGTTCATGGAGCAGAGGCACTTTTATGCTGTCCTTGCTTTTTCTAAAAGGCAAATCTGTCCATACCATTTTCGTACTCAGCACCCTTCATAGGCTCTTGAAGATCAGCTCTGAATGCCCCATCCCAGTGTTGGAGACCAGTGGTGTCCCCCTCCCTTCACCTGCCCGCTACGACACTAGCTCAGCAGTTCTCCACAATTGGTTTCAGGACCCCTTTATGTAACTCTTAAAAATTAGTGAGATTCCCCTAAGAGCTTTTGTTTGTATAGATTGTATCTAGTAATATTTACTGTGTTAGAAATTAAAATTAAAGAAATTTAAAAATATTTATAAACTTGTTTAAATATAACAATAAACCCATTATATGATATATGATAATATAAAGTAGCATTTTTAATGAAAAGTAAATATTTCCAAAGCACAAACATTTAGTGAGAAGAGTGACATTGTTTTACTTTTTCCCAAATCTCTTTAATGTCTCTCTTAATGGAAGACAGCTGGAGTCTCATAAATGCTTTTGCATTCATTCTGTTGCAGTATATTGTGTTGGTTGAACTATATGGAGAAAATCCAGCCTTACACAGACATGTAGTTAGAAAAGGGAGGAGTGTTTTAATAGCCCTTTCAGTTAATTGTGGATAGTCTTTGAAACTATATCAGAACTTGACCCAGGTGTAAAGGTTTGTTGCAACATAGACTCTGAAACCAATCAATGAACTTTTCATAATGCTGTTACATTAAAGTCTGTTGTCCTATCACATCCATTGAAAGGATCTTTTACACATCATTTTGTAACATCATGCATCATTAGTCATTTGGAAAATATCAAAATATCACATTTAATACCACCGTTTAGAAAAATATCAACATATCACATTTGTTAATGTCATTGCCATTCTCATCTGAAAAGTCTTTAAGTATTGAGATGCTCTAAAGCTGAAAATACTGGATACAGGTTTTCCAAAGTTCTGTTTATTTGTTTTGAGATAGAGTCTCTATCCCCCAGGCTGAAGTGCAGTGCCACAATCTCAGGTCATTGCAACCTCCGCTTCCCGGGTTCAAGTGATTCTCATGCCTCAGCCTCCCGAGTAACTGGGATTACTGACACCCACCATCACGCTTATTTTTGTATTTTTAGTAGAGATAGGGTTTCACCATGTTGTTCAGGCTGACCTTGAACTCCTGACCTCAGGTGATCTGCCTGCCTCGGCCTCCCAAAGTGCTGGGATTACATGCGTGAGCCACCGCACCCGGCCCCGAAGTTTTAATTTTTGCTTGAAAGCCCAAAATTTGTCTTTAGCAACAAATACCGTCAGTTTTCCTTGAAATAACAGGCTCACTGTATTTATTTTTGACAAAGTGTCTATAAATACCCAAATCTGAGTAATCATAGTTTTTCTCAGTCATTCTTTCAAGGAAAGATGGTGTTCTGTGAAAAACAGTGGCTAAGCTTGCAGCTCAGTCACACAAGTACTTTTTCTTCCCAAAGACAACCACCGCACTCTGGCCTGCAGCGGAAGTGCCGAATGAGTGCGCTTAACATTTTGTTACATGGGATATTAAAAAGATGTGTACTCAAGAATCAATATTTAATGAAATTAATAATTTTACTGCTTCATCAAGGACACGCTTAGCTAAGGACAGGCGTGGTGGCTCATGCCTGTAATCCCAGCACTTTGGGAGGCCGAGGCGGTTGGATCACGAGGTCAGGAGAGCGAGACCATCCTGGCTAACATGGTGAAACCCCGTCTCTACTACAAAAAAAACAAAAAATTAGCTAGACGTGGTGGCGGGCACCCGTAGTCCCAGCTACTCTGGAGGCTGAGGCAGGAGAATGGTGTGAACCTGGGAGGTGGAGGTTGCAGTGAGCCGAGATCGTGCCACTGTACTCCAGCCTGGGCGACAGAGCGAGACTCCATCTCAAAAAAAAAAAAAAAAGCTGTGTGTGTGGCAGTAGAGAATATAATGACCACTGATACAGTGAGATGCCACTGCCTTGATTTATGCTAAGCCACCAGTTGTTTTACCTGCTATTGCTTTTGCACCAGCAATGTAAGTGTCAACACAGTTGAAGATAGTTTTGACCTGGCGGGACTCCCAGAAAGGGTCTTGGGCCACACTTCAAAAACCAGTGGGTAAGACTAAACTGCCCATCATTCATCTGCATGCTCTAGATTCTCTCGCTTTCCATATCTTGGCTCCATGCCCCCTCTACCCGGAACATTCATCTTCACCACCACCTCTCCCTCCCCGTGTGTGTGTGTGCATATTCACACATATTTATATATCTACACATGTATAGGTGTGTATGTGTGTATAAATGCACACGTGTGTATATTCAGCATTTCTGGTTATAATCGTGTGCAATGATTTCATCCAGTGGGCTGTAGACTATGGGCCAGGTTTCATATTTATCTTGGTGGGCAGGAGCACCAAGTACCATGTCTGGCACAGCTAATCACTTGCTAAATGTTAGCTATTTTCATCATCATCATCATCATCATCATCATCATCATCATCATTGCAAGGGCTTAATACATTTTTCTTTTTTAACAAACGAAGAGTTTAGGTTAGTATTTCCCATGGTTTCCTTAGAACATTGGTTCTCTGTGATATCAGTAAGTGTTGATGAATGGGCATCTGTGGTCAGCTAGATTTGGGAATGCTCAAATACATTTTTGATTGAAGGATTTTCAAGATCCTTTGTTGTATAAGGTATATATTGTGAATCTTTAAGGGGAATGGGAGGCTATAGAATGTAGCATTTCCAAAGCTGAATAACTTGTGAAACTTCTTTTTTTGGCATAAGTCGTAAAATTAGGTTTCTTGGAATTTTCTTTGGGAAATAATCACATAGTCTGGCCTTTTCATTTTTACAGATGAGGAAACTGATGACCTATATTCATTCTTGCAATAATTTATACCTCAAATATGTAATGAGTACTTCTTAAAGTTAGACACTGCTAGGTTGGGTAATACAATAGCAAGTGAAAAAAAACAGAGTTGGGGAAAGTGTTAATTATACTTTTTATATGGAGTAGATGATTAAGTGGGAGGTACAGACATTAATGAAGTAGTTACTGAAATTAGAACTGTTATGTGAATGGTGTGTAGGAAAGTAGACAGTGCTAAATCATTTGTTTTTTGTTTTACTCATTTTCAAAGCTCTGCCAGGCCCATTTAGGTCTTCCTCTCAACGTTCTGCCACTGCTAGCAGCTCTGTGATCCAGACTGCTGAAGATCAGTAAAGATGTCCATTTGCCCAGCTGCATCATCTGAGAGTGTAGCATGTTGAAGACATGATCTGTTACAGCGTGAGACAACTTTCTCTTAGTGCCTCATGTTTAATAAGTACTTGTACATATTGATAGACTGCATGAAGTATGCATAAACATACTTAGAAAAACCTGGACTGAAAGACAAACCCTACACTGTGGTTTCTTCACCCACTGCCCTAACTCACTGTGCTGTACAGGGGGACTGAATAAAATCATTTCACATGCATTTCCTGCACCCCCTTGCTCTGACCTGGCCCCATTTTGGATGGATCCAGTGACTCTTCCCTTCCCCACCATGCAAAACAGAAAAACACATCTTTCTGTTTTGATCCAGTACTGCCCACACGTTGGGGAAAATGTTAATATACTATTTGTATGAATATATTTAATCAAAGGGCATGATGTTGATACAGTAAAATTGGCCTGTGGTCTGGTGGCTTCCTGGGCAGATGATAGCAGGAGGGTTTTGCGACAGAATAGCCTTGGAGTCAGGACTTTTGTAAGAAGATTAGGTCAGTGTTTGATTTGATGTTTCATTCTGCAAAGTCACCTACAGAGAAATCAAACATTTACATGTTTATTAACTGGTGCTTTTGGTTTTGGCATGTGGCCACAGGCTTTGGGCTGGATGAGCTCTGGGAATGCACAAAAATCTCTCATTCCTTCTCTTGTATGGGTAGATAAGCAGGAAAATATTTACCTTTTCAGGTTATCCTCTTCAAAGAAGCCTGAAACTTCTTCAGCCACATCATCTTCCTGCCAGAGTCTGAAAACCAACAGGCTTTCAAGAGACCAAGGGTTGAGTGGAGTCATTTAGGGAATGACATGTATCCAGGTTGCTAAATTTTTTGGTGTTGCTCTGAGATTGAATTAGGGAAATTCCCATTGAGTTTTTGGACCTCTTGATTTCTAATCTTCTTTGATTAAGTTGGAGTTGCAGAAATATCATGGATTCCTACTTTTAAAATAACTTTTTCTTTGTAAAAATAATTCAGACTAATTGTAGAAATTTGGGTAAATAGCAGAAGGCATAATGCTGAAAATTACCCATAATCCTTCTTCAGAGATAATCACTATAAACATTTTGTTTTATTTGCATGTATTTTTATATGCATAATTAAGATCATTGTGTATAAATTTTGATTTCTTCTTATTCCATTTAACATATGAATACTTTTTCTTGTGTTGAGAGCAACATGGACTTGTATTAGTTTCCTGTTGCTGCTGTAATACATTTCCACAAACAGAGTGGCTTAAAATAGCAAATATATTCTCATAGTTTTGGAAGCCAGAAGTCTGAAATCAAGGTATGGGCAGGACCGTGCTCCATGTGCACAGACTCTAGGGGAGAATCTGTTCCACTCCTTGCTCTCCCAGCCTTTGGTGCTGCCAGCATTCCTTGGCACGTGGTCTTGTCATTCGTATATCTGCCTCAGTTTTCACAGTGTGTGTCTGTGTGTTTGTGTGTGTGTAATCTACCTTTCTTATAAGGGCATGTGAATTTAGGTCCAATCCAGATAATCAAGAATACAGCTTTATCTCACAATTCTTGACTTAATCATGTCTACAAAGACCATTTTCCACCTAAGATAACATTTCCAGGTTTCAGGATTGGGACCTGATATGGTTTGGTTGTGTCCCCACCCAAATCTCACCTTGAATTGTAGCTCCCATAATTCCCACGTGTTGTGGGAGGGAACTGTTGGGAGATAATTGAATCATGGGGGCAGTTTTCCCCATACTGTTCTTGTGGTAATGAATAAGTCTCACAAGATCTGATAGTTTTATAAGGGAAGCCCCTGTCACTTGGTTCTCATTATCTCTTGTCTGCCACCGTGTAAGACATGCCTTTTGCCTTTCACCATGGTTGGGGGGGCCTCACAATGGAACTGTGAGTCCATTAAACCTCTTTTTCTTTATAAATTACCCAGTCTCAGGTATGTCTTTATCAGCAGCGTGAAAATGGACTGATACAGGACCTGACCTCTCTGGGGCCATTATTCAGCCTTCTACAGGGTTCTAGACAATGGACTCTGGAGCCAGACTCTGTGGGATCTAATCTTGAGCAAGTGCCTTAACTCTCAGTACCTCTTCTTTCTGATCTGTAAAATGGGAATAATAGTACCTACCTCCTTGAGTTGGTATACAAATTACAAAGATTAACATATACAGAACACCTAAAAAGCTCAGGTTAGTGGCTGGCCTGTGTAAGGAGTAGCTGTTAGTATTGTATTTGTGATTTTTATTAACAATTCTTTGTTAGATGTCATTTTTAATGGCTGCATAAGAGTTTTTAAATGAATCTACCATAATTTGTCTAATTCTGTCCTTTTGTTGGATAAGTTTCTTTTTCATTTTTTATCTCAGGTATGATGTTGCCGTGTAGCATTAAGTTTTGTTCCTTAGTGTAGAGTTCTGGAAATGGAATTACAAAGTCAAAGGGTGTGTATAGTTTTAAGCCACTTAATGAGAATTTGTTTAATTGCTTTCCAGAAAGTTGAATGATGAGAGTACCTGTTTTACCATGGCCATACCTGTTATCGCATGTTACCATTTTCAATACTCTGAGGTCCTTTGATATAGTCTGCCCTTTAAGCCTGAAATGTACAGCATAGGGACCCTACATTTTGTGTTTCATTCAGTGAGGAGTATTCTGACCATGCAAGAAAACCTCTAACACAAAATGAAATCCTTGCTTTGTGAAGTCACCCCAGTGCCTTCTCCATTCTGTTATGAAGCCTGGAAACTTGCTGGGTGTTTTTGAGGGTAGGGGGAGGGCTGTTGGGGGAAAGGTTGTTAGTAGCAGGGTAATGCTAGGTTTACAGGGACTTCAATAGCATAGTTTTGCTTCTGTTCTCAAATGTGAACATTTAAAACTGAGCATTTGATGGGATGAGGGAGGTACATTTGAACAGAAAACAGATTAATGTAATCACTTTACAACTAAGGCCATGTGAGGGACAGGAGTATGGGGTGGGGAAGGGGTAGCTCCTGCATTGCCTGCCAGATTATCTGGGAGATCAGCCGTGGGAAAGGCTAAGGGAACAGTTTGCATCTGTACTTTGCCCCCTGGGTCACCTGCTAGCCTGCTCTCCTTTCTTGGTGGTGCCCATTGCAGTCTGGTCCTGTGCAGCCCAGGCCTCTGGGCTATAGAGAGGCATAGCAGGGGTTCCAAGTGTGTGTGCTCAAGGGAACCTGCTACATTTGACGTCATCTGGCCCATTGCTGTTCAGGCTATTTAGAAACAGGGTGGCTGTGTTTCCCCAGTGGAAAGGTACAGTATACACCATGTGCAGCAGGTCATGCACAAATTCAACAATACCCAAACCCGCCGTAGTTGGCTAAATGGTGGCCCCAAAGATGTGCTTAGATTAGAACATCCCTGGAACCTATAAATGTTACCTTAATTGGAAAAAGGGGGTTTGCAGATGTGACTAAGTAAGGATCTTGAGATGAGATCATCCTGGATTATTTGGTAGGCCCTAAGTGCCATCACAGATATTCTTATAAGAGAGAAGCAGAGAGAGATTTGACACAGAAGAGAAGGCAGTGTGCCAAGAGGAGAGGGCATATGTCAAGATGGAGGCAGAGGTCGGAATGATGTGGCCACAAGCCAGGGAATGCCAAGCCACCAGAAGCTGGAAGCGGCGACAAACGAGTTCTCCCCTACGGCTTCTAGAGGGAGCATGGCATTGCCTGTTTATTTCAGACTTCTGACCTTCAGAATTAATACATTTCCTGTTTTAAGCCTTCCAGTGATAATTATGGCAGCCTCAGGAAACTCATATACTAGTCTGTGCCCTGTCCAAGACACTTCTGCTGTTTATGTGCTTGGCTCTCTCTTTCTCATATTGCTAGAAAAGCTTCTGAGCACTTACTCCCAATTTCTGTACTTATCTGGTCATGACCCAGCAGCAGAGTTGGCACTGGTTTGCAGAACTCCTGTTGAGTACCACTGATCTAGTCTCTATCATTTTATGAATGAAGAAACTGAGGCCTAGTGAGAGAAAGTGCTATAGGTCTGGGACGAGCAGCAGGTGCCTCTGCTACTTGGAATATTTAGACAGGGCCAGATCTGGGGAGAGCAGATAGCAGAGTTGCCCTTCGGAGGCCAGCTGGTGTCCCTGTCGCTGTTCTGTACCCTGTTCAGTGAAAGCTGATGCTCCAGTGAGCCCCTGGGGCGACAAGCTGCTCAGAAGGCCTAGAAACTAGGGCAAACTGGTAGAGCCTTTGCTGCAGCTACTGAGCCAACAGCAGCAGGCAAAGAACCCTGTCAAGGGTAGAGGTCACGGCTTGCTGATGACTTAATTTCCAGCTGACTGCTTCAGTCTTTATAGACCCTCTAACTCAGGTCATATTTTTCCTCTGGAGCCCAATTTTAACTTTCCATATTTTCAGAATGGCAATTATCTCTTAGAGAATGGGGACTAGACTACATGCTGCTTTGATAAAGTCCAAACTCCTTTACTTGGCATTCATGACTCCTGAATAACCAACTCCCTTCCCCTTTCCAGTTCTGCGTCCCATCCCTCCCTTTTACATACCTTAATCTCTGGACTTCACCAAAATCAGTGCTCCCTAGTAGAAGAGGCTATAAGACATTAGGTTCTTAAATCCCCACAGTAGGTAAGTTTGTGATTGCCCAACTCAGGAACTAATGGAAAAATATGGCGAGGATAGAGGTCGGGCATACATCTGTGAAGCTCTTTGGGAATAAAAAAACAACAACTGTTTACATTTACTGCAAGAGAATATGAAGGCAGCACAGCAGCCAGTACCAACCACTAACATGAACAAAGTCATCTGAGACCATCTGGCCCAGTGGAGCAACCAGATGCCTATAGCCACATACATAAGCCAGGCAAGACCAGAAGAAAAAGCCCAGCTGAACTCAGCACTGATTGCTGACCCACCATACCTTGAAATGAAATGTTTGTTTGAAACAAAACAAAAAGCACGGTAAACCAAGATTTATCTTTACGTATTTTAGTAATGATAGGCATTGTACCATTACTCAATTATGTCTTGCTTGTTATGGACACTTTTTGGAGTCTCCCACCTTTTTACTTTCAAGGGAACTCTTATTTATTTTGCTTTATGGGTAATACCCATACTAAAAGCTCCTTTCCCCCAGTATCTGGGCTTCCAACTTAATATTTAATGCCACTGAGGTTTTGAGTTAATTTGTTGGCTGTCCTCTGTGGCTGTCACACATCTCTCTTCCTTTCCTCTCTGATGTTATGGGACGGTAGTTCGGATGCCTGGGTCACTTTCTCATCTTTTATTTTTCCCAAGGCTTTGGTTTAAAAGCCTCTGTTCCTTCACCTTCCGCGTTTGTTTCTTTTCTAATCCCAAACCTGTATCCTTCATTTTTAAATCAGTGATTTTTGATTGCAGGGAACAGCCATGGTCTCATGGCGGCTTAAGTTAGCAGCGAGTTTGTTGTAGAAATCCCAGGAATACAGGAAGCAAAGCTTGACTGCCTGCTGGGCACAGGAGTGGGAAGGCCCCTCTAACTCCATGCAGGGGCTGCTTGGTCCTGTCCATCACGCACATGCACACATGTGCCAGTGTATCTGTCTGTCTGCCCTTCTGGAGCAGGGCGGTGACAAGTGTCTATCCCTAAGCCAGTTGGGAGAGGGGAACCGTGTGACTGCCCTCTCAGCATGGGCTGAGGGGGTTCCAAAAAAGGAGTCTGTGGAGGGATACCTCCCCAGCAGCTATTATACCCTTTCTTCTAATTTCTCAACAGGAATAACTCAAGTCACCTGTACTGGAAATCAGTTTGCTGAAATTAATCAACGATTCTTGAAGTTGAAGAAAAGGTAAACATTCTCTTATAAGGGAAACTCATTGTCTGGGGAGAGGTTACTGTCCCAGTCATTTCTCTCATATGCCTAGTTTTGTGTGTAATATTTTACCCCTTCTCTCTGCCTGGCCAAGTTCCTCTTCATCCCTCAAGATCTTTATCAAATGCCACCTTTGTCCTTTGTGGAGGATCTCCTCCAGGCTGCGGGTGATTTCTCCTGCTGTTGAACCCCCACGACACTTTCTCCTTCCTGTGATGTTTGTGTTCTCGTTTGCCCTTCCCCTGATGGTCTCACCCTTCCTCTCTTGGCCAGTCGGGTAGAGGTCTGTGACACACCCCCCATCATAGTACTTACTTCCACGCTTTATTCTCGTTGCCTGTTTTTGTGTTTTCCCCAGTAAGCTGCTTAAGGGTGCATCTGAGTTGTGCCTGGGACACAGTCGGTATTCCATAAATGTTTCTCGAATGACTCATGAAGGAGCCTCTCCACAAGAGGCCTGCTCCTGTGTGGACCCACATTGTACCCCCACCACGCCTCCCTTACTGGGCCTGTACTAGGAATCATTCTTAAATACATTATGATCTTTGAGCATTCATCCGAAATTCCTGATCTTCGCCAGGTGTCCTTTGGCTATTGGTGAAATGAAGCTAATAGCAAAGCTTTTGTATCTGATACTTTTTTTTCACATTTGATTTTGGACCCATGTTAAGAGCAGGAATCCAGAAGTGGGGAGGGAGGTGACAGGCAGAGCTGGATGCCAGTGGTCACTGGAGCACAGCTCCCCAGCCCCCTTCTCCGCTTGTGGCGGGTGTGAGTGGGGGTTGCATGTGGGGGGCTTTAGGTCTCGCTGTGGTTGTAGCCCCTCCTATCTGCTGCACAGGTGGATCACCTTCTCCATCTGTGCCATGCTCTCGACTGCTTCACTCAGTGACTTTGTGTCTTAACCCACCTCCCTGCCCCCAACCTTTGTCCTTTAAATGAATAAGTCAGCAGGTTCCTTTTCTCAAACTGTTTACTGTAACTGCTAAAGATCCCATAAAAGTTTCTTATTAATTTTATGAGTTTATGCATCATAGCCAGAGGGACAAAGCATAGATTGTGGGTGTTCCCAGAGATACAAATTTCCAGAGATTGTTTTGCGTATTCATCTGCACATTGTTGTCTGGGTTTGACGTGTATTGGGCTTCAGTGTGAGGCTTTTAATATGTATATCCTGTTATCAATTAAGAAATTATCCAAGTGGTTGAATCCTGTGAGACTTCGCAAGTGTGTGCAAATCTAGTATACTTGACTTTTCAACCTCTTCTTTCAATGTAACTTTTATACAAAATAAATAATCAACTGACAGTTCTCAAAAAAAAGAAAATCAGTTTAATTGGTCACCATCATCTTGGAAGACTTGACTCAGCCCTTTCTGCCTAACAGTAACCAGCAACTGTCTCTCACATTTGTAGAGTGCTTTCTCTTTTGCAAGGTGCTTTGACACACGTCGGCAGATTTTCTTCTCCCACCAGTCCTGGGAAGCAGGCAGAGGCAAGTGGTAACTTCTCATTTTCAAAGTTGGGAAATAAGCTCAGAAGTTCAATGTCTTGCATAACATCATGAACTGATGTGAATGGGGTTCAGTTCCCCCCAACCATCTGATCTTGGTACCCCCCTTTGGAAGCCATGGCAAACTAACAGTGTCACAGAACCGTCTCTACCCTCAGTGTTCCTTTGAGGGAGGGGAGTCTTGACCTTCTGTTGAGAGTCTGACCCTGGTGCTCCCTCCACCCTCAGCCAGGCAGCTTTCTTGAAAAAGCAGATATGTTCCTCCTGAGACCTTCCAGTCAGTCTTGAAAGTTTTGTTTTTGTTAAGGCTAATTTAAATACAAGAAATTTAATTAGCTTACATGAATGCTGCATTGTCTTACTCTGAGTAAACTGGAAGACACTAACAGGTTTGATCAGCTTAATTCAGCTGTATCTGATGATGTTCTTTCGCTTCCTTCTCTTTTAAATCATTGCAAATGGTTTCTATCAGTCAAGGCAGCAGAGCACAGTGCTTTATTGCCATGTGGAATTGTTTAGTTAACTGTGATTTTTAAAAAATTGCTCAACTTTTAATGAAAGTGGATTGTCAGGTGACATTTTGATTTGTCCTTTGATGGGGAAATGGGAAAATAGAACCATCATAATAAAAAACCAGCTTCTATTCTAGAAGGGGGGCTATTAAAAGCAGGATGTGATTTCAGTGAATTGTTGTTTTCCTAAAACAGGCCACCATCTCTGGTCTTTTTATGTTGAGAGACCTTCCTCTGATACTCTCTTAGATTAACATTTTCCTGTGGGAAATTCTAACCTGGAATCCCCCAAACAGGTTACTCCCCATAGTGTAAGCGTTGGGGCCCAGGACCAGATACCAACACCCTTTTACTGGGAATCTGAAGCATCAGTATCGAGAAATCTGCAAGCCTATCGTGATGCTTGTAATCAAAGGAAACAGGCTTCACATTTTACTTTTAGTTGTGGCATGATGCAAGCACCATTTTACTGTTAAGGTTATTGTTTTCTTAACCCCAAAGCTGGATCTGCATTAGTGAGGATCCTCATAGAGGCTACCCTCATGTGTCCTGGCTGAGTGGGGTTCCAGGTGCTCCTCAGTGGTTGTGCCCACCTTGAATTGGCACAGTGGCAGGACCTCCGACACCATGAGAGGATAGACAGGGGTCACCTCTGAGGCTGGCCCCAGGACTCCTCTGTGTTCTATAGCATTCTTACACCCTTTATGGCAGTTAGCAAACTTGGTATCTCATGGGCACCTCAAGCTTACTGTGTCCAGATTTTAACTCTTGGTCTACTTCTACCATAGTCCCTTTCTAGGCCTCCTCCCTTCCCCCATCTTATTAAGGTACGTAGTTGTTAACTCACTTTGTCAGGCCAGAAACTGGTACTTCATTTGTTAATACTCATCTTTTTCTTCCCCCAAATCACCAAATCCTAATGATGCCTCTCCTAAAGTACATCTTGAATTCATCCATGGCCTTCCTGTATCCGCCCCCCAAGTCCAAGCCAACATCGTCCTTTGCCAGGTGACTGCCAAAGCCTCTTAACTGACTGCCCTGCCTGCTTCCCCTTTTCTTCTATTCCTCTCATCAATTTGGACCCAGAGCAATCTTTAAAAATTCTTGTCAAATCATGTAATTCCCTTGCTTGAAACCTGTTGGTGACCTCATCCTGCACTTGATGAAACACATAAGCCCAGTGCAGCCCATGGAGTGGACTGCACTGTCTGGGCCCCAGGCCTGGCTACAGAGGCACAGCATTGTTGGCACCATGTTGTTGTAGCTTGTGAGACATTCTCCCCTTCACTCTTGACTTCCTAGGAAGATTGCAGTGACTTCAATTTTCCAAACGCAATAAAATAACTCAGGCTCTCAAAGGTGTACTTAGAATGAATATTGTGTTCTGGGAAATGGAACAAGGAGTGATTTGTTCCTCCAAACACCAGAATAACAACTCCTAGAACACAGAGGTGGACCACTATTTCATTTGTAACCTTAATAAGTTAATAGCCAATAAGTAATCAGCTGAAATTGCAATACTCCTTGCTACTCCCCAAGCAACCTCCCCATCCCCCACCCACATATTTTGACATAAAAATGTGCAACAGCATTTTAGCTCATGAAATCTTGAATGAAACTTGGTTCTAGGTTGGTACAAGAAAAGACTGGCATTCTATTATACAAGGGAAAAAGAAAGCTAAATATTAGCATACAGCTTTCCTTTTTAAATATGTTTTTCCTATCTTGAAGCCGATTTGTTTTCCTTAGTCTTGAGCTTTACTCCTGTGTGTGTCGGAGGTCCTGCGTGTGCTGCCGTGCACACATCTGAAAAGCACGTACCTGAATTTCATCTTAGGCATGATACTCTCCATTCTCAGGCCTTCCCCAAGGTAATTAATGGTAATATTGAAACTCCAGCTGGATGTTTGGTACACTGTGGCCTGATGAGTTACAGCAAAGTTTGTAATGGGAATACCAGCAAAGGTGATTTTAATAGTGTGATGAGCGTTGTGATAGAGTTTATTACCCAGAGTCCTGGGAACACAGAGATGGCCCCTCACTCACCCTGGGGGATGGAAAGTCATGTGACCCTTGAGATGGGTCTTGAAAGAGATGCCAAGTACCAACTGCTTGTTACTTTTTTGCCAAGCAGAAGGAATGCTTGGGAGAATAGGGGTGCAAAGGGCATTTCAGACAGCTGCATGGATAAAGGCCTGGGAGGTCAGCAAGGGTGTGGCATGCCAGAGAACACTGAGGAGGGTCGCTGCTGTGGTGGAGGGCACGGTGGGGTGGGAGTTGAGTGCAAAAGGTAGGCAGGAGCCAGATCATGCAGGTCCTTCCTTGGGGACCAGGTTAGGCAAGGGATTTGGATTTTATTCTAAAGGCAGTGGAATGCCACTGTAGAATTAAATACTAGGGAGTTACTGGACCGGGTTTGTCTTTTACAATAGGGATTCTGTAGGCATGGTCTGTACTAAGACTTCTCCTGAAAGTCAGTGATCTGATTCAGATATGCAAGTCCTTTTATTAGTTCTAATGGGTGTGAGACTTAAAATTCCAGAGACTTGCACATTTTAGGTATGACGGTAGGCTGGATGTTGCTAAGTGACTGACATGTGATTGGTGTTAAGTTAGTGCCCTGCTGGAGTTTCTGGATGATTGTACTCCCCTGGGTTGCCATGCTCAGCAGTGGTGCATTCCAGGTGCCTGCTGAGCATGGACACAGGCGGTTGGATTCCTGCGGGTTTGGAAATGGCACTCTGACAGTGCAACGTCAGTGAGGTCTTGAATTTGTGACAGCAACTTAAAGTTGCTGGGAATCTAGAGGTCTAATTATACTGTTAACTTGGCTTTCTTGTTATTTGGTTAACATTTTTTGGTTGGTGGTTAACCCTGCACTCTGAAGTGATGCATATTTATGCTAGGAATGTGTTTTGGCTTCAAAGTTTATGATAACTAGACTTTAAAACAGGTATGAAATTTAGATGCATCGTCTATATCCCTTTGCAAAAGATGTCTCTGTCTCCCACATTTGCTTCTCTGGTGATTCTTCAGTGTTACTACCATATTATTTTTTCCTGCTAAGGGGAAAATATGTGAGATGAGCAAGGGTGGCATCCCTTGCCTTGCCTCCATGGACAGTGGTTTCGAAAGGACTCAGGAGTGTTTGCATTACTTAAGGCTTGACAAAGCAGTAAGGTGAAGGCAGAGAAACAGTGGAGGAGGCTATCACAATTTCCTCATCAATAAAGATGAGGGCTGTGGGGAAGGAGAGAGGGGTATGTCTGAGAGATGTTTAGGATAAGGGAGAACAATCTGATGTAGAGAATGACAGAGAGGGGTGGTATCTAGGAGATCCCCAGACTTCTGGCTTGGGCAGCATTGGCGAGAGGGACAGTCTTGTATCATCTAGCAAGTAAGTAAAGCAGGCCAAGATGAGGAGGCTTGGAAGTGGGCAAGAGTTTGGCTTGTTCTCCCACTATGTGCAGACAGAACAGCCGTGCATGATGCGATGTCAGAGGTCAGGGTTGGGCTCAGCACAGAGATGTTGAAAGCCAGGTCCTATCTGTACCCTGTTTTGTTGACAGTGGGGAACACATGAACACATTCTAGTTAGAGGACTAAGATCAGACATGGGTTTCTGTGAAATCATTCCCTGGAAATTGAGGAATCAGGAGGCTGGAGGAAGGGAGGCATCTGGGTGGAGATGCTGAGGACTCGGTAATGGCAGGGAGAACATACAGGCATGGGTATGCGTGCAGTGTCTGCAGCCTCTATTTTATTTGGGGGTGGCGTGTGATACAGATTCTAGAGTCAACACAGAGGAGAATGAGCAGCCCTTGGTAAGCTATTAACCAGGAGCAGGTGGGGGCAGCGTGGGGAAGGTGGAGTAGAAGGTGACTGGGAGAGCTCTCCTCTGTTCTGGTGCCCAGGCTTGCCTTAGTTAACAGTGGACCCACGGTGGCCTGAGTGGACCTAAGACTGGAGCTGGTCTGACTCTTGCTGACCTGGAGGCTTCTGTGCAGTCTGCAGTTGGACCAGTGGCAAGATCAATAAACCTTGTCTTCAGTGCTCAAAAGCCTTCTTGTTCTGTGCCATTGCCGAAACCATTCTCATTGACTGGTAAATCAGCTTAAGGTTCAGCAAAAAGGAGGACATTTAAATTAAAGATCAAATATTTATCACTTTGTTAATGACAAATGCAACTTCAGCAGCTCAAGTTCATTTTCTGATGGGGTCATTCCCTTTCTCCTACCCTAAAATAGACTCTTAGGAGACCTTGGAGAACATTGACACACCGCTATGTAAATATTTGATAGCAGCTTAGCTTACTGCCTTTCTTTTGCAAAATATATGAATTTTGTCAGGAATCAAAGGTCTGCAGTGAAGCACACATGGTAAGCATTGAGAGTGCACAGTGTGTTTGCAGAATCCCTTTTGGACCGGCCGTCTCAGCTCCTTGGCTAGTCCCCTTGCTCATCGTTCATCAACTCGTTCTGCTCTGGTCGCCCTGGCCCCTTGCTACCCCTTAAAACCTTCAGGCTGCTCCTGCCTTGTGGCCTTTGCCCTCCATGCCCTTCCCTGGCACCCTCTTCTTTGAGGTCTCCTTGGGGCTTGCTCCAGCCTTTCCTGCAGGCCTCTGCTCTCCAGTCACAGAGGCAGTCCCTTGTAATGCTCTCTGGGTTAAATCACGTCTCCCACCTGGTCACCTTACACTCTTTTGTCTTTCTTCATAGCACTTTGTTCCTTGACATATTACACTTTTATTTGTTTATTTTTTATCTCCCTCAATTGGACTGTGAATTCCATGAGACCAGGAACTTTGTTTTCATTATTCTGTCCTGTCACCAGGACATTACCCAGCACATCGAGTCTGCCTTGTATTTGGTGAATCAATGAATGATCAGATGGACCAGTCAATCAGTTTGTATATTCACAACAGTTAATCAGCTTGTGGCACGTGGTAGGTGCTCAGGAAGTGTTTGAAAGAATGAATTGGTGAGTGAGTAAATGAATCTGTGCATGGTTAGTTGCCAACACTGGTGCTCAGCAACTGTTAGCTGGATAAATGAACGGTTGCTGGAGCTTACTCGCCTGTCTCTGGGGCTAGTCCCTAGCTTCTTTATTGGGGGAAGGCCCGGATGCACAATCTTTGATGTGTGCTATTGTTTCTGTTTGATAAATTCAGTTAGTCCCTCATTCTTTCCGTTTGTCTGCCATCAGCCAGGCTCTGTAATTAACTTACTGTAATTTAGCTGAGAGGTGAATTTTCCATTTTAAAGATGTTATAAACAACTGGTGCTTGTGCATCTTGGTTGTTGATGAAGTTCATGCCTAAAAGAACATGAGGGCTGTGTTACGTGTCTAGGGGAGAAGGGGCTGTTAGCCCACACCTGGCCATAAAAACATGGGGACAGGCTGGCAAGTTCTGGCGAAGTTGTGTTTCTCTAGCTCCAGTGCACCAGCATGCCAGCATGGGGGCCAAGGATCAGGGTCAGTGTGGTCATCTTCCTCAAGGGTCACATTTAACCCAAAGATTTGGGAGAAATAACATTTTAAAATTTTACAACCAATACTGATATTTGTTAAAGGAGAATTCAATATCACTTAGTAGTTAAGAGCAGGCTGTGGAACCAGACTGCCTAGGTTTGACTGTGTCTCACCACTTACTTGCCTAGTGGTCCTGAGCAAGTTACATAATCTCAAAACTCATTTCTCACTTCTAAGGTGGGAGCCTGTGATGCAGTAGAGCCAACAGCACGGGGATGTCAGGGATCAGTGAGAGCCACGGAAGGCTTTATCACAGTGTGTGCACATTGTAAGTAAACAACAAGGCAGATGTTTCATGTGATCACTTGATGTTTTAAGATAACAGAGGAGCCAAAGGAAATTTTATTCTTACCCTGGCCATGCCCTAACATGGCCTCCAGGGATAGGCATTCACTTACTTCTGCATATTTCAGATGGGCAAGTTAGGAGAAGCACTGCCTTAACAAAACCCAGTGCACACCATTGGATGGCTTGCATGCTTTCTCAGGAATTCTTCCCCAGCCTTGCCTTGGAGTTGAGCTGCCGTTAAGGAAGTGATGAATTAGCCATGCTTACTTTTAGTACCTGCTGTTTTAAAGTACCTATTTGAATAGCAAATGAAGTCGAGGGAACCTACAGGTTTGGATAAAGAACTGCCATCTAAGGAATGACGGTATATAGAGGAGCTTGTAATTTGAGCATTTTCACACACATTGCTTGCATTTCATTCTTATAACCACTTATTCATCAAGGTAGCGAAGACTGTCAGAATGGAAAGAGACTTCAGTAACTCTTGGGTCCATCTGTTTGATATGATTTCTGAAGTCCCTTCTTCAGCATCCTATTCGTCTTTCAGACCCTGCTTGGTTTCTCCGGGAGATAGAGCGTTCCCTGCCCCAAAGGCAGTTCAGTCTGGCTCCCCATAATTTCTACGCATTGGTTTAGGTTCTGTCTTTTAGAGCCGCAGCTAAATCTAGCACTTCTTCAACCTGTAATTTATGCCCTTTTAATATACAGACCTCTGGAGGTAGTGTTTCCACAACCTCACCTGGGCCATTTAACCATTGCGATTTAACCATTAAATATATGAAGTCTGCGAGAGGCAGCCTTGACTGGTAGGTCGGCTTAGTCTGGTGGACTTCAGCTACAGGTCTCAACTCATTGACTGATTGTGAAATCTCTTTTGTGGATCTCAACCAGCATTTTTTTAATGAAATGAAATATCAGAGTATATAAACACATATTTTCTAAAACTCTGATTTCAGTTTGTGTTGCATGTGCTGCCGTTATATTCTTTCTGCACATCATAAGCATTTCAAAAGCCATTGTTTTGGACCCTCTTACAGGAATTTCAAGTTACTTCACGTTTATTTAGTTATCATCTTTGTCCTTTTAATGGTTGAATTTGCTTCAGGTCAACTAGTTAAAGACATAGTAGCTGTGTTTCAGGTTGCTGATGGCTATTAATTTAACTCTGATTGCTCTGTAAAGAAGAGCATTTCCTGGCTGGCCAGGGTTAAATAACAAGACCTGTTCAAAAGCTCTGCTTCCTCCTTTTTCCTTACTCCACCTTCAGTGAGAGAAGCTGGTTGTGAGCACCTAGAGGATTTCGTGCAATCTTAGGGCCTGTCCTTAAAAGGCAGCCTTTCCTCAAGGCAGGAGGAACCTCCTTTGCTGCTGGCTCTGGGAAGGAGCTTTTGAGGACGAGCCTGCACTTACCCGGGCTGCTTTGGTCTCTAGACTGCCCTGAGCCTGGAAGTATTCTCACAAACAAGAGAGTCACCTTATCACAACTTGGTGTGAGGGATGTGACAATACCTCCAACTGGAAAGGGAGGGATGTGGCTTAGTTGAAAGAACAGAGTTGAGAGTCTAGCATTGTTTTCTGATCTTGAACTCTGCATTGGGGATGGAGGGGGAGAGGTGTGGGGGGACAGGTGAGGGACAGCTGTGGAGAGAGGGGGCTCCTTGGACACATGACTTAAGCTCTTTGAACAACGGTCAGATTTCAGGTTCAGGGCCTATGCCAGGGACTTTTCTTTTGTAATCTCATGTCATCCTCACATTGTCTTTCTCTTACTTTGTCGTACTGGCCTGATGAAACCCCATCCCTGGTTAAATTGAACCTCCTACTTTTTCTATGCCTACACCTGCGCGGTTGGTGCCATCCTGACTTTCCTGCTTCAAGCTGTGTGGCCTCCAACTGCAGTGGGCCCCAAGCTGGTGGCAGGTCATGCCACTCCTCCCATTCAGTCATCGCCTCCTGGACAGCTGTTCATGGCTTCTCTCTCTTCAGACTTCCAACATCTCCCTTCTCTCCCTGCCTCCTAAGCAGATGCTCTTCTTTGAGGAATTATTTTTCATACATAATTATTTTGTCATTATTCCTTATGATGATGACAGCTAATGCTTATATTATACCTACTATGTACCAGTCACTATTCTTGTATATCAGTTTTCTAGGTCCAATTATTAGCCCCATTTTTCAGGTGAGACATCTGAGGCACAGAAAGATTAAGTAACCTGCCTGAGGTTGCAGGGCCGATAAACGGCAGAACTAGGATTTCAGGCCGGCACTGCCTCCGAGTCTTCCCTGTGCTCTTGTTTACTGCAGTCTGGAGAAGAGTTGCTCTCACTGCCTTCTGTCTGCCTGCTGCCACCCTCCCTCAGACTTACTCCAATCTTGCCCCTGACCCCTCTTCACTGAAACTGCTCTGCAAGTCATAGAGGACCTGCATGTGGCCAGACCAGATGGCCAGCTCCCCCTTCCTCAGGACACCTTCTTCATTTGCCTTCCAAGCCACCATCGTCTTCCTGGTTTTCTTCTTGACTCCCTTTTCAGTCTTTTCCTGCTTCCTCTTCAACTCCCCCAAGGTCTAGACTTTGGATTGCTCCAGGGCTTAGTCCCCTACTCTGCACACACTCCACTTCCCAGCTTTAAGGGCCCACAGCTCCCAGGGTCCTGTCTCCAGCCCATTCTCCCTGCTTTGCAGGCGCATGCCTCCAGCTGCCTTTTCATGCCTCTACTAGGGATGGCTGATAGATTGTCAAACTCCAGCTGTCCCCACCCGCCTCACACCCCCTTGCAACTTCCCACCTCTCTCAATGGCAACACCATTCTTCCAGTTGCGCAGGCCTGAGACCTTCAGTCTGTTTTCTTTTTTTCACACTCCATTTCCAATCTCGGTAAATTGTATGCCTCTGCCTTCAAAGTGTACTCGGTATCAGACCACTTTGCACCACATCTACCCGTATCCTGGAACATTAAGTTTTACCTGAATAATTCATTAGCATCTTCACTGATTTCCTTGCCTTAGCCCTTTCACAGCTGCAGTCAGTTGTCCACACAGAGTTCTTTTAAAATGTAAGCAGCACCCTTCTGTGGCCCCATCTTGCCCTCTGCTGCTCCCTCTGTGACCCCTCAGCTCTCCCTTTGCTTTCTCCGGACTTGCTGGCCCCTGCGTGCTTCTCAGACATGCAAGGGATGCCCCGCCTGAGGGTCTGTGCATGGGTCCTGCCCTGCCTGGAAGATCTTCCCCCTGCACAGGTCCCTTCAAGTCTCTGGTCCAGTGTCACTTTCTCATGAAGCCTTCCCTGATCAGTTACTCTAAATTTACAGCCTCTGCGCCTCCAGCAGCACATAGCATCATCTGACACATGCTCTATCCATTTGTTAGTTGTCTGTCTCTCCACATTCCCTGTGAATGAAGACAGCTTCATTACCTGAAGGCAACATTTTTGCTTGTTTTGTTCATAGCTGCATCCTCAACATTGTCCCCTGACATACAGGGTATGCTTAAAAAATATTTGAATGATAGATACTTTTATCTTTGTTTGACAACATAGTAATTGAAGGTCTTAAGAGGTTAAGTTACTTGCCCAGGATCACAGACCCTAGAATTGCCAGGATGGGACTGAAACCCTGACATGCACTTAATTTACCGTGTGCTGCTTTTTCTTGTTGACTAAGGACAATAATACATAACACAGTTACTTTGAGGATGAAATGAATAATGCACAGAAAAGCACTTTATTAATCCAAGTGTGCCAAAAAAATGTGACTTATCTGATTTATTGAGAATGCTAGCTTTCATGTCTCTGTCATTCGGCAACCCACTCAAAGATTCTTTTGTGTTTCTGGATTTTTATTTGGGAGTAGTCAGTGCTGCTGCCACTGCTGCCAAATAACATTTTCTTATTTTTTCTGCCCTTGGTATGAGAAGTGTGTGTGTGTATCTTTTATCTGTCTGTAGCTATGATCCCTCCTCCCCTCCATACACCCACTGGCCTTCAGGTCAAGAGCTTTCCTGACCCCTGTGGCCTGTCGGCAGCAGGGAGCTAGTGGAGCTGGCACCTGTGTGGCTGTCATTGTTTGTTCATGTATATGTTCCTGGGGCAGACGCTTATGTTATCAGCAGGTGCTTTGCGGGTGTCCGGAGTCCCATCTTGCACAATTCTCCTGTCAGCCTGTCTGCCCCCTACCCCCACTCTGCCGCAGACTGGAGTGAAGTGATCACAGGCCCGTTATGGCTAAATACCAGGGACATAAAATGAAGCAAGCACACTTGATGAACCGCAGAGCTGCTGCTCTCAAGTGCAGAATTTATGTCTCCCTGAACCCAGGGCAGCTTCCCTGGGCTTATAGCATAAAGCATAGAGCAGTTTGGCCCTTCTAATGCCTCATATTGTAATAATGACACAGTTACAAGAAGAGATGGTGGAGCTTTCTCCATATATACCCTTCTCGTGTTGTTTATTCATTTGTGTTCCTGATTTTGAAGTGGGAGAAACATGCAGCCACTTCTTAGGGAGCGCCTTCAACTGTTTTTTTCTGAAGACAGGAGAGCTTTGAAACTTTAGAAAAGGAGAACAGCATTGAGAATAGTCTAGTGGTTGGATGTCTGGGCCTGGTTACTGTTCTCACATGGGTTGTACAGTGGGGTGTAATGGGCGTTAGTGTACAGGGACTTAGCATGGACTCCAGGTCTGGTCAAGCTCTTCTCGGCAGGCACCCCTTCAACAGCCTGTGACATCCTTGGCTCCCTCCATGCTGTAGGCCCTGGGCAGTGTAGGGGTGGGTGGAGAGAGTTGCACTTTTCCTGGGGGCCTTCAGAGCAGCCTGGCCCACACTGAAAACTCAAGCGGGATGTGGTGCATCTTTTAACCCAGAATGACTGCCCAGCCAGCGTGTAGCGGCACCTTCCAGGCATCAGGGCTAGCCTGATTGTAAGCAACAGACTTTACCTGCTGCCAAATGAGACATACCAAGAAGGCTTGTGTTCCTCTCACAACCTTCCCTGTGTCCTCAGCTTCCAAAGCTGATGAGCGGGAACCAGGCTTGGACTCTTGATCTGTGTCCCATTGGTCCACATGCCTTGTAGGGGATAGCCTGGCCTCCCTGGAAGCAGCTGCTTGGGGTGGGGGCAACACGGTTTCTGAGCCAGAAAGAGCTTGATTGGAATCCCAGCTGCACTATTGACTTTCTAACCACCTGGGGCCTGCTCTAAGCCTCAGTTCCCTTGTCTGCAAAATGGGGATGAAGGCTGCTGTGAGGCTTGCATGTTTGTGGAGGGCTTTAGTGCAGTCGCTTGATAGGTATTGAGCATTCAGGAAGCAGTAGCTGCTGTTCTTATTTGTAGGGTGGTTGAGAGGCACTGTGGGGTCACACAGGATGGGTGGGCTTTGGAATCACATCTGAGTTCAAATCCTCATTCAGTTGGTCATTCATTAAATACTTAACGAGTACTTATTGCAGGTTTTATAGTGGAGTTGAGATTGTGCTTGTTCCCAGCAGTCTTTGATGTTGGACAACAGCATACTTTACTGAATCCCAGTTTCATCATTTAAATGGGGGTAAAAATACCAATCTTGTATGATTGTGGTGGGAATGAAATAAGTATTTATAAATGGCAGCTAGCTGCTTTATTATTACAGAATTTTCTATTCTAACTCAATGGTTAGTTGCCTAAGATGAACTGCTTGTCTTAAAATATTCCGGCTTTGATATTCAGTCCAGCAGATGTTTGTTGAGCACCTGTTATATAAAAGGCATCATGCCAGCCCAGGAGAATATTATTACCAGCAAGGCACATTTGCAGTCCCCGAGAAGTGGAGACGTCAGAGGCCCAGCCAGCTAGGCAGTAGCTGCCAGTCAGTGCTGCAGTAAAGGTATAAACCAAGTCCTGAGATAGCACTGAGGAGGAAGCTGTTGCTTCTGCATGGAGGAGCTGGCAAAGGCCACATGTGATGGTTGTCCAAAGATGAGAGACTGCACAGGCAGGTGACAGTGTGAGGGAAAAGCGCATTCCAGCATAGATGTTCCATCAGCAAAGGCATGGAGGTGAGAATCCACAGGCAGGCTCAGGTGTGATGGTAATAGTGGGTCATTTGGGTGTGGTGAGGCTGGAAAGAATGAATGGGGCTGGGCTGTGAAGGCTTAGGGAGTTCTCAGCCTTGTGGGCTGAGCCTATGATGTGGAAAGCTTACAGGAGGGCAGTGTGAGCCCCTGACTGCATGGGGCAAGCTGTCCGGTAAAAGTATAATGCCAGCTACTCATGGAATTTAAAACTTTTCTAGTAGCCACATTAAAACAGAAAAGAAAACAGGTGAAATCGATTTTAATAATAGATTTTATTTAACCCAGTATATTCAAAACATTATTTCAACATATAATCAGCATAAATAACTTTTAATGAGCTATTTGGCATTCTTTCTTTTGGTACTAAGCCTTCAAAATCTTGTGTGTATTTTATACCACAGCACAGCTGATTTTGGACCACAGCCATATTGCAGATGTTCAACACATGGCCGGTGGCTGCTGCATTGGCTGCACAGGGTTAGCAGGTCTGGGGTGATGAGAGTTGAAAGTGATCTTCCTTGTCTTAGACCTTCCCCTGAGAGCCTGAACCAGGCTTCTCGCATCAAACCTTTGAACAAACCTGCCCAACAGCTAATTGGTACCTCAGGGAAAAGAGAAAACCTGGGGGATTTTGTCATGCATGGGTTATATGGTGCAAAAAAAAAAAAAAAGAATTCCCTGGTGTTTCCCAGATTCATGTACATCTCCACAGCACAGACCTCGCTGGACAGCAAGTTACTGTGTACCATTTATTGAGCCTCTGGTATGGCCTGTTCATCCACTGCATACTTCAGATAATACATTATTTCTAATTTTTCGATGTCTGCAAAACAGGTTTCTTACCCATTTTACAGAGGAGGAGAGTCGGGACGTGAGAGATTTAGTACCTTGTCCAAGATCGTTTAACCAGATGGGGCAGAGCTAAGGCACAAACCTGACTTCAAACCTGTGTTCCTACCATTCCTTAATAGGATCTAACACTCTGTGTACATTATAATCTCCAAATCGGAGAAAAGTGCATATAAGAAGTTAGCATGTGTGCATACATGCATATCTATATACATAAGTAGGAAAAGACGGGAAAGTTCTAATCACAGAAAAAAAATCACAAACAATTCTGTGCTGAAGAATGCGTCCCTGCTTTCCTCCTCTCTGCCTCTGGTCTCCTGCCCACACATACTGGGGACCATTTGGAGTGTCCCCATGCTGACCGGTTGCCGTGGGTGTGTGCTGGTGGGGGGTAGGAGCATAGCAGGTGGAGTTTCATTAGAATTAGTAGAACTCAGGCATTTGTGAAGTTTCCGTTTCCCTGGTTAGGGAAGCTAGAGGCCGTGGGGCACTGGCATTTGAGAAGCTGGAGGCTGCAGCTTCCATCCTGCCTGAGCTGCTTGCTGGGCAGAAGCCAGGCTGAGCGTGTGAGCTTCATTTATTTCTCTCTGCAAGGGGCTGCTGAACCATGATGGGGGCACAAAGTGGGCGAAGGGCGGGAAGATAAGTGGGGTACACCCAGGAAGGTGGGGACTGTCCAGGCTTCAGAGTCACAGATGTGGGTTTGACCTTTGACTCTGCCAGTCCTTTCTTTTGTGTCAGTGGCAGGGCCTTGGATTCTTCCTTGTGAAACTGGAGCAGTCATTTTAGGCAGAGCTCTTTCCAGTGTAAGGGACAGAGACCCCTTGGAGCCAGCCAAAGTTGAAAGAGGCGTTCATCACATACAGAGACACGTCGGAGTACCCTGAGGACAGGAACCTGTGTAGAGCTGGCCTCACAGGGGACTCGACTAGAAGGAGGAGAGTGTGGAGGCTTCTCTTGTGGCCTCTCTGGAGTGCTCCCTCCACCCCCAGGCCTCTCTCCCACCTGGCTTCCCTGGTGACTACAACTGTGTGATTGTCCAACTTCAGTGTCCATTCATGTCTCTTAGATTCTTGAAGTAGAGGCCAGTTGGCCCAGCTTCTCCTTTAGGCAAGCCCACATTTCAGAGGTCCTAGCAGATGTGCTTGAGCCAGCCCTGGCCCAGGAGGCCGCCCGGTGCAGCCCCTGGGCCCAGAGCCATGGTGAGGCGATCCTTAGCCCAGAGGGAGGCGGGCATGGACAGTGCTCTGTGGTGGCCTTTCCACCCTCCAAAAGTGATTGCTTCTTGATTTCTCTTTCCCTGAGTCTGCCTCCCAACTTCCCAGACTTTAAGCTGAAACCTTCTCCTATTTCATTGAAAAAAACAGAAGCCTTTAGTCCCCCAACCCTCACAGTACGGAGCCACCCCTCGCCCCCAGTGCCATCTTCCTACCTCCTCTTGTTGAGTTCAAAGGGTCCTTTGCCTCTCGAAGGCAGGTCTGTCCATTCAGCTTCTTGTCTTGCTCCTACAGAGACCTCTTCTTTTTTCAGTGTCAGGGTTTTCTCCCATTCTATTAGACCCCTCAAACATCATTCTCTAGTTTCGCTTATTATTTAAAGAAAAAGAAAGAAAAACCATTTTGGCCACACACATTCTTCCCACAAAACTTCAAAGCAGTTTTCTGCCCTGGTGCTGTTTGGCGTGCTGGCATGCAGACCCGTCATCACAAGCTACCGGAAGACAGAGGGGCTTGCAGCAGAGTGTCAGCCAGCTCTGCACTGAGCACGTGCCACTGACAGTTTTTCCCTGGCCAAATATTCCCGAGGAAGGAAGCAGTGCGTTCGCTTATGTTCTGGCACAAATGCCTCTGTCTTCTCACAGTTGACCTTCTTGACTGTCTTGGTCCCCACGACAGCACGTTCTCTTTTGCCTCACTCCTTTTCTCTGAGTACCCCATGCTTGCTCTTCCCCTTCCTGCCCTGTAGCTGTCAGGGTGAAAGGACTCAGTCCTGGGCCCTTTCTCTGCCTGCCTTGGACATGATCTCTCTTAATCCAATAGTTGATGACTTCCAAATACAGATCTTCAGCCCAGACCCAGCTCCTGACTCATTTATCCAATTGCCTCCTTGATATTATTTCCATGACGATGTCTAAGAAGCATCCTCACATGCAGAGCACTCAATGCGCTTCTTGAGTCCGCCCTTCCCCAGTGCCCATGCCCTCCCTGGCTCAGGCCACTCTGCCCTCTGCCTGGTGCTCTTCCCAGCTTTTTTCCTGGTTGGTCCCTTTTCACCATAGGGTCCCCTCCCCAGTCGTTATCTCAGAGATGCTTTCCCTTGCTGCCCCAGCTCACAGGTGAGTGAGAGCAGAGACGCTGCTCCTCCTGAAGCCTGATGAAGTACCCAGGATTCAGACGGGCATGTTTGCCCTTTAAATCCTGACCAGACCGGCCCTGGCCCCAGCAGCTTGAGGCTTTTTTCCATGCCTCCAGGAACTTCTGAATGCATCTTACAAATGTTGAGAACTGGTCATTGTGGAGGCTGGGGCCTTTGAATGTCAACTACACTTGTGTGGGTGGATGCAGACAGCAGCATGAAGTGCAGGAGGGAAGTCAGGCCCAGCACTGCTAGCCAGCCAGCCAGGGCATGGCTAGCCCCAGGCCTGGGGTGCCACCTGCCAGTCCTGTGAGGAATTTGGGAGAGACAGCAGCGGGCTCCGACAGGCCATTAGCTCCACAAGGAAATGGCCACGAATCAGAGTGCTGCTAATGGCTTGTTTCTTTTTAAACAATTTTTTTGAGGCCGTGTCGGAGAGAATAGGCTGCCATTTGCAGCTTTGAACAGGAATGCTGTCCATTGCTCTGTTAGAAGCCATGGGGTATTTACAAACTGGGTGACTGTTGGCAAGACATTTTTCCCCTTTGCTCCTTGGTTTCCTCCCTTCCGTGATGGGGATAATAAAGCCTGTCTGTCTGACTCACAGGGCCGTTGGGGTGTGTTCCAGGTGTTGGTATGTCAGCTAGCACGAATTCGCCGCCCGCTCTGTGCCAAGCCCTGAGTTATACAGCTTCCTACTCCATCCTCACCACGGTCCCGCGAAGGTGGGCATCACTCAAGGCTGCAGTCAGGCTTAGAGGAGCTCAGTGCACCCGTCCCTGGGCCGCCCACGGGTATGGGTGGAGATGTCTCAGCCCACCTGTACCGCGTCCCTGCGGGCGGGCAGAGCTCTGGGTACAGATGCATTTGTTTTCCAGATTCTCACAGTCATCCTTTAAGACAAGCTGTTCTCATTGTTCAGATGATGGCATGGAGGCCTAGTGGAGTTAAGTGACTTGCTCAAAGCCATTTAGCCTGTAAGTGATTGGTCCTGGATTTGAAGGCAAGTCTGCCTGGAAGTCCTTTGGAAGACTTGAAAAGGAGAATTGGTAAAGCCAGGGGTTCCTATACCTTTCAGGCCTTAAGAAAGTAATAGTAGGTGTTTTTTTTTTTCTCTCTGTTCCTTATTTCATGAAGGAAATTATACATTTGCCCAAATGGCGCTTCCCTTAATATTTGCTGAACCTTAATGTTTGCTTTTGATTGGCATTATGCCATCCTAGCACAATAATATTTGTCATCTCATACCTTAGGAAACTCTGCCTGATTTTGAATGATACAAAAAAGGTTTTGGGGTCTAAATGGAGTGAGAGGAATGGTAAGAGATTAAGTATCCCTCATAAAAACAGGATGGTGTCAGTAAGACCTTTCCCAACTCTGAGTTCACATTCTACCACCTCGGTCACTTAGGTGTAAATGTCATCTTCCTCCTCAAGATGATGACAGGCCACCCACTACCCTGGGACAAAACAGGGCAGACAGTATACAGCATAGGTCCCTCTGCTAGAGGAACATTGGTATTCAGTGCTCTTCTGCTTCCAAGAACCCCTCACTCCATGCTACTCTCCGAGAATATTGTAATGGACATCTGCCTTTGATATAGCCCTGATACCCAACCCCACTCCGTCACTGTGTTTGAAAAGTACTCTTCCTGCTGTACAAATTGGAAGGCTAGGCTGTGGGCATATGGGCCGGGGCTTGGCTAGTCACACATGCATGGAAGCTGGTGATGCAGAATGCTGGGGGGTGGCGAGTTCATCTGGAGACTGTGCCAGCAGCCACATCTAGTTTTTGGGGGTGGTCATGGTGGCTCGGCACCTCCTGCTCCAGTGCCCATGTCCAGTGCTGACGGTGGTGATGCAGGCTCTGGCATCCTCACACTGGGAGTGTGAGTTGGGCTCCAGTTATGGCAGCACAGCATAATGTCCTGCCCATTTTCTGAGCCTGGTTCTTTGGCTTTTCTGGGAATCAGTGAGATGCCAAAGGCCTTTAAGTAAACTCGATTTAAATCAGCTGAAGTCTGCTTCATCTGCTTAAAGCTAAGAAGCCGACTTTTATAGAGATGTTCCTCTGTAGTTATCCAAACATTTGTATTCATTCTTCTGGCCCCTGAAAGTTCTACTTCACCTGTTAGGCACCTCCGTGAGCTACAGAATTAACAGGAGAATCCCAGGTTGAGTGGGTGGCAGGACTGTGGGCTCAGCCGTCTCCCTTCATTATTACTGTGACCCGGGTCTCCATCATGCCCCCTAGACGGTGACCTCTGTGGGGACACAACTGAGTCCTTCATCTCTATCCTCAGCTCCTTGAGTAATGCTTGGCACACGGTGGGTGCTTGGGAAGGTTTGGATGAATGGGCCAAGGAACCAACAAAGAGATGAGAGAAGTTGATGCCTGTGGGCTCTCTGCAGCCTTAATGAGGCTGGCCTGGCTTGGGCAGGAAGGGGGCTACGTGCCTGGAGACTGCAGGCTGCCTGCAGTTCCATGCTGGAGATGGGCTGGGGAGATCATGGAACTTAGAGCAGGAAAGCAAGTAGCTAGAGCCACGAAAGGGAGAGCCGCTCCTCTGAGTGGAGGCGGCGTAGTTGGTGCTTCCCAATCCTTTCACCTCATGGCATGTACAGAACACAGTATTATTTGTCTGGTACCCAGGGCTTTGTCCAGCTGGCGCTGGAGCGGAGGCCCCTCTCACAGCACACCGGTGACCCAGTGCCCACTACTTAGAGCGCTGATCCCAAGAGAACTTAGAGCCTGGTGTGGCCTCTGTTCTTAGCCCTTTGTCATGTAAGTTGCAGATATTTTTCCTAGTTGTGTATTTGCCTTTAAGTGATTTATTTTTTCTTCTATTTGGTTTATTCTCTACTATCACAGTTGTTCTCTCTACAGGAGGTTCCAGCCTTGGCAAGAGGAGTGTGGCCCTTCCTGGAATCCCTCTGGACACACCCTCCTAGCATCCTCTAGGAAAGATGCGGCAGCTCAAAGGGAAGCCCAAGAAGGAGACCTCCAAGGACAAGAAGGAGCGGAAGCAAGCCATGCAGGAGGCCCGGCAGCAGATCACTACAGTGGTGCTGCCCACGCTGGCCGTGGTCGTGCTCTTGATCGTGGTGTTTGTGTACGTGGCCACGCGCCCCACCATCACCGAGTGAGCCCCGCAGCCGGCTGCGGACCCCATCGGCAGGGAGAGGAGGCGCGGGAGGGGGACGCAAACAAAAAATGGCTTTCATATTCAGAGATGTTCATGTTGCTGAGCTGTAAGCAGGAGCACCCTGTCTTCTCTGGTCTTTGACTTGATTAAAGTATCTCCGCTTTCTTGGGAGGGAATAGGGGATGTTTTATCAGTGAATGTGCCATACACCTTATGGTCCACTTCATGTGCCTTTCAGACTTCAAAGCGCGCGCGCATGTGTGTGTGTGTGTGTGTGTGTGTGTGTGTGTGTGTGTGCTTCTTTTTCTCTCCTAAAAATCGATAAGTAGCTCCACCTGAAGAGGGATGGAACCTCTGGGTCAGGAAACAGCTGGAATCCACACTCACCTCATTCCCATTGTTTGGATCATGCTTCTTTCCAACACGTGTTCACAATCTCCAAAGGGACTGTATTTCTTCTCTGTGCTTAATGTGATTTGAAATATGTTGAATCAAAGTGAAATATTTATTTTTTGAATAAAGGAGATAATAGCCTTAAACTGGATGCTTATCATGTTTTGCAAGGAGGTGCTGTCTGTGGGTCTCCCCCTGCCCACGGGTCTGCCCCTCTTCCCTCCCCTTCCCTTTCTCCTGTGGCTCTCTCCACCTTCCCCAGCACTCCCTCTGCTCATCATTTCTGAGTAAAATTATGCTTTTTGACCGATAATTTTAAGATGGAGAGGGACAGAAAGGGTATATTAATTGGCTTGCTTTAGAAAGTGAGAGTTCTAATTAGACTGTGACGACAGGTGCTTTTTACACCAGTTAGTTTTTCCTACTTCAACTCGGTATGTTTGTGCAAACAGCAATACAGAGTGATCCTGGAAGTAAAGGTCAGGCTTGGTTTTGTTCTTAGCTGAAAGGATGCAAATTGTTGGCATTCCAGCTGAGTTTTCAATGCAAATTGGCTGGAATGGTTGCCTCATTTTATTCTAACAGCACTGCTCAGGCGGTCCTGGTTCCTGATGGAGCAGCCTCTTTTTGGAAGTCAGATTCATGGTTACTGTTCTGAGGATGTCTGTTTTCCTGTCATTGCTGATTATGGAGATCTGTGGGGAGAGAAGTGCTTTTCCTAATCCCCGTGGCTGCGCGACTCGCTCACAGATGGCAGAGGCTGTTAGTGGAGATTTGGGGCCTCTTGGAGTGAGTCTCTCTGGAAGACGAAGCAGCTATTGAAAGGAAGGACTTCTCTGGCTGATGCCTGGAGAGCCTGGACTCAGCAGGCTGACAGAGCTCTGCGGCCCCGCTCTGTGAGCTGGTCTCAGAGAGACTCCGTGTCTCCTCATGCTCACTCAAGGGCCAATGGCCCTGGTAAGAGATTTGCTAAAATACTTGCCAAATTCAGAGGCTGCTAGCATCAAGTTCCTCTGAGGTTTCTGTTTTCCTCCCCTTTATTTGGTTCTGTTATGAACTTCAGTGCTTGCTGGTCTGAGAAAGACTGCAGGCCACTGTCCCAAGGACTTTCTCATTCAGGGGCTGGAGGGTGGAGGAAGGCGTCTGCGGCCATCCCTGCTCCTCACAGGGGCTGCTGTGCGGCTGATGAGTCCCCTTCCCAGGGCAGATGCTGTGAGGATGGAGCAAGGACAGCCTGTCCACTCCAGCAGAAAGACCCCAGTCTGCATGTCTTGCAATTACCTGATCAGCATTTAGTTCCCAGTCTACCACTCAGAATTGTGGATTACTTAACCCCACTGAACCTCAGTTTCCCTGTCTGTAAAGAACTGGTAAAGTCACTTTCAGGAAGGTGAGCCCTAGTAGAAAATAAGGCTTTTAGAACAAACTTGGGTTTTGGTGCAGATTTTGCTGCTGGAACCCCTCTGAGTCCACTTAGAGGTTATCTTGCCTCATAGGATTGTGGGGAGGGTTAAGTTGAAATAGTGTATTTGTAAAGCCAAATCTAGCGCCTGGGGCTTAGTTACTCATAGTTACTGTGTAAACAATAGTAGCTTGATATTTTACATATATTTATTTCTCACACAGCCTCATGAGGTAGGTATGATTATTACTCAATCTTACACATGAAGAAGCTGAGGCAGGCCAGGAAACCTGTCCATGTCACACAGCTCTAGTGAGTGGAGGAGCCCTGGTTTGTTTATTCTTAAGCTTTTGTTACGGTACATTTTAAACATATACAAAAATAGATGCAGCATGCCTCAGGTCCCCGTTCACCATTCTTCAGCAAACCTCACTGGCTGCTCCTGCCCATCCATCTGCACTGCCCCCACATCCAGACACCCTCATGTGCACACATTCCTTGGACTGTTTGGAGCAAAACAGGAGATGGGATTTTAAACCCAGGCAGCCTGGCTCCAGAGTCCATGCTCTTCTACATCATTAAAATCTGTTGCCTTTCAATAAATAATTTTTTCTACTCCCCTGGTCTAAAGAAACCTTGCCTGCCCAGGGTATTTGAACAGCCCTCACCTGGTCATGGTGAACAGCCTTTGATGCCATCTTTAGACAAATGGGCTGTGAGTTTGGCCTGCCCTGTGGGCACTAACTCCACCCAGCCTCTGGTCTGTTGCTCAGTGAAAGAGGAGCCTCACCTGGTAGCGATATGAGAAATAATCTTTTCCATGGGCTCCTTACTTAAAACATTTCAGTGTTCTTGCTTAGGAGATTTTGTATATGATGTGAAAAGAATATAATCTTTGGGAAACCGACATTATCTGAATTCTACCTCTGCCGCTTTCTAGCTGAATGACGTTACTCAGGCCCCATGACCTGAGCCGCACTTGCCCCACATCTGTGAAGTAAGGTTTACTCTCTAAGGGATGTTGGGAGGATATATTGAAATATGAAAATGGCATACTTTGTGCCTAGTACATTATGGAGGCCCCATAAATGGCCATTCCCTTTTCGTCAGTGTGTTCAAAAACTCAGAATATAAATGAAGGCCTGCTTCCCAAGGCTCTACTGGCCAAATGGACATGCCACACACAGTGTAATAGATCCTTTAGGTGCTTGTGGCTCTGTTTTCACCACTGTTTTTCTCTTTGTTGTCCATCAGGAGGCCTAGTTGGTTTGAACTGGACCTTCAGAAGGCAACTACTAGACAGGCTTGGTGAAGGCAGGCTGAAAATGGACCTTTAAAAGATAACAATTTTGATGTGAGTCACCTGGCAGGGACCAGATGCCAATTTACTGTGGACTTGCTCGGTGGAATTTTAACAATTCTCAGGGGAAATAGTACTCTCGTATGGGTGTACTTGGTAATGATTTGAGACACCAGGTTCCAAATTATTTCCAGCTATTCAATGGCTTCAAGGCAATACTGAATTATTTATTAGGAGTTTCACAGAAAGTCATGCTGGGGTTCCTGCAATAGAATCTAGGACTCTTGGCTTTCGGAGTCCTCATTACCAAGCCTAATGTTTCTTGAAGGGCAACTTCCGAGTTGGAGACAAGAATAGAAACCATTGTCATTGATTTAAAAGGTGTCATTTGATGTATTTTTTTTAAAAGTCCTGATACCAAGATGTGTTTGTGTATTCATTTTCTGGCCAACGAAAATCTTGGTGATTATCATTGTCATTATGGAGGGTATGAGACTGAGAGAAGAAGGATCTAGACCCAGTCTGCCACTCAGAGTGTGACATTGGCCAGGCACCTCATATAGGTATGTTGGACCATAGAATCTCCTGAGAGCTCTTGTATCCCAGAGATTCTGTGAACGTAGAGTTAACAAAATACCTATGTGAATGAATAGATTTACTTGGAGCTCAGAGAACCAACGGCACCTGGTCTAAGAGGTCTGAGGATAGAAGCTACAAGGTAGACTGTGTATCTCCTTGTGATCTTCCCAGAGCTCTATAAATGCAGCGGTTGCTACCAACTGGTCATGAGTCTAAACCTGTAAAGGTTAAGTTCAGTTTGATTGGTCCTGAGGCCGCCAGCTATAAGTTTTCCTGGTCAGTTCAAGGACAGAGCAAATATGCACCCATCCATCCTTCATGTGTCCTTCATGAGGTAAGATAGGGAACCTGCAGCCAAGCTCGTCTGTGAACTGGAGATGGTTAAGACATTGCCGTAGGTCGCTAGGAAAATTTGAGAGATGATTGTCCTTCCCTCTTCCCCAAAAGGGTCTCACACCATTAATTACTTGTCAGAGGTAGAAAAATCAGGAAATCTGTTGAAATTATGGCCCTCAGGTTTTTTTTTTGGAAGTCTACTATCACATTCCCTATAGCTCTGCCTTGAAAATATCCCATACAGGATATTTTTCAAAGATGTCTGCCTTTGAATGTATTTGAAACTGTCTAATTCTGTGTTCTGTACAATATTTGCCACAGACTTTTCCTTAAACATTAGAAATGAGATACAGAATTTTGGGATCAAGAAGATATATGAATAGCTTCCTCTAAATCTTTTGAGAGTATCTGTACTAGAATTGCAGAAGGGTTTGTACGTCTTCTGGATCCGTGTCCCCCTTCCTCCATGCTTCAAATATCAGGCAGAGCAACTGTGCACATATGGTTTGCCTCTACACAGCAAACCTCTTACTCTATCAGGCCTAATTTTTTCTTATGAATCATGTACTTCAGTAGGCAGTCCTCTTCTGAGTATTTTCTCATTACAAGGCAAATATCCCTGACTTCAGTGTATTTCAGTCTTGTCATGTGTATTATCTCCCTGCCTGCCAGTTCTTTGGAAAGGAGCCAGTCTTTTCAAAAAGCTTTTAGTCCCTTGAACTGTTGAGTGACAACTTAAGGAATGTGGAGCTGAGAGAGGATTTGGATGCTCAGTAATGTCATGGTTAAGGGTCTGTCTCTCTCCTTCCCTTGTGTTCCCTTCCCCATTGTTTCGTAAAGGTTGTCTGCTTTTGAATTTTCCCACAAGGAAACTTTCATCCAACCTTTGAATATTCCCTTTCCAATTGAAACAGGCACAACTGGTTACACGTGGATCACCCCAGCTTTTTCAGAAACCATATTAAGTCATTTGGGATCAGACTTAACTTCAAAGGCGCCAACAAGTTTAGGTTAGAATAAATTAAGAAAGCCCATTATGAACTCCTTTTGCAGACTCCTCTACCTTGAAATTTCTCTGTCTCCACCTGATTCTGTCAAAGGTCTGCCCATCTGTTTCCTCCACCCCAATTCTCCAGAGACATTGAAATTCCCCTATCTCACACAGTCCTCCCAGATTGGATTTTAAAAGATGTAACAATGTCTACAAAGACATATTTAAAGCAAAAATGTACAAAATGGTGAAAAGAAAAAAGGCAAATATGAACAAAAGCGATAGCAACAGTTTTAACATCAGCAAAGAAATATAAGGTGAACATGCCATGGGGGCAAAGGATGACATATACTAGTACTCTATTTTTATTTATTTATTTATTTTTGTGATGGAGTCTCGCTCTGTCGCCCAGGCTAGAGTGCAGTGGCATGATCTCGGCTCACTGCCAGCTCCGCCTCCTGGGTTCACGCCATTCTCCTGCCTCAGCCTCCTGAGTAGCTGGGACTACAGGCACCTGCCACCACACCCGGCTAGTTTTTTTTTGGTTTTTTTTTTTTTTTTTGTATTTTTAGTAGAGACGGGGCTTCACCGTGTTAGCCAGGATGGTCTCGATCTCCTGACTTCGTGATCCACCCACCTCGGCCTCCCAAAGTACTGGGATTACAGGCGTGAGCCACCGCGCCTGGCCAACATATACTAGTACTGTAATAAAAAAAAGATTATGATCATGAATGTGTATGTTAATATAGCTTCAAAATATATAAAGCAAGTGACTTGACAGGACCACGAGAAGAAATACATCACAATTTTAGTTGTTTTTAAGGTAGCACTTTTAGACGTTGATAGATCGAGCAGATGAAAGGAGCAAGTATATAGAGGATTTGAATAATCACATGAATAAGCTTGATATGGTATATAAAACTAGATCCTTTTACCCAATGGAGAATATAATTTTTTAAGAGTGCACATGAAAAACGTTAATAAAAATTGGCTTTGTTTTCAACTTTGATGGAAAATAACCCACAGATTCAAGAAATTCAACAAGCTCTAAGTAGGGTAAACAAAGAAAACCACACCTAGGCATGTCAGAGTCAAATTACTAAAAACCAAAAATAAATAGCAGTGGGCATGGAAATCTAGCCTCAACCTTCTCTACCATTTAGCACTTGAGGAGCAATGCCTACAAAGTTCTCGGGGAAAAAGACCAACCCAAGAGCTCTTTTGTATGTTTCCTTTGTATAATATGTTGCTCATTTAACAACTATTTTCAGTGTAACAACTATGTGCCAGGTACTGTTCTTGGTACTGGGAGATACATCAGTGAGAAAAATGTAAAATATTCCTGTCTTTATTAAATAGAGTACATTTTAGCAGGGGAACACATCAAACTAACATGTATAACTGCAATACATAAGCATTTCTAAACATGGAAAAATTAGGGACTATTTTTCATGAGTATTTTGTGGAGAAACCATAAGAGCATAGTGTCCAAACAAGAGAAATGGAGAAGCTACAGTAAAATAATTTGCTATAGGATTACAATAAAATCAACTGTGCAAACTATGGTTTCAGAAATGTTATAACAAGTTGGAAGTGAGAAGACATGAGGTGACATAAGTATTCTTTCTTGCTCTTTTAATGTTAGGACTTTAAATTATTTAAAGCTGATAATATACTTTGAAGTGTAAAGGTAAGTACTGAAAGAAAAAATAGAAATAATATAATCAGCTTATTTGGTGGAGGACCAGTATGAAGTGAAGCATGCTATTATTTTATTGTTGCTCAGGTATGGTGTCAGTACATAGAAATTAAGGGAATAAAGGATTAACGAATAAAGGTGCTGGAAGAAAACATGGTAGAGAACTCTGTATCGCTGGTCTGGGCAATAATTTTTTTGGATATGAACCCAAAAGCACAGACAACGAAGGCAAAAATAGACAAATGGGATTACATCGAACGAAACAATCAACAGAGTGAAGAGACATCCTACAGGATGGTTAAAAAAAAAAGTACACACTATATATTTGATAGGGGGTTAATATCCAAAATATATACAGGGAGACGGTTAATGGATGCCCCCCAAAAAGTGGAATGAATAAGATCTGCTATTTGATAGCACAATAGGGTGACTATAGTCAATAATGTATATTAAAATAATGAATGTAGTTGGATTGTAACTCAAAGGATAAATGCTTGAGGGGGAATGGATACCCCATGCTCCATGATGTGCTTATTTGACATAGCATGCCTGTATCAAAACATCTCATGTACCCCATAAATATATACACCTACTATATAATCATGTAAATTTTTAAATAAGAAAAAACCCCAAACCCCAAATATATATAAATATATATGGAACTCAATAGTAAGAAAACAAATTAGAAAATGAGCAAAAGACCTGAATAGACATTTCTCAAAAGACATACAAATGGGCAACAGGTATATGAAAAAACGTTCAACCTCACTAATCAGGGAAATGCAAATTAAAACCACAATATCACCCTTGTACCTGTTAGAATGGCTGTTATCAAAATGACGAAAAAACAAGTATTGGAGAGGATGTGGAGAAGGGAACACTTGCATACTACTTGTGGGAATGTAAATTAGTACAGCCATTATGGAAAATATGGAGGTTCCCCAAGACATTAAAAGTAGAACTACCATGTGATCTACCAATCTCACTACTGGGTACATAGTTAAAGGAAATGAAATCAGTATGTCAAAGAGGTATCTGTACTCCTATATTCATTGCAACACTATTCACAACCGCCAAGATATGGAACCAACCTAAGTGTCTATCAGTGGATAAATGGATAAAGAAAAAGGTATATACGCAATGGAATACTGTTCAGCCTTTAAAAGGATGGAAATTCTGTCATCTGTGACAATATGGATGAACCTGGAAGGGTTTATGTTAAATGAAATAAGCCAGGCACAGAAAGATAAATACTGCATGATCTCACTTATATGTGTAATCTGAAAAGGTCGAACTCATAGAAGAGTTGCAGGGGCTGGATGGAAGGGGGTTTGAGAGCTACTGGTCAACAATACAAAATTTCAGTTAGGAGGAATAAGTTCAAGAAATCATGTAATACAGCATAGTGACTACAGTTAATGTATTCTTGAAAATTACTAAGAGTAGATTTTAAGTATTCTCATCACAAAATGACAACTATGTGAGGTAATGCATATGTTAATTAGCTCCATTTAGCCATTCCACAATGTGTACATATTTCAAAACAACATATACATGATAATTATACACAATTTTTATCAATTAAAAAGTTAAAAACCAACAGATTCTGGAGAGGCCATGGAGAAATGGGAACGCTTATACGCTATTGGTGGGAATGTAAATTAGTTCAGCCACTGTGGAAAGCAGTTAGGAGATTTCTCAAAGAATTTAAAACAGAGTTAACATTTGACCCACCATCCCATTACGGGTATATACCCAAAGGCAAATAGAACCTTATACCAAAAAGAGACAGGCACACATGTTCACTGCCATGCTATTCTCAATAGCAAAGATGGGAAATCAACTTAGATGCCCATCAGTGTGAACTGGATAAAGAAAATGTGATACATGGAATACTATGCAGCCTAAAGAATGAAATAATGTCTTTTGTAGCAACACTGATGGAGCTGGATGGAGGCCATAATCCTAACTGATGCAGGAACAGAAAACCAAATACCCCATGTTGTCACTTATAAGTGAGAGCTAAACGTTGAGCACCCATGGACGTAAACATGGGAACAATAGATACTGGGGGCTACCAGAGGTGGGAAGGAGAGACAGGTGTGTAGGTTGAAAAACTTACCAGGTACTGTGCTCACTACCTGGGTGCAGTATACCCATGTAACAAACCTGCATAGGTACTCACTGTATCTAAAATAAATGCTGAAATTAAAAGGAAAAATCAGGAAATTGTAGAAAATATATAATGATCATTTGAAAAATGAAAAACCTTCCTGACAACGAGAAAAAAAATAAAGTAGCCATTAGGAACAACTAAGACAAAATAAAAGCTTATAAAATCATGACAGCACACACGAGTGAAGGAAACAAGCTATACAGCTTCTATATACATTGGAAGTTATGTATATTGGAAGTTATATATACATTGGAAGTTATTTTGAACCATTGATGGAAATAATGTAATGCAAAATATGATGACAGAAGCAAGACCAAACATAGCTATCAAATCTGAGAAAATGGCGTGAATATACTTATTTAAAGAAAAAAGACTTAAATTGGAATATAAAGGAAAACCTAATGCACATCTTATAAAAAAGATACACCTTAAAGTGACTCAAAGCAGTTGAAAGTAAAAAGATGGACAAAAGTATGTCAGTGATGCATCTAGAAGAAAGTAATACCATTAGAGGAGAGCTCAGATGAAAATTCATAGCTTTAAACAGGTATCTACGAACAGGAAATTGTCAGGGAAACAAACAGGAAGCAGTAGTTACAGCCTTACTATTCAATAAAGTTGGGAGCAAAAAGCATAAAAGAGATAAAGGGCACTTTATGGTGTAAAGTATACAATTTATAATGAAGATCTAGAAATTATGAATACATACAAAATGACCAAATTTATCTTAACAGAAATTATAGGAAATACAAAGAGTGATAGACAGAAATGTATTAGTAATTGGAGACTTTGAGTCTTCTAAATCCTTATCTTTTATTTGAGCAAGTAAATAAAAGATAAGGATTTAGAAGACAAAATATATCTGACTCATACATATCAAACTGTTCCTAAAAACAGAGGCTATGTATTTTTTTTCAAGTTTCAGAAACATTTACGAAAATTATTTACTGGCCTGGCTTGGTGGCTCACACCTGTAATCCCAGCACTTTGGGAGGCCGAGGTGGGTGGATCACGAGGTCAGGAGTTCAAGACCAGTCTGGCCAACATAGTGAAACCCTGTCTCTACTAAAAATATAAAAAATTAGCCAGATGTGGTGGTGTGCTCCTGTAATCCCAGCTACTTGGGAGGCTGAGGCAGGTGAATTGCCTGAACCCGGGAGGCAGAGGTTGCAGTGAGCTATCATGGCACTGCACTACAGCCTGGGCGACAGTGTGAGACTCTGTCTCAAAAAAAAAAAAAAAAAAATTACCTGATGTATGTTTATCTCCTCTAAATCCTGAGCTCTAGGAGATTCAAAAGAAGTTGTCTGTCTTGTTAACCCCATTTTCCTAGAGCTAAAAGAGAATATCAATAAATATTTTTTACAAAGTGAAAGAGCAGATAATTCACAAAAGAAAAATGCAAATGACCAGTATGCTCATGAAAAAAAAAAAAGCACAGCTGTGTAAACAAAAATTTCTGTTCAAGTAACAATAGAATATCATTTTACCTATCAAATCAGCAAAGCTTTTAAAAAGCAGAATGCTCTAAATCCTTTGCTTTATACATAAAAGCATACGTAGATAATTTGTCAACTTTCCAAAACGTTGAGCTGAATAAATATGAAGAGTTCTTTCCAATTCCCATTACTCTCATGCAAACTTCCAAGTCAGCCATGGCCTGTGAGGAAATGCATTACGTTGTGTTTGTCCCATCCTAACTTCCCCTGGATTTGTGAGTGGCTTATACCTAAGCAGGGTGACATGTCCTCCGGATAGACCTACCACATGGGCCGACCCACCCTGAGCTGGGTCCCAGGAGCTCTGCTTAGCTGCTCTTGCCCATCATTGTCCATCTGCCCCACTGCACTGCTGTACCCTGAGGAAATATCTCCCTGAGGCTCTTATTTAGTCTACTGCTGATACGTAAATTTGCTGCATGGAGCCCAGACCATATTTATGTAGCAATTAAGGTCTATATTTCATGGTTAGATTTTCAGACTATCTTAAAAAACCTATTTGAATTTTAGAACATTAGAGATGAAAAGTTTCTTAGAGTTTACTGGCTAGATCTCCTACCACTTCCTGGAGCATCCTGATAGATTCTGATTAAGTATCTAGCATTAGGAGAGCCTAGAACTGGAGAAGATAGGCCCCAAATACTGGTGTTAAAAAATAAAACAAAGTAACAGAAGAAAAAGGATTTTGAAGAAGATTCCATATCCAAATAAGGATATCTTGTACTTTCTCCTTCAAGTTAGGCTTGGGATTTGGCCCCTGCCTTAGAGTCTTTGTCATTACCTATAGTAATGATAAGAATTAATCCTAGCTACAATCAGAATAACTTGAGTCCATGTGCATGAAGCAGGTATGGGAGAGGAGCCTATGTCCCAGCTCTTAACTGGATAAGAATGATGACAAACTCAGGGAGGCTGAGGCAGGAGAATTGCTTGAACCCAGGAAGGAGAGGCTGCAGTGGACCAAGATTGCACCACTGCACTCCAGCCTGGGCCACAGAGTGAGACTTTGTCTCAAAAAAAAGAAAGATGCTGACAAACTCATATGTCATGTTAAACCCTTACAACCACAATTCCTATGTGTTGGCTCAGGCTGAATAAAGACTTCTGGTTAATGATGGTGAGTTGAATACATGCTCCCTCTTAAAGGTAAAGCCATAGTAAAGTAAAAGGAAAAAAGACATACATTCCTAGTGAAGCAGGATATTTCCCTATCCCCTTCACAAGACTCATAACAGGGGTGCCTCATTTACTCAGCCTGCTGCTCTCAACTCCTTGCAGGAGGGAGCGCATCAGCAAATGAGGTGGGAACTGGAGTGTGTGAGTGTTGGAACTGGTTGGCTGCCTCGGCACTGGCAGGAGAGAACTCCATGCAGGCCCTTGTGGCAGTGTCTAGGTTGGGGTACCTGTAACCCCCAAAGCCCCAGAGGGCATGTTACAGTGCTCTGCACTCATGGCTCCTGAGCTCTTGTGTGGTGTCCAGGAAAAATGAGTTTGCATAGGCAAATTGAAGGATGGTAAATGTGGGGGATTTTACTGCCGATGAAAGTGGCTCTCAGTGAGAAGGGGAGCCGAAATGGGGTGGGAAGGTAATCTTCCTCTGAAGTCTGTCTGTCTCCAGCTGGATTCTTCTCTGAAGTTATGCTGTTAAGCTGTCTGTCTAAAGTCAAGCTGCTTCTCTCTGACATCCAGCTGCAGTCCTGACATCCAGCTGTAGTCCTGACGTCCAGCTACTTCTCTGCTGGCTGAGTCTGGGGTCTTTATAGGCACAGGATAGGGAGGGGTGGGGCCATGGGTAGTTCACGAAAAGGCAACATTCGAGTGGGAAAACAGGGATAGAAGTTCTTATTTTGGGCCATGGTTTCAGGCTTTTCAGCTTGAGGGTGGGGTTTTTGCCAGGGACCCGCCCTTTCTTGCCTAGAATTTCTCTGCCTCCTGTCCCTATCACTAGCATGAAGAGAAAGGGAGCAGAGGTAAGAGCAGCTCCATTTTGAAAAATGGAAAGCAAAGGGTTGAGTGGTAACTGCCTTAGCAGACCTGAGAACAATGAGTTATAGTTGGCAGTGAGAGCATCTCAAAATCAGCCTGACTGTCACTGCAGATCCTCACAAAGCTCAGGAATGGGTATACCCAGATTATTCTGGAAGTGACTGTGAAGGTAAAGCTAGAAGAAGGATTGGTAGAAAGTCAGCCTAAGAACTCGTTAAACTACCAGATTCTTTCCCCAATCGTGACAGAAGGCAGGTGATTCATTCTCAAGAGAGAGTCGAACACAGAGTCTCTTGGCTGACGGCACCAGGTACAGCTGAAGGAAGAGATCTTGTACTAAAAATATGGGCTCCAGTAATATACATATCGAATGCTGAGATCCTCAACCTTTTTTTTCCACCTGGACCCCCAGAATGTGGCAAGGAAGAGTATACCCTTCAGACAGAAAATTAGAAGCAGCCTCTCTGAGAAATGTAACAGATCCAAGAGAAAAGACCTAAGGACACTAATATTGAGGGTTACCCAAAGAAATCTATTTGGATTCACCTGCAGTAAAGCTCCAGGTTAGTAAAATTCCACTGAGCCCACCCATGGGCACAGAGATTTTTAGTGTCCCACTTTTAAATACAAGCAGATGGCTAAGGATCATGATATATTTTTTAAAAGACAGAAGCCAACATAAGGAAACATTAAATAGCGATGCAAAGGAAACAGAGACCATACTGAATGACTGAATGATGATTGCTGTTTGGATCAAAATAAACTTCCTAATGTGAATGTGAATATATATGTTTTAAATATGGTTTAAAATTTGTTTTTCTGCTGCACAGTGACCAAAACAGATTGTGAATGGAAGGGCTAAGAAAGTTAAAACCAATATATACAATTCAAACCGAACTCCTATTCAAAGAACAGTCATATTTTGTGGCCTGCAACACATTTGAATAAAACACACACCAGCTTCCATGGTATAGTGAGAATCCAGGATGTAGTATATGGAAGCATATAACTGGAGAAGATGAACTCATGGTGCTCATATTAAAACAAGACAAAGAGGATTTTGAAGATTCCAAATCTAGAGGTTACATACCCACTGCTCCTATCCCCTCCCAATTAGGATTGGGATGGACATTGTCCCTGTAGAAAAACCACTATTGCAATTATAAGAACCAAATGACTGAAAACACATTTTAGGACCTCTCTGTTTGGAACTCTGTAGTTTTAACATTTAAAACACCATTGAATGAACATACAGTGTTTCTTGGTGTTTGCACTAAACTCTATAAACTACTACAGCCTGTGGGCCAAATCTAGCCTGCCACCTGCTTTTGAACAGATGGAAAGCTAAGAATAGTTATTTTTAAAAAATAAACTTTTTGAAATAACTGTATTTTCACATGCAGTTGTAGGAAGTAATACAGATAGATCCTGTATACCCTTTACCTAGTCCCCCCCGTATTAACTTCTTCAAACCTACAGTACAGTATCTTAGTATGATCAGCACATTGACATTGATGCAGCCAAGATACAGAACAGATCGTCACAGGGACTTCTCAGCTTCCCTTTTTATAGCCACATCCCCTGCCCTCATGCTCCCACTCGCTCTGTAGCCCCTGGTAACCACTAATCTGGTCTCTATTTCCATAATTTTGTTATTTCAAGAATGTCATATAAATGGTAGAGTACAGAATGGAACCTTTTGAGATTGACCTCTTTTTGCTCAGCATAATGCTCTGCAGAATCCTCCAGGTTTTGCATGAAGCAATCGGTTTTTGTTTTTTCTACTGCTGAGTAGTATTCCATGGTATGGAGGTACCACTTTTTTTTTGTTTTAACCATTCACCTGTTGAAGGATATCTATGCTGTTTCTAGTTTTTGGCTATTATGAATAAAGCTGCTCTGAGCATTCACATATAGGTTTTTTGGTGAACATAAGTATTTACTTCTCTGGGATAAATTTTGAAGAGTTCATATGCTGGGTTGTATGGTAGTTGCATGAAACTGTCCAACTATTTTCCAGAGGAGTGGTTCCACTGTGCATTCCACCAGCAATGTGATCAGTTTCTCTGTGTTCTTGCCATTATTTAGGGTTGTCACTATTTTTTGTTTTTAGCTACTCTGACAAGTGTGTAGTGATAACTTACTGTGGCTAAATTTGCATTTCCCTAATGGCTAATACTGTTGAACACCTTTTCATGAGCTTACTGGCCACCTATCTATTCTCTTCAGTGCAATGCATCTCACATCTTTTCTCCATATTCTAATTGGATCCTTCAGTTTTTTTTCTGTTCAGTTTTGATAGATCTTTATACATTCTAGATGTTAGTCCCCTGTTAGATATGTGGTTTGCAAATATTTTCTCCCAGTAGCTTTTCTTTTCACCCTCTTAACAGACTTTTTTTTTTAAGTTACCTAGTTCAATTTGTTTGTGTCTCCACTAGCAAAAGTATTTTTTTATTATACTTTAAATCCTAGGGTACATGTGCACAACGTGCAGGTTTGATACATAGGTATGCATGTGCCATGTTGGTTTGCTGCACCCATCAACTCATCATTTACATTGGGTATTTCTCCTAATGCTATCCCTACCCCAGCCTCCCACCCCACGACATGCCCCGGTGTGTGATGTTCCCCATCCTGTGTCCAAGTGATCTCATTGTTCATTTCCCACCTATGAGTGAGAACATGCGGTGTTTGGTTTTCTGTCCTTGTGATAGTTTGCTGAGAATGATGGTTTCCAGCTTCATCCATGTCTCTGCAAAGGACAGGAACTCATCCTTTTTTATGGCTGCATAGTACTCCATGGTATATATGTGCCACATTTTCTTTATCCAGTTTATCTTTAATGGACATTTGGGTTGGTTCCAAGTCTTTGCTATTGTGAATAGTGCTGCAATAAACATACGGGTGCATGTGTCTTTATAGCAGCATGAATTCTAATCCTTTGGGTATATACCCAGTAATGGGATTGCTGGGTCAAATGGTATTTCTAGTTGTAGATCCTTGAGGAATCACCACACTGTCTTCCACAATGGTTGAACTAATTTACACTCCCACCAACAGTGTAAAAGCATTCCTATTTCTTAACATCCATGCCTGCATCTTTTGTTTCCTGACTTTTTAATGATTGCCATTCTAACTGGCGTGAGATGGTATCTCATTGTGGTTTTGATTTGCATTTCTCTGATGACCAGTGATGATGAGCATTTTTTCATGTGTCTGTTGGCTGCATAGATGTCTTCTTTTGAGAAGTATCTGTTCACATCCTTTGCCCACTTTTTGATGGGGTTGTTTTTTTTCTTGTAAATTTGTGTAGCTTCTGGAAATTAGCCTTTTGTCAGACGGGTAGATTGCAAAAATTTTCTCCCATTCTATAGGTTGCCTGTTCACTCTGATGATAGTTTCTTTTGCTGTGCAGAAGCTCTTTAGTTTAATTAGATCCCACTTGTCTATTTTGGCTTTTGATGCCATTGATTTTGGTGCTTTAGTCATGAAGTCCTTGCACATGCCTATGTCTTGAATGGTATTGCCTAGGTTTTCTTCTAGGGTTTTTATGGTTTTAGGTCGAACATTTAAGTCTTTAGTCCATCTTGAATTAATTTTTGTATAAGGTGTAAGGAAGAGATCCACTTTCAGCTTTCTACATATGGCTAGCCAGTTTTCCCAGCACCATTTATTAAACAGGGAATCCTTTCCCCATTTCTTGTTTTTGTCAGGTTTGTCAAAGACCAGATGGTTGTAGATGTGTGGTGTTACTTCTGAGGACTCTGTTCTGTTCCATTGGTCTATATATCTGTTTTGTTACCAGTACCATGCTGTTTTGGTTACCGTAGCCTTGTGGTATAGTTTGAAGTCAGGTAGCGTGATGCCTCCAGCTTTGTTCTTTTTGCTTAGGATTGTCTTGGCAATGCGGGCTCTTTTTTGGTTCCATATGAACTTTAAGGTAGTTTTTTTCAATTCTGTGAAGAAAGTAATTGGTAGCTTGATGGGGATGGCATTGAGTCTATAAATTGCTTTGGGCAGTATTGCCATTTTCATGATATTGATTCTTCCTATCCATGAGCATGGAATATTCCTCCATTTGTTTGTGTTCTCTTTTATTTTGTTGAGCAGTGGTTTGTAGTTCTCCTTGAAGAAGTCCTTCACATCCCTTGTAAGTTGTATTCCTAGGTATTTTATTCTCTTTGAAGCAATTGTGAATGGGAGTTCACTCATGATTTGGCTCTCTGTTTGTCTGTTATTGGTGTATAGGAATGCTTGTGACTTCTGCACATTGATTTTGTATCCTGAGACTTTGCTGAAGTTGTTTATCAGCTGAAGGAGATGGTGGGCTGAGACGATGGGGTTTTCTAAAGATACAATCATGTCATCTGCAAACAGGGACAATTTGACTTCCTCATTTCTTAATTGAATACCCTTTATTTCTTTCTCTTGCCTGATTGCCATGGCCAGAACTTCCAACACTATGTTGAATAGGAGTGGTGAGAGAGGGCATCCCTGTCTTGTGCCAGTTTTCAAAGGGAATGCTTCCAGTTTTTGCCCATTTAGTATGATATTGGCTGTGGGTTTGTCATAAATAGCTCTAATTATTTTGAGATATGTTCCATGAATACCAAATTTATTGAGAGTTTTTAGCATGAAGGGCTGTTGAATTTTGTCAAAGGCCTTTTCTGCATCTATTGAGATAATCATGTGGTTTTTGTCTTTGGTTCTGTTTATGTCATGGATTACATTTATTGATTTGTGTATGTTGAACCAGCCGTGCATCCCAGGGATGAAGCCGACTTGATCGTGGTGGATAAGCTTTTTGGTGTGCTACTGGATTCAGTTTGCCAGTATTTTATTGAGGATTTTTGCATCAATGTTCATCAGGGATACTGGTCTAAACTTCTCTTTTTTTGTTGTGTCTCTGCCCGGCTTTGGTATCAGGATGATGCTGGCCTCATAAAATGAGTTAGGGAGGATTCCCTCTTTTTCTATTGATTGGAATAGTTTCAGAAGGAATGGTGCCAGCTCCTCTTTGTACCTCTGATAGAATTCGACTGTGAATCTGTCTGGTCCTGGACTTTTTTTCGCTGGTACGCTATGAATTATTGCCTCAATTTCAGATCCTGTTATTGGTCTATTCAGAGATTCAACTTCTTCCTGGTTTAGTCTTGGGAGGGTGTATGTGTCTAGGAATTTATTTGTTTCTTCTAGATTTTCTAGTTTATTTGCATAGAGGTGTTTATAGTATTCTCTGATGGTAGTGTGTATTTCTGTGGGATCGGTGGTGATATCCCCTTTATCATTTTTTATTGCATCTATTTGATTCTTCTCTTTTTTCTTCTTTATTAGTCTTGCTAGCAGTCTTTCAATTTTGTTGATCTTTTCAAAAAACCAGCTCTTGGATTCATTGATTTTTTGAAGGGTTTTTTATGCCTCTATCTCCTTCAATTCTGCTCTGATTTTAGTAATTTCTTGCCTTCTGCTAGCTTTTGAATGTGTTTGCTCTTGCTTCTCTAGTTCTTTTAATTGTGTTGTTAGGTTGTCGATTATAGATCTTTCCTGCTTTCTCTTGTGGGCATTTAGTGCTATAAATTTCCCTCTACACACTGCTTTAAATGTGTCCCAGAGATTCTGGTACGTTATGTCTTTGTTCTCATTGGTTTCAAAGAACATCTTTATTTCTCCCTTCACTTCGTTATTTACCCAGTAGTCATTCAGGAGCAAGTTGTTCAGTTTCCATGTAGGTGTGCAGTTTTGAGTGAGTTTCTTAATCCTGAGTTCTAATTTGATTGCACTGTGGTCTGAGAGACAGTTTGTTGTTATTTCTGTTGTTTTACATTTGCTGAGGAGTGCTTTACTTCCAATTATGTGGTCAATTTTAGAATAAGTGTGTTGTGGTGCTGAGAAGAATATATATTCTTTTGATTTGGGGTGGAGAGTTCTGTAGATGTCTATTATGTCTGCTTGTTGCAGAGCTGAGTTCAGGTCCTGAATATCCTTGTTAACCTTCTGTCTTGTTGATGTGTCTAATGTTGACAGTGGGGTGTTAAAGTCTCCCATTATTATTGTATGGGAGTCTAAGTCTCTTTGTAGGTCTCTAAGGACTTGCTTTATGAATCTGGGTGCTCCTGTATTGGGTGCATATATATTTAGGATAGTTAGTTCTTCTTGTTAAATTGATCCCTTTACCATTATCTAATGGCCTTCTTTGTCTCTTTTGATCTTTGTTGGTTTAAAATCTGTCTTATCAGAGACTAGGATTGCAACCCTTGTTTTTTTTTGCTTTCCATTTGCTTGGTAGATCTTCCTCCATCCCTTTATTTTGAGCCTATGTGTGTCTTTGCATGTGAGATGGGTCTCCTGAATACAGTACACTGATGGGTCTTGACTCTTTATCCAATTTTCCAGTGTGTGTCTTTTAATTGAGGCATTTAGCCCATTTACGTTTAAGGTTAATATTGTTATGTGTGAATTTGATCCTGTCATTATGATGTTCGCTGGTTATTTTGTCTGTTAATTGATGCAGTTTCTTCACAGCATCGATGGTCTTTACAATTTGGCCTGTTTTTGCAGTGGTTGGTACTGGTTGTTTCTTTTCATGTTTGGTGCTTCCTTCAGGAGCTCTTGTAAGGCAGGCCTGGTGGTGACAAAATCTCTCAACATTTGCTTGTCTGTAAAGGATTTTATTTCTCCTTTACTTATGAAGCTTAGTTTGGCTGGATATGAAATTCTGGTTGAAAATCCTTTTCTTTCAGAATGTTGAATATTGGCCCCCACTCTCTTCTGGCTTGTAGAGTTTCTGCCGAGGGATCTGCTGTTAGTCTGATGGGCTTCCCTTTGTGGGTAACCCGACCTTTCTCTCTGGCTGCCCTTAACATTTTTTCCTTCATTTCAACCTTGGCGAATCTCTCAATTATGTGTCTTGGGGTTGCTCTTCTCGAGAAGTATCTTTGTGGTGTTCTCTGTATTTCCTGAATTTGAATGTTGGCCAGCCTTGCTAGATTGGGGAAGTTCTCCTGGATAATATCCTGAAGAGTGTTTTCCAACTTGGTTCCATTCTTCCCATCACTTTCAGGTACACCAGTCAAACGCAGATTTGGTCTTTTCACATAGTCGCATATTTCTTGGAGGCTTTATTCATTTCTTTTCACTCTTTTTTCTCTAATCTTGCCTTCTTGCTTTATTTCATTAATTTGATCTTCAGTCACTGATACCCTTTCTTCCGCTTGATCGCATCAGCTATTGAAGCTTGTGCATGCGTCACGAAGTTCTCATGCCATGGTTTTCAGCTCCATCAGGCAATTTAAGGTCTTCTCTACACTGTTTATTCTAGTTAGCTATTCGTCCAATCTTTTTTCAAGGTTTTTAGCTTCCTTGCAATGGGTTTGAACATCCTTTTTTAGCTCGGAGAAGTTTGTTATTACCGACCTTCTGAAGCCTACTTCTGTCAACTCATTAAAGTCATTCTCCATCCATCTTTGTCCCATTGCTGACGAGGAGTTGCAATCCTTTGCAGAAGAGGTGCTCTGATTTTTAGAATTTTCAGCTTTTCTGCTCTGACTTCTCCCCATCTTTGTGGTTTTATTTACGTTTGGTCTTTGATGTTGGTGACCTACAGATGGGGTTTTGGTGTGGATGACCTTTTTGTTGATGTTGATGCTATTCCTCTCTGTTTGTTAGTTTTCCTTCTAACAGTCAGGTCCCTCAGCTGCAGGTCTGTTGGATTTTGCTGGAGGTCCACTCCAGACCCTGTTTGCCTTTGTATCACCAGTGGAGGCTGCAGAACAGCAAGTATTGCAGAACAGCAAAAATTGCTGCCTGATCCTTCGTATAGAAGCTTCATCCCAGAGGGGCAGCCGCCTATATGAGGTGTCTGTCAGCCCCTACTGGGACGTGTCTCCCAGTTAGGCTACACGGGGGTCAGGGACCCACTTGAGGAGGCAGTCTGTCCATTCTCAGAGCTCAAAAGCCATGCTGGGAGAACCACTGCTCTCTTCAGAGCTGTCAGACAGGGACATTTAAGTCTGCAGAAGTCATCTGCTGCCTTTCGTTCAGCTATGCCCTGCCCACAGAGGTGGAGTCTAGAGGCAGTAGGCCTTATTGAGCTGCCGTGAGCTCTGCCCAGTTCGAGCTTCCTAGCCACTTTGTTTACCTCCTCAAGCATCAGCCATGGTGGACGCCCGTCCCTCAGCCAGGCTGCCGTCTTGCAGATCGATCTCAGACTGCTGTGCTAGCAGTGAGCAAGGCTCTGTGGGAGTGGGAGCCGCTAAGTCAGGCATGGGAGAGAATCATCTTGTCTGCTGGTTGCTAAGACCTTGGGAAAAGCACAGCCTTTGGGTGGGAGTGTCCCGATTTTCCAGGTAGTCTGTCACAGCTTCCCTTGGCTAGGAAAGGGAAATCCCCCACCCTGCTTCAGCTCGCCTTCTGTGGGCTGCACCCACTGTCCAACCAGTCCCAATGAGATGTACCAGGTACCTCAGTTGTAAATGCAGAAATCACCCGTCTTCTGCATCAGTCACACTGGGAGCTGCAGACTGGAGCTGTTCCTATTCGGCCATCTTGGAACCCAAAGCCCAGACTTTTTATCAGAGCAAAAGTGTTTGGTTTTTACAACTTTCAATTTAATTTTTCCATTCATGGATTGTGCTTTTCCTGTCACATCTAAGAATTCTTTGCCTAGCTCTAGGTCCCACAGCTTTTATCCTATGTTTTCACCCTAAAAGTTTCATAGTTTTACATTTAAGTTCATGATCCATTTTTGTATAATTAATTTTATAATTTATTAATTACAAAAAAAGATAATTTTTATAGAAAGTGTGAGACGTAAGGTTCATATTTTTGCCTTTGGATATCCAATCGCTTCAGCATAGTTTATTGGATGGCTATCATTCCTCCATTGAATTCTTTTTGTACATTTGTCAAAAATCAGTTAGGCGTACTTGTGTGGGTCCACTTCTGAGTTCTTCATTGATATCACACAGACTTCGTTACTTTCCCTATATATTGTCTCAAAATTGAGTAGACTGAATCTTTTCTCTTTATTCTTTTTCAAAATTGTTTTAGCTATTCTAGTTTGTTTACTATATAAAATGTAGAATAACCTTGTCTGTGTGTAACAAAAAGTCTTGGCATTTAATTGGAATTGCATTAAATCTGTACATCAATTTCTAAACCTGTATATCTGAGACCTTTACTATGTCGAGTCTTCTAATTGATGGTACGTCTTTCATTTTAAAAAGTCTTTGATTTCTTTCATCAGCATTTAGCAGTTTTCAGCATACAAATCCTGCATGTGTTTTGTTAGATTTACACCTAGGTATTTAATTTATTTAGTGATTGTAAATGTTATCAGATTTTTAATTTCAATGTCCATGTGTTTATTGCTGGTATATATACAATTGATTTTTGTGTATTTATCTTGTGTCCTTTGAGCTTACTGGGCTCTCTTATCAGTTCTAGAAGTTTTTTTGTAGATTCCTTGGGACCTTCACTAGACAATCATTTTACTAGAAAATAGGGAAAGTTTTATGTCTTCCTTTCTGATTTATGCACCTTTTATTTTTTGTCACTTATCACACTGGCTAGAACTTCCAGCACTATGTTGAATAAGAAGGGTGAGAATGGACATCTTCGCCTTATTCCTGATCTTTTTTTTTAAGACGGAGTCTCACTCTGTCGCCAGGCTGGAGTGCAGTGGTGTGATCTCGGCTCACTGCAACCTCCACCTCCCGGTTTCAAGCGATTCTCCTGCCTCAGCCTCCTGAGTAGTGGGATTACAGGCGCCTGCCACTGTGCCCAGCTAATTTTTGTATTTTTAGTAGAGACGGGGTTTCACCAAGTTGGCCAGGATGGTCTCGATCTCTTGACCTCGTGATCTGCCCACCTCGGCTTCCCAAAGTGCTGGGGTTACAGCCCTTGTTCCTGATCTTAAGGGGAAAACATTCTGCCTTTTACCATTAAGTAAAATGTGATCCATAGGTTTTTGTAAACATTCTTTATCAAGTTCCCTTTGTTCTTATTTTTCTGAAAGTTTTTTTTTTAATCATGAAAGAGTGTTTAATTTTGTCAAATGCGTTTTCTGCATTAATTCATATGATCATGTGAATTTTTTTCTTTAGTCTTCTCATGTCCTCAGGTGGATTACATTGTTTCACTTTTGAACCAGCCTTGCATCTCTGGAATAAATCCCAATTAATCATGGTATATATATATTTTGTTAAGGATTTTTGCATGGATATTCATGAGAATTTTTTGTTTGTAGTTTGCTATGTCCTTGTCTCATTTTGCTATTATGGGAATATTATTTTCAAATGAATTGGGAAATGTTTTCTTTCCTATTTCCTAGAAGAGATTTCTGAAATTCGTGTTTTGTTTTGTTTTTTTTAACTTTTGCTAGAATTTTCTGATGAAATCATTTGGACCTAGAGATTTCTTTTTTGGTAACTTAAAAATTATGAATTCAGTTTCCTCAGTAGTTTAGGGCTATTTAAATTTACTAGTTTCCTACTGAGTGAATTGTAATAATCTGTGTTTTTTGAGAACTTGGTCCATTTCAACAAAGTTGTCAAATAAATATTTGTGTTCATAGCAGTCCTGTATCCTTTTGCCTTTTGCAGAGTGTGCAGTGAGATCCTCTGTTTCATTCCTGATAATGGTAATTTGTATTTTCTTCCTTCTTTTGTCAGTCTTGCTAGAGATTTGTTAATTTTATTTATTTTTTTCAAAGAGCCAGCTCTTTATTTCATTGATTTTCTCAATTTTTCTGATTTCCATTTTATTGGCTTTTGCTCTTTATTGTCTCTTCCTTCTGCTTGCTTTGGGTTTATTTTGGTCTTTTTTATCCCTAGGTTCTTGAGATGGGAACTTAGATGATTTGAGACTTTTCCCCTTTTCTAATGTATGCATTTAGTGCTATTAATTTCCTTCTTAGCACTGCTTTAGCTTGGAACCAGAAGGGTCCCTTTTTTTTTTAAGTGATTTAATCGTTTTATTTATTTTATTGATTCTCTTCAAGGATCTTCATTTCATTTTATTAAATTTTCTGGATTTCGATAATACAATGAGATATAAATTATTGCTCCCCCAAACATAAAAAATAAAAAAAATTCTAATGAGTATTCTACTCCCTTAGTTCTTTTTTTTTTTTTTTTTTAAATACTTTAAGTTCTGGGATACATGTGCAGAATGTGCAGGTTTGTTACACAGGTATACATGTGCCATGGTGGTTTGCTGCACCCAGCAACCCGTCACCTACATTAGGTATTTCTCCTAGTGCTATCCCTCCCCTAGCCCCACCAACCCCCTGACAGGCCCTGGTGTGTGATGTTCCCCTCCCTGTCTCCATGTGTTCTCATTGTTCAGTTCCCACTGATGAGTGAGAACATGCAGTGTTTGGCTTTCTGTTCCTGTGTTAGTTTGCTGAGAATGATGGTTTCCAGCTTCATCCATGTCCCTGCAAAGGACGTGAACTCATCCTTTTTTATGGCTTCATAGTATTCCATGGTGTATATGTGCCCCATTTTCTTTATCTAGTCTATCATTGATGGACATTTGGGTTGGTTCCAAGTCTTTGCTATTGTCAATAGTGCTGCAATAAACATACTTTTGCATGTGTCTTTCTAGTAGAATCATTTCTAATCCTTTGGGTTTATACCCAGTAATGGGATTGCTAAATCAAATGGTATTTCTAGTTCTAGATCCTTGAGGAATCGCCACACTGTCTTCCACAATGGTTGAACTAATTTACACTCCCACCAATAGGGTAAAAGTGTTCCTGTTTCTCCATATCTTTGCCAGCATCTTTTATTTTCTCACTTTTTAATGATTGCTATTCAAACTGGCCTGAGATGGTATCTCACTCTGGTTTTGATTTGCATTTCTCTAATGACCAGTGATGATGAGCTTTTTTTCATGTTTACTGGCTGCATAAATGTCTTCTTTTGAGAAGACATTTCTCAATCTGTCTGTTCATATCCTTCACCCACTTTTTGATGGGGTTGTTTGTTTTTTTCTTGTAAATTAGTTTAAGTTCTTTGTAGGTTCTGGATATTAGCCCTTTGTCAGATGGATTGCAAAAATTTTCTCCCATTCTGTAGGTTGCCTGTTCACTCTCATGACAGTTTCTTTTGCTGTTCAGAAGCTCTTTAATTAGATCCCATTTGAGAATTTTGGCTTTTGTTGCCATTGCTCTTGGTGTTTTAGTCATGAAGTCTTTGCCCATGCCTATGTCCTGAATGGTATTGCCTAGGTTTTCTTCTAGGGCTTTTATGGTTTTAGGTCTTACATTTAAGTCTTTAATCCATCTTGAATTAATTTTTGCATAAGGTGTAAGAAAGGGGTCCAGTTTCAGTTTCTGCAGAAGGGTCCTTTTTACCGCTAAGCTCAGGTGAATATTCTGACTCTCCACCAGGCCTCCACTGCCCCACCCTAGGGGTGAGGGGTAGAGTTGCCTGTTCCTGCCTTGTATGAGATACCCACATAATCTGTACTGATGCTGCAGAGGTGTACATTGCATCACCTGCTGGCATGGATGAGAGTTCTTTTGCCCTACTCAGCCCTCTGCGATGCCACTTTGCTATGTGTTTGAAGAGAGGGCAGAAGTCTAGGCTCTCCCTCTGCCTTTGCTGGTGTGGGTGTTAGTGTGGCCAACAGCTTTTTTGGGGGTGGTTGGCTGGATTTTAGTGGTTCTTATCTGTAAGTTTTCTGTCTGGCTGTGCTGCCCCTTTCTCGGTCCTTGCCAAGAGAGAGCAGGCTTTTGATGGGGCCTTTTCTGTCTGTGCCTGTTGCCAGTTTGTTCAGCTCCAAGTCTGGGATGTATGAGTGTAGTAGTTTCCTAGGGCAGCTGTAACAAAGTGCTACACATTGGGTGGCTCAAACAACAGAAATGTATAGCCTTGCAGTTCTGGAGGCTGGAAGTCCAAAGTCAAGGTGTCAGTAGATTAGTTCCTCTTGATTGCTGTGAGGGAAAATCTGTTCCAGACCTCTCTCCCAGCTGCTGGTGGTTGGCTGGTGATCTTTGATGCTTCTTGACTTGTGGAAGCATCACCTTGATATTTACCTTTACATTCACATGGTGTTCTCCCTGGGTGCAACTGTGTCTAAATATCCCCCTTTTATAAGGACACTAGTCAGAATGGACTAAGGGTCCACTCTACTCCAAAATGACCTCGTTTTAGTAACTAATACATCTGCAGTGACCCTATTTCCACATAAGGTCACATTCTAAGGCACTAGGGGTTAAGACAGCAACATATGAATTTTGGGAGAACACAATTCAAGCCATAATTATGAGGCAAAAAGAAAATCCAGGAAACTCACCAGCTTGTTTTTTTGCTCCTGAGGGTTCTAGCCAGTCTTCCTTCTCTCTCTATCTTTCAGTCATCTTGTGTTTATTTCATATATAAGTCCAGAGATTTTAGTTGTACTTAGCAGGAAGAATAAGTGTATGTATGTTGGAGGGTAAATGCAACTTGAGAAAATGTGGCCTAAGAGGGAACAGAGAAACATGAAAGAAAGGCACTTGTATCAGGAGTTCCATGTCACAGTTTTGATTATGTTTGTCCCATAGCCTGTTCATGACTTTATGAAGCCGTGGGACAGATATAATCAAAAGCACTATCTGCTTCCCATCCTTACCCTATCTTCGGGAGCAGGTAGACTATTTGCAGGGCCCAGTGCAAAATAAAAATGCAGGGACCTGGCTTTGAAAATTATTAAGTTCAAGATGTCAAGAGCAGAGCATTCAACCAAGCCCTTCTGAGCACAAGACCCTGTGTCACATGCCTGTGAAGTCAATCCCTCCTATCCCTTGATGCTAACTGCTGTTGAGCCTCTAAAACTCAGCTAGACATCATTTCCTTGGGGAGCCTTTTTTAGATAACTCCTATTTTCCACCCTCTCCTAATACACACACTGCTACCTGCCCCCCCAAGTTGGGTTAGGTATCTTCGTTTGAGCTTCCATAATGCTGTGCACATGTTTTTAATATTGCATGTTGTTTTTTAATGATCTGTATAGGTGTCTGACACTCATTTGGGAACTTTTTGAGAGCATGAATTGTTTTTGACTCAACTTCATACCTCTAAAACCTAGCACAGCCTGGCTTGCAATAGACAGTCAAGAAATGCTTTTTGACCTGACTGCTGAACTGAGTGAAAGAAATGGCAAACTAATGAGGTGAACCTGTTCCCACTTCCTTCATCTCCTCCACCTCCATCCAAACATGAAAGTGTTGCTACAAACTCTGTAAAGCTGACAACTTAAGACCATCTTTAAAATTATTTAAAACTTATTTGTGAATATCTAAGTAGAAAACAGCTATGTCGACTGGTAAACTAACCAATGAACATAACATTGGACCACACTATCCATGTTTATTCAGGATTGTGGGCTATCATCTAGCATCTGGGCCAATGTCTGACCCTTGGTGGGTTCTCAGTGAATTCTGTGGAACGAATGATGAGCCAGGTAGCAAGCACATGAGAACATCCGTTTACTTAGCTTCTTCTTCCTTCACTTCTTTTCCAACTCATCCTTTATGGTCCAACTCAAAATTCAGCTTCTGGGTTAATCTCACTCTCATCTGAGAATTTTTAAATCTTTATATATCTAAAGTTTTATTCTCCCCAAAACTTTGGGTGCCTTATACATTTAGCATACTATCTTCAATAAAATAAACGTATTTTCTCCAAAATACGGCTATTACGTTTGGCCATTAAATCCTATCTATTCTTAAGTACTCATATTTTCAATATTAAAAATAATGACTGACTGATATATGTTTGTTTTCCAAGCTCTGGGACAGTTCTCGATTCATGTTTTATTGATTATTTTCAGGGTTTTGTATATATATATATTTATTTATATACATATATATGCACATAAATGAATACACACACGTATATGGATATATACTCTCCCCAAATTCTTGGGTGCAACTCTTGTTAATATAAAAACTTTGGTTATGAAGTAAACTTTATATATAGCAAACATTTTATCTGAAGCCAAAGAACTGTTTTAGTTTGATTACTCATAATTTTATCTATCAAAATTCCTTGGTAATGATTCATGAAATAATTTATCATGACCAACGGATATATTTAGGATTAGAAAAGGTTTCAGCTCAATCAGCACTGACTTTTGGAAGATTTTCCTCAAGCTGATGAAAAGGAAGAATTTCCAAGCTGCAATGTTGTTTTTATAACCAACCAACCAAACAAAAACCAAAAGAAATCATACCAAATGGGAAGAATGATAGCTCAGTTCTTTTCTGTTTTATCAATTTAATGTATACAATTTTGTAATGAAGGGAGATCTGTCGTGCATACCTCAAGTACAAAAAAGCCTGTTGGCCCTATGTTACATAATAATTTTTTCAGGCAAGTGCTATGATGTGAGTGTTTGTGTTACCCCAAAATTCATATGAAATGTAATCTCCAGTGCAATATTACTAAGAGATGGGGCCTTTAGGAGGTGACTAGATCATGAGGACCAATTACTGACCCTATAAAAAGAGGCCTTAAGGGGCTTGTTTGTCCCTTCTGCTGTGAGGACATAGCTAGAAGGTGTCATCTATAAGGAAGGGCCTTTCCTGAGACACCAAATCTGCTGGTGCCTTGATCTTGGACTTCCCAGCCTCTGGAACTGTGAGCAACAATTTTCTGTTTATAAATTACTCACTCTAAGGTATTTTGTTATAGCAGCCTTAAAAGACTGAGGCAGCAGGTCACCACACCTGATAAAAGACACATTGACCAGATAAGTGAAAAGCTTAATTCTTCATTTTACTTATTTAGAGACGAAGTCTTGCTGTGTTGCCAGGCTGGAGTGCAGTGGCGTGATCTCAGCTCACTGCAACCTCTGCCTCCCAGGTTCAAGCAATTCTCCTGCCTTAGCCTCCCAGGTAGCTGGGACTACAGGTGTGCACCACCATGCCCAGCTAATTTTTGTATTTTTAACAGAGACGGGGCTTCACCCTGTTGGCCAGGCTGGTCTCGATCTATTGACCTAGTGATCCGCCTGCCTTGGTGTCCCCAAGTGCTAGGATTACAGGCATGAGCCACTGCACTCAGCCTAATTTTTCATTTTATGTGAAACCCACAGAGCCAGTAAGTTTGATCTTGGATGGGTTCCTCCTGTTGAGGGAGCAGCCATTTCATTTCTGTGTGAGTAAACAACATTTGGGAAGTCAACGCATCTGAGCTCCTCTTATTTAGCAGAGGTCTTGGTCATCAGTTGTCAGCAGTAAATATCAAAACAAGTGTGGTTCATTGCAAACCACACCTTGGTCCTTTGGCATTTTGTTTTTCCTTTCCTTGGCAGGCAAGGGAGGAAAACGTGTCCATCTGAATTAAGTACAGCGCTTATCATTGGGTGCTTTCCCAGGAGGCTGGGGCTCCTAAGGCAGCAGTTTTCAAGGGGGCTTTCAAGTGAGGAGAACTCTGGTCTTTGGGCAGAAGCAGGCTTGGGTTTTGTTAGCTTCCCTGTTGCCAGCATTTGGAACTCCCAGGAGGCACAAGTCATTGAGGAAAAACAAAACAAACAAACAAAAACACTTGAACTAGGACACCCACAAAAGAAGGCTGTTTTTGGTGGCAGCCTTGGTGGTGCAGTGAGGAGTCACCTTTTCCTTCAAGAAGCCCTATGTCTGCTAGAGGCAGTGTGGCCTGGTGGAAGCAGCACAGATGTTAGCACTCCACAGACTGGCCATTTTCCAGATACTTGATCTTGGAATACTATCACTCAGTCTTTTAAGTCTCAAAATAAAATAGGCCTAATTCTTACTTTCAAGGTTATTATAAAGGTCAAATCAAGTTTAAAAGACACAGATCACCAAAATGGACTCAAGAAGAAATAGAAAATCTGAACAGAGCTATAACAAGGAAAGATATTAAGTAATAATTAAAATTTTCCCACAAAGAAAAGCCCGGACCAGATAGCTTCACTAGTGAATTTCATTGGCATTTAAATAAATAATACAAACTCTTCTAGAAAACAGAGGAGTAGGGAAAACTTCACTATTCACTCTATGAGGCAAAAATTACCCTGATACCGAAGCCAGACAAAGACATGACAAGAAAACTAGAGACCAATATCCCTCATGTATATAGACACAATTCTCAACAAAATATAAGCAGACAAAATCCAGCAACATATAAAAGGAATTATACATCACGATCAAGTAGGCTTTATCCCAGAAACATAAGATTGGTTTATCCCTTTTAAAAGTTAATATAATATTCTATATTAATAAAGGACAAAAACCCCATGATCATCTCAGCAGACACAGAAAAAGCATTTAACAAAATCTAATGGCCAATCATAAAAACTCTCAATAAACTAGGACTATATGAGAACTTCTGCAACTTGATAAAAAGCATCTACAAAAAACCTGTCGCTAACATCATAATTAATGATGAAAGACTAAAAGCTTTCTCTTAAGATCAAGAACAAGGCAAACATGTCTGCTCTCGCCACTTCTATTTAACATTGTACTGGAGTTTCTAGCTAGTGCAGTCAGGTAAGGAAAAGAAAGAAAATGTTCCCAGAATGGAAAGAAGAAGTAAAAAAGCTGTCTTTACGTAAAGACAACATGACCCTGTATGCAGAAAATTCCGAGGAGCGCGCACGCGCGCACACACACACACACACCCCTACTAGAATAAATGAGCTCAGCTGGGTCACAGAATACAAAACTAGTATACAAAAATCTATTGTATTTCTATATACTAACCATGAACAATCCAATAATGAAATTAAGAAAACAATTCATTAGTAACAGCATCAAATCAAATAAAATATTTAGGAATAAATTTAACAAAAGAAGCATAATATTATACATTGGAAACTAAAACATTTCTAAGAGAAATTAAAGAAGAACTAAATAATGGAAAAAATGTGAAATTTCATGTTTACAAATTGGAAGACTCAATATTATTAAGATGGCAATGCCGCCCAAACTGAGATTCAGTATAGGTCATTTTGGAGAGGACTGCCGTCTTAATCTCCATAGAAATCTCAGCAGGCTTACTATTATTATTATTATTACTTTTTTTTTTACAAAAATTGACAAGCTGACAAGCTGATCAAACTACCCAAAATAGTCAAAATCATTTTGAAAGTTGGAGGACTTACACTTCCCAATATCAAAACTTCTGGCAAAGCTACAGTAAGTACGATTGTGTGGTACTGGCATAAGGAATAACATATAGGTCAATGTAAGAGAATTAAGAGTCCAGAAATAAACCCTTATGTTTATATCCAATTGATTTTTCAACAAAGGTCCAAAACAATTTAAAGGGGAAAAAGAATGTTTTTTTTTTTTGAAACGTATGGTGCTGGGACAATTAGATATCCACAGGTAAAAAGATGAATCTAGACCCTATCACCATACAAAAATGTTAACTCAAAATGGACTCTAGATCTAATGTAAAACTTAAAACTATAACAATTTTAGAAGAAAATATAAAGGATAACTTTGTGACTTGGATTGGGCAAATATTTCTTAGATATGATGCTAAAAGCATAATTCGTAAAATAAAAAAACTAATGAAGTGTACTTTATCAAAATTTAAAACTTATTTGCTTCAAAAGACACCATTAAGAAAATGACAAGTCACAGACTGGGAGAAAATATATGCAAATCTTATATCTGATAAAGGATTAATATCTAATATATAAAGAATTTTTATAACTCAACAAGAGAAATAACCTAATTATAAAATTGGCGAAAGATTTAAATAGACATTTCACTGAAGAATAGATGTGGATGGTCAATAAGCACACATAATGATGCTCAACATCATTAGCCACTAGAGAAATGAGAATTAAAACCAGAATGAAATATTCTTTTATACACACTAAAAATTTTTTTTCAAAGTTAAACATAAATATACCATGTAACTCAGAAATTCTACTCCTAGGAAATGATTCAATAGATATGAAAACATATGTCCCCATGGAGACTTGTGTATTCATAACAGCTTTATTCATAATAGCCCTAAACTGGAAGCAATTCAAATGTCCATCAACTGGTGAAATAGATAAATGAAACGTGGTTTATTCATACAACAGAATACTGCTAAGCAATAAAAAAAGAACAAGATACTGATATATGCTACAATACAAATCTTGAGAACATTATGCTAAGATTAAAAAAAACCCACATATGAATTCATTTATGTAAAATGTCCAGGTAAATCTGTAGAGACAGAAAGTAGTTTAGTAGCTGCCTGGGGTTGGGCATAGGAACAGGGAGTGACTAAAAACAGGCATTAGGGATCTTTTTGGAGTGAAGGTAATGTTCTAAAATTGGGTTGTGGCAATGGATACACAACTCTGTAAACTTAGTAAAAATCATTGAAATATACCTTTTAAATGGGTGAGTTTTATGGTGTGTAATTCTTTTTAAGAAAACTGTTAATGATTAACTTATGTATGGTGGCTGTCACATGGTCCCCAAAAAATGATAGTATTGTTCCTTGAGGATGTGCTTTGTCTTCGGAGTTCAGACCTAATGCCTCAGAGGGCAAGGATGGCAAATGCCAACAGCTAGCATGTACTGAGTACTGACTGTGCCAAGCTCCATGCTAACCACATTATGTACATTACATCCTCTAATCCTCACAACAATCCTCCGAGGTAGGTAGTAGTATTATGCCTGTTCTATAGATAAGGAAATGGAAGCTTTGTTAAGGTCACTGTGCCAAGGCATGGAGAACTTTGTCTCCAACAGGTCTAACTTGTCCTATTGTACAGAGCACCTTTAAGACCTAAACATTTCTAGTCCGGTCCTGGGGTCAGCGAGGTAGCTCTGAGGATCTCCTTAGTTCTATGCTTGGCCCTGCTGAAGGCTTCCCTGTTTGAAACCCTGCTTTTGGTGTGGAGGTTATAACCAGTATCCATGAAACAGTTTCTGCAGGAAAATGTATTCTGTGCTAAGGTAATAACCAAGCAAATCTGCCTCTCCTTCAGGCCCCCTCCACAACATCTAGGGAAGCTGCTCCATGGCCATGCCTTTGGCCTATGGTGAGCAGAAGGGGAAGAGAGGGGAATAGAGATGGGGAGTAGAGAGGGCGGGTTGGCCTCACTACCTCCTTTCAACATTCAACAAGGACTACTTGCCTTTTATCTTGATTACGGTATATCGATGTTGGACTTCAGCATATGATTCCTTTTGAACACTGAATCCTGTTCTTAAGCAAAGCATATCGAAAACCACAATTTTAAGAAAGTTAGTATCAAGTGGAATGCTGAAATAGTAATTTAAAAGAAGTCTGTATATGGACTTAAGTATTAATAGGCCATAGGGGCAAATTTACCATTAGTTCTGGACATAGTCCAAACTCATGCTGTCTTGACTCTGCTAAGTTCTGAGACTATTGTAGCCTAGATCTTTATTTCAACAAACAATTTTCAATTGTATCTTTACCCTGAAGAGAATGAAATGTCATCCTGACTTAGGGGATTATCAAGATATGTATATTGAAACTTTTTCATTGTTTGTATTAGGGATATTAAGGTTTTCAAATTTGTTTATGGAATGCCTTTTTCCTAAACATACTTCTTCCTGTTTTCTAAAGATAACACTGAACAATATTTTCCTCATGTCTAGGCTAGCAATTACTAAATAATTTGAAGGTATCATAATTCTATTATTTTTCCACATGGAGATTTTGTGAGTACACTAATGGCTTTGGACCTTCTGATGTTTTGTCATCAAACCTGGCTTCTGTGGATGCAACTTTGTTCACCATCTGCTTGTTTACAAGAAGTGATACTGGGAAGTAATAAGAGCTAGAGCCAGGAATCAGAAGACCAGGGGTTTCCTTTCTGATTCTCCCATTTACCATGATTCTGAGTAAGTTTCTTAACAGCTCTGATTCCCAGGGACAAGGATATCAGGCTTGGTGACCTCACAGGCTCATTTCGAGTTTAAATGAATAATCCTATGGGAAGGTGTTGTGGACAGAATGTGTGTGCCCACCTAAAATTTATAGAGTCATGCACTGCATAATAATATTTCAATGGACCTAATGTATGATGGTGTTCCCATATTATAATTCCATATTTTGCTCTACCTTTTCTATATTTAGATACACAAATACTTACCATTGTGTTAAAATTACCTACAGCATTCAGTACAGTAACACACTGTACAAGTTTGTAGCCTAGGAGCAATAGGCTATGCCATATAGCCTAGGTGTGTAGTAGTTGTGCCATCTAGGTTTGTATAAGTCCACTCTATGATGTTTGCACAATGTAATTGCCTAACAAGACATTTCTCAGAATATATCCCTGTCATTAAGTGATACATGACTGTATTGAAATTTTAACCTCCATTGTGATGGTATTAGGAAATTGGGCCTTTAGGAGGTAATTACATCATGAGGGTAGACACCTTCATCAATGGGATTACAGCCTTATAAAGAAGAAACGAGAAGTTGCTTCCAAGATGGCCAAACAGTAACAGCTCCGGTCTGCAGCACCCAGCGAGATCGATGAAGACTGGTGATTTCTGCATTTACAACTGAGGTACCTGGTTCATCTCATTGAGACTGGTTGGACAGGAGGTGCAGCTCACGGAGGGCAAGCTGAAGCAGGGCGGGGTGTTGCCTCACCTGGGAAGCGCAAGGGGTCAGGGGATTTCCCTTTCCTAATCAAGGGAAGCTGTGAGGGACTGTACCTGGAAGAACAGTAAACTCCTGCCCAGTAAACTCCTGCCCAAATACTGCGCTTTCCCACAGTCTTCACAACCCGCAGACCAAGAAATTCCCTCCCCTGCCTGGCTTGGCAGCTCCCACGCCCACAGAGCATTGCTCACTGCTAGCGCAGCAGTCTGAGGTAGACCTGTGATGCTGCAGCTTGGTGGGGGGAGGGGCGTCCACCATTGATGAGGCTTGAGTAGGTGGTTTTATGCTCACAGTGTAAACAAAGAGGCTGGGAAGCTTAAACTGGGCGGAGCCCACCACAGCTCAGCAAGGCCTACTGCCTCTCTAGATTCCACATCTAGGGGCAGGACATATCAGAACAAAAGGCAGCTGACAGCCTCGGCTGACCTAAACGTCCCTGTCTGACAGCTCTGAAGAGAGCAGTGGTTCTCTCAGTATGGTGTTCGATCTCTGAAAACGGACAGACTGCCTCCTCAAGTGGGTCCCTGACCCCTGTGTAGCCTGACTGGGGGACACCTCCCACTTGGGGCCGACAGACACCTCATACAGGCAGGTGCCCCTCTGGGATGAAGCTTCTAGGGGAAGGATCAGGCAGCAATATTTGCTGTTCTGCACCCTCCACTGGTGATACCCAGGCAAACAGGGTCTGGAGTGGACCTCCAGCAAAATCCAACAGACCTGCAGCTGAGGGGCTCGACTGTTAGAAGGAAAACTAACAAACAGAAAGGAATAGCATCAACATCAACAAAAAGCACATCCACACCAAAACCCCATCTGTAGGTCACCAACATCAAGGACCAAAGGTAGATAAAACCACGAAGATGGGGAGAAATCAGAGCAGAAAAGCTGAAAATTCCAAAAACTGGAGCACCTCTTTTCCTCCAAAGGATTGCAGCTCCTCGCCAGCAAAGGAACAAAACTGGACAGAGAATGAGTTTGACAAGTTGACAGAAGTAGGCTTCAGAAGGTCGGTAATAACAAACTTCTCCAAGCTAAAGGAGCATGTTCTAACCCACTGCAAGGAAGTTAAAAACCTTGAAAAAAGGTTAGACAAATGGCTAACTAGAATAAACAGTGTAGAGAAGAACTTAAATGACCTGATGGAGGTGAAAACCACAGCATGAGAACTTCGTGATGCATGCACAAGCTTTAACAGCCGACTCGATCAAGTGGAAGAAAGGATATCAGTGATCAAAGGTCAAATTAATGAAATAAAGCGAGAAGACAGGATTAGAGAAAAAAGAGTGAAAAGAAACGAACAAAGCCTCCAGGAAATATGGGACTATGTGAAAAGACCAAATCTACATTTGATTGGTGTTCCTGAAAGTAACAGGGAGAATGGATCCAAGTTAGAAAACATTCTTCAGGATATTATCCAGGAGAACTTCCCCAATCTAGCAAGGCAGGCCAACATTCAAATTCAGGAAATACAGAGAACACCACAAAGATGCTCCTCAAGAAGAGCAACCCCAGGACACATAATTGTCAGATTCACCAAGGCTGAAATGAAGGAAAAAATGCTAAGGGCAGCCAGAGAGAAAGGTCGGGTTACCCACAAAGGGAAGCCCATAAGACTAACAGCGGATCTCTCAGCAGAAACCCTGCAAGCCAGAAGAAAGTGGGGGCCAATATTCAACATTCTTATAGAAAAGACTTTTCAAACCCAAAATTTCATATCCAGCCAAACTAAGCTTCATAAGTGAAAGAGAAATAAAATCCTTTACAGACAAGCAAATGCTGAGAGATTTTGTCACCACCAGGCTTGCCTTACAAGAGCCCCTGAAGGAAGCACTAAACATGGAAAGGAACAACAGGTACCAGCCACTGCAAAAACATGCCAAATTGTGAAAACCATTGACGCTATGAAGAAACTGCATCAATTAATGGGCAGAATAACCAGCAAACATCATAATGACAGGATCAAATTCACACATAACAATATTAATCTTAAATGTAAATGGGCTAAATGCCCCAATTAAAAGACACAGACTGGCAAATTGGATAAAGAGTCAAGACCCATTGGTGTGCAGTATTCAGGAGACCCATCTCAGATGCAAAGACACACATAGGCTCAAAATAAAAGGATGGAGGAAGATCTACCAAGCAAATGGAAAGCAAAAAAAAAGCAGGGGTTGCAATCCCAGTCTCTGATAAAACATACTTTAAACCAACAAAGTTCAAAAGAGACAAAGAAGGCCATTACATATTGGTAAAGGGATCAATTCAACAGGAAGAACTAACCATCCTAAATATATATGCACCCAATACAGGAGCACCCAGATTCATAAAGCAAGTCCTTAGAGACCTACAAAGAGACTTAGACTCCCACACAATAATAATGGGAGATCTTAACACCCCATTGTCAATATTAGATCAATGAGACAGAAAATTAACAAGGATATCCAGGACTTGAACTCAGCTCTGGACCAAGTGGACCTAATACACATCTATGGAACTCTCCACCCCAAATCAACAGAATATACATTCTTCTCAGCACCACATCACACTTATTCTAAAATTGACCATATAATTGGAAGTAAAATATTCAACAAATGCAAAAGAACAGATATCACAACAAACTGTCTCTCAGACCACAGTGCAATCAAATTAGAACTCAGGATTAAGAAACTCACTCAAAACCACACAACTACATGGAAACTGAACAACCTGCTCCTGAATGCTACTGGGTAGAAAACGAAATGAAGGCAGAAATAAAGATGTTCTTTGAAACCAATGAGAACAAAGACACAGTGTACCAGAATCTCTGGAACACATTTAAAGCATTGTGTAGAGGGAAATTTATAGCACTAAATGCCCACAAGAGAAAGCAAGAAAGATCTAACATCGACACCCTAACATCACAATTAAAAGAACTACAGAAGCAAGAGCAAACACATTCAAAAGCTAGCCGAAGGCAAGAAATAACTAAGATCAGAGCAGAACTGAAGGAGATAGAGACACAAAAATCTCTTCAAAAAAATCAATGAATCCAGGGGCTGGTTTTTTGAAAAAATCAACAAAATAGAGCACTAGCAAAACTAATAAAGAAGAAAAGAGAGAAGAATCAAATAGATGCAATAAAAAATGATAAAAGGGATATCACCACCGATCCCACAGAAATACAAACTACCATCAGAGAATACTATAAACACCTCTACGCAAATAAACTAGAAACTCTAGAAGAAATGGATAAATTCCTGGACACATACACCCTCCCAAGACTAAACCAGGAAGAAGTTGAATCTCTGAATAGACCAATAACAGGTTCTGAAATTGAGGAAATAATTAATAGCCTACCAACCAAAAAAAGTCCGGGACCAGACGGATTCACAGCTGAATTCTACCAGAGGTATAAAGAGGAGCTGGTACCATTCCTTCTGATACTATTCCAATCAATAGAAAAAGAGGGAATCCTCCCTAACTCATTTTATGAGGCCAGCATTATCCTGATACCACAGCCTGGCAGAGACACACAAAAAAAGAAAATTTTAGGCCAATATCCCTGATGAACATCGATGTGAAAATCCTCAATAAAATACTGGCAAACCAAATCGAGCAGTACATCAAAAAGCTTATCCACCACGATCAAGGGATGCAAGGCTGGTTCAACATATGCCAATCAATAAATGTAATCCATCACATAAACAGAACCAATGACAAAAACCATGTGATTATCTCAGTAGATGCAGAAAAGGTCTTTGACAATATTCAACAGAGCTTCAATGCTAAGAACTCTCAATAAACTTGGTATTGATGGAACATATCTCAAAATAGTAAGAGCTATTAATGACAAACCCACAGCCAATATCATACTGAATGGGCAAAAACTGGAAGCATTCCCTTTGAAACTGCCACAAGACAAGGATGCCCTCTCTCACCACTCCTATTCAACATAGTGTTGGAAGTTCTGGCCAGGGCAATCAGCCAAGAGAAAGAAATAAAGGGTATTCAATTAGGAAAAGAGGAAGTCAAATTGTCCCTGTTTGCAGATGATGTGATTTATATTTAGGAAACCCCATCGTCTCAGCCCAAAATCTCCTTAAGCTGATAAGCAACTTCAGCAAAGTCTCAGGATACAAAATCAATGTGCAAAAATCACAAGCATTCCTATACACCAGTAACAGACAAACAGAGAGCCAAATCATGAGTGAACTCCCATTCCCAATTACTACAAAGAGAATGAAATACCTAGGAATCCAACTTACAAGGGATGTGAAGGACCTCTTCAAGGAGAACTACAAACCACTGCTCAACGAAATAAGAGGACACAAACAAATGGAAGAACATTCCATGCTCATGGATAGGAAGAAGCAATATTGTGAAAATGGCCATACTGCCCAAGGTAATTTATAGATTCAGTGCCATCCCCATCAAGCTACCAATGACTTTCTTCCAGAATTGGAAAAAACTACTTTAAAGTTCAAATGGAACCAAAAAAGAGCCTGCATAGCCAAGATAATCCTAAGCAAAAAGAACAAAGCTGGAGGCATCATGCTACCTGACTTCAAACTATACTACAAGGCTACAGTAACCAAAACAGCATGGTACTGGTAACAAAACAGATGTACAGACCAATGGAACGGAACAGAGGCCTCAGAAATAACACCACACTTCTACAACCATCTGATCTTTGACAAACCTGAGAAAAACAAGCAATGGGGAAAGGATTCCCTATTTAATAAATGGTGCTGGGAAAACTGGCTAGCCATATGTACAAAGCTGAAAGTGGATCCCTTCCTTACACCTTATATAAAAATTAACTCAAGATGGATTAAAGACTTACATGTTAGACCTAAAACCATAAAAACCCTAGAAGAAAACCTAAGCAATACCATTCAGGACATAGGCATGGGCAAAGACACCAAAAGCAATGGCAACAAAAGCCAAAATAGACAAATGGGATCTAATTAAACTAAAGAGCTTCTGCACAGCAAAAGAAACTACCATCAGAGTGAACAGGCAACCTACAGAATGGGAGAAACTTTTCACAACCTACTCATCTGACAAAGGGCTAATATCCAGAATCTACAAAGAACTTAAACAAATTTACAAGAAAAGAACAAACAACCCCATCACAAAGTGGGCAAAGGATATGAAGAGACACTTCTCAAAAGAAGGTATTTATGCAGCCAACAGACATATGAAAAAATGCTCATCATCACTGGTCATCAGAGAAATGCAAATCAAAACCACAATGAGATACCATCTCAGGCCAGTTAAAATGGCAATCATTAAACAGGAAAAACAGATGCTGGAGAGGATGTGGAGAAATAGGAATGCTTTTACATTGTTGGTGGGAGTGTAAATTAGTTCAACCATTGTGGATGACAGCGTGGCGATTCCTCAAGGATCTAGAACTAGAAATACCATTTGACCCAGCCATCCCATTACTGGGTGTATACCCAAAGGATTATAAATCATGCTACTATAAAGACACATGCACACGTATGTTTGTTGCAGCACTATTCACAATAGCAAAGACTTGGGACCAACTGAAATGTTCATCAATGATAGACTGGATTAACAAAATGTGGCACATATACACCATGGAGCCTTAAAAAAGGATGAGTTCATGTCCTTTGCATGGACGTGGATGAAGCTGGAAACTATGATTCTCAGTAAACTATCACAAGGACAGAAAACCAAACACTGCATGTTCTCACTCATAAGTGGAAGTTGAAAAATGAGAACACATGGACACAGGGTGGGGAACATCAGATACCAGGGCCTGTCGAGGGATGGGGGGCTGGGAGAGGGATAACATTAGGAGAAATACCTAATGTAAATGACGAGTTGATGGGTGCAGCAAAAGAACATGGCACATGTGTAACTATGTAACAAACCTGCACGTTGTGCACATGTACCCTAGAACTTAAAGTATAATAAAAAAGAAAAAAAAGAAACTGAGAGAGATACTTCCTCTCTGCCATGTGAAGATACATCAAGAAGGTGGCTGTCAACAAGCCTGGAAGTGGGCCCTCGCCAGACACCAGATTAGCTGGCACCTTGATCTTGGACTTCCCAGCCTTCTGAACTGTGAGAGATAAATGTTTGTTGTTTAGGTCACCCAGTCTATGGTATTTTTGCTATAGCGGGCTGAACTAAGACAAACCTCAAGAGCTATACAAATACATCTTTTCTTTTCTTCAAACGTCCAGAGCTATACAAACACATGTGGTCATGTCATCTGAAGTCTACAATGCTCTGCATTTTTCACATGAAAATGACACTTGGTATCTAATGGCATTTTGGTTTATCTTTCAGTATGATGAGATTGTTTCTTTAAAGGGAAATAGAGAACTGTAAAAGCTGTAGTAGGACTTACCTTCTTTCATAATCTCTCTTCATATATACATATATATATATATATAGAGAGAGAGAGAGACATATATATACACACACACACATATGTGAAACTCTTAAAGTATATTGTATTATTGCTGTGTATTTGTAACTCTGTTTTATTGTTCACAGCCATGCTATTACTGTTCTATACAGATTTAGCATTTATGCTTCAAGTCCATTGAATTTTACATTCCTTTATTGTATTAAAAACAGAAGTGATTACAAAGGAAAATGTAGCAACAGTAATGCTTTATATTTCCTTTATCTTGTTTGTGTCCATGAAGTAATTAGTACTAACAAAAAAGCGTTAATTTTTGGCACATATATTTTAGGTTTGTAAATTGCACATTCCATATACCTTCATTGTGTTGAAACAGACAGACATTATAAAGGTGAATGTAAAAACAATAAAGCTATAGCTTTTTTTTTCCAAAAAATTATAGAATTTTAGAGTGTTTACATAACTGGAAATACTTAAATATTTTTATTTATAAAATCCTTGAGTTTTCAAAACCAGTACAACTGAGCTGCCTTTGAGTCATTTGTATCTGGAATATAGCACTTCCCTTTCTCTTATTTTGTGTAGTTGCTGAGGAAATGGGTTTTCAGTATACATGATTCAAGTGGGGAAAAAAAACTGCATATTTGATTCCAAAATATTCCTTAGACTGGAAAAAAATCTCTTTTGGAATAGTCATGTTTATTTTATAGTAACTCTACAGCAGGACAATTTAGCATGTTAATGCAGAAATGTGAACAGCTTTATAGAACAAAATACTTACTATTTTCTAGCTGCCTTACGGAAATTATTTACTCAAGGAAACAGAACAGAATTTCTTGGTTTCATTAATCAGCTTTGTAAATATTTTGCCAGAGCTTTTTTTCTTGGCGGGGGTGGGGGGGGGAAGCAAATAAAAAAGTTTAAAAGCTCATATGTGTCTATTTTGTTTTAGCTTGGAGTATTTATTAAGAGTAAATTCTGTGTGTCTTTGCAGTTCATCAATATGTGTATTTAGAAGTTTTTCAAGTTCTTTTGCTCGTTTCTCTTCTTCCAGAAGGAAATGCTGTGCAGCCAAAGATGCTGGGAAGGACATATCTGGGGGAGACTAAAGAGAGAAAGAAAGAAAAGTGAGTGAGGAATACAGAGCTTTAAAAAATCTTCCCATTTCCAGGCATGCTTCATCCCTGACATACTGTCAAACACCGCAGCTCTTAATGAAAGAATACATCCTGGGCTGAATTCCCACTACTAGTGTAATTCAGTTACCACTAATGAAATCCTCAAGGAACTAAGTAAGACATCACAGCACCATTACATTAAAAAGCTCTACAAATGAGTGTTATATTGTCCAACTGCAAATGCAGGGACAATGCACTCACCATGGAACCTGCCTAAAACATGCTGCAATCATTTGCAAAGCCAATGATTTTCATTTGAAAATAGGCAACTCCAAAAAGCTAAAGTAAAGATTATAGTGGAATTGCACTAGACAGTTTATAGAGAAGAAAATAAGGATTGGCTTTGACAGGGAGAATCAATGCTTGGAGTTAGCCAGGTGAGAGGGCTGGCTGCATGATGTGTCTTGGGGTGGAGGTGGCTCCCTAGTAGGGAAGGCTTGATGCTGGCATGTATCTTGTTTGTCTTATCACAGAGAAGAAAGTATCAGGGACAAGTGCCCCAATTCCACCCTTCATGGTGACATGAAAATGCTATTTAATTGTTTGTGACCTGTTTAGTGCTTATTTAAAAAAAAATAAAAATCTGTGGCTAAAGAATAAAGGACAACATCAGATAATTTTACAATTCTTCGTTTTGAAAAGCCACATACAAAAATTAAGTAATTTTTTTTTGTTGGGGAAATCTGTACTTTAATTTTCCAGTTCTGTGGTTGCTATATTCTTCTTTGATTTTCATTTTGGTAGGAAGAATGGGACTTTATGTAGTGTTTGGGGAGTCGACAATCTGTATACATGTGAACCTTGTTAGGTGGATTTTGTTCACCAATCTGGCCCCTGCCAAAACTAGGGATCATGCAAATGATGGAGTACTGCACACTTTTCCAACCAGTAGGCCCAACTGTAGCTGCTGTGTCAGGGATAGTATCTCTACTAGAGAAGACTATCACAGCCTGGGGTAGATGGTATGCTACTATTGATCTGGCAAATGCATTATTTTTAATATTGGCAAATGCATTCTTTTTAATATCTAATAAAAAGGAGGATAGGAAGCAGTTAGCATTCACATGTGGTGGCCAACAATATATATCCATGGTTTTGCCCCAAAGTTATGTTAATGAAGCTGTCACAATAAATTCTGAAGGGGCCTAGCCCATCTGGACATTCCAAAGACTATCACATGGAACATCATATATTAACACTAACATCATGTTAATGAGACTTGATGAGCAAGAAGTGGCAAGTATGTTAAAGGGATGGAAAGATGTATGTACTCCAGAAGGTGAAAGATAAACCCCATAAAAGATTGGGGCTTGACACATTGTTTTTAGGTGTCTACTGCTATGTGGCATGTCAGAACATCCTAGGTAAAGCAAAAATTAATGCACCTTGAAAATGTTCCACCCTTGGATCAAATAATTGAATAATCTGATTCATTTATTGGGTGACACAGAAAAAATTTTTTTTTTTTTTTTTTGAGACGGAGTCTCACTCTGTCGCCCACACTGGAGTGCAGTGGCGTGATCTCGGCTCACTGCAAGCTCCACCTCCCGGGTTCACGCCATTCTCCTGCCTCAGCCTCCCGAGTAGCTGGGACTACAGGCGCCCGCCACCACTCCCGGCTAATTTTTTGTATTTTTAGTAGAGACGGGGTTTCACCATGTTAGCCAGGATGGTCTCGATCTCCTGACCTCGTGATCTGCCCTCCTCGGCCTCCCAAAGTGCTGGGATTACAGGCGTGAGCCACCATGCCTGGTGAAAAAATTATTTTGTGAGAAAGCCCAGAACTCTGGAAAGAAAGAGCTGTGTAGGAGGTTCAGGATAGGGTACAAGTAGTCCTGCTACTTTGGTCAAATAACTTGGTAGATCCCATACTAGAAGAATCTCTGGTAAAGAAAAATGCCTTGTGGAGCCTCTGGCAAGTTTCATCGGGAAAGCTGTGTTGCAGACCCTTAAGATTCTGGAACAAGGCTATGCTATCTGTAGCAGAAACCTATATACTATTTGCAAGACAATTCTTGTCATGCTGTTGAGTCCTGGTTGAGACTCCAGCAAGTGGACAGGATGATTTGATCCAGCCTTTGTCTTTGGCTACCTCAGTGGGAATTATGCATCATCCCAATACCATGATTTCCCCTTTCACCAAGGGTAATCCAGCTGCTATTGCTGTTGAATGTCTGACCTGCTTGCAACAGAAACCAAAGCTGAGCTCTTGATATGGCATCATCCCTCAAGGAGACCAGCCAGCCTCTTGGTGGCAACTTGACTGCAATAGGTCCCTAGCACCTTGGAAAGGGCAATGCTGTATGCTTATCAGAATGGATATGAATTCTGCGTGTTTGCCTTTCCTGGCTGCACCACTATCTTAGGGCTCACAGAATCACTTATCTGCAGACATGAGAGAGACCCTGCTTAATAGTAAAGGTACCTACTTTATAGCAAAAGAGTATGGCAGTGGGGGCACGACCATGGTATCCACTGGTCCTAACCACACACAGCACTATCCAGAGGATGCTAACATGATAGAGCTTTGGGACGGCCTCTTGAGGGCAAAGCTGAGGCACCAGCTTGGAGATTATATCCTGTGAGGTTGGGGTGCCATTCTTCAGGATGTGGTATAGACTTTAAACCGATGGCTGTTTTATGGTTCTGTGTTTCCAATGGGTAGAATACATGGATCTGGGAACAAAAGGGAGGAAGTAGGAATGGCTTCACTCTCTATCACTTCTGTTAACCCACTTGGAGAATCTGTGCTTTCTGTCTATGTATCTTTAGGCTCTGTTGTTCTACAGGTCCTGGCTCTTAGAGGCGGAATGCTTCTACCAAGAGACCTGTAAGAGTCCCACCAAACTTAGAGCTTTGGCTCCCATGTGGTCACTTTGGGCTCCTCATGCCAACAGATCAGACACACAGAGTGGAGTTCCTATATTGGCAGAGGTAGCTGACCCTAAGTCATCCTGAAGAGTTAAGATTGCTACTGCATAACAGAGGCAGTGAGGAATGTGTTTGGTACTCTGATGATCCTCTGAGGCATCTTTTGGTACTCTCATGCCCAATTTTAATTTTAATTGGCAAATACAGAAACCATATCCTAATAAGGGCATGGACATTAGGGGCTCACCCCAAAAGAAAAGCCACCTGGATCAACAGAAGAGTTGGCTGACGGGGAGAGGAATCTAGAATGGGTGAGGCAGTGATAGGTGTCAGCGACCAATTGCAGCATGAGGGGCTGTGGCTTATCTCACTAACTTTCCTCTCAACAGTTTTTCCAGAAATTATGACCAGCAAGAATCGTGAAGAAGCTATGCCTGAATGGAAGCTATGGAAGAAGGTGGTTCTGAGTGGTGCAACAGGTTGACCATGGTGGTTGGTCCCCTACCCGGATCCCCTTCCCCAGGCTGATGCATCTCTCCTCTAGCTGGGTGGGTGTTGGCTACTAACAGCTCACAGCTGGCTCCTTTGGGGAACTGCCCTCCACCGAACTGGAGGCTCCTGCCTCACCTGGGAGGCTGCAGTCCCTCCTCTGCCCATTTGCTATCCTCTCTGAGGCAATGACTGATTGATGGACACAGGGGCGTAAAATACCAAACTTTTTGTTTGGTGAGAACAAATGCTGTGGTGCAATTCATGTGCCAAGCTTCCTGGGACACCAGGCTATACTAGTTTGTAGCTCAGACCACATCTTTGCTTAATTTTCCTCCCCTTCCCTAGCCTGTCTCCTTCACTCTCCTCCTGAAAATACTAAAATACTCCCTCGGTAAATCGCTTTCACAAGAATCTCATCTCAGATTCTAGGAAACCTGATCTCAGAGAGATGACTTCCTAGATTCTGGCCTGAGTGATTAGTGACACTCATGCCATTTACTGAGAAAGAGAAAAAGGTAAAGGAAGCCATTAAGAGTAAGATATTCTTTCTTTCTTTTTATGGATTGATTGATTGATTGATTGATTTAGAGACAGTGTCTTGCTCTATTGCCCAGGCTGGAGCACAGTGGTGCAACCACAGCTAACTCTTAACTTCCAGCTCCTGGGCTCAAGTGATCCTCCCACTTCAGCCTCCTGAGTAGGTGGGACTATAGGCACACACCACCACACCCAGCTCTTTTTTAAAAAAGTTTTTATAGAAACGGAGCCTCATTATGTTGCCCAGACTGGTCTTGAACTCTTGGGCTCAAGCAATCCCTCTTGCCTTGGCCTGAGATTGTAGGTGTGAGCCACAGCTCCTGGCCTCTTACTTATTTCTGATTCATCAGGTTCTAGCACAGATTCTAGGCCAGTGTGTTTTCAATAAAATTTTTTAGTTAGTTTATGAATGAAGAAAATGGATTCAATTTTGAATAATAATGAGTTTGAGGTGACTTGAGACTTAAACAGACTCAAGTAAACAGTGAGATATGTCAATCTAGGACTCAGAATATAGGTCTGAATCAGAGAGACAGACTTGGAAGTTATAGATGACAAGGCCATGAGATTGACTGAAATTATCCAAGATAGGCAAGTAAAAGGAAAAAAAGAAGTTAAAAGATGGAGCCCTGAAGAATCCTTCATGTCAGGCATCCACCCACATAGCATGTCCTTGACACTATCATCAATGAGAACTGCATTATTTACTAATTGAGATTTAAAGCAACCTATCCATCATCCTTCCAGCATGCTTAATCTAGTACTCCCACGCCAGCATTTCTCTGACCTCATTTAGACTCTTTACTTTTCACTATCCATCATCTTCCTCATACTCTCTCTTCCTAACTCTGCTTATTCCCGTCCATCTCATAACCATTCAGCAACTTGTCCCTCCCTGTATCTTGTCTCTATCCTCATTACCTGGTAAACCCCTGTATCTTGTCTCTATCCTAATAACCTGGTAAAACCCACCCCTAATTAAGCTGGCCCATCTGCCCGGGTCTTGCCTACACCTGAGCAGCTGAATGCTGGAGCCAACAGGTTGGGGGTAAATTACTGCATGGACTAGTTTCACTTTAAATTCATGACCATAAATATCATGTGGTCAGTGAACACTGCAAGGCGATTCTATTGCACTTCCCTAGTATGTTCACTTTCTTACTCATTACGTTGTGGCCTGGCTTCCTCCTAGGAGTCAGAGGGGAGCTCCCTCATTATTCCACATCCATTTGTATCTGTAGCTGAATTTTAGGCCATCCTCCTGTTTCAGAAACTCATCCTTCCTCCTATACTGCAGATCCTATTTCTTCTTACCTCTCAGTGACTTTGTTTCTGCAAATGAAAGAGGACCCTCCTTGAGCCCCATCCTCTTCATTATCAAACTTTCCTCCTGTCCTTCAGGATTCCCATTAGGTCACTCAATATTATGACCCAAGGCTTTGTATTGGGATGATTTCTTTTTTATACTTCAGTATTTTCATCCAGTTCTATAGACTTAAATACCAACCATATGCCGATTATTCCCACATTTGTATTTCCAGCTTTGATCTCTCCCTCGAATATCAGATTCACATATCCTATTGACTATTTAATGTCTACGTTTGGGTGTCTAGTAAACATTTTAAACTTATATGCCCAACCTAGAAATCATGATTACTCCTCTAACCCTATTTCTTCCCTAGTCTTCCCATGTCGGAAAGTGGTATTAGCATCTACTCAATGCTCAGGTTGAAATCCTAGGAGTCATCTTTAATCACTCTTTTCTCCCACTTCCCATAAACAATTCATTGTCAAGTCTGGTCTACACACCAGAATATTTCCTGGATCTAATATGTTGCTCTATCTCCACTGCTACCAAGCCAGCATCATCTCTTGCCTAGGCTACTGAAATAGCCTTACAATAGTTGTCTCCTCTTCTACCCTTGCCCCTCTATAATTTATTCTTTATTTAGTAGTAAAAAGGATCTTTTAAAAATTTTAAACATATCTGTTTATTATTAGAGTAAAATAATTTGAAATGGAGTAAACAGACCAGTATTTTCCTAACTGAAACTTTAAAATGGCTTCCCATTGTTTTAAAATAAAATCCAAACTCCTTCCCATGACCTACTGTCCTCATATATCGGACTTCCCCTGACAACTTATCTGTTCCCTTTTGTTCCAGTCTCCCTCTTCCCTTCTAAGCTCCAGAAGGTCCCCCAACCTTTCTGGTTCTCATGCCTGCCAAACTCGTTCCTGCCTTATAGTTCCCTTACTTAAAACTCTCTTCTACCAGATCTTTGCAAGGCTGGATTTGCTGTTGTTTGGGTTTCACCTTAAATTTCCCTTTCTCAATGATAATTTTCCTGGCTACTCAACCTAAAGTAATCCCCCATACTTTCATCACTCCCTATCACATTACCTGCTTTTCTTTTCATCACAGCATTTATCACTATTTGATATTTTCTTTCTTTCTTTTTTTTTTTTTTTTTTTTGAGACAGTGTTTCGCTCTGTTGCCCAGGCTGGAGTGCAGTGATCCTATCTCGGCTCACTGCAACCTCTGCTTCCCGGGTTCAAGCGATTCTCTTGCCTCAGCTTCTGGAGTAGCTGGGACTACAGGCATGTGCCACCACGCCCAGCCAATTTTTGTATTTTTAGTAGAGACGGGGCTTCACCATGTTGGCCAGCCTGGTCTTGAACTCCTGACCTCAGGTGATCTGACCACCTCGGCTTCCCAAAGTGCTGGGATTATAGGCATGAGCCACAGCGCCTGGCCTTGATATTTTCTTATTTGTTCATTTATTTCCAATCATTAATTTTTCTCCTCTTGTTTGTTTTTGAGATAAAATTCACATACAATTAACCATTTCAAAATGAGTGGTTCAGTGGCATTTAGTACATTCACAATGTTGTGCAACCACCATCTCTATCTAGTTCCAAAATAGTTTCATTATCCGTAATGAAAACTCTGTACTCCTTAAGCCACTGCTCCTTGTTTCTCCCTCCCCACTGCCCCTGGTAACCACCAATCTACATTGTTTCAGTGGATTTCATTTACCTATTTGGCTATTTCATATACATGGAATTATACAATATAGCCTTTTGTGTTTGGCTTCTTTCACTTAACATGTTTTTGAGGCTCATCCACATTGTAGTAATTTTTGGCCTTTTTTGGCATAGCTGCTTTTAATGGCTGAATAATATTCCATTGTATGTATATATCACAATCTGATTATCCATTCATCCATTGATGAAGTTTCCTCTTTTTTTTTCACCATACTACTTATGTGTCTATCTTATTCAAAGACATGTTTAGAACAGGAACTGCCATATAGTTGGTGCTCAATACATGTTTATTTTATTTTATGAATAAATAACACTAATATTTAAGGGACAGAAATAGGAGGGAGAACCCTAGAAACAGGCTGGGAAACAGTAGCCAGAGGGTGGCAGGAGAATCAGCGGAGTATAGTGTCATAG